>NC_000005.10:50734807-51359807 GCF_000001405.40 Homo sapiens
TATTGGAGTTTTCTCATTTTCTTCAGTGAATTCATAGTGCCAAAATCAAGGAGGCCAAGACATGGATTTACTCTTTAACCTGCAGTGCCTAGAAAGGGAAGCTGAGACAATGGGATATTTATGCCCATCCTAAAATTCAAATCATAACAATTAATATTAAAATATGCAGAATAATATATAGTTATAATATCTAGTAATAACATTACTATAATAGAAATTCATCATGCGCAATGTAGGGTATGTAGTGACTGGAATAACATTTTTATAAGATAGATTGATGCTTGCTTCTCTTGTGTGTTAGTACTGTACTATAATAGGATTCTGGTGTACTTTTGTTTGGCTTCTGGGTAGCTCCCCAAACAGAATATATTTTAAACATATTTGCATGGCCTACAAATATTGACATTTCAAGACTTTGAAGTGCCCTTTGCTGCTTGTTCAGATTTTATAATCAATGTTGCGAATATCAAGTGTAATATTTTCATGATTTTGGGCTTGTTGAATTATAGATAAATGCACTTGAATGCTCTGCACATAATGTATACATGGACAATGTGACTCCTTTGTTCTAATTTTACATTATATGGTACAATCAAATTCTCTTACAATGATTTGTTTCATGCAGACACATCATAGGCCAAATTCTAACCCTTAAAATATTATATATGCTGAAAATCTGTTTCTGTGAGTGAAAGACAAGTATTATTCATCTCTCCTAAAATCAGGCTTATAAACAGACTTCAGTTAATTGGATTCAGGTTGTTTATCTTTGATAAGACATAAAATACTTTTTATTCTGCCATTTTTAAGAGTCATTCAATGTCCCTGACAAGGGAGCTATACATATATTTTGAACATCTCTTAAGATGCAACCTGCACATATATTGAGCATCTGGGACACAACAGTGAATAAGATACATAGAGAAATACGATCTAGTGGGAGAAAGAAGCATTAATCTGATATTCATCCAAATTACAACTAAGAAAAGTTTTAAGTGGGGGTTGGTATAGGGCTTTATAAAGGGGATTTAACCTTATCTAGGTCAGGTAGGGCAGTGGGGGTGGAAGCTGGGGGAGGGCTTAAGAAAGTAAAAATGTAAACTAATACCTGAAGGATGAGTAGGATCAAGCCAGGAGATCTAGGGGATTCCCCCCCCCCCTTTTATTAGTGAATGTATTCTCATTTGAAGGATGGAATTTATGTTTTGAATTAAATCTAGTGGTGTCCCCCTGTAAATATGTTGGATTACTGTTAATAAAATTGATTCCCAAAAAATTAGAAAGAGAAGGCAAACACCATCAACAATAACAACAATCAATGAACCAAGAAACCTCCCCCCACCCACCGAAAGCATACCCTGCAAAAGAAGTTAAAATTATAAATCCATACAGAGGGTAATTTGTGACACATTGATTTATGTCCTTAGAGACACTTTTCTGTGCATTTGTATGCATTTGAGTATGCATTGTTCTTAACAGAGATGGGGTTATAGCCTCATTAAGCTAGTTTTATATCTCTTTTAGTGGCTGCAGCATCTTTGTAATGGTGCAGCATCTTTGTAATGGATATGCTATTACTTAACCAATGCCTATTTGGAACATTTTAGTTACCTCTAACTTTTCAAAACCCAGAAATATTTTAAGCAAAGTCTACTGAGTTTACAAAGTTAACCTAATCAGTTCAGCACCTAAATTAATCTGAAATAAGGAGACATTTATTTATGGATACCAAAGATTCTTTGCTTATGTTTGCATACTAAATGAAGATGGTTCAAATGAGCATTTGGAGGTACAGGCATTTAACTTACTGAGATACATATTCTTTAGCAGACAAAATTTATTTGTAATGCCATGAACAAGAATCACTTACATTATTACCAGTTTTCTATAATTTATGCCTATCATTCCAATGGAAAAACACCCAAGATCTTTTTTGCCCTTTTTCAAGGTTTTTACAGTTTTTCCTTTAGAATTTCTCTCCTGTGATCATAAATAATTTCCAAAGGTAATTCTTCATCCAAAACCAACCAAACAAAAAACCTGCAGTGAGAGTATTCATTAACCATGTAGGCTTCTTGGAGTTTGCAAATCTAGAACCATGATCTGTTGAGCAGCTACTGATCAAGGTGATAAAATTAACTTTTCCTCTGAAATTTTCATAAGAAAGATGGGATTTGACTTTAAAAAGTGCTTTCTTGAGGCTAGAAAAACAAAATGAAGAAACTCTCTCCACCTGATTTTTATCTTCAGTACTTATGTATATAATTGGTGAATTTCTTTCTGGTTGAGGCTCCCAAAATTTACTAAGATTCCCATTTTGCCAGAAAGTGGCCTTCCTCACCATCTGTAAGTCTGGGAACCTATCAGCTAGTTCTTAGGCCAGTTTTCTTGGGAGGGGTGTGTAGGCATTTATTCCACATATAAAGTCATTCCTTGTTCCTTAATAGTTGCTTGCTATTCCTGATTAAATGAAAATTATTTTAAATATGATACTCCAGGGATAGCCTTGGTTACCAAATAGAGTTATCCAATGACATTCTGGTAATAAAAGAAGAGATATTCTTATTCAACCTGTGAAAATAACTATATTTGCCATGAGAATAAGGGTACTCATTAGGAGTTTCTGAATTCTGGAGTAATCAGTGAGAATCATATGCTGTTTTAAAATGTTTATTTTAGTTTAGAAAAGCAGCATCCATAAAATTCAGAATTAAATATAGCTTAAAAAGAACTTCTTCATCAATATGTTAGAAAATAGAATATTAAAACAGTATCAACAGTATCTAGACAAATAGCCACAATTGAATGTCCCTCACCAGTTATTTAAATCTTATGTAGTTCTTGTTTCATTGGATCTTGGGTCAACATTCTGTCTTCTGCTTCCGTATGAAAAATCTACATTTAGAGCTTAGTTTGGACATACATTCAAAATTGGCATTGTAATCATAACTGTCTTGTTAAATGGCCACCTTTACTTTGGTAAGACCATACACACGGCTGTCTTAGATTTTTGTAACTGAGGCTTTTAGTTACATATTCATTGGCTTAAGAATGAGTTGCATTTGCTAACTAAATACTTACTAATCAAAATATGTCATCAAAATATGTCAGATTTAAGCACAGTGCCCTTATAATTCAAATAATTATACTTTACACAATCTTATGAGAACAAAACATGTTCTGAAAGCTTAATGAATAGTGAATGGCTAACTGATTTTAGTAACCACTTAGAAATACCATTCTGGAGTCTATAAAAGTATTACTATTGCCCTCGTTAGTTGCTGTTCTCCCAAAAGACTGTATCCAAAAAGAAACAAGAAAAGCAGTGGATAGGACTAGGGCTTTCCAAATGTAGCTTTACATACATATAGTATTTAAACAGAGTAATGAATCAGTGCCTGTGAAGGCCTGAAATAGCATGTAACCACTAGGGGAAAAATTGTTAAATCATGAAGAAAATGATTTTATCTTTGGCGAGCAGAAAAATATTAAAACCTGTGCGCTTGCAGTTTTTTCTTATGTAATGTATAAATGTCTAATTTATTACAATTGTTTTTAGATCATGACCTAAAATTTATTCTATAAAATTTATGAATATTGCTTGAAACTCTAAACAAATTGTGTATTTACTACATTAAAATAATCAGGTAAAAATCATAAAATTAAATCAAAGCTATATGTTTACATTCAGTTTTTAATGCAAATAGCTTATAGATGCTTACACTGAAACATCTCAAGCACTTTAACAGGTCTGCCTAAAATTAGGATGATTTCAGTTGTAAGAAACAAAAATATTTGTTTTGGCTTAAACCAATGGTGTCTAATCTTTTGGCTTCCCTGGGCCACAGTGGAAGAATTGTCTTGTGCCACATATAAAATACACTAATGCTAAAGAAAGCTGATAAGTTAAAAAAAAAAAAAAAAAGAAAATAGCAAAAAAACCTCATAATGTTTTAAGAAAGTTTACAAACTTGTGTTGAGTTGCATTCAAAGCCATCCTGGACTGCATGTGGGCCACGGCTTGGACGAGCTTGGCTTAAACAGTAAAAAGGATAGTTATTTGTTCATGTAATAAAAAATTTATTATTGATAATGAGACGTAGGCTTAGTTTACATCAGGGCTCTGCCTCTGTCTCTGACATTTTCTAAGCTCCACATTTTTCTGTATCAAGCACATTCCTAGACTGGCTTCCCAGTGGGTGTGAGAAGGCTAACCAGCAGAGACCAGAGCTGTCTGCTTCCTCATTCACATCTAGGAGGAGCAAGAGACTTCCCACAGGTATTGAATCAAAGTCCCAAGCTCTACTCTGAATGGAGCACCCTGAACCAACAACCATTGAGGCCAAAGTGTAGGACACAGGCTAGGTAACTCCTTTCCTTCCATTGCAGGGGGATCTGTTATCCTGATGGCTTATCCAGTCATTCAGTCTTCCTCTCCACCTGGGAGAAGGGATTCTCCTCATGAAAACCTTAGGGCTTCCATATGAAGAAGGAGAGGAATGAGTGGAATGGATATTGAGGAGGCCTTTGGATGTCCATTACAGATTTATTCTGCTTTTACTCATTCGTTAATTTTTTTTGTGGGGGGATGGGGGTGGGGAGGGAGTTGAGAAATCATTTTTTTGATCATCTCCTCTCGCTACATCAGCTGCATTCTTCCATATTTCATCTTCCTTGTAATCCTCTTCACAACACTAGGGGAGTAGATATTATTAATCCAAATAAGCAGAAAGGAGTTAGCCAATTTAATTTTCTGAGGTTTATATTGTAAAGGCAAAATTTAATTCAAGCCTATCATATACTAAAGTCTGTGCTCTTTCTCCTGGTTATAAAATAATTCTTATTTACACAATAATTTTGTAAGGAAGGTTATTCAGACTTGGAAGATCAATGGGTATATACATATATATATATATATATATATATTTTTTTTTTTTTTTTTTTTTGAGACGGAGTCTTGCTCTGTCACCCACGCTGGAGTGAGGTGGCACGATCTTGGATCTCTGATCTCGGCTCACTGCAACCTCCACCTCCGAGGTTCAAGCAATTCTCTGCCTCAGCCTCCCGAGTAGCTGGGATTACAGGCACCCACCACCACGCCTGGCTAATATTTTGGTATTTTTAGTAGAGACGGGGTTTCACCATCTTGGCCAGGCTGGTCTTGAACTCCTGACCTCATGATCCACCCACCTTGGCCTCCCAAAGTGCTGGGATTACAGGCATGAGCTACTGCGCCCGGCCTGGGTTTATATATTTTTAGTAAGCATTCATTCTACGTATATTTATAATGTTCCCACTATGTGCTAGGTAGATGGTAGGTGCTGGAAATACAATGGGAAGAAAACAGGTGCCTTCTACTCTATGGATTTAGCAGGGGAAGCAAATATTAATAAGTCATACAATCAGCCATATTTACAAACTGTGTAACTGCTCCGTAGTAAGATCTGATCAAGTCTGGGAAAGGTCATCAAAGTTTTTTCTTAGGAGATGACATCTGAATTGAGAACTGAAGGATGAGACTGAGTTAACCAGGTCAAAAGGAGGAGGGGAGAGAGAATTCCAGGCAGAGGGAACACAACATGCTCAAGAACTGAAAGGAGTCTTTTTTGTTGGAGCATAGAGAGAACAGTGGAGCATAGAGAGAACAGTTGGAGCACAGTGAGGCAAGACAAAGATGAGACGCATAGATAGGGAAGGTCTTGCGGGGGCTTTAGGTGCTATTAAAATTATGTTTGAGCATGGCATGGCGGCTCATGTCTGTAATCCCAGCATTTTAGGAGGTGCTTGAGGCCAAGAGTTTGGGACCAGCCTGACCAACATACTGAGACCTCATCTCTACACTAAATTTTTTCAAACTTAGCAAGGCATGGTGACTTGGGTCTGTAGTTCTAGCTACTTGGGAGGCTGAGGTGGGAGGATTACTTGTTGCCAGGAAGTCGAGGCTGCAGTGAACCGTGATTGTGCCACTGCTCTCCAGCCTGGGCAATAGAGTGAGACCTTTTCTCAAAAGAAAAAAAAAAAAAAGATTATATATTTGATATTCCACAAGAAATTAACTTGGAAAGAACTTATTTTATTTGCCTTAAATATTTAAGATGCTGAGGGTTGTATCATACTATCGAAGTTCTTTCTAAATATTTGTAGTGTTTGTTCCCTTTCCATGACAAAGCCTTAATTGAGCTATAGAGTTATTCAGTCGTATTTAGTTTTTCCGTCTTGGTATGCTGTGCAGATCATTTATAGCCTCTTTAAACTTTTTATGACCACTTAAAACTTGAACTTAGATATAAAACAGTGAAGGTAAAAACATCTACATGTTAGTGAATATTTATCAAAAGAATACTGAATTAGTTATAGTTACAAAGTGTTCAGTAAAGAAAAGCTCAGATATTAAACTTTCGGGATGCAATATGGAAATAATATTTATATAATTAATTTAATCGAGGTGTTAGTGTTTGATGACATGCTCTATCTACTATTCATATTTTATTGGAATTGTATTGTTGTCCTTTTATTTGTAGTCATGAGTAAAGAAAAAGAGAGAAGCACAGCTTTATTTAAATATGTTGTTGTCTTTTGCATGGAACTAAGGTAGTGTAAAAAAACCATTTTCTCACTTGCTTTTAAAAATACCATTATAAAGCTTGCATCAATGTTACTAATCAATGTCAGACTTAGTTCTCTCAGGTTCCTCCCTGTTGAGAAAATAGCTTACTTAGAAGTCCAGACATTTAACTTACAGTGTAATATTTAAGCGTAGAAGTTGCTGACTTGGCCACTTCCCTAAAAATCAAACAAACAAAAACATTACTTTTGATCCTGTTACTTCACGTGCTGAAAGTATAACTTAAAAAATTACCAAAATAAGTTTTGAAAATAGGAAAATATATTATTGAGAAACTAACTTAATGTTTGTTGGGCAAGAGTCTTCATCCTTTTACCTTAGTAAAGGGTAATACGTAATTTATTTCATAGGTGAGAAAGATGTGTTTTCTTTTCTTTTCTTCTTTTTTTTTTTTTTAGGTAGAATTTCATTCTTGTTGCCCAGGCCGGGTGCAATAGCGCGATCTCAGCTCACTGCAACCTCCGCCTCCCAGGTTCAAGTGATTCTCCTGCCTCAGCCTTCTACTAGCTGGCATTACAGGTGCACACAACCACGCCTGGCTAATTTTTTCTGTTTTTAGTAGAGACAGGGTTTTGCCATATTGGCCAGGCTGGTCTCGAACTCTTGAACTCAGGTGATCCGCCCGCTTTGGCCTCCCAAAGTACCGGGATTACAGGCGTGAGCCACCGCCCCTGGCCGCATTTTATTTTCTAGAAGGAGAACTTAGTGTTCTTGTCTTCATGTTGAGTGGTTCCGAATAAGGGAGGGGGCAGATATTGTGTGCAGTAGTTCATATAATCCTATTTTTGGCAGTTTGGCTTAAAAACAAATACATTTGTTTATTTTAAATAATGCTACCATTAATATCTTTGTGGCTAGTTTTTTTCCCCACTCACATAGTTACATATGTTTGATAGATTTCAAATTGTGAAATTGTTAGATTAAATTAATAGAACAAAGCCCCAAATGGAGTGTGGGTTTATGAGTTCTGTGCAGCAAGTAGATGGATTAATCTTAGATTACAAGGACAGATAATTCCTTCTTCCTGGGTACAAGGAGAGGAGTATGAGCTTGTAGGTGGTTGGTGGGAGACAGAATAAAGGGAATGCCTTGAGGAAGTAACCATATGATAATCTCTCTTAATGTGGAAAGAAAGCATTTTGATGAGAGTGAAAGGGTAGGTTGTTATACGGTGTTTGGAAAGCTGTGAAAATTTGCAAAAACAACTAGGAAGAAAAAGTAAGGGGGTTTATGAAGAATGGGTTTCTCAGGTTACTGAGCAGAGTTGTTAATAGATAATATTGAGAACCACATGTCTGTAGGGCACCAGGCCCCTTAGTTTCATTGTCCTTTCCAGCAGCATTCAGAGCCCAGGTCCAGGAGCTGAGCATGGCAAATATGACCTAATCTGCAGTTTGGAGCTGGTAGGATCAGGTAGTCTGCAGGGGCAAGGTAGGCGCTGCACATTGAAGGAGTCGAAGATGCTGTGGAGAGAGCAGTTAGGTATCTAAAATCATGGGAAGATGAAAATGAAGCTCAGAGGGACTGGTAAAGACACAGAGTGAATGCATTGTTTAAGGATGTTAGAAGTAAGAGGAAAGGAGTGAGAGCTGGGAAAATTATAAAATTGTGGTTAGAAAGTGGGACATGGGGGTTTGAGATTTTAGAAGGGGAGCCATTCACTCCAAATCAAGCTTCAAGGTATAGCCATTTGGAGATTTGGTGAGCTAGTGGTAGGGAAAACGAGGCCATGGAACTACGTGCAGCTTAACGTTGTCCAAATGGATGGGAGTGATGTCAAGATTTTTGGTAAAGAGGAAAAGAAGGTCCTAGAGCTCCCCAACCCTGGATAAATGACAAAAAGATTGTAGCTCATAGTGGTGAAGAATGAGGATGCTGTAGCTGATTGACCTGCACAATTTGAAAATGTTTTTAGAGGGTGAAATGATGATGAACATGAAAGTGAATGTTTTGGGAACTGAATGGCATTAAAGTAGCAAAGGTGAGCTTCTAGTATGCCCCAAATTACCTTCTAGCTTGAGACACTAGAGTTGGGTCTGGAGGTGGGTAGTGGGACAGCATCTCTTTCACTCTGCAGCACTTGAAGAGTAAAGAAGACAGAATTAATAAGTGCTGGAGTGAATTTTCTTCTAGAAAGCTCCAGTGTGTCTGGGGGTGAGATGTGGTCTCAGGTTTCAACTGCTGACTTGCAAGTGAACAAAGACTGAGACCTAACCAGGCACGATGGCTCAAATCTGTAATCCCAGAGGTTTGGGAGGCTTGAGGCCATTGCATTCCAGCCTAGGTGACAAAGTGAAACCTTGTCTCCAAAACATAAATAAATAAATAAATAAATAAAATTAAAAATTAATTGATTAAATAAAATTGAGATCTGTACTCCTAAGCATCTTCGCTAGGGTAGAGGATTGTTTGTCATGTGCAATTTTTTGTTTCTGCCTTTTGCTTTTTCTTATTTAAATTCTTAAAGTGGGATCTAACTGGGAGGGATAAAAGATACGAGGATGTAGTTTATTGGAGAAATTGTTTTAAATATTAGCAGGTAAGTAAAAAGGTAATGTGCAATAAAATACTGGTTTTTACTTGTTCTGTCAAAACCTCTGGGTGTTGTTGAAAAAGCATGAACTGAGGATCCAGGAGTTTGACGTTACAGATGGCAGTTATGGGCCCTGCTTGTAAAATCAGATAATGAATTGGTGCATCGAAAAACTCTTTTAAGTCTAAGATTCTTTCATCTTCAAGCCTAAATTCCAATCTTTATTACATAGAGCTACCATCTTCCACTACTTTTGAAAGACTCTCCTTAGATCCATGAACTTGGGAGTTCAGACCAGACTCTATCTGTTCTTAGCTCATTGCAGACATTTCAGAAGGAAAAGGATGGTAATGGAGTGATTGGGAAGTGTAGATACAAGAATGACCTTATTAAATGGTTCCAGTTATAGGAGTAAACAAATATATGAACAGAATACAGGATTAGGTAGATATGGAGCAACTGACAGCTGCTTTGGGAACTCCTTTAGAAGTTGTTGGCTATTGGGAGATGTCTTTGGTTGGGCCAGATGCTTTCAGAGGAAAAAGAGGTGAAAGTAACCATTTTGTTAGAAAATTATTGAGGTGCAATAAAATAATTTTTAGATTCTGGTTTCAAAGTTGTGACTTTAAGAACCATGCATCACACTGTTCATATAATATATACCAAACACATATTTGACTGACCTGAGTTTCTGGCAAAGCACCTCAATGTAATTAATTGTAAGTCAGCATATCCCAAAATTCTGAAGGCTTTTTTTTTTCTCTGAATAGGAATTCAGAGCTTGCTCCAGGGATGTGAGGACAAAAGATGAGTATGACTTTTAAAAGGAATTCAGAACTTGCTCTAGATTTTGCTTTCTTCTCATGTCCACCTTCTTTCACTTTCACTTATGCTTCTTGACAATATTTTCTGCCTGCTACATGGCATTTATTATGTACAGCACATACTAACAGTACTCTGCAATCTACTTAAGCTTTGTTCTTTCCACGTTTTTTTGGTACTACTCATTAGATCCTTGAGCCAATCATCCATGTCTGTTTGTACTAGATTGTTTCCCTTAGAACTCTGCAAGTCACAAAGTGAAACTGATTAGGATTTTACAGTCCTGGTGATTTTCCTTCTGGTATACCACTGAGAAAATGCTGTCGCACAAGGGGCTGATGAATCATTTTGCAGGATTTCTGTTTGCTATTTTCTATTTGAAAAATTAGGTACGTTCACGAACATGGGAATGTCTCCTAATATCATGAGGACAATACGACCATAAAATAAAATAATCAGTGTTGGTTTGGGTCTCAGATAAATGTAATATATTGTACTTTTTAGCAAATTGAGTTTTCCAGAGAACATTCATTCATGTAAATTTCACTCCTATAAATTTTAATTGCTTGTATTGGAAGCTGACTAAAATTACTCAGCACCTGCTGTTATGTGTCTGGCATTGTCCTGGGGTCCTTGCACCTGTTAAGCCATTAAATCATCACAGCAGGCTCTTAAGGTAGGTATGGATTCTTCCATTTTACTAAATAGAGATTGAGTCTGTGAGTGTTTAACCAACTTTTCTTATGCCTCCCAGCTAGTAAGCCTCAAAGCTGCATTGGACTCCTATTTGTCTGTCTTGAACTACAACAGGCCCTCTAACTGGAGGTAGACAAAGGAATGAATTAAGGCCTCATTTTGGATTCAGACATTGATTTAGATGAAAAATGAAGCAATTGCCATTGGTTGAGATGGTAGGCTGTTGGGAATTAATTCAGCTTAGTACTGAGTATAATCTCTGGCATTGCCAAGCTTCTGTCACATAGCACTGCCAGATCAGAAGGGTGCCTTGATCATCAGTTTTATTTCTACATAGTACCATTCGACAGTATAAAGGAATGGATCACGGGAAAATGAATTCATATGGGGTCATAGTGTACATTTCCCCCCAGCTTGTTTTGGGGCACCATTGTCATGGATATTTTATCTTCTAATGTTTGGCATGTTGATTCAGGGCCATGATTTCCAAAGCTGCTCTATTGGCTGAGGTCCAACATCTGCCATTTGTTCCTGCATTCTTATTCCCAATACATACCTTTTCACTGATATGTGCTCATATTTTACTACTATGATAGCTTCTTAATCTGATCTCTCTTTTCTTCAATCTATCCTAAATATTAGCTATCAGAGTATATTGTTCAAAATACTAATCTGCCTGGAAATACTGTTATGCTTCATAATCTCTGATTCCATTTATGTATTATTCTTGAAATGATAAAAAATTTAGAGCTAGGGAACTGATTAGTGGCTGTTGGGCTTAAGGATGCTTGGGTGAAGGGAGATGGATATGTCTCTAAAAAAGGTAGCACAAGGGAAATTTTTGTGTGATCAAATAGTTCTGTATTTTGTTTGCTATAATGGGTATGTGATGCACATGTGATAAAGTAACATAGAACTATACTCAAACTTTGCACTAATGTCAGTTTCCAGGATTTGATATTCTACTGTAGGTACATAACATGTAAGCAATGGAGGAAACTGGGTAATATACATGACACTTTTGTACAGTCTTTTCAACTTTATGTGAGTCTATATTATATAAAAAGTAAAAAAAAATACTACTGTGCTTTAAAATGTTCAAGTTCCTTTGTCTGTCATATTTATGTATCATATTCTCTGGTTCCCTCTAAATTAACCATCCAAAGGTGTTACCTCTGATATATATATTTTTTTCTGTTTAAATCTTATTTGGCATTAACACAATGTTTGGCTCATACCAGGTTACCAAAAAGTGTTCCTTGAATTAAAACTGGGATTAATGGTTTTAATCCCAGTGCTTTAGAAGGCTGAGGCAGGAAGATCACTTGAGGCCAGATGTTTGAGATCAGCCTGGGCAATATAACAAGACCCCTGTCTCTATCAAAAATAAAATAAATTAGCTGTATGTGGTGGTGCAAATCTGTAGTCCAATCTACCCAGGAGGCTGCAGGGGGCAGTTGCTTGACCCCAGGAGTTTGAGGTTACAGTGAGCTATGATTATGCCATTGTACTCCAGCCTGGGCAACAGAGCAAGACCTCATCTCTAAAAAAAATTTTTTTTAAATGGAAAAAATTTGCTTTATGAAATAAAAATGTATCAAACTTGGTCTGTTTACTAATCATACTTCTTTTCTACTCATCTACTTATTCAGTTATGGTTTTTTTTGTTTGTTTGTTTTGTTTTTTTTTTTTTTTTTGTCTCTTCCTAATCTCTTTCCAAGTACTGAGCAGCATGCCAGGGATTTGACTGGTGGAGTTGGGAACTCTTTTCAAGGACTTAAGACTCAAATGTCATAAGGGCAAGATGAGCCAGGGAACCCAGGGTATAAGCTATGCTGACTCATGTTCATCCATTCATTCAAATTTATTGAGATTTGTGTTATAGCTCAGTATATGATCTATCTTGATATTCTGCAGTTGTAGTGTTCTATGAAAATCAGTTTCAAATATTCTGTGTTTTTAATTTTTTTTTCTTTTTGGTCTGGTTCCATTAATTACTCAAATTATGATTGTTGAGTTGTTCATTTTTCCTCTATTTCTGTCAGGTTTTGCTTCATATATTATGAGGCTTTGTTATTAGGTACATACACATTTATGATTGGTATGACTTCTTCCTGACGAACTGACACGTTTATCATTACGAATGATCTCTTTATATCTTTAGTCCTCAGTCTTCTGATGCTTATTGTTTGCATGGTGTATCTTTTCCATTCTTTACTTAAATCTATATGTGTCTCTATATTTAATATGGATCTCTCAAAGATAGGATAGACCTTGCTTTTTTTTTTTTTTTTTTTTTTTTTTTTTGAGACGGAGTCTCGCTCTGTCGCCCAGGCTAGAGTGCAGTGGCGCGATCTCGGCTCACTTCAAGCTCCGCCTCCCGGGTTCACGCCATTCTCCTGCCCCAGCCTCCCGAATAGCTGGGACTACAGGCGCCTGCCACCGCGCCCGGCTAATTTTTTTTGTATTTTTAGTATAGACCTTGCTTTTTTATCCATTCTGGTAATCTTTTCCTTTTATTCAGTGTGTCTTGTTCCATTAACATTCAATGAAGTTATTGATATGATTAGATTCAGGCTCTATTTACTTTTTGTTTTCTATTTGTTCCTTCTGTTTTTTGTTCCTCCTTTCCTGCTTTCTTTTGGATTAAATGATCCAAAATGATTTTTAGAATTATTGTGTAATTTATCTATTAGCTTTTTAAGCAGTTTGTGTGTGTGTGTGTGTGTACATGCTATAGGGATATTTCCTTTTCTGATAGTTATTATTTAGGGTTAATATATCATTTTACATCATATGTAAGGATTTTGCAACTTCATTTTACATAATATGCAAGGACCTTGCAACTGTTTAAGACCATCCTACCCCTCCCTGTTACAACGCTGTAATCATATGTGTGTGAAGTGCTATAATTTTACTTTTTAACAGTCGAATGTATTTTTAAAGCATTAAAAAAATAGTGTTTTATATTTACAGTTTTCGGTGCTTTTCATTCTTTTGACTTTCCGTCTGGTATTATTCATCCAGAAGAGCTTTGTTTAAGACTTCTTATACTGCAGGTCTGCTGGGGACCAATTTTCACAATTTTCTTTTATCTGAAAGTTGTTTTATTTTTCCTTTGTTTTTGGTGGATCTGTATATATAATATATGGGCTGAATAGAGAATTCTGGCTGAACAGTTGTCTCCTCCCCTCCCCAAAAGTCAACATTGGTTCTTATCACTGTTTCCTTGTGTGTAATATGTCGTTTTATTTTTCTCTGACTTCTTTTAGAATGTTTCCTTACATTTGGTTTTCAGCAGTTTGACTGCATGTACCTAGGTGTAATTTGCTTTGTGCTTTCCTGTTTCAGATTTTCTGAGCTTCTTTATTCAACACATCTTTGTCTTTCACTCAAATTGGGAAATTTTTAGCTCTTCTTGATATTTTCTGCATTATTCTTTCTTTCTTCAGCCTTCTAAAACTCTAATATACAAATGTTTGCTCTTTTGCTAGTGCCCCATAAGTCACTGATAGTCTGTTTTTGTTTGTTTCTGTCTTCTTCAGATTGGTTTTTCCTTTACATCCTTAAGTATACTTATGATAACTGTTTTAACATTATGGTGGGCTAATCCCAACACTTGGATCTTCTTTTCTCTTGAAAATAGGTTACATTTTTCTGTTTGTACATATATTAAGTGATTTCTGATTATATTGGATTCACCCTGTGAATGATGCTTTGAGTAGATTCTGTCTTCTATATGTTCCTTTAAAGAGAATTAGTTTTTTTTGTCTTAACAGGCAGATAATTGGCTGAACACAAACTAAAATTTGACTTTTCTGTGGCAGGTGGCAGCTTCACTGATGCAGTCAGATAGCTAATGTTAAACATGTGCTGTGTGTCATGCACCAAAGTAAATGATGACACTGCAAATATAAATAGACGTAGATCTTAACCTCATGGGGCTTGCTATCTAGTTGACAGAGATAAAAAATGAACAGATAAATATGTTCAATTTTCGTATGTCATATGAGGTAAGTACATAGAGGCAGCAGGGTTACTGAGAAGTGAGTTGTGCAATTGTTAAAATATAATTTAAAAATTATTTTGAAACAACTCAATCCTTATGAAAATAGAATAAAGTTTATTTATATATACGTGTGTGTGCGTGCATGATGAAAGATTGATAATATTACTTATACTTCCATTATATTTTGTTAATTCTTTTAGAAAAAAACCAACATTATCAAAAGTACTTCATATTTTGGGGAAACTATTAAAATGTTTAAATTCTTGGGTGCTGTACTAAATAAGAGAAATACTTTTTTGGTAAGAAAAGATGATTTGATGAAATCTGAGCAAAGAAAACAAATGATCATATAATAGGAAAAATAGACCTTGTTGAAATAAAAGACCTGTCTATACTAAAAGAAATATCCCTGTTGGGAGAAAGATATTTCAAAACTGTTAGACTAAGACCCATTTAGACTAATGGAAAGTATATTTTAAAAACCTGTGTTTCTTATGGCGGATATAAAAGTGGTTTTCTAATCTGTTTTGGAAGTTTCCTGTTTATACTTACATCTTTATAACTGAATGGGTAACATGGGTTTGGTTTGTCTTTTTTTTATAAAAGCCTGTCTACCTTAGCAATAACTTGAGCCTTTTTTGTTTGTTTGTTTTAACAGTGTATCCTACTCAGTACATGTATCTGAAGATTACCCAGGTATGCTTTTCTTGTTTTATTACAGATATTCGTATCAGGGTTCCTTTGAATATTTTTTTCTTCTGGAGATGTAAAACGCATATAAATATATTGAGGGGTGAAACACTGGTAGAGGAAGCCTTAAAGCTATAGAAGAATTCTGCTTACTGCCTGCAAAGTACATGTCTTACTCTGAGACACAGTGCAGAATCAAAATAATTTCCCAATGAAAAGTTCTTTAAAGATCCCTATGATAGTTCCAGCCTGTGCATTTACATCATTACAATTAAAATAAAGAGATCAATGGTCTAATTGTTAGTTTTGAACATCATTTGGCCTTTCATAATGTAAAAATAATAGGTAACATTTATTTGTTTCAGTCAGTTTTCTAAGTGTGTGTGTGTATCTATTTTTTCTTTTTAGTATTAAAAAATAGTAATTAGTTCATAGTTTGGTATGGAGATAATGTAAAACTTACTTGTTTAGCATTTAAGTATTTTCTGCGGCAGTTTGCATTAAGCATTTAACCATTTTATAAGATCGTTACATTTGAAAATACTTTCTTAAATCACAAACTTCCTTACAATTATTTTGCTATGCTCTCCATATGTTTTAAGAATAGTATTCTATAAAACTATTGTACAGTTATACAATGAAGTTATTCATTAAGGCTATGCCTATTTTTAATAGTAATACAAAAAGTGTTCTAGAGAAATTTTACTGGAAGAACCAATACAAGAAGTATTTATAAGAAAAATACTTTTTATAGATGGTTATGCAGTCAGCCCTGTCTGATAGTGTAGCATGTTTTTGATGCTATGTTTGCCAAGTATGTTATGAAATAAAAGCCCCACTATTTATTGTAAATACAAAAATTAATGTGCTTCTCATCTGAGTCAGATCATAGAGATGTCAGCCATGAGAAGTACAGGACTTTAAGTCAAGGTAATAGAAATAATAGTACAAATTAAAGCCCAGGTTGAAGACACTAAGTGAATTAATCTGTAGCACAGGATGTATGGTAGAAGATGCCTTTAGTAAACCAAGTGGGCCAAGTGTTTAGCTCCCTCTTGTGGCCAAGAGGTATTACTTGGGCTTTTTCACACTTTACGGGAGCCCCACCTGGAAATGCCAATATACAAACATTGAAATTCTAAAAAAAGTATTGATTATCATTTGTGCTCTTTTTACTGAATTCTCTAACTGGAGCAAGTTTGCAATGAATTTTCAATATAACTTAATTTCCAAAAGGAAGGAGTGTAAGTATATATATTTAATCTGTTTGGTGAAAGTAGGTTGTTATGCTGCAATAAAATATGATCACAGAAGACGGAGATTAGTGCATTCTGGTTTAAATACCGGGGCAGAATTTTCAGTTGGCTGATGTAACCAGTATATCAAAATACACTGTCCAGTGCGCAGTATACCAAGTATTTGCACATACATAATTTCATTTGATTCTCAATGCCGGTCTGTAGGAAAGGCAGAACAGGGCAGTTTATAATATAAATTCATACTTAGAGAAGTGTGCTGAGAGATGGTAAGTATTAAATAACATTTTCCCAAAACATGTAGTTTGGTGATAAAATCAAGTCTGTAATTCAGTTCTGATTCCCGTTGCCTCTGGGGAAGTAGTGTTAGTATTTTTATGGAGCTTTCTTCACAGTGAAATTAATATGATAATGTTTTCCCCATTATTAAATTTTAATCCACATTTATTTGTACTAAGAGTTGTTGGTTAATATGCTTGACTTTTTAGGTAGACATCTTGTTTTATAACTTACGTGTTTGTTCTTCCTTTCCAACATTTATACCTGTTCTTGTTGGCACTGGAATAATTTTTAATAATAGATATGAAAGTTGGCAGCTTTGTCCCTTTTTTCAAAATTAGTGAGCATGCTTCCAGTTGTTTTCAGAAAGGAAATTACTCTTTTTCTCATTTACCAAGCTTTTTTTTAAAAAAAATGAATATTAAATCTTTATCAAACTATTGTTTGGCATCTGTTGAGGTGTCATATCTACTTTTTCCTTTAAACAATAAAGTAACAAATTGTATTAGCAAATAACTCAATGTTGAGCTATGAGAATTATGTGTTTTGTCATATACTTTAGCATTAAAGACCTTAAGTTGCTGAATGAATTAAACAACTCTTTGAGCATTTGCTAGAACTTGCAAACAAATCTGTCTGAGCTTTTTAGGGATGGTTCTGGGTCAGTTGTCTTATTTTTCTGCCATGATTATTATCTCTTCTGTTTTTCTGTTTCTTAGTCATTTTAAAATATGTCTTCTTACTGAAAGTTTCTATGTTGGTGAAATGTCCAAACTTTTTAGCAAAAGTATAGTATTTGGTCCGTAATTGTAAAATTCTTCCATGTCTCTGGTTATTTCTCCTGGCCCATTTTTATTGTTCATATTTGTTCTTGTTCTTCCGTCCGTTGGTTTGTCTTCCAAATAGTTTAGCCATTTAAAAGATTCTTTCAAACAAATAGCTCTCTTTAATGTTGCATTCAATTTCTAAATGCAGTAATCTTGATACTACATTTATGAATTCTTTCTAATAATATACCTTAGGCTTCCCCTCTGCCTACTTTTCCTGGATTATTTGGATCAGTTATTAAGTAATCATCTAAGTTTGAACATATGAAATTTTCTTTGCTCTATGAAAATATATCAGTATTATCCTCCAAAGTCAAGATTACATCATTCTAGCTTATGTCCCTAGGAACAGATTTGTCCTTTTATAATTGTGATCTATTAATTAACTTGTACCATCTATTGAAATTTATTTCATACTTTTAGTGAAATGAAAATTTAGAGGGCCTTTGTTGAGTCAGCATATATAATAGCATGTATATAAATGAAATACTAAATGATATGTTGACTGTTCATGATTAAGTGAAGAAATAGAGAGGCCTTGTGATTTACTTGTACTTCTTTGTAGATTTTATTTTGAAGACAGTTTTTTTTTTAATGTCAGAGAATGAATTACACAATAGTTGTGTATATTACAAGTCACAGGTTGGCTCTACTATAATGGCAGAGTTCTTTAATTTTCTCTTTCCACTTTTAATTAGAAAGGCTTACCTACTGTTGGGAGTGGACTCTCTTATCCCTAGTAGAGGAATGAAGGGATACTTTCTGGATCCTCTGGCACCTGTGAGTCTAAAGAGTCTTGACCTACATGATATACTTGAGCATTAGGTATAGCCTGTGAATAAACCTCTTAAGTGAGAATTAGAATACTATACAGTCTATATCAAATTATAGCCCCAAAAATATAATTGTTTTTATACCTAATAAACATTTATATTTTATAAGACATTGCAACTTTTTAGTGACAATACTTTCCATATTTGAAAAAGGACATGGTATAGTGACAAATCATTGATTTTTGGATTCAGGCAGATTCAAGTTTTACCACTTACTAGTGTATAGTTAGTTAATTAATAGTATTTAATTTCTCTGAGCCTTAGTTTCCTAGTATTTAAAATAGGGATAATAATTGACTGCTATAGGGGATGAGGTGAAATTATGTAGAAAATTCAGCAAAAATATCCAGAATGTAACATGAAATCAATATAATTTTTTTAGAGTTATAATTATTATTTATCTTAAGTTACATCAGTGAGGGATGGAATGACTTGACTTAAATGGTGCTGTATTTGGAGCAGAATAAAAGCAACAGTTTAAGAAATACTTTTGCACAGTTCTATTCATCTCTCCCCAAGTCTCAAGTGTTCATGAAAGTTCTGGTAATGCTTTGCATAGTGTTAGAGAAGTGAAGAGAAAATATCTTGCTGTTAACAGCCTTAACAAAGATCTGTAGGTCCTCTATAAAACATACACATTAAAAATCTAACTGTCCCCAGAGGTTTTCAGAAAAAAAAAAAAGAGCTTAGAAGTCAAGATGGAGAATTCCAGTGAAGGAATTTGAGTTTGAAAACATTCATATATATATATATATATATATATATATATATATACACACACACACACACACACACACACACACATATATATATATTTTATTATACTTTAAGTTCTAGGGTACATGTGCACAACGTGCAGGTTTGTTACATATGTATACATGTGCCATGTTGGTGTGCTGCACCCATTAACTCATCATTTACATTAGGTATATCTCCTAATGCTATCCCTCCCCCCAGCCTCCCACCCCACAACAGGCCCCAGTGTGTGATGTTCCCTTTCCTGTGCCCATGTGTTCTCATTGTTCAATTCCCACCTATGAGTGAGAACATGTGGTGTTTGGTTTTTTGTCCTTGCGATAGTTTGCTGAGAATGATGGTTTCCAGCTTCATCCATGTCCCTACAAAGGACATGAACTCATCATTTTTTATGGCTGCATGGTATTCCATGGTGTATATGTGCCACATTTTCTTAATCCAGTCTATCATTGATGGACATTTGGGTTGGTTCCAAGTCTTTGCTATTGTGAATAGTGCTGCAATAAACGTACGTATGCATGTGTCTTTATAGCAGCATGATTTATAATCCTTTGGGTATATACCCAGTAATGGGATGGCTGGGTCAAGTGGTATTTCTAGTTCTAGATCCCTGAGGAATTGCCACACTATCTTCCACAATGGTTGAACTAGTTTACAGTCCCACCAACAGTGTAAAAGTGTTCCTATTTCTCCACATCCTCTCCAGCACCTGTTGTTTCCTGACTTTTTAATGATCGCCATTCTAAGTGGTGTGAGATGGTATCTCATTGTGGTTTTGATTTGCATTTCTCTGATGGCCAGTGATGATGAGCATTTTTTCATGTGTCTGTTGGCTGCATAAATGTCTTCTTTTGAGAAGTGTCTGTTCATATCCTTCGCCCACTTTTTGATGGGGTTGTTTTTTTCTTGTACATTTGTTGGAGTTCTTTGTAGATTCTGGGTATTAGCCCTTTGTCAGATGAGTAGATTGCAAACATTTTCTCCCATTCTGTAGGCTGCCTGTTCACTCTGATGGTAGTTTCTTTTGCTGTGCAGAAGCTCTTTAGTTTAATTAGATCCCATTTGCCAATCTTGTCTTTTGTTGCCATTGCTTTTGGTGTTTTAGACATGAAGTCCTTGCCCATGTCTATGTCCTGAATGATATTGCCTAGATTTTCTTCTAGGGTTTTTATGGTGTTAGGTCTAACATTTAAGTCTTTAATCCATCTTGAATTAATTTTTATATAAGGTGTAAGGAAAGGATCCAGTTTCAGCTTTCCACATATGGCTAGCCAGTTTTCCCAGCACCATTTGTTAAATAGGGAATCCTTTCCCCATTTCTCACTTTTGTCAGGTTTGTCAAAGCTCAGATGGTTGTAGATGTGTGGTATTATTTCTGAGGGCTCTGTATTGTTCCATTGGTCTATATCTCTGTTTTGGTACCAGTACCATACTGTTTTGGTTGCTGTAGCCTTATAGTATAGTTTGAAGTCAGGTAGTTTGATGCCTCCAGCTTTGCTCTTTTTGCTTCGGATTGACTTGGCAATGCAGGCTGTTTTTTGGTTCCATATGAACTTTAAAGTAGTTTTTTCCAATTCTGTGAAGAAAGTCATTGGTAGCTTGATGGGGATGGCATTCAATCTATAAATTACCTTGGGCAATATGGCCATTTTCACGATATTGATTCTTCCTATCCATGAGCATGGAATGTTCTTCCATTTGTTTGTATCCTCTTTTATTTTGTTCAGCAGTGGTTTGTAGTTCTCCTTGAAGAGGTCCTTCACATCCCTTGTAAGTTGGATTCCTAGGTATTTTATTCTCTTTGAAGCAATTATGAATGGGAGTTCACTCATGATTTGGCTCTCTGTTTGTCTGTTATTGGTGTATAAGAATGCTTGTGATTTTTGTGCATTGATTTTGTATCCTGAGACTTTGCTGAAGTTGCTTATCAGCTTAGGGAGATTTTGGGCTGAGACGATGGGGTTTTCTAAATATACAACCATGTCATCTGCAAACAGGGACAATTTGACTTCCTCTTTTGCTAATTGAATACCCTTTATTTCTTTCTCCTGCTTGATTGCCCTGGCCAGAACTTCCAACACTATGTTGAATAGGAGTGGTGAGAGAGGGCATCCCTGTCTTGTGCCAGTTTTCAAAGGGAATGCTTCCAGTTTTTGTCCAGTCAGTATGATATTGGCTGTGGGTTTGTCATAGATAGCTCTTATTATTTTGAGATACATCCCATTCTTATTCTATTACTTTAAGTCCTTTCTTTAACCCTTTTTACGCTCCACATTCTTCTCTAAACAAATTTTTTTTTACAAATGTCAAAATAATTTGAGGAAGATTTAGAAGTAATTAAGCAAGAACAAAAAGCCAACAGAATGGATTCATACAGATGGGATGATCATCAAAGATCATGAGCAAACCTCTCATTTTATAGCTAAAACTGTGGCTTAGGCTAAAGGAGATCAATAGCTAGTCTGCAGTAGTGTCTAGATTTTTCTTAATCTTAAAATATTTAATTGTCAAATAAAGCTTGATTATAGTCAAGTTATACAACAGGATGATTTGATATATGTATACATGTGTAGTAATTACCACGATCAAATTAATTAACATATCCATCACCACCCATGTTATACATTAGGTCCCAGAACGTGTTCATTTTATAGCTTTAACTGAAAGTTTGTACCCTTTAGCTAACATCTTGCTGTGTCCCCCAGCCCCTGGCCACCATTGTTCTTATTCTCTGCTTATACTAGTTCAACTTACTTAGATTCCGTATAGAAGTGAAATCATGCAGTATTTATCTTTCTGTGTTGTCTGGCTTATTTCACTTGGCATAACGTCTTCCATGTTCATCCATGTTGTTGCAGATGGCAGGATTTCATTCTTTTTCAGTTGCTGAATGTAGTATTTTGTTGTATATGTGTACCTCCGTTTCTTTATGCAACCATCCATTGATGAACACTTAGAACTTAAGAAGTTGTTTCCACTTCTTAGCTATTGTGAATACTGCCACAATGCACATGGTGGTGGAGATATTGCTTCAAGATCCTGGTTCCGTTTCCTGTGGATCTCAAAAGGATTGCTGAAATGGGTAAAGTAGAAGAAATAGATAAATTCCTAGAGACCTATCAAGACTGAATCATAAAAAAAAACAGGCCAATAATCAGTAAGGAGATCAAATTAGTAATCAAAAATCTTCCAAAAAGAGAACAGAGTGCTTTGAATTCAGAGTGAAGTGAATTCTGTCAAATAATTGAACCAGTTTTCTAGGTTTGATGTGCTTTCTTTCCTGTTCTATGTTTCTGATCATAGATTGGGTCTATCTCTGTGATCTGATCTGGCCTATTATGTAATAACGGCAATTTAATAAATAATGTCATAAAACCTGGAAACATTTTTATTTGGGGTAAATTAAGCCAAAATAGGAAATTACATGGGTTCTAATTCCTAAACACTAATCAAAATACAAACTATACAAAATCTTTCAGAAAATGATACGTTTGAAGGCATAATGCTGTCTAGCCTATGCAACTTATAGTCACCAAATTATATTCTCTTGAATCAAATCTCACTGTCTTCCAGTGTTGACACTTTATGTAAGCCATTTTGATAGAAAATCCTTTCTATTTAGTTATTCACTCCCCTGTTTTCTTAAACATAATGTCTTAATTACTTACCTCTTGGTGTTTTAGTAAAATCTTCGTCATTCTATGATACTGTAAAATTGCATGATGCTATCCACCTTACGGATTCTTCTGGATCTTCCCTTCTACTTGGTGGCCAGCTTTTGTTTCTGTTGGTCTAATGGTGCCTTCTAATACTCTTTTTCTCCTAAATGTTAGCTCCAGGGACTCCATTGTGCACAGGGAAAACAGATAATTAGGTTTTATATTAAGTAGCAACCGACTTCAAATCAGTGAGACTCTGAGTGAGGATTTAAGACATAATAAAAAAACATTGACTCTAATAGGCGTTTTTGATACTTACTGAAAGTATGAGGTTACTGGCAGAAGAGACTCTAGATAAGTGATCAAAGTCTCAACTAATGAGATAATAATTAAGTTTATATTAAACCTGTTTCTTAATCTGTGGTCCCACTCGATAAGCATGAAAACCTCACATGCTCCATGAAAATATTGGAAAACTAAATAAAGCAAAATTTGTGATTGCACTAATCCAAATAATGAGGCAAACATCTTTTGTCTCAAATTTAATTCATATCCATTCCTGCTTAGCTCCCTGACTGTTAAAGCCTTAGGTCTGTTGAGAATCTTTTGCAGCTAACCTGTACATACAGATCACTATCATTCACTCATTACTTGAGGCTAAGAATGCTACAGATGTTTCTTTGGAAATAATGACTTAGAGATGTATTAATTAAAAATTGTGTTCTCATTGTACCGACACAATATTATGAAAACTGGGCTCAAAAATATCTTTTAATGTGCATTCCCTGCGCCATAAGAACAACTAATTTCTCCTAGCAGAAATTGATCCATGCTTCTATTATGTGTTCGTGGTATTTTATACTATTTAGTAGGTCATTGATGAGTGCATTATAGGACCATTATTAATGAATTGATGAAGTGTGGGTCAAAAAGCTCTTCTGAGAGATGCCCTGCAATCATCAATGAGCAAAGAAAAATAAATACCTAAGAATTGTATTACCATATACTTGGAGACCTGTATTCATTAGGGAAAGAGTGCTAAACTCATAAAAATGTTATTTTTTAAAGAGGAAACAAATAGTGAATAAGAAATTTAAGGACCCTGTAGACTAACTTAGTATTTTGTGCACTCAACTTGTATAATGCATGTAGCTAATTTAATTCATGGAAGAATGATAATTGTGAGACTTTATCAATTTAAAAATATGTATTAGAGCAATATGGAAGGTATGATTTACAACAAAGTCTTCAGCTCAAATTTTTGAATGATTTGATAATGAATCTTTCCTTATTTTTATTTTTTATTTTAGAGATGGGGGTTTCACCATGTTGGCCAGGCTGGTATCAAACTCCTGACCTCGAGTGACCCGCCTGCCTAGGCCTCCCAAAGAGCTAGGACTACAGGTGTGAGCCACTGTGCCCGGCCCACTAATAAATTTTTTTTTTATTGCAACAAATGCTCTTTTTCAGTTTTCTCTCTCCACTCACTAACCCTGCTTCCTATAGTAGATGCTGATATTGGGAAGGACCTTGTCCAGTGAGTTAAGGCACCCAGTTGCATCCAAATGATTCATTGCCATAAGGGATATTACAGATGTACCTGGATAGTCTCTATTCAAAATCTGTATTTCACCAGGAGATACAAATGTCTTTAAAGAGACTATTTACAATTACTTCACACATAAATCTGCAATTTACTTTATCATATTTTTTGAGTTTAATCAAACAGTAGTGTATGCTTTATGAGAGTTGGAACTAAAGTGATGTGCATATAAATTAGCTATTATTTTTGTAAAGGATGTATTTTTTAAACTTATGCCTTTCATTATCTTTTTTTTTTTTTTTTGCAGATAATACATATGTGTCAAGTTCAGAGAATGATGAAGATGTGCTAGTTACTACAGAGCCAATACCAGTAATTTTTCATAGAATAGCAACAGGTAATAGTAGTATTATTTTTTATACTAGGTTAATTTTTTAAATTGCATTATCTTTTTTTGTTTGTTTGTTTGTTTCATTTAGCCAGTAACAGATATTTATCTTCTGTGTCTATAAATCCAGTCTCCATACAAATTTTCTATCTAAAGTACATTTTTTAACAATTTTGTAAATGCATAAATTTAAAGTAGTTGTAAAAAAATTCTGTGTAAATGTATTATGCTGACATTGCTGTTGTAAAAATATTTTCCTACATAGTGACAGACTGAATATTTTAAAACCACACTTACAGCAATGAAGACACCATGAAATATAGAGTGAGAGCTGAAGGAATTTGTAAAGTGGTGGTTTAGTTTAATCACATCTTTCTGCACAGTGAAAAATCAGAATAGCTTGCGTATTGTGTAACTCCTCAACATGACATGATTTCAAAATATCCCTTAATTCTTTTTCAGAGGAGATGGAATCACCTAAAGGGTAGTTTTATACCAAAACTTATGAATGCTTGGTAAATAGCATACTAAGTATCATAATATTTTTTAAATTACAACTTTCTTTCAGAATTAAGAAAAACAAATGACATTAACTGTTGCTTATCCATAAAATCCAAATTACAAAAGGAAAATGGGGAGGTATGTAAATTATATTTTTTATTTTCTTGAAACAGTATAGATATATTTAAAATTTACTGGGTTTTTGTAGTTAATAGCATCATTAGTGAGACTAAAATGGTATATGGTGAATGAAACTCAAGCTAATGGCTCAGGGGTGTTTGGTATGGTAGGAAGTGGCCTAAAATTAACTCTGAGAAGAAAGTTCCCCTTAAAATCATAGAAAGAAATGTCTGGTTTAAATCTAAATAAAATGTATATAAAGCTTAATTTATTCTGTATTCTTTCATCAAACACTGTAATTAGCTGAGGAACATTATGTAACTGATTTATAACTGCACGTGGCTATACATAATTTTGATGGGATCCTTAAAATTTTAAAAGATGATTTCTTTAGCCAAAGTAACACTGAGGTTGTACATAGTCTTATTTTCTGTCAGTATTTAAAAACACAAACTCATCTTTTCTCTCCATTTCCAAAGACTTTACTTGAATCTATAAATAAATATCAGGATATTAAACAAACAAAATGAGTGCAATAGGACCAGCAGTTCTTTGCTTTCAAAATTATGCATTTGATCCAATCCTCCTCTTCCTGTTAGTGTTGCACCATTCATTGTTCCCTTCTTTATCCACATTGAGAATTATTGGTTGAACAAAAGGATTGCTGAAACCAGAAATGGTTAGAATTTTATAAAACCCAAATTTCCTTTTGCATATTTTTTTGTTTGTTTTCCTTAAGAACTTGAAATTCAGTGTAGAAGTTTAGGGATGGTTACAAAACACTGGATGAATGGATTCCTGTGTCCAAATACCTACATTTCTCCTGTGTTAATAGGGCCAGTGATAGGAATACCCCCATGAATTTTCATTGTTTGTACTTCAGACACATGGCAGATGTGGCTCAGTTAATTAGAAACTCAAATTTCAAGTTGAAGCATATTAAATTAAATACCCTTTTGAAATCTGAATTCTGAAACAAATAATTTCTGTATATCAAAAGTTCTCATATGTTTCATATTTATTTTCATAATTTGATTATATATTATTGCATTTAAAGTTTCTTTTTTTTCATACCATTGTTTAGAGTTGGCAGGGGAAGTGAGAACAGCCTGGGACAAATAATGCTGAGGAGCTTTTTAATAAAATTGAATTAGTATAAGCTTGCCAAATGTTTTATCAGAGCAAAACTGAAGGTATAATTGATTATACATAAGTTTTTAATATACATCAAATATTGAATTGTGCATTTCCTGTAAAATCAGTGAAAGAGAACTTTTAAAACAGGTGTGCTGCTGAATACACTCACAAAGCCATTTGTCTCCCACTACCTTTTGTTCTGGGGTTTTACTGCACCAAGATGTTTTATATATAAAATCCATAATATATGCTCAAGACTTGCCTATTATAGTCACTTGCTATTTTAGAAAGGTAAAATAATTTGACCATTAAATTGTTTTCTTACTTTATTATTTTAAGGAATCAAGACAGAATAGTACAGTGGAGGAAGATTCTGAAGGTGACAATGATTCCGAAGAATTTTATTACGGAGGGCAGGTAAGGAAACCTGGTCTTCCAAATACCTAGTCTTAAAGTTCTAATAGCCATGTTGTCCTAGTGGTAATCTGTGCCTGAGAGTTAAGGGACCTGTGTGTTGTTCAGGGTTCTGTAACTAACTAGAAAATCTATATAATTTATCTTTGCACATTTTCTACCTATTTTTAGAAATTAAGGTTCCCCTGCAGTCCTTTCAATTGTAATCATTTATTTACATTGAAGTCATCTTAATTCATTACAGCGATTTTGCAGATAGTATTTTATTATGCTTTTGACTTGAATTTCTTAAGCATGTTGTGTTCAGTCACTATTCTGAGATAATGACACTTGTAATAAAAGTGTATATTGTTAGTTTTAAATAGAAGCTGGTTAACCTTTATTAAATTTGATGGGCCCACATTACTGAGCATCTTCATCATTTGTTTATTTGTATTCACTGCCATTGAATTCTTGGTGTTGAAAAATTGTTATGAAGAATCATCATAATTTAAATATATGAGAATAGCCTAGCCACATATATAAAAGAACTCATCAGAATTTTTCAGGATAATGTTAAAATTTAAAACTGAGCAATTGATTTTAGGGTGTGGCTGTATAATATGTGGTTCTGTTTCTATAAACTCCTTGAGCAAATGTGCTTTATAAGTTGGATAGTATAATGGGAGGGCAATATGTTAAAGAAGGACGTTAAAGCCAAAATTATGTAAAAGAATGCAAGTAAATTTATTTATTCAGAATGAAAAATTAGCAATTTGTCAATCAAGCATGTGCAAGGCTACAGAGAGATGGATATAATAAAACGGGCTTTCCTCTCTCCAGGAATGTCTTTCTAGCAATAAGATAGTTTTCCCAACGAAATGATTCCTTTACCAGTATAACATTTTAACATTATGCAAAATCATTCCTGTTTGATTTTTGTTTACACAACTAATTCTTACAGAGGGGAAGTAACTGCTTTTCTTCAGTCTTGATGTTCATTCTAGAAGTTTTTTAGATTATCTGCCAGACATTTACTTCACTAGTTTTTTACATTTGCTTTTTCTTTGTATTAATATAAACTAACTTTAAGTTCCAACCATAATCAATTTTTCTAGTCATATGTGAACCTAAGGATATTAGTGAATATATTACTTTATTGAAGCTAAAAATGCCCATGGCAAAATGCACAGGGAGACCTGTCTCAAAAGGTTGCTTAAGTTTTTGATTCTGTTCACTTCTGAGACACTTTTAAATTATCCCTTTTCATCAGGTGAACTATGATGGGGAACTGCACAAGCACCCACAACTGGAAGCTGATTTGTCAGCAGTTAGAGAGATATATGGGCCACATGCAGTTTCTCTCAGGTAAATAAGTATCACTGGTGAATAAAATTAAAGTTTTATGGTAAGTCATTGAAATTTACTTTTGGAGTAATTTAAAGGAAAAATTTGGGGTTTTAATTGTATTTTAAAGTGTTTTAGAAAGAGTCTACTGTTTATCCTTACACAAAATGACATATTTATGGCTATTTTTTTGATACATGTGGTTTAAGATTACATTGATTGCATTAAAAATTATTTTGGAGAGTTAGTTTGAAGACATATCAATCTTAAGTAGTGTCATAATTAATTCCTAGAATAGATTTGGCCAGCTGGGCCCATGCTGTTATCATAAATCATGGCCACATGCTTGTGAAGGATAAAAGTAAATGATGCCTACCCACTGGTATCCAAATTACATTGTCATCTGGTCCCTAAAAAAAAAAAAAGTGTAACTTTGCACAGTACTTGTTTGAATGATCATGTATTTTATTCTGTAGTTACCTAATATATTATTTGGTGATAAATTTACACATCATTTTTATTGCTTTTAATACTTCAGAAGACCCCACCATCCTTACTTTTCTTTTTTCTCCTTAATGTAAGAAAAAGCTTTTTCTGCCACCATAATAGTTTCCAGGAGTCAGCTCTGGTTATTTCAGATTTCCATTCTTTGCCTACACTGTAGTCTTGAAGTCTCCATGGAATTCCAGACCCCTTTCGTAGCCTGACCTCAGTCTGGCCCCTTTATGCTCCCAGACTACCCAGATATGTCATATTCCCGCTTCACGTTGGGCATTTGCATAAGCCGTTCTTTGATCAAGGAATGCGGCTCTTCAAATCCCACTGCTGTCTGTATTTAAGCCCCAGTCCATGGGTCAGCTTCTCTCTGAGCCTTCTTGGAATCTCCAGTGCAGATAAGTTACTCTGTTCTCTGGACTTCCATCACATTTGGCTCTTACCTTGTTTATTATTCGTCTCATGTCTTTTAATTATTTGGCTTACGTCTCCCCCTGTAGACTGAATTCAGTGAATGGTTGGGCAGTGCTTTTTCTTGTTCGTTTTGTTTTGGTTTGGTTTTTAATTCTTCATGTATTCTGGTACCATCATGGGACATGCATGAAATATAGGCTGCCGGCTTCCTGATTATTTTCAGTGGCACCATCTGAAAAAAGACATTCACATTATCTGGTTGTAACTTCTTCAATGGACATATGCATATTTTGAGAGGGCAAACAAGTAATTTCAATTGGGAAGTATGGCACAGCTGTAATTTATAATTGCCAAACATTTTATTTTAACTGCAGAAATAGAAACTCCCTACCATCTGCAGCCTAAGATAAACTGGGATTGTGTACCCAGGCTGTCTCTGTTCTATTCATGAAGGTATATTAGGCTACAATTGAGTGAAAGTGTTGGGATTATATTTGGAAAAGCAAGTCTTCTCTTTGCAGACTTCAAAGTTTTAGCAAATTAGCTGCAATAATTTTACATTGATCTCTGTTATGGCTCCAGATTAGGTAATATGCATATTTATAAGTGTTATAGAATGCATATATGAAGAAGGCAATTGGGACTATCAATACATAGTCCAAAACAATGGCTGTGTTTTTTTCTTTTTTTTTTTTTTAACAGTAATTGAACTTTGCTTGAAAGCTTAAAACTTTAATTTTAAGCACAATAATCTACATCTCGATATACACCAAAATATGTCTATGGGATATAACAATCATAATACAACATAGACTTCAACTTCTTTTTTTTTGAAATATATATTTTGGTTGCTGGGCGCGGTGGCTCATGCCTGTAATCCTAGCACTTTGGGAGGCCGAGGAGGGCAGATCCCCTGAGGTTGGGAGTTTGAGACCAGCCTGCCCAACATGGAGAAACCCCATCTCTACTAACAATACAAAATTAGCCGGGCATGGTGACAGGTGCCGGTAAACCCAGCTACTCGAGAAGGCTGAGGCAGAAGAATCGCTTGAACTCAGGGGGCGGAGGTTGCAGTGAGCTGAGATCGTGGCATTGCACTCCAGCCTGGGCAACAAGAGCGAAACTCCGTCTCAAAAAAAAAAAGAAAGAAATATTTTTGTTTAGTGGACAACTTTAGCACATGTTTATTTCTTTTATAGTTAAATATTTTTCTAAAACATCTTTCCATGCTGTCTAGGCCCCAGTCATATTGCCATGTATAGATGAAGGTCTTTTTTTGTTCCTTCACCAAGCATTTGTTAAGTACCTATGATGGTCTGTATCAGTATTTTCTATTATTAATTAAGTTAGTGATAATTGTTAGCTGCTGAAATTAGATTAAAAAATGTTTGGAAATTCAGTCAAATGAAGTATCTAAAGTCATATCAGTGTTTTGAATTTTTTCCCCTTAACCCTTTTCACTTGTAATAGTTTTGATCCAGTTTAAATCTTAATGAATGTAAGCCATGTTCCTGCCTGCTCTAGATTTTCTCTAGCTGTAGAGGATATTTCCAAAATAAATATCTTCCTAGAGTCTTCATGGTACAAAGGTGAATCACAGCAGGACTAGTTTGATTTACTTAAATGGGAATGAATTTACTGTCTAGTTTCAAATACTTAGGCTTGGATTCAAGGGAAAAGAGGTGGGTAGTTAGGCAGAAGGTCTTGAAATCATCTTCCTTGCAAAGTTCTAAGTCTGTTGAAAACAGACTGTTCTAATTAGCTGTTCTTTTACCTAATTGGGGCTTACAAGAACTTAATGAAGTTTGAAGAGCAAAAGTAACTCAATATGCACAACAGGCTATTAGGAGTAATTTTTTTTTTTAAAGCAACGTCTAATGAGAAAGGCAGCTAACCACATCTAAGTTCTCTGTAAGAGATGGAAGTAACTGAGATTGCCTAGGCAAAATCCTGAGATTATTGAGGCAAAATCCTCTTAAAGAAGGCTGAAAGAAGGTGTAGAAAAAGTGAGTGATGATAGATATATTACTTAAGTAGGTAATGACAATTCTACCTCACCATTCTATCCAAAAGCCTACTACTGGCTGTTGAATCATACATGTAAACATTGATGATAATTCTGATTTATAGTCTTTTGTATAGGAAGTGAGTTAGGTCTTGGGGCAACATGAACTTTGCGATCAGTCTGAATAAGTCTCATCTTGAATCATTCAACAAAACGCATTTTATGTTTTTCATTGTAAATGTACCTCCCTATATATTTATGAAAATAAAATTGATCAGTGTCATTGGAAAATAAATTGAAATTAGTATTTTTAGAAAGGGAATTACAGATCAGAAAATTCATATTTGTTTAGGAAAGAAATGATTCTGATAGTTTCTTTGTGAAATTTAAAACTTCCATTTAATATAAAATATTCTTTACCTTATTATCATGCCATCTTTCATTTAGAAAATTTAAGTCATATGAGTAATAGTCTAACCTTTTTATTGTGACTAATGCTTAATGTAGGCTGGAAGCTTCTAAAATTGTGACTGTTCTATTGTGACTGTTCTATTGTGAATAGTCAACTGTTGTGACTATTTCGATCACTTTTTGTGCACAGACAATTGTAATTGGGCCTTTTGAGGGTAACGTTTGGGAAACGAGCATTCTGAGAATTTGGGGTGGCTTAAGGAACGTATATCACGTTACTCATACCCACCAAACATGTATCTCCTTTAAAAAACAAAAATGGTAAATGAAAGGAAAGAAAAAAAATGCATACCTCAGAATGCACTGCTTTACATTCTCTGGATTTCTGAATTCTCATTTGTAGTGGCCAGTAGGACTGCTTACATATCTTCTGGTTCTCCTGTTCTGGTCTTATGGTAGGATTGTATTTCCTTTCACTCTTTAGTGTTAGGCATGGATATATCACTAATTTTGGCCAGTCATATGTGAGCTAAGTGCTAGTGTGTTAGTTCCCATGTCCCCTCAGCTCTGCTTCCTTGGGCCCCTTAGTGACGACAGTGAGCTGCCCCTCCCTAACCCCCAATTCTATATTAACAATAAGGTAGGAGTGAGATAGAAATCTTTTTTCGTTTTGAGCCACTGAGATTTTAAGAATGCTTATTACCACAACATACCTCAGCCTACATAGATGTATATCATTCATCAAAAAAAGATCTTGGATTGAATATTTTGTAATCTCCTTTCTAGCATATTGAGTCTTCATCCTCTGCCTCCAAGCCAAAGAATAAAAACAGTCTGACTCTGAAAATCAGGGAAGTGATGACAGGAGGCACAGAGGGGAAAGAAAGGAGAGAGCATTTTCCCAAACCACGGGGACATAATCTAGATGTAAGCTTCAGGTGCTCAGATCCTAGACACTAACCACTACTCCCAACGCAAGGGCTTTCTCCTAGCAAAACTGAAGATTTTTAAGCTGACTGCAGAGTTGTAGCAGTTGTTTATACTGTACCTCTTATGCACAGTTTTACATGAGCTTCCTTTCTTATCTGGATCTAATTTTTAAATTTTTCTCAGCCCTGTTGTTCTTTAGAGAAATTTATAGCTACCTTGGATGCAGTCTTGCAAATGCTTTAATCTGCCAGAATTTCTTCCTGACTACTGAGTTTGCATATTTCTTGGCCCATTCACAAACATCTCTCCCACGCTGGGCAAAAACCACACATTGAGTAGGCATGCAGAGATAGACATGCAAGCTGTTGAGTTTCAGATGACATGGGAAGGTGTATGTATCTTCACAAAATATCTGTCTTCTCAAAATATAACCATCCAGTTGTTGAAAGAAGAAATAAACAAGTAGCAATAGAGGCTTACTTCCTAGGAACATGTGGTAGAGTTGCATGCATGCACGTATGTGTATATACATATATGTGTGTGTGTGTGTGTGTGTGTTCCCTGACAGTTAATAAGACAAGGCTAGATATCTGAAATATATTTTCATAACCAACACAATGACTGCTGATTTTGATCAGGTTTCATTATAAAACATCATAACAGTGTAATGAATAAGCTGAAGTTTTATAGACAAAGGAGGACCAACATAGATGCTCCAACATTTAATATATTGTAAGTGTGTATGTGAGTGTCTCACGAGTGAGGATATTGTCTTGAGTAGTTCCATTAAAAATAGGAGAACAAATTGCTAAGAATTCTAACACAGTGGCTCAAAGTCCATATTCATTGAAAAAAAAAACTTTATACATATATGCTTAAATGAACTAAGTCACATTTAAATATCCAAAATCAAATTACCAGATTTCAAGAAATGTAGATTAAAAGAGTAGCTCACCCTGAATTTAATATGTCACTACATGTCGGGAAAGAACATTTGTGGAGGCATTCTTTTCAGACCAGAATGAAGCAATTTCGTTAGATCATTTCTGTATTGTTTCCCTCATATTAAAAAAATTTGAATTCATCAATTTGATGTGATCTTTTCACAGTGAATAAATATAGGCAGCACATGAAATTATTTTGAGTTATTATATACCGAATACTGCATTCAGGACACAATCAGATGTCTAGCTTCACAATTCAAGTTGTAGTCATATTTCAAGCATTCAACTTGATTCTGCATTTGCTATTCATGAGATCCTGGGCCACTGAAAGTTATTCAGATATAGAAGCAATCCTGATGACTGGGTCGCTGCATCTGGACAAACTGTAATCACGCTTTGTAATCTCTCAGTGGGAAATATGAAATTACTGGCATTATATAAAAAGGGCATCACAACGGAAATGGGTTTGCATATACACAGCGTCATTTGTGAATTCTTTGAAATCTGGCATACAAAGAAAAAAGTATAACTATTTATAGATCTACACCTGCAGAATCCAGTTAATTGCAAACCTTTAGGCCTCTGCCTCCTTAAAATTCTTTATTCATGTTCTGCTATGTTGAAGAAGAGGAACACTTGCAACCCTTCATTTCCTTTTTTTGGAGTGTTAGAAATTGGGAAGATACTTTTAACCAAAAGGTCATTTAAGACATCATATACAAAATACTTAGAAATTCACATGTAAGAGGTTTTAAAAGCATATATGCACGTTCTGATTATTCCTTTATGGTAAATTCTGTTGAAGTAATCTGAAAAACTATTTATGGGGAAAACAGTTGTAGATAAGGGTCGTACTGATTTTTTTTTTTAATCTTCCTGCCTGTAAACGTACCAGCGTTTTGCCAATGTAAATAAGTTCAAAAGAAAAAAAAAAGTTGTTTCCCTCCCATAAAATTGGCAAAGATGGGAGAAAAAAAATGTCTGATGATGATGAGAATGTAGGAAAAGGTCATTGTGATAACCTGGCTGGTGTAATTATAAGTTGTTGTAACCATTTAAAAAGTAACTAAACAACATACATCAAGAATCCCAAATATGGTTATAATGTTTATTTAACCCAGTAATTCAAGAAGTGATTCTATGAGAAGACAGATGCACATAGATTTTTTTTATCCAGTTGCTGTTTACCAATATTTATAGTGTAAACAAAAAAGGAATTGTGTTGTATTTATATATATTATAAAATTATGCATTATATTATATAAAATATAATGCAATATGGGAAAAACAGCTGATGATAGAAGAAGTGAAAGAACAGAACCACAATCTTTATATATTACACTGTATAAATCTTGTATACATGGAAGAGACTGGAATGAGATAAGCAAAAAGAATCATCTCCATATTGTGATAAGACAGATTATTTTTGTGCATTTTAAAATTTCCCACATTTTATATAATGAGCCTGTATTACCTTTTTAATCAGAAAAAGTAGGCATATGTTTTTAGAAAATACATAACATTTTTCATAAAATAAGTTTTACACACAATTTAGAGTTGATATATAAGTACTGTTTTTACTCTTGATTTTCCTGTTTCTATTTTCTTAAAAATATCATTTTAGCTTCCGTGCTTTTTTGGTAATCTGCTTATCAGTATATTTGCAACATTTCCCCCAGGATATGAATATTTTTGTATCGACTCCTTCACTAATGGGTAATTTTTTCTCCTATCAACATGCTATAGTTTACTTAACTATTTCCTTATTATTCTATATCTATTTTCTCAATTTCTGTTCTTACCCACATGGCTGTAGATAAGACTTTGAATATATTTGTTATTATTTTCTTAGGATTAACTTCTGTGAGCAAAGTGTGGTTGTAGACAGGGCCCCTTCACACTCCTGAAACTTTACTTGAACATCATTCATCATCTTTCCTCATCATTCAGTTTAGTGGCTCTTTCTTTTTACATGCCTCACGATTTTATTTATTAAATATTTGCCAGTGTTCAGGGTCATTCAAATTATGACCATTGGGCTGTGAGGTTTGTTTTGAACAGATCTGTGAACTACAAATGGTTTTGCTTTTTAAAAGGGTTGGAGAAAGAAAAGAGAGAAAGAGAGAGAGAGAGCAAGAGAGAAGAAAAGAAGGAAAGAAGGAAAAAAGAAAGAGAAAGAAAAAGAAAGGAAGGAAGGAAGGAAGGAGGGAGGGAGGGAGTAAGGAAGGGAGAAAGAGGAAAGAAAGAAAAGAAAGAAATAACGAAAGAAAGCAAGCAAAGAAAGAAAGGAGAGAGAAAGAAAACGAAGGAAAGAAAGAGAAAGAAAAGAAAAGATGGATGCGGCAGAGACTGTATGTAGCCTGAAAATCCTAAAATATTTACTCTCTTTACCTTCACAGAAAATGTTTGTGGTACCCTGAACTAGAGGCAGAGATGAAAGTGTTCATTTGCTTGGCCCTTATTCTTGTCATACTTTCTGTATACTTTCATACCGAAATTTGCACATAATCTTATCCTTTAAGATTAATGTTTATCATGTAGTACAGACATTATAGATGCTTTGATGGTTTTTAAAAATTAATTCCTATGTAAATATTTATTCATTTATTTATGTAACCTATAAAAATATTACCATGAATAAAAAGTGCAATTTCCTTAAAAATGGAAATGTGCTCTCTCTCTCTATATATATATATACACACACACATATATATACACATATATATAATATATATATATTCATTTATTTATTTTTTGAGATAGAGTTTTGCTCTTGTTGCCCAAGCTGGAGTGCAATGGCACGATCTTGGCTCACTGCAACCTCCACCTCCTGGGTTCAAGCAGTTCTCCTTTGTCAGCCTCCTGAGTAGCTGAGACTACAGGCATTTGCCACCACGCCTGGCTAATTTTGTATTTTCAGTAGAGACGGGGTTTCACCATGTTGGTCAGGCTGGTCTCAAACTCCTGACCTCAAGTGATCCACCCACCTCGGCCTCCCAAAGTGCTGGGATTACAGGCGTGAGCCACTGCGCCCAACCAATGTTTTAATATATTTTTAAGGAGAGGACAGAGAAAGCACACAGGCTACCTTATATTTGGATATGCTGACATTATTTTGGTCATAGATATCAAAAAGCAAACAAATCTCCCACATTCCTTTTCTTATTAAATTACATAAAACCATTTAATCAGTACAAATTTCTTCTCTGAACCCTATAAAAGGGATTATATTCTATTACTTGAATAGTCGATAGAAATTTTTATTTAGTGCCAGATACTGTGCTTTACACAATTTTTAAAATTTTATTTTTAATTGACACATAATAATTGTGCAGATTTGTGGTTTACAGTGTGATGTTTCAATACATATATACATTGTGTACTGGTCAAATGATGGTGTTTAGCATATCCACCACCACAAACATTGATCTTTTTTGTGGTGAGAACATCAAGAATCCTTTCTTCTGGTTAATTTGAAATATATATCATACTAGTGTTTACCATAGTCATTCTACTGTGCTATAACTTATTTCTCCTACTGAACTGTGATTTTGTACCCATTGACCAGTTTCTCCTCCTCATCATCTTTCCCTTTATGCTTCCCAACCTCTGGTAATCTACTCTGTACTACAATGAGATCAGCTTTTTTTAGATTCTGCAAATGACTTACATCACGCAGTGTTTGTCTTTCTTTTCCTGGCTTACTTTACTTAAGACTGTGTCCTCCAGGTTTATCCATGTTGCTGCAAATGACAGGATTTCCTTCATTTTTTTATGGCAGAGCAGTATTTTATTGTGTGTATGTACCACATTTCATTATCCATTCATCTGTTAATGGACACTTAGGTTAATTCTGCATCTTGGCTGTTGTGAATAGTGTTGCAATATACATGGGGGCACAGATATCTCTTGGACAGACTGATTTCATTTCCTTTGGTTAAATGTCCAATCATGGAACTGCTGGGCCACATGGTGGTTCTATTTTTAATTATTTGAGGAACCTTCATACATTTTCCATAATGGCTATACCAATTTACATTCCCACCAGCAGTGCAAAAGGATTCCCTTTTCTCCACATCCACATCAGCATTTGTTATTTTTTAATCTTTTTGCTAACAGCCATTCTAATTGGAGTGAAGTGATATCTCACTGTGGTTTTGATTTGCATTGCCCTGATGATTAGTGATGTTGAACATTTTTTCATGTACCTGTTGGCCATTTGTATGTCTTTTGAGAAATGCACATTCGGGTCTTTTGCCTTTTATTTTTATTTTTATTTTTATTTTTATTTTTGAGACAAGAGTCTTACTCTGTCACCCAGGCTGGAGTGCAGTAGTGCCATCTTGGCTCACTGCAACCTCTGCCGACTGGGTTCAAGCGATTATCATGCCTCAGCCTCCTGAGTAGCTGGGGCTACAGGCGTGTGCCACCACACCTGGCTAATTTTTTTGAATTTTTATTAGAGACAGGGTTTCGCCATGTTGGCTGGGCTGGTCTCGAACTCCTGACCCAGTAGATCTGCCCAGCTTGGCCTCCCAAAATGCTGGGATTACAGGCATGAGCCACCACACCTGGACTTTTGCCCCTTTTAAAGTCAGATTATTTGTTTGTTTGTTTGTTTGTCTTTGTTCTTGAACTGTTTGAGTTCCTTATATATTCTTGATATAAACCCCTTGTGAGATGCATGGCTTGCAGTTATATTTTCACCCATTCTGTAGGTTGTCTCTTCACTATGTTGATTGTTTCCTTTTTAGTTTGATGTAATCCCATTTGTCCATTTTTGCTTTTGTTATTAGTGCTTTTGAATTCTTATTCAAGAAATCCATGGCCAGACAAATGCCATGAAGCATTTCCCCTATGTTTTCTTCCAGTAATTTTATATTTTTGGGTCTTACATTTAAATCTTTAATCCACTTTAAGTTGATTTTTGTATATGAAGATAGGGATCTAGTTTCATTTTTTTGCATGTGCATGGACAGTTTTCCCAGCACCATTTATTGAAGAGACTGCTCTTTCCTCAAGGTGTGTTCTTGGAGCCTTTGTTGAAAATCAGTTGGTTGTAAGTGTATGGATGTATTTCTGTGTTCTCTATTCTGTTTCGTTGGTCTACATGTCTATTTTTATGCTGGTCCCATGCTGTTTTGGTTACTATAGCTTTGTAAGGTAGTTTGATGTCTCCAGCTTTGTTCTTTTTGCTCAGTGCCTTGGCTATTTGGGGTCTTTTGTGCTTTCATGTGAATTTTAGAATTCTTTTTCTATTCCTGTAAAGGATGTCATTGATATTTTGACAGGGGTTGCATTGAATCTGTAGGTTGCTTTGGCTGGAGTATGGATGTTTTAATAATATTCTTCCATCCATAAACAAGCAATTATCTTTTCATTTTTTGTGTCCTGATGAACTTATTTCATTAATTTTTTTTTTTTTTTTTTAGTATTTATTGATCATTCTTGGGTGTTTCTTGGAGAGGGGGATGTGGCAGGGTCATAGGATAATAATGGAGAGAAGGTCAGCAGATAAACACGTGGACAAAGGTCTCTGGTTTTCCTAGGCAGAGGTCCCTGCGGCCTTCCACAGTGTTTGTGTCCCTGGGTACTTGAGATTAGGGAGTGGTGATGACTCTTAATGAGCATGCTGCCTTCAAGCATCTGTTTAACAAAGCACATCTTGCACTGCCCTTAATGCATTTAACCCTGAGTTGACACAGCACATGTTTCAGAGAGCAAGGGGTTGGGGGTAAGGTTATAGATTAACAGCATCCCAAGGCAGAAGAATTTTTCTTAGTACAGAACAAAATGGAGTCTCGTATGTCTACTTCTTTCTACACAGACACGGTAACAATCTGATCTCTCTTCCTTTTCCCCACATTTCCTCCTTTTCTTTTCGACAAAACCACCATCGTCATCATGGCCCGTTCTCGATGGTCACTGTCTCTTCGGAGCTGTTGGGTACACCTGCAGAAAGGCTGTCACTTCACACTTGGAAGATTGCACAGCGGCCAGGCAGAGGCGCTCCTCACTTCCCAGCCAAGGCGGCCGGGCAGAGGCGCTCCTCACTTCCCAGACGGGGCGGCCGGGCAGAGGCGCTCCTCACTTCCCAGACGGGGTGGCCGGGCAGAGGCGCTCCTCATTTCCCAGATGATGGGCGGCCGGGCAGAGGCGCTCCTCACCTCCCAGACAGGGCGGCCGGGCAGAGGCGCTCCTCACTTCCCAGACGGGGCGGCTGGGCAGAGGCGCTCCTCACTTCCCAGACAGGGCGGCCGGGCAGAGGCGCTCCTTACTTCCCAGACGGGGCGGTGGGGCAGAGGCACTCCTCATTTCCGGGGCAGAGGCGCTCCTCACTTCCCAGACGGGGCGGCCGGGCAGAGGCGCTCCTCACTTCCCAGACGAGGCGGCCGGGCAGAGGCGCTCCTCACTTCCTAGATGGGGTGGTGGCCAGGCAGAGACGCTCCTCACATCCCAGACGATGGGCGGCCGGGCAGAGGTGCTCCCCACTTCCCAGATGGGGCGGCTGGGCAGAGGCGCTCCCCACTTCCCAGACGGGGCGGCCGGCCAGAGGCGCTCTTCACATCCCAGATGATGGGCGGCCAGGCAGAGACGCTCCTCACTTCCTAGATGGGGTGGCAGCTGGGCAGAGGCGCTCCTCACTTCCCAGATGGGGCGGCCTGGCAGAGGGGCTCCTCACATCCCAGACGATGGGCGGCCAGGCAGAGACACTCCTCACTTCCTAGACAGGGTGGCAGCCGGGCAGAGGCTGTAATCTTAGCACTTTGGGAGGCCAAGCAGGTGGCTGGGAGGTGGAGGTTGTAGTGAGCCGAGATCACGCCACTGCACTCCAGCCTGGGCAACATTGAGCATTGAGTGAGTGAGACTCCATCTGCAATCCCAGCACTTCGGGAGGCCGAGGTGGGCAGATCACTCGAGGTCAGGAGCTGGAGACCAGCCCGGCCAACACGGTGAAACCCCGTCTCCACCAAAAATACAAAAACCAGTCAAGCGTGGCGGCGCGTGCCTGTGATCCCAGGCACTCGGCAGGCTGAGGCAGGAGAATCACGGGAGCCCGAGGCAGGGAGGTTGCGGCGAGCCGAGATCAAGGCAGTACGGTCCAACCTCGGCAACAGAGGGAAACCGTGGAAAGAGAGAGAAGAGAGAATAGAGGGACAATTTTTTATTTTTTATTGTAGAAATCTTTCACCTCCTTGGTTTAATTTATTCCTATGTATTTTATTTTTCATAGCTGTTGTAAATAGGATTTGTTTTTTCATTTATTTTTCAGATAGTTCATTATTGGTGTACAGAAACTACTGATTTTTATGTGTGTTGATTTTGTATCCTGCAATTTTACTAAATTTGTTTATTAGTTTTACAGTTTTTTTGGTGGAGCCTTTAGAGTTTTTTATATATACGATCATGTCATCCACAAACAGGAACAATTTGACGTCCTCTTTTTTAATTGGATATCCTTTATTTCTTTCTCTTGCCTGATTGCTCTGGCTAGGACATCCAGTACTGGGTTGAATAAGAGTGGTGAAGGTGGGCATCCTTGTCTTGTTCCCATATTTTAGAGGAAAAGCATTGAGTTTTTTCTTATTCAATGTGATGTCAGCTGTAGGTTTGTAAATTTGGCCTCTATTGTGTTATGTTCCTTCTATAGCTAATTTGTTGAGAGTTTTCATCATGAAGTGATGTTGAATTTTATCAAATGCTTTTTGTCTGTTGAAAAGATCATAACATTTTCTTCATGATTCTGTTAATGTGATGTATCACGTTTATTGATTTGCATATGTTGAATCATCTTGCACTCTCTAGGATGAATCCTACTTGCTCATCATGGTGTATGATTTTTTTAACGTGCTATTGAATTCAGTTTGCTAGTATTTTGTTGAGGATATTTGCATCTGGTTCATCAGGAATATTGGCTTGTAGTTTTCTTTTTGTTGTTGTTTCCTTGTCTGGTTTTGGTATCAGGGTAGTGCTGGCCTCATAAAACAGGTTTGGAAGAATTCCTTCCTCTTCAGATTTTTAGAATAGTTTGAAAATAGTTTGCAAAGCACAGATGTTATGATGCTTTGATGGTCTTTAAAAAGGAATACCTATGCAAATCATTTTTATCCCTTTATGTAACATTTAAAGATATTACCATGAAAGAATAAGAGTGTAATTTCATAAAAGTTGAAAATGTGCTCAATGTTTTAATGTATTTTTAAAGGAGAGAATGGAGAAAGCACAGAGGCTACTTTATATTCTAATATGCTTTGGTTTTTGGTCATTTATATTAGAAAGAAAAAGATCCCCTAGATTCCTTTATTCATTAAATCACATAAAATTTTTCAATCATTAAAAGTTTCTTCTCTGAACTCTATAAAAGTGCCACAATTATGTATTATAATTCTATTACTTGAATACATAATAGACATAAATTTTTAGTGAGTACTTAACTATATGCCAGATACCATACTTGACACAGTTTTAGAGTTGGACATATATTCAATTCCTGACTTCCCCACTAACTTATTTTTCATTTGGCAACTTTTTTCACATCTTTAAATCTTAGTTTTCTCATCTGCAAAATGAATGTCGTAATATTATCCACCTCACAAGGCTGTGATGAGGACCTAATGAGATCATCCATTAATGCTTGACCTGGTTTCCAACACAAAGTGCTAGTTTCTTGAATATTAACTAAAATACATGTATTCAAGTCTCAGCTCTGCTATAGAGTGATGATTGATAAGTTACTTTGTACTCTGGGCCTCAATTTATGCATCTGTAAAGCGGAGATGGCAGTAGTACCTTAGGTGTTTTGTGAGTACTGTATTAAATTATCACATGTATGTAAGATCTTTAGAACAATTTCTGGCACATCAGTGCTGAGTAAATATTGGTCATTAACTTTTATCATTTCAGTTATTTCTGTGGTTTTTATCTCTCACTATGCATAGCATTTGTAACTTCAGAATTTTATAAGAATATCAAAAATACAGATGTGTTATATATGGAGAATATTCAAACTTGTTTTTATATTCTTTCATTCGCTTAAGAAGTATGTTGGTTCGTGGCAGTACCTGTGCTGTACAAAAGTTGGTCCTCATAATTCCTTCCTGTAGAATATACTACAGTTCCTTTTTTTTTTTAATATCAGACTTTTAGAGCTGCCCATCAAAACACTGACATTTAAGTGGCAGAACACTTGGATTGGTTTCTGAACCACTGATGCCTAACTAGAAGGAAAAATTATGGGTGCATTATTGTGTGTCTTCCCTATACTCCTTCCTCATGTCATCAACTCCTTTCTTGTCTTCAGAAGCAGCTCCTTATCCTCAGAGTGCTGTGAAAACAAAGCAGTCATATGGGAAGATTGACTAATTTGCCACAGAAAACGGAATATTTAAAACTATGAACCAAGCAACTCTTGATTTTATATATGCATGTGCGTGTACAAGACAATAGAAAGATATCAATGTGGTATAAACAGAAAAATGACAGTCCAACTAGATTATTAGTTATTTCATATCCACAGTTAGATGTGAGCTATTTGTCAAAATCAAGGATGAGAATTAGTGATTTAAAATTTTAAATAAAATAACCTAACACACACCATCTTTTAAGCATCATTAAAATGAAAAAAACAGTGTTAATTTTTGCTTTCAGGGAATATGGAGCCATTGATGATGTAGATATTGATCTGCATATCGATGTTAGCTTTCTTGATGTAAGTATCAATTTTATGTAATATGAATGGTGCATTTAAAATACATTTTATTTTATTTTTGGGGGAAATTTAATTTTCAGTTTTGTCTTATAATACTATTAGTTACATATTGACTGTTAAGGTGCTTTGTGAAGAATTGCTGTGACTTGTCAAAGAAGCAGCGATTTTGTAAACATATATTTGCATTGGTTTTTCTAATGGTCTCTGAAATTTATGGGCTTTTACAATACTTCGTTATATTTTAAGTATTCATTTTTAGTTCTCATACATAGAAGGCCAATATTTTCACAAAACAGTGGGTTTTGAGATAACTTATAGGCCTTCATGTTATATGCATTTTGCGAACACAAGTTTTAAAAGTTTGTGTGTTTTTTTTTTCATTTTGAACTCTAAAAGATGATTAATTCATCTTTTAAATATATTTGTGCAGGAGGAGATTGCTGTGGCTTGGGAAGTAATTCGAACAGAACCTATAATTGTTCGACTACACTGTTCACTTACACAGTATTTAAATGGCCCAGGTTAGTTTTATTTCTTTATTTATTATTTTGAATATTAATTAGCTGTGCACTATGCCTTAAGCAAAATGCGTGTTCATTTGTCAGTTCTGAGCAAAAGTGCTAAATATCTTGATAATGGTATTTAAAGAAGCTTGCAGTCTAAGAAAGATGGTTTATTGCCAATATAACTTATGGAAACAGAAACGTAAGATTTCATTTTATAGATTTTCAGAAACTGACAAGTTTCTGAGACACAAACATTTAAAAAACCCAAAAGAGTACTTTGCATGTAGTAGAAACTCAGTAAATATATATATTTTGGGTTTTCCTTAGATATAATTATTTCTGTCTTTGATTCTGAGATTCAATTTTAATGCAATATAAATTCTGTCTTTGAACATGGAGATTATAATAGTGTATTTGTTTGCTGAATCTTTAAGCGACAATGTTGCTATTTTATTTCAACTGATAGCTGTTTACAACAAAGGACCCTATCATAAGTCTTGCCAAAATTTACTTGGTAAAATGTTTTTTCCTACCTACTACCACACATACACACACATACACACACACACACATGCATGCACACACACGCATGCACACACACACAATTGTATCTACTTATATTGTTCCAGTTATCTAGTGTTACATTTAAAAAAAAATCCTAAAACTTAGTGGCTTAAAAAAACTTCTCTCTCACTATTCTTTGGGCACTTCTTGCTTGCAGTCTCCCATGATTTGCAGTTATGTGTGGGTGGGGCTGGGGCCAAATCAAGGCCTCACTGGGTTGGATACACACAATGCTGGACGTTCAAATGGCTAGCAGTTGATGCAGGTGTCATCTAGGGACTCACCTGAGGCTTTTGGCTAGAGTGCCTGTCCGACACATAGCTTCTTCATGTGGTTTGGACTTCTTGTACCATGGTGACTGGGATGCAAATGCAAGTGTTGGAAGAGACAGGATGTAGAAGCTACTGGGAAAAGACATAGTGAGTCTTTCATTGTATTCTGTTGATCACAGCAGTTGAAGAGCCCACCCAGAATCAAGGGACAGGAACATAGACAGCACCTTGTGAAATCATGGGCATCTTTAATCTGACACACATGTTACTATGATGTCTGCATGTTTTTCCTTTAGGCATATCAGGGAATATACATCTACTGTTTGTTTTCACATAGGAAACATACTTGTTCTTTCAAATTTATAAAATACAGGAAAATCTTTCATTTTTAAAGTTAGTCACTTGTTTTCTGTCTTTGCATAATACATTCTATTTAAATTAATGCATAATATAAATTACATATTCTAACTGATTTAATGCTGGACAAGAAAAAATAAATGTTTAAAATATTTTTATTCTGATAATTTCAGATATATAAATATGTAATAAGAAAAGGAATTTCTCATAATTCTTGTAATGAGAAAGCTAAATGGCTTGGTGTTGTTTCTGTTTTCTATGTGCATATGAATTTATTTTTATAAAGTTGACAATGAATTTTATAAATAGCTATGCACCTTAATGTTAAGTCATGAGGCTGTCTTCAAGTCATTAAATAAGCCATAAGGGAATGATTTGTAATGTATGGAGAATATTTCAGCCCATAGTTGTATGTGTTCTTGCTCCTTCCCCACATATTCTGCCATATGGCTAACTTTTTTCTTATTTTAGTGATTTGAAATATACTAATTTGATTTTATTTTAATGGTGGTTAAAAGAAAAGGAAGTCCTTATGTCTGAACTTTGTTTAGGGTTAGGAATGAAATTGGGCTGGTTAATCTCTACTCACCCAAACCCCATCTGTATAAGATGATACTGAAGCATGCTTTTATGTAATCTTACCTCTGATACTTATTTTTTGATATAATCTTGAATGTAAGGGAGATATTTTCCTTCACAATATCTCTTTAAAGATTTTTTACATTTGCGTGGTTTTATAAATATTTTAACACTCATTTTAACTCATGGTTAGATTATTTTAATGTTCAGTACAACTCCTTTAGTGTCACAACTCATCTGCTCTTTCTTTCATCTGTATTGGTTGATTCATATATTTTACAATTTGGAAACCAAGGAAACCTGAGGGTTATGTTTTCTTTTTTCATACCTGATAATGACTTTTTGTTTTGTGAATGAGACAAACTTGTCCAAGTAAAATTAGCAAGGTCATGATAGTTTTCCTCCTACGAAAAGCAAAAATGCTTTAGAAACTTCTCATTTTGTGCCTGAAGTATTTTAACTTTTTTTATTTGCAAGGAATCTGTTTTGATTTGTTTGTGTTTTGTTGTGTACTTTTTGGACTGTTTTTTTCTTCTTCTCCTTGATACTATTTTTTCTGTATTTATTTCTGCATGATATACCTGAGTCTTAATTCACCTCAAGTACATTTTATGTAATTATTTATTATTCCTTCTTTACCTGCTAATCCCAATATGCTGGTTGGATCTAACTCTTTTGTCCTCCATGTTTTTCATTTCTCTAATTCTTTCATCCTTCATATCTGAAAACTTTATATGTTTTTTCCAATCTGTCTTCTGCTCCACTGAGTGAATTTTTTTCGTGATTTCATCTTAAATTTAATGTTCCCATTATATTTTTAATTTGGCCACATTCTTTACTGATTCCGTATTATTCCCTCTTTATCACCAGTCGCTTTTGTTTTATTTGTTTAGTGTCGTTTTGAATTTTGTTGTGAATATCAATCAGTAATTGTCAAAGATTTATTATTTTATTCCTATAGATGGAGTTTTGTTTTCTTCAATATTATATACAGGCAAGAGTTGAAATTGTTCTTCTTTTGGAAATTAGTGTGATGTGTGAACAGTTCTCCCATTAAGAAGAGGAAAGAAAGAGAATTCCACACTGACCCTACTTTAGAGTCGGCAGCTCTGAGATCTGCCCACTGGAGGGGAGGGCTGTGAGCTCTGCTGGTGCCCTACCCTGTTCCCCTGGGTCCCCTTTCCCAGCTCTTGCTCCCATCCCCATTTCTGCACCCTTGGCTGCTAACAGCTCCACTTGAGACCCTCAGTAGCTTGTCCTTAGACAAATAAGCTTTCTTTTTCCTGGGGAGTGCAGATAAGTACTTGGCAGTTTTTTTAATCTTCCCTTCACTCTTCAGGTGTCACTAGTGTGAAGGTACAGTGGCCTAGCTACTCTGTTTCAGGTCTGTACAAATTCTAAGTTGTAATGCATGCTCCAGTTTTACCTACAAGATGGGGTGGAAACTAGAACTTTCCCTGGATTTGTACCCTTGCTTGGCTTTTTCTCTTTTCCTATCTACCCTCGTCTCACTTGTTCTTATTGCTTCCTCCTGAGAACAATTCCGAATACATTATTTGCCCCTTGTCTGCACTCAGGGTCTGCTTCTGAGAGAACTTGACCTAAAGATGGTGGGTCTGGGGTCAAGAAGAAGGCAGCATCTGCTGAGGGAGGAAGCCCTGCCAGACCAATCCGGAGTGTCCTCTCTGCCTTAGGGTTCATTTGCTCCCTATTTTGAGAGGCACCAGCAGTGGTTGACTTTTATTATAGCATCTATCTCTTTCATAGAATGGAGACTTTTGCATCCATCCTGTAGGGCCCCTTAAGATTGATTCCATCTGCTCTGTTTGTGCAAAATTTGCTGGGCATTTCTCACATGGGGATGGCATTACTCCAAGTTTCTGGTCTTTTCACTGGTTTTCTCCTATTTCTGTTAGGTACTGGTTATGATTGTGTTTGTGCAAAAGTATTCACTCACATTACCATCTTACTAGTAAACTCCCCAAGAGATTTTTTTTCTTATTGAAAATTTGAGGAAAATATGATTGAAAATGTGCAGTAATGTATAATATATGAATAGAACTGGAGACAGTGTTACTAAAAAGGAACCTTTAACTTATTATTCCAGGAGAATAATTAGGTTTTATTCTAGCTTATGATTAGGATTATTGCTAGCAAATAAAAAAGAAAATATTTATGAAGAGTGTTTGTGCTATGCCCATAATGCCTCTGCCTGTCACAGAATACCATTATTTCAGTTTCCATCTGTAAAGAAGTTACCACCTTATTAAGGTTAAGCAGATGAACTGCCCAATCTCAGTATCCCATTTTACGGTGTGTTGCCTGGGACCACTCCTAATATTTGATACTACATCAGTTAGAATCCAATCAGAAAACAAACCACTCTAGTATCTCAGGTAAAAAAAATAAACATAAGGCATTAGTTAATCCAGTGGCTAAAAAGTTGGGAAGAAAAACAGGATGGTGAGGCTCATCAGAGAGTGGTAGGAGGAGACCACTAGGGAAGATGACCGCAAGAGATCACTACAGTCCCTTGGGGCTGGAATGACACGGGAAAGGGATGGTATGCAGCAGAATCCAAATATCAGGGAAATCTTACAGGTTCTAGAACCATGTCAGGAGTTGCTCTGTAGGAGTTAGGGCCACAGAAATAGGACATGTCTGGTAAAGAGCTGCAACCATGGAGAAGATATGGCAACTGCTAAAAAGTGCCCACACAAGACAGAGAGGAGAGGAGAAGGAAAGAGAGATAAGGGAATAGGAGGGAAAAGAGAGAAGAGGGAAGGGGAGACAGGGAAGGGAGATGGGGTAGAAGGGAGGAGAGAAGAAGGGAAATAATACCTTGATTCTCTTTCTCTTTCTCTTCCTCAAGTCCAACCAGCGCTTCCATTAGTCAAACCTAACCGGAAGGTAGTTGGCAAGGGACCTGTGGAAATGCAGCCTAAAGGTGGAAGAATGAGGAATGGACTTGAGAGCAAACAAAACACAATGGCCTATGTGTATATCCTTGTCAAATGCATAGTGCTGTTAGACATTTTTTGATTTACATAAATGCTATCGTGCTATAGATTTTATTCTCTTAACCACTTCTGTTGCTAAGATAGCAACAGAATTGTTGGCCCTGTTGCTCTATGTACACTAATATATACTATAGTATAGATCCACTACAATTTACATATTTGCTTTCTTAGTGATGGCCACCTACATTGTGTTCAGATCCCTGATGCCATAATCAGTGCTGCAAAGAATGCCCTTAAATAACTTATTTTATGGACTTTATGACAGTCAACTTATGAAGAATGGAATTTTTATGGGTTGGTCTAATCTGAGCTGAGAGCACATACTCATCTTCATCATTTCAATTGCGTGGCTCTACTTATTAGAATTTCTCCAAATATCTGTTAACCATTTAGAATTTTCCTTCTCTGTGTTGCTTTGTCAAACCTTTATTTTTCTAATGTGTTTCCTGTCTTTGAATTTTATTATTGTTTATCTTACAAATCCCTTTAGTATGTTAGCTGTTGATAGCTAGTGGGTTCAATTCATGCAAAAGTCTTTTACAGTGATATTTACAAAAAGTTGATATTTTATGTTTTTTATGAAAACTTTTTGAAATAACAATTCAGTGATTTAAAAAATCGGTGATTTAAAAAGAGTGTTTGCAATGTGTCTTTGGAAGGTATCAGCATTTATAGTAAAATGAAGTTGCAAAAAATGTATGGCTAATTCAAGATTTAGACTGACCTACTTAACAGTTCTTTTTGAAAAGGATTTCCTACATTTTGGAAATGTATAAATAACAGTTATTTAAACATCAATATTTGGCTACAGCTAATCTGACAGTATATCTGTGAGAGAACAGAAATGATACGAATTGAAGACATATACCTCCTTATCCACTTTGAAACTAAAGATAAGGATTATTTGTATTATATATGGGGAAATATGCTTTAAATAAAGATATGATATAATTTGTCTCTTTTATGATAATGTATATTTTCTGGAATTACTGATATAGAGATGCAGTTTTTCATCTCAAGGACAAAGCTGTTTCTAGTTGAAAATGATAAACAACTAACCTTACTTTAAAATGATTTCTGTGCATATCATCTCATTATTGGTACCTCTGTGCTTGCATGATCAGTGCATTAGAATAATTTCCACATATCTTGGGCAGCCCTCACTTCCCAACTGCAGTTATATGAGAGATAAGAAAGCATTGAATAACTTTGACCTTTTTTAAGAACATGAAAATATATCACTAGTACTTTCTGTCAAGTTCTTAACTTTTCTTATAAAAGAACATTTGTTTGTAGTTTCTAGTTTTATGTATCAGTACAGTTCTGGGGATTTTTGTTGTTGTTGTTTTTTGTTTGCTTTTTTTGCTTAGGTCACTAATTTTAGCTATATTTATTCCTGAGTACTTATTTGCATAATTAGACTTTTGTAGTTCATTTTATTTTCTAACTCATTATTATCAAGAAAGTATTAATTTTTTAAAACATTGTTAAAAATGAACTTAAAAAGTTTTAAATTTACAGAAAAATTGCAGCTAGTACAGAGGTCCCATACACTCCAAACCCCTGTTTCTCTGTTTATTAACATCTTTCATTAATACATTGAATATAATTAATTACATTTATTTTAATAATAATATGTGTTTTAGAACTTGAATTTTGGAATATTTTATGAATTACAAATTGCGAATTTTGGAAATTTTAGAATTTTGTGAACTCTTAGTATATTCCAAAATTATAGGTCATTTAGATTTTATGCTATTGAGTCAATGTTTGAAATTTATGTTTTTCTAGAAAATTTATTTTGATAAATATTAACACTTTCTAGTCATGCATAGTATGATTAAGTTTTGGTCTTTGTATTATTAATTTATAGGAATAATTTCTATGTTCTGGATAAACATTTGTGTCTAGTGTTATATAACCCTTCTTTCTCTCTTTCTACATATGTATCATACGCAGTTTTCTCCGGTAAAGGCATTAGTTCTAGTGCATTTCGGATTTTTCTACATTTTTGTAGCTAGATCTCTTTTGTTTCTCTGCCCTCATCTTCCCACTTTTTCTGTCTGCCTCTGAAGAGACTGTATCTTCTTAAATCTTCTTAGAGAAAATACAGTGCTTTCTCATTTAATTCCACTGAGGTTTTCAAGATGTTAGAATGTTCTTATTCACTTTTGAATTTTGATAGCCATGGGTTTAGGATAAGTGGGATTGGAGTGATGTTTACTCTATACCTTACTCTTTGTACAAGGATTAGGGAGTTCTTAGGAAACGAACTAATTTTTTGGGGATACAAACACCCAATTTCCTTGATTGATGGAGCATTTGTGTCCCAGAGTAGTGGCCAACAGGGGATACCATTTGGCTTACAATATAGAGCATGTGTGATCTGAGAAGGTCCTATGAGCAACACAATCTTTGCTCTAATTATCTGCTGCCCCACCTGTTGCTGTGAATGGCACTATCTAAGCTCTTATATGTCATCTTTTCATTTGCACACTAGTCTCTGTTCGCTTTCACCTAATTAGGACACCATCCCAGCAATTCAGTTCTCCTCCTCCTCCTTCTTGTACTATTCATTTCTCTTTTTCTCTTAGAAGATTCACATCAGCAAATATTTCTCTTGTCTTAAAAAAATAAAATAAAAACCCTCTTGACCTCAAATGCCTCTTCAGTTTGGACCCTAACACTCTGCTTCTTTTGACTGTTAATTTCCTTGATTAGAGTTGTCTCTATTAGCTTACTTCATTTTCTTTTTTCTTTTCTCTCTTTGAATCCACTCAAGTCAGGTTTTGGTCCCATCATTTCTCAAACACTGCTCTTGTCAATGTCATCAGTAACTTCATTCTTGCCAAATGACTCATAACCTATTTGGGTTTTCATCTTAATTAAGTTAGCAGTATTTCATAACAGTTGTTTACCTCCTCCTTGAAAATCTTTTTTTTTTCTTTTTTTTTTCAGATAGGTTCTTGCTCTGTTTCCCAGGCTGTAGTAGAGTGGCATTATCACAGCTCACTGCACCCTCAACCTCCCAGGTTCAGGTGATCCTCCCACCTCAGCCTCCTAAGTAGCTGGGACTATAGGCATATGCCACCATGCCTGGCTAATTTTTTTTTTTTTTTAAATAGAGATGGAGTCTCTCTATGTTTCCAAGACTGGTCTTGAACTCCTGGGCTCAAGCAATTCACCTGCCTGAGCCTCCCAAAGTATTGGGGTTACAGGCATGAGCCACTGTGCCTGGCCTGAAAAACTTCTTTGAATTTGTGTCTAGATAGCAGCACTCTGGAATCTTCCATCCGCTTGGCCATTCCTCCCCAGCCTTCTTTGCTGAGCTGGGCTCGGGGCCTAATCCTCACATTTTCTCTCTCCTCCACCTACATAGACTTACTGAGTGGTTTCTCATTCAGCCTCATGCCTTTATATATATATACTCTGTTCCAAATTTATATCTTTAGTACATTCCTCTCACCTTTAATGCCTAAATGCTGGGCTTCTCCAATTGCCTTCTTAACGTTTCCATTTTAGTATCAAATAAGCATCTTAAATTTAAAGTATTTGGTCAAATAACTAGTCTTATCTGCCTTTTCAAACCTGTGTCTCCTGCAGTCTTTCACATTGTAGGAATTGGTAAATTTCATCCCTCTGGTTGCTCAGACCATAATCTTTGGATTCATCCTTAACTCTTCTTTTTTTTCATACCTCAAATCCAGTCCACCCGCAAAATCTGTCCACTCTCCTAGAAGTGTGAATCCAAAATGTTCATCACCTCCACGGACGAAGTTCTATATATCTTGCTTCACTTGTTGCAATAAGTTCCTGACTGATTTTCCTGTTTTTCCCTTTGCTCTTTGACCAGTTGATCCTGCAGAGCTCACCAGGTTCCTTCCCTGCTCTCATCTCCTGACATGAGACCTTGTTCAGTCCTCTCCCTACACTGTTCTCCAAGCTGTTCCTAGGATATTTCAGCATATTTTCTCTTCAGGGGCTTTGCCTTTGTTCTTTGCTCTGGCTGGGACATTTTTTTCCTGCTTGTTCTTATCTAACATTTAAACCTCAGCCCACATAGCCTGCAGCCCATATATTTTTCCCCATCTTTATTTTTCTCCAGAGCCTTTATTGCCATCTAGCATTGTATCTATTTTTCTATCTGTTTTTCATCTTCCTCCTCTTACTGGACTTCAGACTTCATGGGTGCAGGGATATTCGTGGGTGTGTTTTTACTCTTCCATCTGAAATGACTGGAGCGATGAGTGCAAGAGATACTCTTTAAACCAGTGAATAATGAAAAATGAGCGACTTTTTTGAGAGAAGTTATTAATTTAATTAATATAGTTACTGATTTAAAGAAATATATGTATATATGTATTTTTATATATTTAGTTACCGATTTAAACATATATTTTTATATATTTAGTTACATATTTAGTTTAGTATTTTTATACATTTAGTTACCGATTTAAACATATATATGTTAGTATATATGTATATATGTTATATGTACATACATACATATATATACACACACATATATACACATATATATATACCTGGTAAAAGTACGAACCACGTGAAAAGGAAATCTCCTGTGCCTTCTCATCTCCCATTGTTTTATTCTAAAAATGATGTATGTAGATGCAAACATGTTGTCTTTCTTCCACTTAAAAAATAATGCACTAACTGTCCTACATGTGGCCAGTTCAGCTGTTGCTTACTTTGGAGATCATTCTTTCTTACATTTACATATATTATACATTAATATATAATATATTAATGTATAATATATATTATTATACATTATACTGTATATTATTATACAGTATAATGTATAATGTATACAATATAATGTATTATGTATTATACAATATAATGTATAATGTATACAATATAATGTATAATATATATTATACATTAATGTATAATGACCAATAATCTCCTATGTGCATATAGCATAAATAGCATTGTTTAGGACTGCATGTACACTGTTTTTAAATGTGTATATGTATATGCACATATATAATGCGATTTCAACCTTTTTCTGGCTGATGGTTGAGTTTCAGTTTCAAGTCAATATGTGACTGTGATCCTTTTTCCTTTCCAGTGCCCACTGTTGATGTCTTTCAGATTTCCACAAAAGAGCGATTTGGATTGGGACATCAGCTGAAAAAGTAAGTTTGCTAAAGTGCAAAAAATAAATTTCTGCTAAAGAGAACTGAGTTCTCATTTTGTTCATTAAAACAAACAAACAAAAACCTATTCAGTAAGAACTTTTTGAAGCAAGTCCCTCAAGAGAGGAAATCATCATGATGCTAAGAGCTGCGTTGATAATTTATTAGCAGGGCTCAGTTTTCCACCTGGGCCAGAGTCCTTCTGTTGCTATCCAAGATCCACTCTCTTTCCTCCAGCACCCTGCTCTCTACCTGGGGAGGCTGACCTGTGTGGACACAGGCTCTGAGTCCCTAACATGACCAGTGGAGGCAGGAAGGAGAGTAAGATGGAAGTACTTACTGCTCTGGTTTCCTTCCTAGGAGGTCATCCTGAGCCGACCAGTCCTTCCACTGAAGCCTGCTGCTCTGCTCCAGGCTGCAACGTGTACATGACTTTCTCTCTTACTGGGCTCTATTGAGGGCTTCCACTGCTCATTCCTTGGGGCCCAGAGGTGGTATCAGTTTAGCAGCCACCGGCCCTGGACTCCTGCACTATCCCTAATTGCCATTCCTACCGCTTTGAAACATTGGTTTTTTAACTAAACACTTTATTTCCTGTGTGGACCTTGATTTTGTTTTATGATCTTTAAGTCTATTTTATATAAATATCTATTTTTAAAAAACAGAAAAAGAAAACACTGATAGAGCCAGGATACAATGGCACTAGAAAGAAAAAAAATGCATCTTAGAAGTAAATAGAGAACACTGATAAATTACAGACACAAGAATTGGCTCTCAAATTTTTCTAAAATCAGAAGATCACTGATGTGATCTAAGGCACAGAACTTTGGGACCCACTGGCCTGTGTTTTGGTATGCATCCAGAGGGCTTGTTGTGGTTTTCCCTGAAGAAAATAATGATGCCATCCACATGGTCTCCTTCGCCAGCCTTCCACACAGAGGGAATACAGCTTTCTCTTTGAACATAGAGTCTAGATGAGCCTTGATTTCATACGAAGACATAAAGCCACGCCATTTGAACTGAATTTTAAAATTTAGGCACGTACCTCAGTTCGCCATGGTCAGAATATAAACATTAACTTCTATACTTAATATCAGCTTTAAGAATTTGTGTTTATGGAGAATTCCTAGAGGATTATTCTTCCAAATCTGCAAATTTAGCTTAAATGTAAATTTGTCAAGAAAGACCATTAGATAATTGTATGCTTAAAGCCTGGTTTAGGCCTTTCATAATGATGCAGTCTATATGATCACTTTTATTTTAATGAATTTAAATTTGGCATCATATGTGGGCTTCTACTGAGCAATATTCTAAGGGAAAACATATTGGAACTATATTTGATATATGAAATAGAGAACTTACTGAGGTCATTTTGCCTGATGTAGGAAGCCACATATATGATATCTAGGATTTTGTACGTATTACAGAGCTCTAGAATTTTCTCAAGTTTTTATGACTTAAATTGGGGCAGTACTACTCAAATGTGAGTTGTGTGCCTACCACATTTGAAAGGAAAAAACATTCTTATAAATTCCCAGTGTTGAGTTCAAAGATATGCAAATATAAAATTAGATAATAAACCCTTAATGTTTAGAATTCTGCCTCTCTAAAACTAAATTTAATTTACAATATGTGTTTAGCATATTATATAATGTAGTGTTCTCTTATAAGGACTCACAGGATAAATTTTCTCAGTTTTCCATTCTAGGGTCAGGTATGCTTTCCCAGGACACTTGGTTGTGTTTTTGTGATTGGATTTTGTTTCCTGCATTGTGCCCATATCCTGCGTGTCTTGGAGATGAGCATGGAGCCTGCCTCCATGATGAGCATGGATGGCATTATGCAAGTTGGGTACCATTTCACCTTGACACATTTTTTTTATACTATGATTTTTTTTCCTCACTCAATTTCCTCCCTTGTTTTTATACTGTTCTACTTTGTGTACTTTTGCAAGACACTTACAAACTTTTATTTTTAAGTGGCATGGAGCTGATCAAAATAAGATAAGATTTACAAAAGTACACAGGTCTAGGAATAAATAGCTTTCTACCCTTAGTGGCTTCTGGGTACATTACATAGGCTCAGCAAAAGAAATCATGTATATAATCCCAACTCTGAGAAATTAAAGAAAGCTATGTGCCTTTTTCACTGTTTAAGTACCTAGTAACATATATAACATATTTAATTAATATCCCTATCCGAGTGATTAATGTTTTCAAAGAGTTACTTGCTTTTAGGGATAAATATTAGCTATGTGGAAAGTTTGTTAATATAGATTAGAATTATTTTATGATCCTTGAGAAATTTTGGTCTGATATGTTTGTTTCCCTAATTATAAATAATTAGATTTGGCTATGATCCTTAAGGTCACTGCCAGCCTAAAATCCCATTATTTTAGCAATCTAATTTCATCCTCACAATAATTTATAAAAAGAAACTAAATATAAAGAGGTTATTTTCTTAGAAACATACAGCAAGTTAGGAAGGCAAATTTAGAATCTAGGCCCCTTGTTATCAGTTGGTTTTCAGTAAATAGAAGACACTCTTATTTACTGAATAACTTTTTCACAGGAAAATTTTTTTCTGGTGATTTCAGACAGCAGAATAATTTTATCAACAATAGCAACAGCAAATGCTTATGCAGTACGTATTATATGTCATGCACTATTCTAAGTGTTTAACATATAATAAGACATTTAATCTTTACAACAACTCTATGAAACAGGCCTTGTTACTCTCATATTTCCTAGATGTTGAAACTGAAGCCCAGAGAGGTTGAGCAGCTTGTTCACAGTCACACAGCGAGAAAGTGATAGAGTCAGAATTTGACTCCAAATCAGTACTTACAACGCATAAACTAATCTGCCTCTCATATAATCCTAGATATTCCTTTGCTTGAGATGAGACATGGAATATGTGTTTGGCATTGAATGAATATTGAGAGAATGTGAAGTCAAAATAGCCTAAAAGAAAAAATATTTATGTATTTTCTCATGGCTGACCTGACACAGATATCACAGATATAGTGATTGGTCTTGTATAGGGTATCCTATCATTCAAAGGCTCAGCATATCACAGACAATGGAAATAATCTTCGACTTTTGTATGACTTTATGTTGAGTCTGCACTGATCAAACCTTAGTTGTGTTTAAGGGGGGAAAATATTGCAGATCTTCAGTTTTCCCTTAAATTTATGTGTAACATAAAATTAGGTATAAATTTTTTGTATGTAGAGCTCCACATTTGTAAAACGAAATTCAATTTACAACTTAAAAGTGCGAATCAAAATAAAATACTTGAAATTCAAATTAATACCATTAACTTGGTTTATGATATTATTTTGCTAAAGCTGTTTCACCACCACAATTAGAATATAATACTGACTGCTCTAGTGCATAGTTTTTTGAAATCAACATGTAAAACAGTGTGATGTCATCCCTATGTACTTGCTTTTGTCCACTGCCCTGGAACCTTTGTTCACATAGTTGGCCGTGATATCATCTGCTCTTGACGCGATGCAAATGTATACTTTACCTTGAAATTTTTTTCTTTTTTTCCCTACCATCAGCCAATCACTGGCAATGGTAGTAGTTCCTTTTGGTGCCAGCACAATAGTAAACACAAACTCAAATGTAAATACTGAAGTCCCTTCATGGTTCTCTATTATAAGGAGGTGGTTGTTATACCAAATGTGTTCATATGTATACTCCAGATTACCCCTGAAATTAAACACAACATTGAATGTCTTTTAGAAAACAATTTCTTTTGCATCCAAGGACAACTAGGTACCTGGGTATTCAAGTTTAAGAATTACTGATTTTAGATGTTGAATCACACTTTGAATCCTAATGTAATATATAAGTGGGAAAATTTTTAGCCATTTTGACCTGTTTTTTTTTTTGTTCCTCTTAGCTTATCAAGATTAGGCAAGCACTTGCCGTCTTTCTTAAAGAATGGTGCACAGGAGTAGCAATTTTTTATGGGAAGAAAATCTGCTTAATACAAAGGGTTGTGTCAGTGGAAATTTCAAATTAGGTACAGGGAGAAATGATGATCTTATTATTACATTTAAATCCTGCTGAAATTTTGGGTAAAAAAAAATTCAAACATGAATAAAATGTTTCTCGTGCTGACTGAGCGAATTTACTGTGAATTTGGAATCATGGCATCACTTATTGAAGTTTTATTCCCCTTTTCTCACCACTTCCACTGCTAAAAGGGCCCCAAAATAATTGAGTATGTAACTGTTTATTCTTCTGAATTTATCAAAACTAGCAGAAAAAAGCCTAAGTGATATACTTTCTGGCGATCTGAGTTAGTTTGTTAAGACCTGAAGGATCCTGAGAACTTAGTAACTGGCGTTGTGCTAAGAGTCACATCTGTCCCTTTTGAATAGCATGTGTTATACATATCAAAACCCATATTTGATAATATACGTACTACTACTCTGTCACTTGTATCTATGCTAACTTGGGCAGATTTCGTTCTCTTATTTGTGAAATGTGTGGAATAACAGCTACTTGCTGCGGTACTCTGAAAATTAGAGGCAAAAATGTGCATATAACATTTCTGTTTTACTCTGTGACATATTGTAAGTGGGAAACAAATATTGGTATCATTTTCCTGATCCCAAAGCAATGTGTTAGAAATAACTGAAAAGAGCGTGAAAAACAGACAATCCTGAAGTTATTTTTGAAGAAAAAGAAACACATTTAATTTATTGCATGCTTGATGTTTAATTGTAAAATTTCATGTCTACTTAAGTATTAGTGTTGAGGGCCACTGCCATGTGGAAAATGGAGATACAGAGAAGCCATCCAAGCCAAAGACCTTTCCCAAATAAGAACACTGTGTCCAAGTCCACAGTTGGCATTCCAGAATTCTTTACCATAAAGCACTGATGGAGTGATTTTGACATAGAAAATATCGACATTAGGAGTTACCAACATTCTGCCTTATGATATTAACTAAACAAACTTAAGGATACCCAGTTTTTAAAATTTAGTATAGTATCTTCAAAGGTGAATAGGCTGTGTTGAAGATATAATTTGCTGACCACATATTTCTACGTAGAGCCAGTTCTGCGTGTTTTCTTTTTATGTATGATTTTATAGCTTTGCTTTCCTTTTCATGAAGAAGATATCGAAGCAAGTCAAGTAAAAAGAAAATGGCTTTACTTCTATCTTAATAAATAGCATTATAATTAGTAACAAAAATTTTCTTAAAAGTTGATTTTCTAGCACCAAAAAAAATTTAGATTTTTTTGCCACTTCAGCTCAAGTTGTTGATCCTGAAGGCCGTCTTTATAATTCTCTTTATATCTTTATTCTTCTATCATTTGAATTATCATATCCTGGTAATATTGTAATTTAATTATTTAAATAAATAGTAATCATTATCATTTACTGTGATATAACCAGTCACAGTAAAGCTCTGCTAATTTGCTATATGATGCTTTCCTACATATGAAAAATCTTGTATGATTCTAAATTAGCGTCTCACTGATTTCTATGTGTTTGCATTTATTTGATAAATGCATTTTCTACATAATAAATACAGTAACATTAATTGAAATTGCCTTGGAATGGTGATAACAGAATTACCTTTGGATTGACAGAATCATGCAGACATTTGTTACACAGCAGTGGAAACAGAGCAAAGAAAAATCCAATTGCCTGCACAATAAAAAGTTGTCAGAGAAGAAAGTGAAGTCTCCCCTGCATTTATTTTCTACTTTGCGCAGGTTGGTAACAGGCAACTTCGTCATTGTCTTACTGAATGCTGAGTGTGTGATGTAGTTCATGCTTACAGCATTCTTTCTATAGTGTTGGCATCTGTTTATTTTCTTTATAACCTCTAAGAAAAGACTGAGTTAGATGCATTCCATCAAAAACATATTCATTTCTATGTTTAGAGTTTTTATTAATATTTATTTAACATTGGTTACATTTGCTAAAATTACATTCTTTGCTTTCTAATCACCTAGAGTTTTTCCTACCAAAATTAGTTTCATTATAGGGCTTTGGGATAGATAGGAGGGAAAAAAAATCTTAGAACCTTTTTTTTGCTTTTCAGGAAAAATGGGATTCAAGTCCTGTGATCATTCTGCACATACCTTTGATTTCAGTTTTGACTGGGTAGGCTATATTAAAATGAGGTGGTAGAATATTTATTAGCACAGTCGAGTTTGAGCATGACAAGCTTTCTTCATGGTCTGATGTACCTGTGATTTGCCCTGTAGTAATTGTTGTTCAATTTTGAAGGTCGCCAAGTTATCCTCCCCCTGGTTGTGGCAAAAGCAAATCCAAACTGAAATCTGAGCAGGACGGAATCTCCAAAACGCATAAGCTGCTGCGGAGGACTTGTTCCAGCACAGTCAAGACTGATGATGTGTGTGTCACAAAGTCACACAGGACCTTTGGCCGCTCCTTGTCCAGCGATCCCAGGGCGGAGCAGGCTATGACAGCAATTAAATCGCACAAACTTTTGAACCGTCCTTGCCCTGCAGCTGTTAAGTCAGAGGAATGCCTAACTCTAAAGTCGCATAGACTATTGACTCGATCTTGTTCTGGAGATCCACGATGTGAGCACAACACAAACTTGAAGCCCCATAAACTGTTAAGCAGGTCTTACTCTAGTAATCTCAGAATGGAAGAATTATATGGACTGAAAAATCACAAATTGCTCAGCAAGTCCTACTCCAGTGCCCCCAAGTCATCCAAAACTGAGCTTTTCAAGGAACCTAACGCAGAGGGCAGGAGGCTCTCTCTTACCTCAGGGCTTATTGGTATCCTAACACCATCTTCATCTTCATCTTCTCAGCTTGCTGTGCGTAAATATTTTCATCTTGAGTTCTTAAATGTTAGCTAAGGTGCAGTAGAATTTTTTTTTTCTTATAAGATCTGGTGGAGAAAAGAAGCAAAACTTTGTTTTAATTTACTGTTTTTTTAAAATCTTTTTGGATATTGTTTTGCATCCCATACATTTGCAACTGGCAATGAAATGTAAGCTTTGGTTCTGAAAAAAAATAAATGTAGCTATTCATTTGAAGTCCAGTTCAAATTCTTGTCATAGTAACAAATGCTACTAAAATCAGAAGGAAACGCATTGGATTCACAAAGCCCTTACTTATTAAATAAGCATATAATTTTAATGTTTCATTAAGTAGGTGTATCTAATCTCTGGTCTTCTCACATGAGTGGTGGAGGACCACATTTTTCTTGTGGTTAAATTGAGAATAATTCCCTTTCAATTATATATAAGAGCACTCTGCCCATGCATGTTTTTACCTGTGGAGAGAGGCAACATTTACCACTTTATCCCAGAGCCTCACTTAAAGTTGTTCTTAGTGTCCATTTTATACTGAAGTCACTTTATGCTGTAGCCGTTTTTGGGGGACATGGGACCAGAAGATGACTTCAATAATTTAAGTCCTTTTGATGCTATTTATCAAGAGTAACTCTTACACAAAATTTATCGCTAGCATGATTGGCATGATAGCCAAGTTCATGCTAGTGATAAATTCATAGACCTATCTTATGTATATTATTAACATATTCAAAATAGTTGATGAAAAGTTTTGTTTCCTTTTGCTAAATATATATGTGTGTATGTTGGGGGTGTGTGTTTAGCTCTAACCATTAATGTGTAAACACTCAGCAAGAGATGAAATTGAAAAAAATAAGATGTTTCAGGAAAGTAATGTTATTCTTATATAGGTTTATTTCTAAAATTAAATTATAAACTATACTGTATATTTATTATCTGAAAAGTTGAGTATGTTGACAATTTCACATGAGCATCCTAGAAGCCCATTCCTACTCAAACATACGTTTTAAGGACATAGAGCAAATAATGTAGAACAACTGCACAGTGGAATGTTTCCCATGTTAGCTTCATCCAAGAAAGATCATTTCAGACATTCTGTAAAAGAAAATGCCTTAATAACCTCTGATATGGCTAAGCATAATTCATAGTTTTCTGTTATGACACTTTCAGTAGCTGTCTAATATTTCTTTGGAGGAATAATTGTATCTGATTGTAAAATAAGACTGAAGTCTCCTAATGAAGAGGTATGAGCATTTGCTGATTAGTAACAGACAAATGAGTTTTTGTGATCATGTAAAGATGCCAGTAATTTTTGCTAGAAGATCAGCAGCTAAGAGTGCTGTTCATTTACTGTAGGCAAAAATTGCATTAGTAATGGTAGAAAGGGTATTTATAATAGAGTGAATAAAAAAGTTTTTAATTTTGATGTCATCAGTGACTCAATTCATATTTCATGTGATCTTAAATCACTTTCGTATTCACTATTGCAAAGAGTAAAAGCCTGTAATTTATACATTTTTACATTTAAAAAAATTATCATTTTTTTTTACTTTGCTTTTTATAGCCAAATGGTGCAAAATGCATTCCAGTACGAGACCGTGGCTTCCTGGTGCAGGTATGAGCCAAAACTCTATCCATTGTACAAATATTTTAGTTCTTACGGGGTTTTTAAATCATTTATGAGCTTGTCTTAATTATTTTTCCTTACTGTTTTATTCAGACAATTGAGTTTGCTGAACAGCGGATCCCTGTATTAAATGAATATTGTGTGGTTTGTGATGAGCCACATGTGTTTCAAAATGGCCCTATGCTTAGGGTAAGTTCTTGCTGATAGAATGTCCGTGTTGGTTTAGAATATAGAAATATAGAAAAGATTTGAAATATAAAAATAAGTAAATAAATGCAGTTGAAAGCAAATACTCTTTATTGAGCAAATTATTTACATATAATTTTGACAAAATAGTATTACTTCTAAAGTAGCCTGTGAAAGAGCAGTTAGTTTGATATTAGGAAAATGTTTCTTATTATATTTTTTACATATGTTTATCTAACAGCTATTTATCCATCTACACCTATATCAACGTTAAGCATCTTAAATTGTGGAATTTTGAAGAACCAGTGTTTACAAGGTTATGTGACAAGGATGCTTAGGCAGTGTCCCTTCAAAACTCCACAATTTAAGATGCTGAATATGTGAGAGGAGAGTCTTGATCCTATGCTAGTTAAAAGAGGTACACAGTAGTAGAGAGAGGATCCCAATAAAGATTTCCAAAGATGCTAGCATCCTGACACATTTGGGATATTATCAAAGGAGTATGAAAATAAGAATCAGTGTATACGTGCATTTTGGAGAGAACGATTCAATTTTAAAATGATTTTTTTTGGAATTTTTATTGCTAAAATATAACTTATAAGTCACTACTTAAAGTATACAATTCAGTGGTTTTTCATATATTCACAATATTATATAACCATTACAGCTATTTAATTCCAGAAAATGGAATTTCCATTATCCCCAAAAGAAATATTCTGTTACCAGTCACTCCCAATTTCCGCCTCCTGTCATCCCCTGGCAATTATGAAACTGTTTTCTGTTTCTATGGATTTGGTCATTCTGGATATTTGATATGAATGGAATTGTACAGTATGTGGGCTTTTGTTTCTGACTTCTTTCACTTATTATAATGTTTTCAAGGACCATCCATATAGCATATGTCAGTACTTTTATTTCTTTTTATGGCAGAATAATATACATTTTATGCATATACCACATTTGTTTATCCAGTCATCAGTCGATGGAATTGCTAGAACATATGTTAACTCTGTTTAACTTTTTGAGGAACAGCCAAACCTGTTTCAACAGTGGCTGCATAATTTTACATTTCCACTGGCAATGTATGACAGATACAGTCTCTATACATCTTCCCCACGTATTATTCTCTATTTATTATTATTTTTAATAATTATAGCCATGCTAGTATGTGTGAAGCGGTTTCTATTTTTTTTGTTTTTTTTTTTTTTGAGACAGAGTCTCGCTCTGTCACCCAGGCTGGAGTGCAGTGGCACGATCTCGGCTCACTGCAAGCTCCGCCTTCTGGGTTCATGCCATTCTCCTGCCTCAGCCTCCCTAGTAGCTGGGACTACAGGCACCCGCCACCACGCCCGGCTGATTTTTTGTATTTTTTTAGTAGAGACAGGGTTTCACTGTGTTGGCCAGGATGGTCTCGATCTCCTGACCTTGTGATTCACCAGCCTCGGCCTCCCAAAGTGTTGGAATTACAGGCGTGAACCACCGCGCCTGGCCTGAGCCACCGCACCCGGCCGAAGCAGTTTCTTATTGTGGTTTTCTTATGCACTTCCCTGATGACTGACTAAAAGATACTAAAATATTTTGATTTTCTGCTAAAAAATTTTGAGCATCTTTTCATGTGCTTATTGGCCATTTGCATGTCTTTGGAGAAATGCCTATTTAAATCCTTTTCATATTTTTAAATTGGGTTATTTGTATTCTTATTCATGAGTTGTAAGAGTTCTTTATGTATTCTGAATACTTTATCTTTACCACATATATGATTTGCAATTATTTTCTTCTATTTTGTAGTTTGTCATTTCATTTTTTAAAGGTAATCTTTGACACACACAAGTTTTTAATTTTGATGAAGTCTTATTTATCAATTTTTTCTTTTGTTACTTGTGTTTTTGATGTTGCGTCTAAAAAGTAATTGCCTAATTCAAAGTCACACAGTGCACTTATGTTTCCCTCTAAGAATTTCACGATTTATGTCTTACATTTAAGTCACAATACTTTTTGAGTTAATTTTTGTATATGGTGTTAGGTTGGGGTCCAAAGTCATTCTTTTGCATGTAGATACCCAGTTGTCTCAGCACCATTCTTTGAAAAGACTATTTTTTCTCTACTGAATGATCTTGGCACCCTCGTTGAAAATTATTTGACTATAGATGTTTTGGTTTATTTCTGGACTCTCAAGTCTTTTTCCACTGATCTGCATGTCTGTCCTTAGGCCAGTACCACATTGTCTTGATTAATGTTGCTTTATAGTAAGTTTGAAATCAAGAGGCAGAAATCCTTTGTTTGTGTTTTATAAGATTGCATTGACTGTTTGGGGTCTCTTGCGTTTCTCTATCAGTTCTGTGGTTCATTTGTCCATTTCTGCAAAAAGGCAGTTGGAATTTTGATAGGGTTGCATTGGAATTGTAAATCGGTTTGAAGACTGTTGCCATTGGCTATAGACTGGATGTGTTCCTCCCAGAATTCATACATTGAAATCCTAACTCCCATGTGATGGTGTTAGGAGATGGGTTGTTTGGAAGGCGATTAGGTCATGAGGGTGGTGCCCTCATGAACAGGAATAGTGCCTTTGTAATAGAGCACAAAGAGCTCTCTCACTCCTCTACCATGAAAGGACACAGCAAGAAGATCAATTTGTGGCCTTACTGTCACTCTGGTCTATGAATCAGCAGATGGGCCCTCATCAGGCACTGAATCTCCTGACATCTTTATCTTCCCAGCCTTCAAAACTGTGAGAAATAAATATTTGTTGTTATAAGCCACCCAGCCTATGGTATTCGATTACAGCAGCCGGAATAGACCAAGACATCATCTTAACAATATTAACCTTTCCAATTCATGTACACCAGATCATTTTATTTATTTAGGCTTTTAAAATTTTATTTCAATGCTATTTTGTAGTTTTCAGCATTCAAGTCTTACACTTCCTTGGATAAGTTTGTTTTTAAGCATTTTATTATTTTTGATGTTACTGTAAATTAAGTTGCTTTATTCCATTTTCAGAACGTTCTTTGCTATTATATAGAAATAGAAGTTATTTTTGCATGTTAATCTTTTATACTGCAACATTGCTGAACTTATTTGTTAGCTCTATTAAGTTATTTTTGGATTCTTTGTTTCTCTATATAAAATTATGTCTCTTGCAAATAGAGTTTCACTTTTTCCTTGTTAATCAGGATGCCTTTTATTACTTTTCCTTATCTAATGTGCTTGACTAGAACTTCAATACAAGACTGATTAGAAGTGGCAAGAAAAGAAATTTTTATCTTGTGATTTAGGGGGAAAATGTTCAGCCTTTCACTGTTTGTTGGGGATTTTTCATAGATGCCACTTACCAGGTTGAGAAAAATCCCCTTCTAGTCCTAGTTGTTAGGTGGTTTTATAATCATGAAAGCATTTTTGTTGGTTTTTGTTTTTCTATGTCTCTTGATATTACTATGTTTTTCTTTTATGCTATTAATATGATGTATTACACTGATTTTTTGATATGCACTAACAACTATCTGGGCCTGGAGATTTCTGTTTTAGATTTTTTTTTTTTTTTTTGAAACAGGGGTCTTACTCTGTCACTCATGTTGGAGTGCAGTGGTGCAAACATGGCTCACTGCAACCTCAACCTTCTGGGCTTAAGTGATCCTCCCACCTCAGCCTCCTGAGTAGCTGGGACTACAGGTACATGCCACCATGCCCAGCTAATTTTTAAAATTTTTTGTAGAAATGGGGTGTCACCATGTTGCCAAGGCTGGTCTTGAACTCCTGGGCTCAAGGAATCCTCCTGCCTTAGCCTCTCAAAGTGTTAGGATTACAGGTGTGAGCCATCACACCTGGTGAAAAATTTTTAATTTATGAATTCAATTTCTTTATTAGTTATAGGGCTATCCAAATTATATATATATATATTTTTGAGATGGAGTTTTGCTTTTGTTGCCCTGGCATGATCTCGGCTCACTGCAACCTCTGCCTCCCGGGTTCAAGTGATTCTCCTGCCTCAGCCTCCGAGTAGCTGGGATTACAGGCATGCACCACCACACCCGGCTAATTTTGTGTTTTTATTAGAGACGGGGTTTCTTCGTGTTGGTCAGTCTGGTCTCAAACTCCTGACCTCAGGTGATCCGCCCACCTCGGCCTTCCAAAGTGATGGGATTACAGGCGTGAGCCACCATGCTAGGCCTCAAATTATCTATTTTATTTTGGGTGAAATGTGATAGTTTGTGCTTTTAGAGGAATTGGTCCGTTTTGTCTCAGATGTCAAATTTATGTGAGTAATTTATTAGTATTCTCTTATTATCCTTTTGATGTCTGCAGAGTTTTAGTGATACTCTTTGTTTCATTCCTGATGTTGAACATTTGTATCATCTCTCTGTCAGTCCTGCTACAGGCTTGTGGATTTTAGTTACCTTTTCAAAGAACAGATTCTTCATTTCATTGAATTTCTCTATTTTCTCTTTCAAATTCATTTATTCTTTGTTACCATTATGAAAGTGGGGGTATTGAAGGCTCTGACTATTATTGTTGAATTGTTTTTACCTTCAGTTCTTTCAATATTTGATTCATGTATTTTGGGAAATCTGTTGCTGGATACGTATATGTTTATAAGTGTTTTATCTTCTTGATGTTCTGACTCTTTTTTCATGTTCTTCTTTGTCTGTAATAGCAATTTTTGTCTTCAAGTCTATTTTGTCTGATTAGTGTAACCACTGCAGCTCTCTATTGGTTATTATTTGCATGGAATATCTTTTTTCATGCTTATGTTTTTATCCTATTAATGTCTTTAAAACTAAAGTGAATCTCTTGTTGATAGCAAATTGTTGATCTTGGTTTTAAATCCTTGCTAATCTTTTTACTTAAACATAATTACTAATAAGGAAAGACTTCTGCTATTTTGCAATTCATTTTCTATTTGTATTATGTCTATTTTGTTCCTCTGCTTCTCCCTTACTGCCTTCTTTTGTGTGTTTAATAGGCATTTTCTAGTGTACCATTTTAATTCCCATGTTGTAGCTTTTCAGTTTGTTTTCTTAGTGATTGCTCTAGGGATTACAATTAACATTCTAATTTCTAAAAATCTAGTTTGGATTAATACCAACTTGATTTTTTTTTAATAAGAGACAGATCTTGCTCTGTCCTCTAGACCGGAGTACAGTGGTGCTGATCATAGCTCACTGAAGCCTCCAACTTCTGGGCTTAAGTGATCTTCCTGCTTGCATCACCCTCGCAAGTAACCAGGACTGCAGGCACAAGCCACTATGCCTGGCTAATCTTTAAAAAAGTTTTTTGTAGAGATGGGGTTTCACTATGTTGAGCAGGCTAGTCTTGAAGTCCTGGCCTCAAATGATTCTCCCTTCTCCCGAAGTACTGAGATTATAGGCATGAGCCACTGTACCCAGCCTTAATAATATATAAAAACTTTGCTCCTACATAGTTTCAACTCCACTCCCAGAGTGGAAGTACGTGTAATTGCTGTTATATATAAATATGTAAGTTATATCTTTATATTATGTGCCCATCAACATAAATTTATGATTATTGCTTTACGCAGTTGTTTTCCAAACCAGAAAAAATCAGGAAAAAAAATCAAAGTCAAATGTATCAATGTATTATATCTATGTTTAAAATTTAAAAATATATATATTTGTGTGCAGTCCTTTGTATTTACCTGTATGCATGTTTACCTTTACCCAAGCTCTTTATCTCTTTATGTGGACTATGTAGTGTCCTTTCCATTTTAATCTGAAGAACTCCCTTCATTAATTCCTGTGGGAAATCTCTGCAAATGATGAACTCTGTTGGTTTTTACCTGGGAGTGTTTTAATTTCTCCTTTATTGTTTGAAGGATAGTTATGCTGGGTATAGAATTCATGGTTGGAAATTTCTGTGTGTGATGGAGGAGGATTTGTGCCGTTTTCAGCATTTTGAGTATGTCATCCTGCTGCCTTTGGGTATTTGTGGTTTCCCATGAAAAATGACCTGTTTTCTTGTTGAGGATTCCTTGTTATGTGATGAATTGCTTCTCTCGCTGATTTCGAGATTTCTTCTTTGTCTTTGGTTTTTGGCGTCTGGATTTTGATGTGTCTAAGTGCCTCTTTAAATTTATCCTATTTGGAGTTAATTGGGTTTCTTGGAAGTGTAGATTAATTTTTTTCTAATGAATTTGAGATGTTTTAAGCCATATATATTCAAGTATTCCTCTTGCAATTTTTCTCTCCTCTTTCCTTCTGGAATTTCCATTATCTGTATGTTTGTATGCTTGATGGTACCCCATAGATCTCTTACACTTTGTTCATTTTTTTCATTTTATTATTCTTCCTCTTCCTTAGATTAGTTAATCTCAATGGACCTATCTTCAAGTTCACTGATTCTTTTTTCTGCCTGCTCAAATCTGATTTTTTATTTCAGTAATTGTACTTTTCAACTCCAGAGTTTATTTTTATAAATTCTATAAATTGATACTCTCTGTTGACATTGTCTTTTCTTCATTTATTTAGATATGATATTCTTTAGCTCTTGAACGTTTTAAGTATAGCCAGTTTAAAGTTTGTGTCTAGTAAATTTAACATCTATGCTTTCCTTGGGCCCCTTCCTATTAGTTGCTTTTTACCCTGTGAATAGGTCTTACTTTCTTATTTCTTCGCATGCCTTTTTTATTTTTTTATTGAAAACTGGACATTTTAAATACAATAATGCTGGAACTCTGGGATTTAGATCTCGCCAAACTGTTTTGGCAGTCCTTAGCCTTCATTCCTGCTTGTACAGAGTGGTAAGATCAGCCAGAGGTGAGATTTAAGGCCTTCTAAAGTCTTTCTTGAGCATGCACACAGTCATGGGCAAGCACATGGCCTTCTGGATTTCCAGAAATATATGTGAGTTTTTCATAGTCCTTATGGACATCTCTTTTCCCAATCCTTTCTTCTAAGCTTTTTGATTATTCTGTTGTTTGCCTCAGTTGTTATCTGTTGCCTCACACAACTAAAACGCTTACTGTAAATGTTTTCAATCCCCACTCCAGGTAATGGTTTAGTACTGGGTGAGTTCCAAGTCAGGCAGAAATAAAGACAAGTGTTTTCAGCGTGTCTTCCAGAGAACTATCAGACAGCTATTTGTGAATCAGTTCCGTTCTGCTCCCTCTATTATTGGAAATACAGGGCATTGTTTTTAAGGCTGCCACTGAGCTGGCGAATGGAAGATTGGATTAGGGTAAATTTAACCCTTTTCCCATTTGCCCCAACAATACTTGCCAGTAGCACTTGCGGCTACAGTGTTTACCCGGAGATAACTTTGCCATGAAATCTGTCGCTTATATTATTATTTCTGCATGGCTCTAGTATATCTACTTTGGAAACAAAATACATCATTCTACTTATAGCATTTTGGTTTTAGTAGTGGTATTTCCATTTACAAAATATAGTAGTAATTCCTGATCACTGAACTTGTCAAATCCTAGAAAATACAGCATTTGTACGCGTAATGTTAACATTGTTCTAGAACAGCGGTTGACTGAAGATTCATTTGATGAATCTGATTTTTCAGAAATAGAGGATTCTAATGATTCAGACGATTCTGATGTTAGTTCTGTTTAGAAATAGCTCCGAGAACAGTTTTTATATTTTATTTTCACATTGATTGAAAATCAGATTTGCTTCAGCCTCAAAGAGTGCGTTTACGTAGAGTTAAATAAGTGCTGACAACAAGCTGCAGCTTTTCTTTTTTTTTTCCAAAATGGAAAGAAGGTTAAATGTCACAAGTTTTACGGTTCTTACCAAGATTCAGCTGTTGATTCTGAGTAAGTACTCCTTGGGTTGCTGCAAGTTTTAAAATTAATTTCCAGAATACCAAAAGAGTTGACTCAGGCCATTTTTGCCAGTTTCTTTTAAAGATTTTATAGAGAGGTGGAAGTTTGGGTTCCTCACTCAGCTTTTTTGCTGATATCATTCCTTATTTCAAAGTTTTAAACAAGCAAGTTCATTGTACCATATCTGCATAGTATTCAAGGTCCAGCTTTTGAGTTAAGAAATAATAAAATATAGATAAATATGAAAATAATGATTGAGCTAATATCTATCATAGTTAACAGAAGAAAGGAGGTTATTGAGGGTTGTGTGCCAGGCACTGTGGGTAGATATTTGGCCTATTATTTTTTTATTTGATCATCACACAACTCTTGTGGTTTAGGTACTTTTGCTTTCATGCTGCAAATAGGGAGACTAAGATTTATAGAGGTTAAGCAGTTTGTTCAACACCACCCGGAAAATATAGGTAGAAGTTTGGCTTTGAACCTAATTCTCTCTGACTTTAAAACTGCATCACAAACATTTAATTTAATATTTGATAAGTAGAAGGCACCATGCTAGATTCTGTTACACTTTTTAAAAGAAACCTGTCTTGCCTTTTGGAATATATGTTTGAAAAGATAAAACACAAAACTTGGAAAGCAATAATTTTATTAGACCTTTTTTGTATTTCAAGATTTATACTTTTAAAAAACATGTCTTGTAGCCATTTAAGAACACAATCATCTGTCAGATATTTTATTTTATTTGCTTAAGGGAAACAATCCGTGTACTATTTTTTTGCCAGTCAACTTTTCTCTCAGAGATATGTTATTCTGAAACCAAAATCAACTAAATCAGCATTTAATTATGAAATAACTGCAATTTTGTCATTTCCATTTGTTACAGAGAAATGTGTCCTTATGAGAATAGGGGGATTTCTCTGGTCATCTCAACCTGCCCCACTTAGATGCTATGTTTTCACTTTGTCAGTACTCACCTGTTGATATTGATCTATTGCTTGTTCCATAGCATTGCCATTTCTACCACAAAAGATAATAGTAATGTTATCAAAAGTAAATGCTTTTTGCATGTTTTCTTTGTGATCTGGGTATTCACAGTTCTTTATGTGGATTTTCAAGTGTAATCCTCTTAATAACTCTCTGAGGTATATATTATTACTATTCTCACTTTATGGTGAGAAAAATAGTAATTTGTTCAGTGTTACTGTGCTAGTAAGTAATAGAGATAGGATTCTAATACTGACAGAATGGCACCAGGCAGAGGTTCCTACTCTTGACTTGTGGACTTGAATTGACTACATTTATGTTCTGGAAATGTACCACACACATTGTTGGGAGTTCACTGTTTGTGGTTTAATTGTGGGCAATTCATTCCTATAGTAAGTAGTGGAAATACTAGTTACTATTAGTATTCTTGGTGTCTCACTCCAAATTTTGTTTGACTTTATCTATATCTGCAACAATAAATATTGCTATATTTTTCTAAAAGTGGCTGTGCTTTTTTATAAGCAAGAGAGAAAACATTTTCTAAATAAATACGGATGATTATCAGATGGTTTATTGTTGCTGTGATGCAGACTGATACCTAAGGAAATCAGAAAACGTTCTTAAATAGTAAGATAAGTGACATAGGAAATCAGATGAGGAAATGAAAATTAAAGAAACTTTTCATGTTGAAAGGAAGAGAGATAGACACAGGAAGAACTATCTCTTGGTTCTGTGAAACAGATATTTTACCTAAGTTGGTCCCACTAATTTTTTTCTATATCTTACTTGTATTTACATTGCAATATATTTTGCTGTAAATTCAAGAGTAATGTATAAAAATAATATATAATTTCTTATGGGATATTAACCAATTAACTGATTCATTGACCATTATTGAGCCCATCTGACACATTACAGTCTGTAGTAAGTCTCAGAGACATAAAGAGTGTAAGTTATAGCCCACTGGTGATTAAACAGGTTAAATAAAACTCAGGTTTCTATAGAATTCTATGCCTATTCTATTTTATTACATTTGCATTTGTTAGATCTCGCTTTCCAAAGTTAGACTGTCCCATGTTTTTTTTTTTCTTTAAGCCTGATTGTTTTTTGATGACATAAATCCTCTTTAACCTTTATTCTCCAAAAGTCCTAAAATTTTAGTCACTGCTTTTATACTATCTGTCACTCCATTCAGAGGTCTAGGTTAGCATGTCGCACTCTCTGCAATACAGGGAACTAAACTACTTACTTACTTAGAAACTCCCTGCTGCTCCTTCTTCGCTTTTGTTTACAAAAATTATAAATGTCACTCTCAGATTTGAGTCCTGACACATAACATTTTGCATCTGCGTAACGCTCACATTAACATCCCAAGAATTGTTCAGGAAGTCCTGGATTTTCAATTTAAAAGTGTCATTTATACTCTCATCACAAAACCAAACCAAAACCAAATGCATAGTTCTCTCCATTGTGGAATCAACTAGAGTGTTAATGCAGCAAATTGTTTTAGAGATGGTTTTTAAATGTAGTTTGTGTCTTCAGGTTGTTTTTGAAAAACAATAAAACAAGGACTTATTGTCAGAAATGCCAGTTTTATCAGCCTCTAAATTCCTAATGCCCTTTTCTGTTATACTCACCTTAATCACCTCAATCGTGGATTGGTATAATGGTGTGAACTGCTGAACTCTGCTAGAGAAAACCATGTGGTTATGTGAATAACAGTTCCTGCAAAGCTGGGCTTCTGTCTTTGATACTTGGCAATCGTTCTATGTGTCCTTGACTAATAGACTTTCTCATTTCCCACATCAACATGTGATATGAGAATTATGATCTCATTCTCTTCTCCTGTCATGTGAAATGTCCTGGGTTACTTGCTCTGAGTGGTTTGACAAGGCATGAGATTCCAGTCTGCTGATTCCCAAATATGTTTGCACATGTCTGTCACCCACTTAGAGTAATGCTCATTCTTACTGAAGCAAAGCCAACTGAGAAACCTGAGAATCTATATTTTTGTGTATCCGGCATTAAGCAGATGTTTGTAACTAAGGTTCTTATTTTCCAAGTGAAATTAAGAACACCCAGTTATAATTTGGTCCAGTTTTAGGTGTTAACCAAAAAATGACTGAGGCAGGTCTCAGTCGATAAAGATTTATTTAGCCACGGTTGAGGATGGGAGATCCAGGGAGATCAAAAATGCGTCTGTGACCCTTTTCCAAAAGGGATTTTGGGAACTTCAGTATTTAAAGGGGAAAGAGCAAGCAGGAGGGAAGAAGAGGAAGGGCAGGCAGTGAGGCAAATGGTTACATTCTTATGAGGTTCTGATTAGCCTCAGTAAATCTACATTTTATATGTGAAAAGAGGGAGTAGAGGAAAAAGTTACGTATTAATCACAGGGTAGGCACAAGGATGTCTCTGGTCTTGGTCCTTGCTCTCGCCCTGTGAAGATAAGCTAATAATTGACATTGTCAGGATGAGATTCAGCAGAACTTGGTTTTAGGGCTAGTTTACAGTGGGTATGTCTCCTGAAAGATTTAGGGGCTTCAAGGAATTTCCTTGTGAGGGAGGCCATCTGGGGAGATGTGTGACCTTCTATTGTTGTGGAAACCTGTCTCATGGGTGAGGCTATGACACGGAGCTGTGAAATTACAGCTATCCGTTTGGGAACAAAAGGAAAGCAGTATGGCCTGACTCAGTTCCCAAACTTAACTTTCCCTTTGGCATAGTGAGTTTGGGAGTCCCAAGATTTGATTCTGTTTTCTTTCACAAAGACATTCCCATGAAAATTGATGAGAAACTGAGCATGAGGATAAACCTAGGTATGTCCCATTTTACCTTCTAAGAGTAAAACGGGTAGGTCTGCTTGTATTTAGACCTGACTTTAATATTTGAAGAATGGATGAAAAAGCACAACCTATTAAAACCCTCCCCTAACCTTCAACATGGAAGTTCAGATATCAACTTCTGAAATACTAACTAAAATAATAATTATGCCAAAAAACTTTTAGTTCAAAAACATGGTTTAAAAAAAAATCCAAACTGAATAGAAATTAGTTTTAATACTCAAATAACATCTTTAGTTTTATGAGACAAATAGAGACTACTGCATGTTTAAGCCTAATTAGACCTGATCCTGTATCTTACTGTGGATCTGCCTTAATTGCTGTGGGATTCTCTCTCTCTCAATGAACGGTACACCTTTCCTCACCCTGAATGTGTGTCTTGACCACAAACAGAACCCAAAGCATTGACTATAAAACTGTAAATACAGAGAATTAAAGGCTTCTAAGTTTGTAGTTCTAGAAGATATTCATATAATTATTCTTGCATTTTTTCAATACCAGTTTTTAAATAGGAATTTATATTTACTCTGCTTATTTCATTTTTAGTAAGAAAAATCACGGCAATAGTTTTAAACAGTGGATATACAAATCAAAATGCTACTTCATAATATGCTTCAAAGAAAACTATTTTTTATTAAATACTTATCTTTGTATACACATTGAGTTAAGGCAGTAGAGCTAGCTTCTCCAGGTTCCCTTATATTAATACTTAAACAGCTTTCCATACCTCAAGGATATTTTTTAAACCTTATCTCACTTGGTATTTTTATCAACTTGAGAGCTAGATATTATTTTTATTCCCATTTTATAGATAGGAAAAATGAGCTGTACACATGTGCTCCAACAGGAATAAGCTCCACTTTTATCTGTTTTGTATATTGGACTTATGTGAAATATTTTGTTGAAACAAAAAGACCATGGCAAAAATATTTGAAAACCACTCATCTACACCATGCTTTTGTTGAAACAAAAAGACCATGGCAAAAATATTTGAAAACCACTCATCTACACCATGCTTTTCTCTACATAAATACATAGCTAGATTCTTAGAGTTGTATTATTTCTATTACCAGTAGAGGGTAATTTAAATTCATGGAAAACATAAATTTCTTAAAATACAATTAGGTTCTAAAATATTCTTCAGGGCTTAATACATTTTTTGAAACATGTTTTTGTTGATCACATTTAAATTGCTTTGATTCAAATAACGTTAAAAATGTTTTCATTTTAGTTGAAAACTTCTAAAATATATCTTATTTTAGGGACATATATAAATACATTCCTCATGCTTTTAAATCGTGCCTAATGAATATTTTATAGCAAATATGTACGTGTTGATAATAGAGGGACTTGCTATGGTTTTACAATCTAAATTAGAGTGGTTAATTGCTTCCAGGCAATATAATATAATATTAAGAATAGGTAGTATTTTACAAATTGGGACTAATAGTCTTTTTGTGAACTCAGAATGAATTAATAAGTAATATAACATTTGGTTTTATTTAGGCATACATACTTTGTATTAAATTATGTACAATAAAACATGGCAATACACTTAACTGGTAATAGCTCTTAAAATGACTATGTGCGTTTTGAATTGATGCTAGCACATTCTGTGTAAATAACATAGTCATAGAATTTGTCAGGGTGGAGGATTGGGTGGGAATAGGATAAGGCTAGCCCACAATATAACTACTTGTGTGTCTTTAAGGGAGTGATTCAGTTTCTCTTCCTTGAATAAGATGTTCCTTCTGTGAGCGAGAGAGACATCTAATCACTTAATGTAATTTGAGAACTTTCTTTTAGTGCAGTATCTTGTGTTAACACTTTGAACTTCTCGGAAATAAAGTGTGAATAAACAAGGAAAAGGGAGAATTACTACTCTACAAAAAATAAATATACAAACACCTCAAAACTAAAGTCATTTACGTCTTACATCTTAAATACTACTTGAACCTTCTAGTAAAAATGAGCAAGAGATACAGAATCATTATTTTAAGAATTTACTAGCATTTACTTAGTATGGTGTATGGTATATAAATTAATCACATTATGACGTTTGTAGTTGCTGTGTTAAAAAGGAAAGATAAAATTATTTTTATAAGAACGTATTCCTTACTTTTACTTCTCGTTTTTTAGTATGATGGCAAAGTGTTTTGGTTTTTGTTTCCAAAAAGCAGATTTTCTAGGGTGCCTGATTTCTGTCTGATTTCCTTCTTCAAACTATTGGAGTAGCAGAATATACCTAGAAATCTGCCTTATTCACTTGAGTATGGAAGAGGGTTACTTTTAAACCAAAAACATACAGGAAAGAAAAGTGTTTCCATAAAGTAATCAAATCATAGCTTCATCCTGAGGAATGCAGGTGTTTTATTTAAAATAATGAGTCAGTTGACAAGTCAATAAAGTTGATTTAGAACTTTCAAGATTGGAATATAAACAGACCAGGGTTGGGGGGCACTGAAACAGAAATGCAGAAAAAGGCTTTATAATAAGCACTGAAATTTTGCTTGTTTGTTATTCGTGATAGGAAATAGAGAGGTCTCGGTGAAATTGCCAAAAATCATTTGCGACAAAGTCAGAATGACACATGAATACCTAGGATTGGTGACAAAGTGTGTTGATAGAGATTTATAATAACTGTGTCTATCGCATTTTTCCTTTTCTTTGAAATTTTTCCTGGATTGAAAATTACCTGAAATTTCAATCTCGCGTAGTAAGATATTTTATTTCATTTTATTTCCATTGGGTGTTTTTTTTTTATTCTTTAAGTTCTAGAGTACATGTGCACGAAGTGCAGGTTTGTTACCTATGTATACATGTGCCATGTTGGTTTGCTGCACCCATTAACTCATCATCTACATTAGGTATATCTCCTAATGCTATCCCTCCCCCATCCTCCACCCTGCAACAAGCCCTGGTGTGTGATGTTCCCCACCCTGTGTCCAAGTGTTCTCATTGTTCAATTCCCACCTATGAGTGAGAACACGCGGTGTTTGGTTTTCTGTCTTTGCGATAGTTTGCTCAGAATGATGATTTCCAGCTTCATCCATGTTGCTACAAAGGACATGAACTCATCCTTTTTTATGGCTGCATAGTATTCCATGGTGTATATGTGTCACGTTTTCTTAATCCAGTCTGTCATTGATGGACATTTGGGTTGGTTCCAAGTCTTTGCTATTGTGAATAGTGCTGCAATAAACATACATGTGCATGTGTCTTTAGAGTCGCATGATTTATAATCCTTTGGGTATATGCCCAGTAATGGGATCGCTGAGTCAAATGGTATTTCCAGTTCCATCCAGATCCTTGAGGAATCGCCACACTGTCTTCCACAGTGGTTAAACTAGTTTACACTCCCACCAACAGAGTAAAAACATTCCAGTTTCTTCACATCCTCTCCAGCACCTGTTGTTTCCTGACTTTTTAATGATCGCCATTCCAACTGGTGTGAGATGGTATCTCATTGTGGTTTTGATTTGCATTTCTCTGATGACCAGTGATGATGAGCATTTTTTCATGTGTCTGTTGGCTGCATAAATGTCTTCTTTTGAGAAGTGTCTGTTCGTATCCTTCGCCCACTTTTTGTTGGGGTTGTTTGATTTTTTCTTGTAAGTTTGTTTAAGTTCTTTGTAGATTCTGGATATTAGCCCTTTGTCAGATGGGTAGATTGCAAAAATTTTCTCCCATTCTGTAGGTTACTTGTTCACTCTGATGGTAGTTTCTTTTGCTGTGCAGAAGCTCTTTAGTTTAATTAGATCCCATTTGTCAATTTTGGCTTTTGTTGCCATTGCTTTTGGTGTTTTAGACATGAAGTCCTTGCCCATGCCTATGTCCTGAATGGTATTGCCTAGGTTTTCTTCTAGGGTTTTTATGGTTTTAGGTGTAGCATTTAAGTCTTTAATCCATCTTGAATTAATTTTTGTATAAGGTGTAAGGAAGGGATCCAGTTTCAGCTTTCTAAATATGGCTAGCCAGTTTTCCCAGCACCATTTATTAAATAAGGAATCCTTTCCCTATTTCTTGTTTTTGTCAGGTTTGTCAAAGATCAGATGGTTGTAGATGTGTGGTATTATTTCTGAGGGCTCTGTTCTGTTCCATTGGTCTATATCTCTGTTTTGGTACCAGTACCATGCTGTTTTGGTTACTGTAGCCTTGTAGTATAGTTTGAAGTCAGGTAGCATGATGCCTCCAGCTTGTTCTTTTAGCTTAGGATTGTCTTAACAATGTGGGCTCTTTTTTGGTTCCATATGAACTTTAAAGTAGTTTTTTCCAATTCTGTGAAGAAAGTCATTGGTAGCTTCATGGGGATGGCATTGAATCTATAAATTACCTTGGGCAGTATGGCTATTTTCACGAAATTGATTCTTCCTATCCATGACCATGGAATATTCTTCCATTTGTTTGTATCCTCTTTTATTTCGTTGAGCAGTGGTTTGTAGTTCTCCTTGAAGAGGTCCTTCACATCCCTTGTAAGTTGGATTCCTAGGTATTTTATTCTCTTTGAAGCAATTGTGAATGGAGTTCACTCATGATTTGGCTCTCTGTTTGTCTGTTATTGGTGTATAAGAATGCTTGTGATTTTTGCACATTGATTTTGTATCCTGAGACTTTGCTGAAGTTGCTTATCAGCTTAAGGAGATTTTGGGCTGAGACGATGGGGTTTTCTAAATATACAACCATGTCATCTGCAAACAGGGACAATTTGACTTCCTCTTTTCCTAATTGGATACCCTTTATTTCTTTCTCCTGCCTGATTGCCCTGGCCAGAACTTCCAACACTATGTTAAATAGGAGTGGTGAGAGAGGGCATCCCTGTCTTGTGCCAGTTTTCAAAGGGAATGCTTCCAGTTTTTGCCCTTCAGTATGATACTTGCTGTGGGTTTGTCATAAATAGCTCTTATTATTTTGAGATACACAATTTGGTACTGAAAAAGCAATGTCTATTGTTATAGTCCCTGGAATGTGTGTGTATATGTACACGCACACAGACACGCACACACACACACAAATATACGTATTTAGATGTTCACAAAGTAAGCATAGTTCAAGGTTCAGATAAAAACTAGTCATAACTCATGTCAGTAAATGAGCCTTTGAGATTGATGGATTTTAATCATATAAAAGTGATGGTTATTCTAAAAGAGTATTGTTAAAAACAAAGTGCCCTTTGTGTCACTGTTTACTTCCTCAGTAGTTGATAAAAGAATAAATTCCCAAGGCCTTTTATGATATCTAAGGTTTATCTTCTCCTTGGATTCTTGTTTATGTACTGTTTCATTGTATTGAAGCACCAGAATAGCATTTGACACTATCGTAAATATGCAGTAAGTGGTTGCCACTCTTATATCATACCATGCTCTAAGCCCCAGAAAATGAACAAAAGAAGCAATATAATATCCATGGGGAAAATTTAGGGTAAAGCATATAAACATATAGATACACAAAAAAATTGGAGAAGATTAAAAGTAAACACTCAAGTTAAAGGAAAAGTTGTTGAAATTGAACAGTTTGCTCTATGTATATCTAAATATATATTGCAGAGTGTGTATAGCTTGAATCTGGATGAAGAACTTTCTCTACTTTCTCTCATGGTTCTGAAGTTTCTGAAAATGGAATCAAATGCACTTTTAAGTCTGACAAAGGAAATATATAGATTCATTTTTTTTCCCTAAAATTCTTTTTGGAGCAAAGTCAACCAGAAAGCTTTGTATTTGGACAGGCTTTCTATCTATAAAGCCATGCATATGGGCCAATTCTGAACATAAATGATGTTCAGAATGGGGCCATACATCCCCACTGGTTAAGCAGAAGACCAAGTTGGCCTCTGAAAGAAGTAAGCGTAGGAGCAGTGGCACTAACAAATGCCTTTTGTCTGCTGTGCAGAGGCACCGTGGATTGCATCGTGTTAGGCTTCATCAGCTACCTAATGCAATGTAACTTGGGAGATAAGATAAATCAGAGGAATGACACTGTATTAGATTTGAAAGATGAGAGCTCTTCCAAAGTAATTGCAGAGTGTATATTTCAGTGCTGTTGACTTCATGAGGTTATAGAAGTCAATAACCGTTTCGTTTGCAACAAAACGAGTCTTTCAAGAGCTGAGTAGCAAGTAAACAGAATCATGCTATTTTTTTTTTGTTTTTTTCCAACAAAATTTCCCAGGAAAAAGTGGAATTCTCCTTTATATGTTTGTTTTATACAGCTTTCATATTTAAGCTCATTATTGTTATATCACCAGCTTAGGTATTTACATTTTCTGTGCATCTCATGTGCAAATGTGTATGAAAGCACGAGAGATAAATTTTCCTATTTAAGGATATTTTTACTGCTAAATTGTTCTGAGTGTGTCTAAAACTAACTGAAAAGGATCTTTTTTATAATATTTTTTACTCTATATTAGTAAATGACTCTTTACTAATTGTTACCTAAATTTAAGAATTTATTTCGTATTAAAATGGTATGATTTCCTTTTTAAAAAACACTTAAACCTTGCATTTTCTATTTATTATGTGAAATGTTGTGAATTTAATTTTGATATTGAGAGTTGGAAAAAAGTTTTGTGATTGATTCCTTTTTCTTTTGTAGCCTACCGTATGTGAACGGGAGCTGTGTGTGTTTGCTTTTCAAACCCTGGGAGTAATGAATGAAGCTGCTGATGAAATAGCAACTGGAGCTCAGGTAGTAACACAGGATACTAATTATTTCTTATTTTGCTTTGAAAAATTTGTTCCAGTCCACTAGTTATCTTCATTCTGCTATTCTTTGGGGAAAATATTTGATAACTTCTAGTTAAGTGGCAAATTGGCATTTGATTTTTTTTATATGTAAACTAAATGTGATCTCTCCATCTAATGTGTGTTTCGTTATTTTGTGATTGCCAAGGAGAGAAATTAAACCAACTTTCCATTGCATGAAAAATAATTCTAATTTCTTCTTACACAGTGAAGTGGAGATATTGAAACCCTCGTGCATGCTTTATGTAAAATTTATTTGTAAAGATAACTGCCATAAAATGGAAGCCAATTTATTTTTAAAACTTAGGTGAAAAGATAATAGGCAGAGTATGTAATAAAAAGAGAACATTCAGTTTTACAGAGCAGTGTTTCAGAGATAGGAAGAAAAGCAATTCCATCAAAATTTCCAGATTTTTTTTTTCCCTCTTAACCTGACTAAACTACTAATTCATCTATAAGAAAAAAAATAAAAGAAAACTCTAAAAAATTAATGAACATTAATTAAGAGAGACTAGACCAACCACATACAGAAACATATATGCAGTGCTATAACGTTTTAACAAAATATAGTATTGGCAAAGAATAGTATGGCAGATCAATGGCAGATTATCCCCCAAATGGATCAAATTATGAATAAATTTAATGTATGTTAAAGTAGGTTTCAGCTCCTCACTTACTGAAGCATTATTTAGTAAGGGAAGTAGAAACAAATGGCCTGTAACGGGGAAAAATTGGTTTAGCGCTTTACCTTACACTGTGTGCAAAAACAGATTTCAGATAGCTTAACGAATACCTAGTTTTAAAAAATTATTTGCTAATACAAACTATAGGACAGTAAAATTTAACATGCACAACTTGAGGCAGTGCATCAGGCTTATGAAGGCACAACAGTTTAATAATACAGATGGTAGCCTAGAGCTTAGGAATGTACACACTCCTTGGCCTAGTCATTTTAATTAACTAAAACTATTTTGCATCCACCTGATGAAATATTTAGGGCAGTATTTTTCATATAATTGAAGTATAAATGAAACAAATAATACAAAGAGTAGAATGTTGGTCTTATATGATATGAAAAAAATGATTCCATGATTAAAATAAATTTCCAAACTATAGCTTCGTATTTCCCCCACACCCAACATGCACACATTTGCATATTAACGGTTCTGAGCATCCCTATAACTAAGAAAATAGCTAGCCTATACTTAGAGGGTTACTAAAATATATCTGACTATGGAGAGCCTTTTTCTTTTCCATCCTTCTTTTTTAAATGTGAAAGTTTTTCTTGTCCCTTGGAAATAATATTGCTAAAAGGAAAAAAAAGGTACTTTAATATGTATGGTATTTATAGCTATGTAAAAATAATTAAAACCTTACAAGGGATATGTTGTATGAGTATGCTCACATGTATATTTATATAGATTTGTGTATGTGCATATATGTTAAAAATTCTTCAAGTAGTATACTTAAAATTCACACATTTTACCGTATGCAAGCTTCCCTTTAAAAAAGAAATTAAAGGCTAGTAATAGTAAATTATAAATTAGAAGGAAAAGTAGTATGCTAACAGTATGGTATGTTGATAGAATAATAGTTGGCCTTTTAAAATCATTGTTACATCATAAAATTAATGGTTTTGAATAGAAATGAAATTCAAATTATATAATGATTGATACAAAGCACAAGTATTTGATCAGCTCAATTTAGTGATGTAATTCTAAAAATCAATATCAAAAGATCAGAAAGTTTAGTAATTCTACTCCAAAGACAGCATTTTTTTCATACTTTATTTCTTAAAACAGGTTCCCCAGTATTCTGTCATAATCCTAACGATTACAGGGAAATCACTTCTTTTTCTAAACAAAAAGAAACCACCTCAGGATCTCATTGCCTCAGTTTACCCGTGCATTTTAAGTGGTGCTCTGGGGGCTGCAAAGACATTCCTCAGGACCATTGCAGGGGACTTGCCTGGAGCAACAGTGTCCTGTGGTCTAAGCAGCTGCTATTCCAGCACCCCAAATACTACTTCAACAGAATAGTTCCATTTTATTTGTTTAGATATTGGGCTCTCATCTAAGATTTTTTTTAAATTACTATTGCAGTATTGGACAATGATTGGTTTATAATTCTGAATCTGCTTCCTTTTTTAGACTACATTGTATACCCTTAGGCTCTTCCTATAGGTGCCTTTCTTAGTCACATGGACTTCCAGTTATTAAAAGACTAATGACTAAAGACTAATGACCGAATTTTTCTCATTTGCCTGAAAGGGGTGTGTGTGGGGAGGGTTGCTCTGCCAGTTGAATTGTAGGTAATGTAATGTCCTTTGGAGGCACCTGATTCTGTAAATTCACAGACCTTTTTATCTTCACTTATCAAATGTCCTAATTTTTCTTGCTTAAACCTAATATTTCTTTGCATTTCCATCCTAAGTATCTTAGTCAACTGCCAAATTGCTTCTTCATTTGTATCATTCAGTCAAAGAAGGCAGATATATGTGTGTAACTTGTTGTCCATAGCATGCATCATATATACTAAGATTCTATTTAGAATCTTTAATTTTAAATCGTTGGGAGTGGGGAAATATATCATTTAGCCCCCCCCCCCCCAAAAAAAAGAAGTCATAGTTGTGTGCTCTTTTTTATTTTTTCTTTCTTTTCTTCCCCCTCGAGAGAGCCTCTTTCTGTCACCCAGGCCAGAGTGCATTGGTGCAATCTCAGTCATTGTAACCTCTGCCTCATGGGTTCAAGCGATTCTCCTGCCTCAGCCTCTCTAGTAGCTGGGATAACAGGTCCATGCCACTGCACCCAGCTAATTTTTGTATTTTTTTGTGGAGACAGGATTTGGCCATCTTGGCCACGCTGGTCTTGAACTCCTGATCTCAAGGGATCCTCCCGCCTCAGCCTCCTGAAGTGCTTGGATTACAGGCATGAGCCACCATGCCCAGCCTCTCTTACATTTTTATTTTTATTTGTTTTTTTGGAGACAAGGTCTCACTGTGTTGTCCGGGCTGGTCTTGAACTCCTGGGCTCAAGTGATCCTCCCACCCCCGCCTCCCAAAATGCTGGGATTACAGGCCTGAGCCACCACACCCAGCCTTTTATTTTTTAAAGTGGATGTTTTAGTCCATGAGATACTTAGAAAAATTAACATATGCAAAGGAATATAAATCCAAATTGTATTATAAATGTTTTTCTTCTTAAAAAGTCTAATGCTAGCTTCTGTAACAGATAAACCATAAAATCACGGGCAGCTTAACATGGTAGCATTTTGTCATTCACACACTCCAATTAGAATGTTTGATGGGCCACTTTCTGTGTGGTGACCGGGGGGACTGGACCCCTTCGATCATGTGGCCCTGCTGTCTTTACTATATGCCATGTAGTAGAGAAACTGAGGAAGACATACCTTTCTTTGCATCAGGTCAGCCCCTTTCCACTGATGATCTGGTGAAAGCCAGTGGTTAAGACCTTATTCAGACAAAAAGGTGGAAATGTGCTTTGCTGAGCAGCTGCTTCCAGGTATTAGCGCTGTGTCCTGGAAGTGAGCAAGGAGTTGGAAACTTTGGTGCATCCCATGTAATTGAGTCACAGTAGTTACACTTTTTTTTGAAGTTAGGCTAGGACATATATTAACAGAAATATTCTACCAATTAAATTTACTACCCATTATTACATTATAATTTACTTAAATATACTAGTAAAAATATTGGTCAAAAATGCATGGACTTTTATAAAACTTCAATTGCATAGTAGGACATAATTTTTAAAGGGTTTTAGTGAGAGCATATCCATCTGTGTCATTCCCCTCCTCCCTACAAGGTCTCAGAAAAGGCTATTTTATCTTCTTTTTTTTTTTTTTTTTTTTTTTTTTTTTTGAGACGGAGTTTTGCTCTTGTCACCCAGGCTGGAGTGCAGTGGCGCAATCTTGGCTCACTGCAACCTCCAGCTCCCGGGTTCAAGCAGTACTCCTGCCTCAGCCACCCGAGTAGCTGGCGCTGCAGGCACCTGCCACCATGTCCAGCTAATTTTTGTATTTTTAGTAGAGACGGGGTTTCACCACATTGGCCAGGCTGGTCTCGAACTCCTGACCTCAGGCAATCCTCCCTCCTTGGCCTCCCAAACAAAGTGCTAGGATTACAGGCGTGAGCCACTGCGCCCAACAAGGCTATTTTATCTTACTGATTCTTCTTTGTCAGTTCTTGTTTGGGTTTTCATTAGAGACCAGATAATGCTGAAAACAATCTGTATCAGGGTTAATGTGCATCTCTAGAGTAGAAGGAATGTGAGGGTGGGAGAGGAAGACAAAAAGGAGGGTTTTATTATGTCCTTATTATGTTTATTGCTTGGAATATAACTTCTTGCATATATCTATATATATGTATGCATGTATTTACATACACACACACAAATGAAATAGTGTGTCAGGAACATTAGATGTTTCCATTCTAATGTTTTCAGAGTGTGTCTTGTGGATATGCATGTCTATGTACTCGGGGCATGTTATGTCTGGTGTCTTGAGCGTTGCTGATTATTTTAGGTCACTGGAAATTCTGGATGCTATGATTGGGTGGGTGTGTTTTGTGAGTACCCACACAACATAGTCAGCTCTGCTGTCATTAGGTCACAATACTCCTCTCTTAGAAGCAGGACAATCAAAAATTGGCCCCCTCTTACTGTGCATTTTTTAAATGCCTGTCTAAAGACTTTCTAGAAATAGCTTTCCCTATAAAGATATATATGCTTCCTTATTAAGTCACTTGTGTTCACACTGTAGATATGTCTGTTCAGGTGAACTCTGACCATTTAGGCAGTATCAGTTTTCTTTATTCAGTGGCCAGAATATATTGTTTTGGGGACTGGCAAGGGGAGCCATGCTATCAAACTGCTATATAGTACTGCCTCTTAGTAGATTGTGCAGAAGAATCATAGGATAACAGGATAACACAGGAATAAAGCCATTGTCTTTAGCCAATCAAAGGTCATTAGTGGACTTGGATAGAGGAGAATAGGAAGAGGCAAGATGTTGTCAGGCAATTAGCTATTCCTGGAGCATGCCAAAGTCTTTTCCTGCACATGGGGCTTCCTTCCCCTGGAACAGCTTCTCGCCAGATGGTCGCATGTCTCCTTCCTGACCCCGTACAGGTCTCTGTTGAGATTCACCACCTTTCTTAGCCACTCTAAAACAATGTCCCTTTCTGCATTATTCTCTAGTGCCTACTTTATTTTTTTATAACATTTAACAGTATCAGAAATTCTATTGAAGCATCTATTTGTTTAACTGATATTTTATTGTGTATCTTCTCCCCTAGACTATCAGCTGCACCAGAGCAGGGACTTGTCTGTCTTGTGCCTTGTCTTACCATAGGGTCTAGAACAATACTGGCATATAATGTGTGCCTTTGAAAAAGAGATATTAAGTTGTGAGTAATGAGAAGCAGCACATGTTTGTTATTTTGAATTGATGGTAAAGTTTGGTCAAATGTGGTCTCAAGTCTTGCATTACACATTTGAGAGATTGGTAGCAGTCCTGATCTTCCTCATTAACTTATGCTACCTTGAGAGGGAGAAACAATGGCAAAGCACTGGATAAAACCTGAAGGGTAGTAACTATCTTATGTGTATATTTCAAGGTGGTAGATCTACTAGTATCCATGTGTAGGTCTGCGTTGGAATCTCCTAGAAAAGTTGTGATTTTCGAGCCATATCCTTCTGTGGTAGATCCTAATGATCCTCAGATGTTGGCCTTCAACCCCAGGGTAAGTTGTTATCATGGCACACCAATCACAAAGTTTTCTTTAACAATAACAACAATATTGAGATTGTAGTCTCATTAGGTTTCCTCTTTCTATCTAAATCTCTATCTCATCAAGCATATCCATGAGTATTTAATTTCATCATATATTTTTGGGGATTCCGACTTACATAACCTCATTTTGATTTTAAAGATCATGGGTAAAGGGACAAGTTTTCCTTTCTTTTCTGCATTTTCACTTCAACCCTCCTTTCCTCTTTCCCTTCTTCCTCCCCAGCTATCTGAAGGTTAGTGAAAGTTTAGTTCATACTGTTAATGGACTGGCCTTTCTTAAGGAAGCAGTTTTATAAATGTTCCTGAAGATAAGGCAGAATCCTTTTGAAATTACAAAACTTTCAAATTGCATAAGAGCTGAAGTTGCCTCAGTTTCTATTACTACTCAGCTTGAAATAATTTTATAGAAACAACTGTATACAATTTTCTTGGAAGAACTTTATTTCTTCATAAATGGCAACAGCGCACATATTTAGATCTTGCTTGAAAATGAATTGTCAGCTATGTGACTGTATGCTATCATTTGTATACTGTCAACCATACTCTTGTTAACAATATTCAACTCAAAATAAAATAAAAGCGGTTGTGAGATTTGAAGTGGGTTTTTGTATTTTAGGATTCTATGTTGACTTTATTCATTATGGCTTAGTGTTTTAGTGGTGAAAGCCTGAATCAGGAGCCCCATAACTTTTTTGTGTTTCTAGATTTTTTCCGCCATGGCTTATAGAAGGATTGGCATTGTTTTCTTTGTTTCTTTTCTCTGACTGAAGTCCTGGAGCCATCTTATTATAGTCTTCCCTTTTATGTACACCAAACAGTCATTTCTTTCAAATTGACCCCAGTGGAAAATTCACATATGGAAATAATATATTTCTCTAGTGATATACAGACTTGCAAGAGCTTATAAGCAAATGCTGTTTTTTAACATCACTTTTTCATTAAACAGAAAAAGAACTATGATCGAGTAATGAAAGCACTGGATAGCATAACTTCTATCAGAGAAATGACACAAGTAAGTATGTCATCTGGTCTTGTACAGTATATTTTTAAAATGTCTGAGAGTTCTAGCTATGTAGTGAAATGTAGACTTCTCTATAATACATATCATTTAAAAATTTGTGCGGTATTAAGATGTTTTAATTAAATCACATCAGTGTACTAGCATGTAACACTGTGACTTCAGGAAAGTAAGTGGATAATTATAAGATAATTATACTCCTAATACTCTGCCCTCAAACTCGGGCAAGAGCTTGGGTACATGTAGGTATGTCGGGATATTTTAAGGCAAAGGTTAAATCTGGTACCATTTTCCTAGACTGTCAATTTTAATTGATGGTAGCAATTTCAAAACATTATTTGAGTATTAAAAACAGAAATGTTCTTTAAAATGGAACTTTTCCATAAATATTTTATATAATGCAAAATCCCAAAACCACTTTGGAAGATGCCAGGCTCCCGGAGAGTATGGGTTTATGTTTTTGGTCATTAAGGGAGGCTTTGGTGGAAATAGTTTGATGAGCAAGGATCGGGGTTTGTTAGGAAAATCTAACACATCCCTGGGCTATAGTCCAGCATTTGGAAAAGCACACACTGTTGAATTATTGAGACCTTTCCACTGCCAAAGACTTGGAGAGAGGTTTAAAACTTATCATTGTAAGTAGAAATTAATAATCTGAGATTGACAACGCACATTATGTGTGCAGCTTGCATGTAGTGGTTTCAAGGATTGCACTGCCTTAGAGACCCTTGCAGGCTTATAATGAGTATTACCCTGGGTCCTTTATTTTCTCTGGGGAGGGAATAGGGGAACCCTCCTGTCCCAGGGCCCACTAAGCTGCTATGCAGCTTTCTCCCCGCCCCCCACCAACCCCCAGAGTTATCGCTACTGCTCTGTAGGAAGACAGTACTCAAAAAGTACATTTTTGCATTTCCATTTTGATTCTTGATTCTTTCGATCATCATTTATTCATGTAGTCAAATATTCGTTCATTCACTCAATAAATAGTGTGTGTCTGGCAAAGAGTAAACAAGAGATCCTTTAATTCACAAATGTTATTATTTGCTTAAAAAATCACCATCCCTTTGGGTTATTTTTCTATGCCAGTACCTTTCTGTATTATCTGAATTCTTTCTCAGACAAGCACTCCTTATTTGTATAGGGAAAGAAAACAATAAAATGTATTTCCACCTAGGAGAAAAAAAGAACATATTGGAATATCTTATACAAAATCATATAAACATTTTTAGTCATGAAAAAGACTTTGGTATAAGGTATACTATACCCTAGACCTTGATTATTTTTGGATTTAAAAATAGCTACAAACTCTGACTCTGGAATCAGCTCTCTGCCAAAAATTGCTTTCTTTATTCTGGGTCATGTGTAAGCTATTTTAATAGAAGGGAACGTAGACGACTGAGCGTCAGCCTAGGAAGTTAAGAAGCCAAAATTGTATAACTGGCTCATCAATGAATGTGACCTGTGACCTTGGGCAAGTTGCTTAATTGCTTGGCGCTTCGCTGTCAAGGTGGAAGTAGTAATGCTGCACCCTGTTTCGGTGTGTACTTCATAGGGAAGCTCTCAGGTTTTATTGTGTCAAATTCTTTAAAACTTTCTGAATAAATACAACATTATACTGTGCTGTTTTCTAGAATGTACTGTCCTATACGTAGCCCTAAATTGTCACGGAGAGATTGCTCTTTGTTCTGTGAAATGGTTGTTGGTTAAATCCCTTTAAATACTTTTTAGAGAAGGCTTCGTCTTAGGTAAATTGTGTCCAATTTTTTAATGTAAAGGTCTATACCTAAGTCTGGACTCTCAGATATGAGCATTAGTAGTGGCCCTCACAAGCTTTGCTTTCATATTGGTTATTGGTTAAAATGGTCATTGTGAAAGAGAAACTTTACAGGACACTTGTAAAGGTGGCAAGACAGATTTATTCAGAGCACTGCAGTGGGGGAGAGAGACTGCAGCATAAACTGAGCTCAACTTCAACTAAGACAAAGGTGATCCAGGTTTTTAAAGGCAGAGGAGAGGAAGCAAAAGGCGCTACAAGTAAGTGAAAAGGCAAGGAAAAGAAGATGGGACTAGAGGAGTTATGTAAAAATGGAAAGTTACAGAAGGGGATAAGTGGAGAATTACCAAAAATGGTTTGGCAAAGTGGGTTGGTACAATATACATTTTGTGGTTTGGGAGCATCACGTTTTCTTGAGCAGAAACTCAACAGGGGGCTGGAGAGTGGTCATCTTTAGGGACATAGGCTAGTGTAAATGGAAGCCAGGCTAAAATCGGGACAAGTCTTTTAACACAGTGTTTGGGCAAGTCATTTTGGTGGCATGAAAGTTCACAATTCCCATCATCTTGGGAGAAAAGACTAGGGCAATTGTTGTTGTTCCCATGTTAAGTCCATAAATTTTTAAGTCTTACTAGATTAGGCATATCGTTTGGTCTGATTTTCCTTTTGTGAAAACGGAAAAATGAATTTTTATGAAAAATCAAGAAGTATAATGACTTTTTTTCAGGCACCATATCTGGAAATCAAGAAGCAAATGGATAAACAGGACCCCCTTGCTCATCCCTTACTGCAATGGTATAAAATTCTAGTTTTCCTCTTAATGAAAACAGCATCCTTTTCTACTGCTTGATTTAAGGAAAAAAACCAAACAAACAAAAGTAAACCTGTCTTACAAGCCCTGCAATGCTATAGTTCTACAAGCTTATGAGACCTGGTGATTTTACAACCTTAGAGTCCTTAATGACTCTCACTTTAATTAAAACTTATACATCACAAGGGGAAGAGAATGCTGTCACATGCACTACCAGGGATAAATAGTGCATTTGACAGCAGTTTGCCTATAGTTTTAAAAGATGTGATTAACTAGCTTATGTGGCAAAAGCATTTTGGTTCATTTAATTTTCTAGTTCAGTGAGGACTAAGTGATCAAACTCAGTGTTTCAACCTTTATTATTGAAATCTTTCTAATCTAAAATAAATGTTTTATATTTTGCTCCCTTAACAAGGCAGTATAAATATGATTAACTCTTAACTCTCTGCTTGCTCAGTGCAGAAGATGCACAGTTTCAGAGTGAGCCTGGTGAGGGATGTAGTGTTACCCCAGCATGAATTCTAGAAGGAGGGCTAGACTGTGAAGAGGAGAGAAGTCACCTTGCTGTGATGCCCATTTCAAATAATTTGCCCTCTTCTACTTCTAATAATTTCCTCTCTTGTTTCTCATTTGCAAAATGAAGACACTAGTTTCTACTCAACATCCCTTATAAGGGTTTTATACACATGTCTCTTTGAATTAACTTTGAAAACTCCAACTCCGTGAGATTTACCATACAGTAATACAAATGTAAGGCTTATAAGAGATTGATATGAATGAGCACTTATACCATGCTACGACCAGGAAGTTTTAAAAAAATATGTAAAGGTGGGCAGATGCAAAAGAATCTGGCTTCCTCAAGATTCTGATTACTTAACTTTCACTTCATTAAAATTTTATAGTACACATTTAATTTAGTCTAACAAGATTATAACAAAAATTAGGTATAGAAGCCTTCCTTCTTTGTATCTGTTATGATCTGTTACTAAATTCTGAAACAATTAAGTAAAATAACACTAAATTTCCATTGTAACCTTTAAATTTTTCTCATTGTTATATTCAGATTGAAGGTAAAAATTGCATATATCTAGTTGCTTTCTTTTTTTCCTTGTAGTCAGATGGTTAACTTTTAATTCTTGTGATCATTTCCTTCAGCTTGTTAGTCACTCTTCTTTCAAGATGAAGAGAGTCTACCAAAACTTATTATTTTGTGTGCTTATAGAGCAGTTCCTTTCAGATACTTCAATTTAATTTTTTTCAACTGCAGAGTCTACGTATGTTGGATTTTGTATGTAAACCATTGTATATATATCAGCTCAAAGAGATCCTCAAATATTTAAAGAAAAAAAATCTTCATAAGAACTTATCCTTAATTTAAGCAATGTAAGAGAGGAATAAAAGAAGCAGATCCATGACTCACTGCTCTTATTTGTATTTGGATTATCATTATTTGAAAGTACATTCAGAAATGTTCAAATGTTCATTTTGCTGATACTTGAGGTTATGCTTATTAAAAACTATGTCTTAAGTTTTAGGGAACAACTTCCTAGTGTGTTTTCTCAGATTAAAATATTACCTTTTTTGTTACATAAGCTCTTTAAATTGTTTCAGGAAACAAACCTAAATTATGCGACTAAATGAAATTATTTCCAAGTTTAGTTTATGGCACAGCAAAAATAAGTTTTAATCGGTTGCCAACTAAGAAAAAGAACTTTAAATATATTTGGCATGTATTTGTGACTAATGGATCATTTTAATTTCAGGGTTATATCAAGTAATAGATCACATATTGTGAAACTGCCAGTTAACAGGGTAAGTTGTTTTTTTTTTTTTTACATATGCATACAGAAATGGGAGGAGTACTTATCAGTTGGGAGAACCTACCTTGTAATTTTTAGCCAGACTCTCCAAGAATTGAAGTAAACCCAGGTTAAATATAATTCTTTAGTTTGAAATAGCCATTGCTCACTAGCTCCAAACCTTTCCAAGATAACAAATTCAAATTCAGTCTGCTGTCCTGACTTTTTAAGTGAATAAAAACATCAATATGAAATCATTTAGTTATTCCACAAGCAATTGAAAAATATTATATGGAGATTAACCAGAAGGAAGTTAATGTGCTTTATAATCGTTGTCAGTTTCATGTTGGCACATTTCCACTTTTCTACAGCTGAGAAGCTATTGACCTCAGACAACTTATTTATCAGCCTAGTAAGCTTAAAAAATAATAATTTGTAAAAAGCTAATAGACTCTGGATTTCAGTTCTGATCATCACCTAAGATCTGTACCTAAAAATCTCATTTTTGCCATCTGTGAATCTCTAAATGTGAGATTCCTATGCATTATATTCCTGCATAACTATATTCCTAAGAGAAAGGGAAACACTTAGAAGATGTTTTCAAGCTATTAATCCAAAAGATTCTGCTTTCATTTCTTTCCATGACCAAGGAGGAGACTATATTTGAATGTAGGCAAAAATTCTCAATTTTATAAATATATGCAAATAAAGCATAATAATAATTTTTGCAGTTTTATAAACTTTTCTTTTCTGCTTAGCAAACTCCAGAATATTTCCCCAATTGAATAGCTAGTATATACTTAGGGACTCAATAATAAAAATGTTAAAAGAAATGTAATTAAGAAGGCAGATCTGCTTAAACATGATTGCATACTGTATTCCAAAGCTAAATATAAATGGCTTTGGATTGTCTGTTTCCTATTCCTTTCCCATTTGCCCAAAGAATTGTTCTTCATATTTGCAATTCCATGTGACTTATCACTTGCGTAGAGTTTTAAAAACATTATACAAATTAGCTTGCTAATGTGGTTAGTGGAAAATTACTATAGTTTGAAAGTGGGTAATTCTTAAACCAATAAAATTTGAAATTGTCATCAGCCTGAATATATGTTAAGTTTTACATGTTTTTGTTTGTCTTTATCTTAAATGGCAGCAATTGAAGTTTATGCATACTCCACATCAGTTCCTTCTTCTCAGCAGTCCACCAGCCAAAGAATCCAATTTTAGAGCTGCTAAAAAACTCTTTGGAAGCACCTTTGCATTTCAGTGAGTAAGGCTTAATGTTAATGGGGGTGTGCTCCCATTAACATTTTCCAGAAATGTATGGGGAAGATATCACTGTCTTTCAGTAAATGATCATTCAGTAGATGGTCATTCAACAGATGGTCATGTAGTCAACTACATAATACTTGATTTGGCAATCCAGAACCTTCAGAAGGCACCATGACTTATTATGTTTTGACCACTTTGAAGATAATTAATTTTCTGGTTTTGCTTTTTCCTTTCCGTCTGTTTTTTTAGTGGCTCACACATTGAAAACTGGCACTCCATCCTGAGGAATGGTCTGGTTGTTGCTTCTAATACACGATTGCAGGTAGATTTTCTGAATGCTTTCACAAGACTTCATTCTTCTTCAGAATTGAGATTCAGTAAGCAACCCTGTTGTTAGGTTTAACTTGCAAAAGAGGAAGCATGTGAGTAAGACATTATATGGAATTTCTAGTAGGCATACTAGAACTGAAGCAGAACTGATCTATACACAATGATGTAAACACAAAATGGATCACACAATGAAAAGAAAAAGAAAGGATGGGTGCAGTGGCTCACACCTGTAACCCCAGCACTTTGGGAAGCTGAGGCGGGCAGATCGCTTGAGGCCAGGAGTTTGAGACCAGCCTGGCCAACATGGCAAAACCCTGTCTCTATTAAAAATACAAATTATATATATATATATATATTTATCCAGGCGTGGTAGCACATGCCTACAATTGAAGCTAATTGGGAGAATAATTTGAACCCGGGAGGTGAAGGTGAAGGTGGCAGTGAGCTGAGATCACACCACTGTACCTCAGCCTGGGTGACAGCAAGACTGTCTCAACAACAAAAAAAGAAAAAAAAAGAAAAGAAAAGAGAGTTTAATTCCCTCTGAGAAAACAGTAAAACAAATCACACTTTTTACTTAAGTAGAAAAACATTATCATGCACAAAGTAAAATCATACAGGCATTCTGTTAATTCAATGTACATTTCTAGAGCACTGGGCCTCAATATGAATGCTTTTAGAGAATAAAATGTAGAAATAAGTGAAGATTGCATGCTAGAGAGCCATCTGATACCTGCTTTTCCGCCTCCAGGACAGTACTTGGTGTTAGCAGGATATCATGGCAGTCATCTTCATCTTTATTTATGCCTTTCATCCTGCACATTTCACTTCACTCTCCTGCAGCTGAATTTTTTTTCATCTGACAGCATAAGGACATAAGGAAATGAGATGCTTAACCCAGTCACTTGAGCTAGATCTCATATTATGATGACATTTTAGATGATTCAATTAAATGTTAAATGTGTTTAGTATTCAATTCATACTAATAGTGTGTGAGGGCCCAGAACACAGAGATAATAAGAAAGAAATTTAGTTGATCTGAGTATAGTTTCAGTTAATGAAACTTATGTAACCTGAAAAATGTAACAGGATAAGAACAGGATGACAGATAGTATTATTAATGAAAATCTGAGCAGGACGCTTTGTTTATACACTAACATATAAATCCTAATCAGAATGCGTTACTGTGTCTTTCGGACCAAGTTTAGTTTCTGAAATTTTAGATCCATTAAAATAAAGGCCTACTAGTGTACTTTATAATAAATGATTGTCTTTATTAATGGTAGGATGGAAAACATTTATCAAGAATATTTTTCCTCTAGATACCATTTTTCTAAGCACAAGGATATTAGTACTGTTTTCAAATTAGACCTTGGAATAGAAGCTCTGTCATTTTTTTGTAAGACTGAATGTTCTGACATGAAACTGATTGCTTTGTCAAATATTATCATTTAAACCATGAACAGACCTCTCTCTCTCTCCCACTCTTCCCATCTTAGCTCCATGGTGCAATGTATGGAAGTGGAATCTATCTTAGTCCAATGTCAAGCATATCATTTGGTTACTCAGGTAATTCCTGTATTTCATTTCTAAAGTCACATTTATTAGGTTTTAATTTTCTTATTGTTTATACTCTATTCACAGCTTTCTATTGTGCCTTATTAGATATATTTTTATTAAATTTGTTTGCTAAATGTCAAAAGCAAAAACAAAGCCCATTTTCAAGATGAATTTATAATACTCTCCCTAGTGTACAAGATGGAATATATGTTTCATCAATTTAAAAAAATATTTAATATTCCTTACATTTATTCCTTCCACAAATGAATATTGAGACTATAATATATGCAAAGCACTATGTAGGGCACTGAGAAGTACACATACATAATATCTTTAAGTGTAATTCTATATCATGCTAATTTCTTATCTTTGTAATATTATTCATAAAGAAGCTTTGAACATTGTGGAAACATTAGAGTAGAAAAACACCCTCAAAATCATCTTTCTTGTTAACAACTTTTTGTAAATTTGGTGAGATTGTGGGAAAAAATACTTTGGAAAAAATTGAAAACTTGTGCTGTGCAGGAGCCTGGTGAGTTCAAAATGTAGAAAGAATGATCACCAAATTGTTAGCATTACTTATCCTTGGTGGAATTGGTGATGTTTTCTTCTTTGCACTTAAAAAATTTTTGGAATATTTTACAATGATCAGCATGATTTATATAACAACTAACCTATTCTGGTTTAAATATAAAATAATTATGCTCATTGTATAAATTCAAGCTACACAGAATTTTTGAAGTAGCAGATGAAAATTTTCTCTCCTTTACTACAGCTTCAGTGTTCTGTGTATGTTCCTTCACACTTTTAAGTGGTTTTATATACATATAACTGCATATGTAATTAGTTTTGCTTGTGTGCTCATGCGTGTGTGTGTGTGTGTGTGTGTGTGTGTGATTATGTGATCACGTTACACGTTTTAGGAGATGTCATTCACATGGTGCCTGAATGGTGAGTCTTAATATCCTCATGTTATAGGAAAGGATATTTAGAGAGGTCTGATAACCAGGTGAACATTAAAGAGAACTACCTAATTTATTTACCAAAGTTCATGTTCTTCCAACCATAACAAGTTGTTTCTCAATGATAGGAAACTTGGAACGCTTAAAACCAGATTTATAATTAGAAATACTAAAAGAAATCAGCAACATTGATAAATGGTAAAATGCTGATGGAAAGAAAACTTTAAAAAATGAGAAGGTTGCATGTTAACAAAAAAAGAAAAATTAGAAATATATGAAAAATTAAAACATAATTATTCAAGTAACTATTGCTGTTCAACAAACACCTTAACCTTAGGGCAAAATAACAGCTTCATTACGCTCATAGATTCTTTGGGTCAGGAATCTAGGATGGGACCTGGCTAAGTGATTCTTTAGCCCCTCAAAGTATCCACTGAATGCCGCTCAGCTGATGGATGGGCTGCGCTGGCAGGCCTGAGACAGCCTGACTCATATTCAAGAGTTGGGGAATTGGACTCCATCTCTTGTTAGCAAAGAAATACTGTTTCAGTGATCTCTGAAAATACAATATGCCAAAATAACACAAAGAAAATAAATACCAGGAAGTGTAAGATACCGTAGAGATAGGAAATGGAGTTACAAAGAAGAAATCTATTAAAATCAGACTCTAAATCTTGCTAAAACAGTACAAAATAAAAAGCTAAGAAACCAGCTGAAATAAATAAATACATTCTCAGCATAAAGAAAAAACACAGCAAATCATCAAGTACTGTAATTTTCTGTTTTTTATACTGGTATATAGACTCCTTCAATGGGTACATGGAAAGAATTGTGGAAGGGTTTACAAACCATGTGAATGGATGTAAAAATTTGTGTTATATGTGCTTTTTTTCTGGAGAGGGAGCACTTACCTTTCCTCAAATTCTTGAAGGGCTCTTGATCTAAAACAAATGTAAGAATCACTACAGTAAGATGACGTAGCATCTGTCGTTGATTTTGAGGGCTGAAAGTGTAGGGGTAAGAGAACAGGACAGCTTCTCTGCATATATATCCTTTGCTTTTTGTTCAGAATTGGCATTTGAAATCCAAGGCCTTCTCCTCAACCTGTCCCCATCCACCCCTCCACCTTTTTGGAAGGCCTGGAAAAGTTGGATAAATGTACTTTGCAAAATTTGTAAACAGGCTTTTCCCCTTCTCATTAAGCCATTTGCTGAAACAACTACAAAAATCAACACCTATCTCAACTTCTGGTGTAACAGTAGATGAACACTTTCTAATAAAGTGTAGATACAAATCTACCTATTCTAAAACAGATGTGTATTTTAGTTCTGCTTTTCTAAATTATTCACAGTAAGAAATTATGGCATTTACAGAGTAAGCTAAAATTTGTGAATATTACAGACAAAAAAACTTACATAATTTGTCTTAATTAGAAGAAATGTTAAATTCTGCATAGAATTTAAGAACAAATAACAACAAAAGTTCAGTTGTAATGTAAAAATATTTTTCTGACATTGTTCACATTTCCCACCCTTTATTTTCTCCTTCTCCTAGCCAGATAGTGGGAATGAAAGTTAGGTTCTAAAAGCCTTTTAAAATCAAGTTTTAAGAATTTTTAAATTATATTAATTTTATGCAGAAGAATTTTCGATCCTTGCTTTCAATGCAAAAAAATAACTTTCCCAGGACTTCCCAAACCCACTGATCTTCCACCTCAGGGGCTAAGGGCACAGCCCTTTGTTACTGTCTCTAGCCTAATGTGATCAAACCTTTACCTAGAATGGAACTTTGCATAGTAGGTCGATTGTACTTTCAGCTGCATCAGACAGCTTTGTCCCTAAATTATTATTTTGCCGATGTTTTCAGGGATGAACAAGAAACAGAAGGTGTCAGCCAAGGACGAGCCAGCTTCAAGCAGTAAAAGCAGCAATACATCACAGGTGTTGTAGTGACTTTAGTGACTGCTTATGATTAGTGAACTGTGGCCTCATCAGCCAGCAGAGCATGGAAAAATAGGCTTTTTAAGTCTGAAAAATTATTTAATGTGGTCATTACTTATAAAGGAATAAAACTCACTCTGAAATGCAGTAACTGAATTGCCTCTATACAATAATTAATCAACAGATATTTATTTATCTCCCACTATAATACCAGAGATACTCCTAGGCAGTAGAGTGTAGTGATGGCCAAAAGTAGACACATATTCCGTCTCTTGGAGCCTACATCCTACTGAGGGGTATAAATAAATTAAATACATATTTAGATAGATAGAATGCTAGATATTATGAAGAAAAATAAATCAGGGAAATGAGACATTTAATGCTGTCAGGTGGAAGAGGGATCTGGGATGAATGTTAAATGGGATGGTCAGGAAAGGATACTCTGAGAAGGTGACATTTGAGTCAAGACCTACAGATGATGAGTGCGTGAGCCATGTGACTCTCTAGGAGAAAGAACATTCTGGGCAGAGAGTAGAATGACCATCAATCCCATGTTGTTTCAGAGAAAACAAGTATATTCTGGGAAAATTAAAAAATCATCTGATAAGTAGTGTGACTTTAAATTTAAAAAAAGAGAGTATAGCTAATCTAATATCTGAAAAAAAAAAAAATCCCAGATTTTCTACATGAAATGTTTCTGTAACCTCCGTGACCTAGTACATGATGCTATTAAAAAAATGGGTTGGTTTTGGAGTAGGTGATCTGAAATAATTGATTTTGATGTTTGAAAAGATCAAGCAAATTTAATTTTGTTTACCTTGAAATAAAGAGGCCAAGCTTTTAGTAAAAATAAATTTGAGTTCTAATTCTGTGTTGTAAGATTATTGAACCCTAATTTAGCATTTTTCAGTTCACTTATCTCAAGAATAATTTAGTAATGATGATGTACAGAAATTAAAAATAACTTAATATTAAGAGAGTGCAAGGAAATTGATGCTAGTCTAGATAGGCTTTTTTTTTTTGACCTGGAGCCATCTTAGTGACTATTACTTTTTAATGATGAACAGCTTTTTTCACAAAGTGTTTCATTCTGACTCTAAGTTTTAATTGTTTTTGGAATTTAGTCACAGAAAAAAGGACAGCAATCCCAATTCCTGCAAAGCCGTAACTTAAAATGCATAGCCTTATGTGAAGGTAAGTTGAAAGTTTTACAAACCTCATAGTGTTAGTTCCTAGCTCATCTATAATTAAAAATATAAGTATATTTACAGAGTGCTTACGGTGGAATAGGGAAAGCATTATTCCTTATGATCATCTCAAAGGGCACAAATGCAAAAACGGGTACCGTAGAGATCATAAAGGTTCAAACCAAATTGCAGAATTGGCAAGAATTCAGAGAGTGATATATTTTATTTCTGGCAGATATTTCCAGAATGGTAATTATATCTTTCTGATCAAGTAATGCTTATCTCTTTAGTTAATGTGCTACCTTCCTCTTAAAGTTGGTATTTGAATATATGATACTATGAAAAATGTGAAAGATGAACCAAGCACTGAGAAGATAACCTATTAGGTCTTTCTGTTCCTGCACTGAAATTATTATATTATTCTGTACTGAGGACAGAAAAATTGATGGGTGATTTGCAAGATGATATACTTTTCTTTGTTCTTGCTTTAAAATATGACTGCCTAAAAATTCATTTTTTCTTCTTGTGTTAGGAGTTTTAGTAGCTGCTGTCAACTGTCTTTTAAGTTTTCAACACACGGTAGTTATATAGGACATGAACTTGCTGTCTACATAGTTCTTAAGTCAGGACCTATCTGCTTTTGGTAATACTTAGATGAGTCCCTTTTTATTGTTATACCAGTTGTTATTCAAATTATAAAGTTGTTACATGGTCTTTCACTGTTTTTATCTATATTTCTTCATAGACAATAAGGCTAAACAATTTTTATGTGTTCATTAGTGCTTGTATTTTTGCTTTAGATTTCAACGAGAAGAGATATATTAAGTCGGAATGGACTAGGATTCCTTTAGAATAAAGTGGTTCTTTAATTTTATTTTCCACTTAACAGTGATCACCTCATCTGACCTGCACAAACATGGAGAGATATGGGTTGTCCCCAATACTGACCATGTCTGCACACGATTCTTTTTCGTGTAAGTGGAAATGCTCAAATTTGTATATTACTGTCTTTGCCACAAATGGGTTAGTGGTGACTGAATTATCGTTTGGTCTCTTTAGCTGCCAAAATATAACAGGTAATTGAGTTTAACATCAACTAATGTTTTTGTTTTATTTTCAGTAAGCCATTAAAAAAATCTAAATAATTTTTAAATGCTGTTAACTTAGAAGAGCTCATGAAAAACACCTGTTAACTTACAACTAAAAAAAACACCATCTTAGTCAAGCCTGGTGGCCCACACCTGTAATCCCAATACTTTGGGAAGCCGAGGCGGGTGGATCACCTAAGGTCAGGAGTTTGAGACCAGCCTGGCTAACATGGTGAAACGCTATCTCTACTAAAAATACAAAAATTAGCTGGGCGCGGTGGTGCATGCCTGTAGTCCCAGCTCCTGGGGCTGAGGCAGGAGAATCGCTTGAACCCAAGAGGTGGAGGTTGCAGTGAGCCAAGATAGCACCACTTACTCCAGCCTGGGTGACAGGGAGAATCTGTCTCAAAAAGAAAAAAAAAGAAAAAAGAAAAACACCATCTCTGTCTCTCTAGCCATCTCTCTGTATGTATATATGTATACATGTGTTTATACACCTCCATACACACATATACTTTTGTTAATTTTAAAAATTTAGAACTGGGATGAAGAATACAATAATGAAAAGGTCTGTCCTATAAAAGATTGATCTACATTCCATATAATACAGGCTGGCAATGCAGTACATGTCAATGTGGGGTTTTTTTTTGGCACAGCTGTATCATAAGAGTTGCATTAAAATATAAAAGCATTATTTTTCATTCCTAAATAATGGGTGCAGTAGACCAGTCTAATTTTCACTCTACCCTTGGCTTCCAACCCGTTTCCCATGCTGTTCCCACCTTATCCATGATCTTGTCACAGAAAGGATTTCAGGGAAGAGTTGAGCATATCTGTTTTGTACTTTATGTAGTATATTTAAAAGAAACTGAAAAATGGAACTGTTAAGGTTGCTTCGGTATACTGTATATCCTGAGTACCCTGTGTATTCAGCATTGGATCTGTTGGCTTGTTGACAGACTATTCACAGTGAGACTTACAAGCTGCCTGGTTTTCTTTTGGATGATTTGAAAACTGTGATTGTTCTTACCATAGATATTTGCTGACTATAGATTTCTTTCTTAACAGTGAGGCAGCAGTGAGTATAGGAGAAGGAGCCCGCTTTTGATCAGATAGTTTGAATCCTGGCTGAATAGTAATTAGTAAGATGATATTGCCTGGTTGTATAACACGTCTAAGCTTCATCGGTAAAATGATAATAATATACCTGTATCAGTCAGAATCCAAACAAGAAACAGATGACCCATGAAAAATATTTTTGGGTCATCCACAATTAGATTATTTACAAGGGTATGATTATAAGGAAACCGCAAGTCCAGTGTAGTAACCTGGATCTATTAGCACCAGAGCTGTTATACATTCCCAGGTACAAAAGGACACAGACAGGAAGCAGTCCTGTTGGGAAGCCCCATTGGCCAAAGCCTGCCAGAACTAGAGAACAATGAAGCTTATTGAGAAAGTCCTTACAGGTCAGGCTCCTGGGGCAGAACGAAGGCAGAGAAAGACTCCAAGAGGATCCTGGGGGCTCCTAGAGAAGCTAACTGCACACAGTACCTATAAAGTTTATTATGAGGATTAATTTAGCACAATGCAGGTCTTGGCCACTGAAAAGCTTATTAAATATTTTTTTCTGTCTTCTTTCTTAACTATCTTGATTGTTATCCACTATTAGATGCTTGGCCTTGCAAAAAGAAGCTTTCAGTCACCAAGTTATTTCACTGAGAAATCTTGAGATTTTGGCCGAAAAGTAACTCCAGAGTGCTTTCCTTAGCCTGTCATCTAATCAGTTCATCTACTCCTTCTGCATCTTGCTAAAATTCAAATTAATTGAGCCAAATAAACAACCTTAGATATTTAAATAGGCAGTACCATTTTTAGTATTATTTCTTTTGAACTTTTAGATAAATTATACATAAAGCCTATCTGTAGGGATGTACATGTTGCGGGGGGTGTTTACTGGAGAAAAGAATTTCTGTATTTCATAAGCAAAAATTGAGGTTAAATCATGTGAATAAAAGAGAAGTACACTCAGATACTTCCTAAATAATACAAGGAAAAATTTCGTGTTATCATATTAAGATAATTGTCATTGCTTTATGAACACAAATGAGATTTCATCCTTTTTGCACCCTCAGGAGAGAAGAGACTCATTAAGGAAAATTGATAAATTCAAAACACATCAGAAGGGGAATCTGTTTCATTAATATGCATTCTAATTACAACCATCAGTTTCTCTATAAAAGATATGATCACAGAGTTCTATTAGTAGTGAGCCACCCTAATGTGTGGTAACACCTAGAAGAAGAATAAATCGATGAGAATGAAGATAAGACAAAAACTCAATTTCTGTTCTTTTTATTTTAATTTTTTGATACATTATGTGATCCTGGATGTTAGAAGCTTTGCCTAATGACTAGGATATGAGTTAACATGGTTACCTTTTTTAAAAGTCTATTATCAGGTAACAATATTAAAAATTAAAATAACTCCCATGCTAATCTGATTCCCACAGTTGAGATGATAAAACAGTCACATAGTATGCTAAACACATGTTTTCCAGCAAGTAAGCAGCACAGAATGAGAGAAAAATTGGAGGGAAATTTTAGGGAACAGGCTGGTGCATCAGAAAAAAAATGGAAGTAAAAATTTAAAGGAAGATATCAATTAAAAAAAAAAGAAGAGAATTAGAAGTTCAAAAAATTTTTGTTGGAAAATTCCAAAATGAAGAAACTTAATTAAATATAAGTGCTCCAGGCAAAATGTAATAGATCAGATGTTATGAACAGATCCAAGCCAATTCCTAGTTTCTAGAAACTGTGAGTAAAGCTTGATTACATGACTAACCTTGAAACGCATGTGTACTAGGACATTGAGACCCATATGTAGAAATTAGGAAGCTATTTTCAAAAGGGCTGGAGATGTGAATGTAGGAATGAATAAAATGCTCACGTTATAACTGTTTGATGAGTATTTGCCCTCAAAAAGGGCTAATACCTCAAAATCAATATACAAATAGGAACCCATTATTTAAATTCCCTGGCCAACATCTCACCTTCTCCAGTCTGTGCAGTAATTTTATACATCAAAGAGACTCGAAACCTGAGCTGTAGTTTTCCATTTCTTTTTCCTTGCTCACTACAGTAGTCATCAATTCCCAAGTTTATCTTTTCACAATTTTGTCCCAATGCCTTTATTCCCATGGATATATTATTCTCTCCCCTAGAATATATCAAAAGGTCATTAGTTCTCCCTGCTTCTACTTTCTTCATCACTCTTAGCCTCCTTTGTGCAATGCAAGACTTATTAAACATTACCGTTATTACACTAGTGATATACCTCTTTAATATTCAGAAATTGAAGATAAGCCAAAAAAAGGAGAAAATTTTCCATATTATCCCCATTTAGAGTTAACTAGGATTAATCTTTTGGTGTACAGCCTACATTCCTATGCATATAAAATTCTAAGATCATACTATTTATACCATATTCATTTCCCTAAAGCAGTGTTTTGATTATTCACTGCCCAGACAGGCTGATAGTTAAATAGAAGCATGGCATTCTCCAACATATAGAGTCGCTTCTACCTTACTTCAGTTACATGCACAAACCACTGATTAAGTGAAATTCTTGTCCAAGCTGTTTCTTTAAAACAACTTGGAGTTGTATTTCCCACTATTGTGCCTTTGTTCAGTCAATCCAAATGATTTGGCCTTCTTACCACCTAGACCATTAGCCTATTTTTCAAGGCTCATTCAAACATGGTCTTTTCCTTGGCACCTTCCCTGACCTCCCAGTCTGAAATGATTCTGTCTTTTCTCTGAATTCTGCTCACCCTATGTTTGGACAGCTCAGGCTGCCTTGTCATTTTTTTTAATTTGTAGAGATGAGGTCTTAGCTATGTTACTCAGGTGGGTCTCAAACTCCTGGGCTCAAGTGATCCTCCCACCAAGTTGTCAATAATTTCAAAAGTTTTTATTTATGAAATGTTCTTACATACCTAAGAAATTTCCAGGCAGCTAAGTTTCATCTAATTTCCTAGTTTCTATTATTTTTAAAGCAAATTGGTTAATTTTTCGTTAAAATTTTAGTAATCTTTTTACACTCCTGGGAATATGAATAATTCTTGTCTCCTTTTAGACGTTTTCATTTTTCATTCTACCAAAACCCAGTCCAATGTATCATCTCCCTAGTGGTTATCATTCATGTTCTATTTCTCTTAAATTCTGTTGCTTTCCAGACATAAAAGAACTTTACTCTTAAATCATAAATAGCTGTGACATGTTCTGTATACCCTATTGTAATAAATACTCTAATACCACTAGCAACTTATGTATCTAAGCCTTGCCAGTTGCCCAAAGTAAATGGATGTTTGATTTTTCTTGATTATTATATATGCATCAAATTTAAAACACCTGAATGCCTTTGGTCAACTTTGTCCTTCAACCCATGACTGTTGTGCTTCCTTGTGGGTTTCCTAGACAGTAGAAAAATATGCATTTTATTTAATACTTTTAAGCATACTGTCTCTCTCTTTCTTTCTCTCTCTCTCTCTCTCTCTCTCTAGTTCTCACTCTTGCCTTCACTCCCACTTTTGCTCTCTGCTCTCTCTTCCTCTGTGCTCTTTCAGTCTTAAATTATTACAGTTTATGCAAAGAATTTAAATCTCATATCTTCTCCACTAACTTCTAATGCTTTTTAAGTGTCAGGGTACATATAATATTTGGGTAGACAAACCCTTCCATCTGACTGAAAAGAGTGATGGGGGAGTGATGGGGCATGACTGGAGAGGAAATCTGTATTTGAATGATGAAGGAACTCGTATTGCCAATAACTTGGATTTTGTTCTGTAAGTGAGATGGAGGCCATTTTTCTATCGCTTTTGCAGGGTGGAGAATAGATCTTGTAGGACAGATGATGGGGATAAGTGTAGAGACAGAGATCAGTTATAATGTTATAACAACATTCTAGGTCAGTTTTTCTTACCACAAAAAGAAATGTGTTTGACATTGTGACTTAGAAAAAAATAATTCTTTCTATCTGTGGTGAAGTCAATGTTCTCTATTCTATTCTATTCTGTTTGATTCGATTCGATTCAATTCTATCTTAATCACTTAAAATGCTGGTCTGGACAACCTAAATTAATTTAAAAACCCACTAGTTATACACAATCTGCAACTTGAAAACCACTCATTTAGATGAATGACAATGGAGGCCTAAACAAAGGTAGAGAGAAGATTTAAGAAAATGGAAACAAGATAGCTTGGTGATTAGTTGGGTTTAGGCACAAAGAAGAGCCAAGAATGACTAAAGGTTTTGTGTTGCTGGATGACGGTACATCAAATTGAGATATGGAGAGCATAAAAAATAGCAGTCCTAGGGTCAAAAAATAAGGGCTTTGAATATACTGAATTTGTGTTATCTGTAGCAAAGTTATATAGAGAGAAAAATTTAAGGATCGGAGATAGAGCTTTAGGAATGAGCATGTGGGTGATAGTTAAAACTTGAACGGGGCTGAAATCATTGATTTTGCATATCATGAGAGAGAGAAAACTGAGGTGTGATTCATGTATAAAACCATCATTGAAATGAGAGTCCAAGGAAGAGGATGCAATAAAAGTCATGGAGAATTAATCTCAGTAACAGAGCACTTACTGTCCTGAGAAAATATTTGTAATTGGGCTGTGTACCACATATCCCATTCTTTTTCTTAGGGTAATGTTTCACCATGAGGTGTCATTTCCATGTATATGTAAGTTGAAACTTGCTAAGTATATCTAAAACAGCGATAAGAATTAGCCAAATAGACAACCTTGGGTCATTTAGTTAAGAATTTAGACTTGGTACAAATGCAGTTATCACTTGATGGTTAAGCAGTGGATTACATAAGGAGCCAAGTTCTCTCTGCTGTATGTCATCTTTTCATTTTCCTTTATTTTGCTATTTCAGGAAAAGATAGTGGCTAGTATTAATCTTTGAGATGCTGTGCTTATATCCCTGGTTATCTGTTTTCAAGTAATTACCACTTTTCTAAAGCTTCTGTCTTGAAGCCATTTTTATGAAGTAAAATTAATTTGTCACTTGTTCCCCTCTGAATATGATCATGAAAGCTTGAAAATTCATTCTTAAGAAATTCTTATTGCCCAAGTAACTGTATTTGAGAAAAATGAATTACCATCTAAAATGTAACTATTTCTTTTTAAAGAACTTAGTAATTGCTGTTCTTTAGTATTATATTTTCCCTTCTACTGATAAAGTAAACTTAGCAGGCTTGCATTCTTTTATGAACTGCCAGAATAAATAAGAATATGTTACAGTCAGACTAAATAGTGCGACCAGTGATAAGAAAAAAGGGCAGCACTGATTATGGCTGAATAATTATTAGAAGGCAGGCATGGCAAAGAAGCAGTGGTAGAAAGTGAAGTGTCTTCAGTCAGAAAATAAAGAAATGATCGAAGTAGGAGTAGAATTAAGAAGTCCAGAATCTTAGCAACATAAAGTTGAAGCTGTTATATTTTTTTATAGTAGACTTCGTAGCAGCTGCTATGGGAAATGCCTGCAAGGCCAAAGACACTGAGAAGCTTCTTGCAACTCAGACAGTCTTTTATGCGGGGATAAAAAAAAAAAATGGAAGAAAGGGGAAAATTTAGGCATGACATAGAATGGGCTGTTCTGTGTTTCGCAATGAGAACACATTGTTAAATACACCTGAAAAACAACCGTATAATTTGCTTTTGATTCTCTTGGGCTATATTTTAGGTATCAAATAGCATTTCTAAGCTGTTTTAAATGCTGCCATCTTTTAAAATGTTTTTATATTTTTATGTTTTGTATTTCAGCTATGAAGACGGCCAAGTGGGAGATGCAAATATTAATACACAAGAAGGAGGCATTCACAAAGAGATCCTCCGAGTAATTGGTAATCAAACTGCTACTGGTTAAAGGACCACCATTTAATTAACATGATTCGAAAGCCTTCCTCGGGTTCAAAGCTGGATTTTGAACTGAAGAAGATTATAAAATTATTTATTGTTATTATAAACAAAATTAACCCTTTGAATACTGATTTTTTTTCTTAGTATTTCTAAGTATCTCATTAAATACCTAAAATGGTATAAGATTTATCAATTGTAGGGTTATGGAATCTAGTAATAAAATTTCAACAGCACTTAAACTGAAGTTTGGGTTGCTCATACAATAAACAGATTGAAAAAACTGTTTTGTGCTGATATTTTTATACTAAACTCTTTAACTGGATATTTGGTATTATATACCGACATTTTAGGTTACCAAAATAGAATTGAGAACATTTTATAATGGCATCTAAATCTATCAGATACTTTGCAATAAGTATACTGTTTGCACATTCTGATGTGCTATATCATTAGTAGTATGGGCATTCTAATGTTTTGGAAGGGGTGTTCCCTATTCTATTTTTCTTCATAAAAAAAGAAGTAGGTCTTAGAAGCAGTGCTTTGCCAAAAAGTATGTAATATACACATCTATACATTCATGCATCAAAATGTGTGGTTGTGAATATATTTGTGTATATTCACACGTATGTTTTGACAAGAAAGATGGCTTAGCTTCACAATTCTATCCTCGTTTAATGGAAAGAAGATAATATTTAGTAAGCAATAAATTTGGACATAAATCAAGATATGAGCCAGATTTACCACCATTCATTCACTGAAAATATTTGCAGACAATTTTTCTGTTTGTCTGAAGAAATTCAGCCCTTTTAAAATGTTATCTAAAAGTCATAATTTGGGGAACATACATGGCCTGGTAGACCGAATCTATATTCAAATGATTATGTATTTAAAAGAAAGACCTCAGAATTTAAAGAAACCATATATATTTTTTATTTACTACAAAAAAATTATACAATTTTATTTATGCCACACCAGCATTTTTATATTTGTTCATCTAATATCTCTGCTTATTTTTTTCATATTGAGAAAGAACACAAACTTGATGCTTCTTTTATATTAAAAGACCACAAATAAGTTTATAGAGAACAGTAACACCAGCTCTCAGCATTTCCTTTTCAAGAGTCATAATTTCATCAAAATCATTTCTTATTCTTTGAGTCCTAGAGTTCTTATTCATCAAGTTTTAATTGACAGTGTTTATTTTCCCACATGTTGTCTTTGGAATAAGGCCATTCATGAAAGCAGTTTAATTAGTGAGTCTGCCACTCTATTCAAACCCTGAATCAAGGCTCTATCTGATTTTAATTTATGTAAAAAAAAATAAAAATGTATAGTCATTTGCAAGTATAATGTGATAACTGCTGTGTTTATTTCCTTTGTCTGGCATAAAAGGTGAGAAAAAGGTCATACATGTTGTTAAGGGTAGCAGTTTAGGAAGTGTTTTCTAATAATTTGTTTTGTTATATTGCAAATAATTGATATGCCACTTATTTCTGCAAGAAAAATAGGCTTGAAGTGGTTGGGATATTAATCATTTTGATAGTATCTACTTAAAGCATTGATCTGTTTTGACTTGTGGCTCTGAACCCTGGGCTAGGCTGAGGGATAATAGTAGTGGAGTAGGGCAAAGATATAATATCCTATCCAGTGTTTTGTGACCACTTATTTGAAGATTAGTGTGGGACATGAGGACCTTGCTACTTTTTTGCCAAGATGCTGCAAGTCTCCCAAATCACTTCAACTGTGTTTTTAAAACATGTTTAAGCAACAGAATTATTTTTTTGAAATTAGTCTATACGTTAGACAGTCTATACATGACAAACATGAAGATCTAATATCAAGATTTGGGAGACGGGATCTTGGAACTCCACCTGTTTGACCACTAGGACCACTGAGGCACCTCCAATAAGCTCTGTAGAGTGCCTCCAGCATAATTCAAAATCCACTGACCTAATCCATTATGGCTTTACTTAACATTGGAGTGATCCGTAAAGAATATAGTATTGGAGTCTGAACTGGAACGGTAACTCGTAAGACTCAAGAAAGACCGTTTAAGGAAAATTGGCATAATACAAACTGTTCCTGTTGACTTAAGAATAACAGTAGGTTCACCTATCTGAGGAAATTAAGTAGTTGATAGTTTAATGCTAGGCATCTTTTATGATAATAAAGTAAGATGTCTTCTTATGACAGTTAATTGAGTTGTATCATGATACAGAATGACAGATTTTGTTTCAAACAATTGCGTCAGAACCTTTGTAAGCAAATATTCTAAGGAGAATCAATCTTATTTTTTAATTGAACTTTTTGAAATTAGGGATACTATAATAACTGATAAAGATGAATTTCTGTGTTTCTAAAGAATCTAATTTCAATTACTACCATTAACATATAAATGTGCTTCCAAAATCCAAGCAGGTCCATACAATTTAGAGATTTGAACACTGTTATCATGCTTTAATTCAGTCATTCATTAAAATATTATCTATTCACTTATTTGATGATTCCAAACATTTGATATTGTATTGTGTTTTTATAATTATTTGAAATCTGTTCACCAATGCTTTGTAATGGTTTTATTAATTGTGTAGCCATTGCTACTTAGATAGTAACCCACTGAGCAAAGGCAGTCATTTATTTTCATCCTTGAAGTAGGGGAAGAAAATTATTAATTTATTAGTTCTACTTTTTCCTGCATTGCTTATTTTGTAAACATTTTACTATGAATAATCTGTTCTCTTTCACTGTATTAAAAGGAGAAGAAAATGAACATTTGAGAATGGAAAAAAGTAATAATATACAAATAATCTAGTGCTATAAAATGCATTATAGTAAGACACTTTTGGTGTCTTCGAGTGCACTATGTTGGAATAAATTTTATACTTGTTGCTTAGTAAATCTCAGTCATACGTTTGGTTTGAAGCTGTTTTTTTTTTTAATTTGAAGTTTAATTTTAAAAGTGCCACATTGTAAAAGTTACCGTTAAATACTATGTAGTATAAAAAACCAACCCAAGCTATTGTTAATGCTCTGAATGTTTTTCTTTGAAAATTTAAGTTTAGAGAAGAAATTCCTTCATTTTTCTCCCCTTTGCTAAAAGAAAGAAAATCTATAATATGTAAGTCTATGAATCTTTAAATAACTGAAGGAATTTTAGCAGTACTTTGTATAATAAAAATATTTTTTAAACTATAACTTGCCTTAGAGCATGGGGTTTCAGAAAGTTTTGACGAAAAACTCATCTTCATTAAAGAGTCTGGATAACTTCATCAGATGGTAATTTAATATGTCATGAAGGGGACACTCAACATTGGGTCATCTACCGTCTAAATAAATACGGATTTCATGGTGGCATTTGAAGCACATTTTGCAAACATTATGATGTTCTATTGTCTTGCTGAATTCTTTATTATAACACTACCTCAAGACAAATGATAGACTGTTGGTAAGGTAAATTGGGTTTTCAATGTCAGGAACAAATAAAATTTTGCAAATAGAAGTCATCAAATAATTCAACAGGAAGACCATACTGGACACAGATGTTGTCAGTTACTTCTGGACAATGTGGTAACATGGATATTTCAGTCACTGGTAACAATGTCAGGGTTAACACCCAATGAATTATTTGAAACAATTTGGGTTGCAAAATTTGAAATTAATTAGTCTATTTTGAGATTGATTTTCTACGTGGGCCAATTTTATGTCCATTACCTAAAGCCACAATCTCCCGCTCTAAGGAGTTAAAGGATGAAAACACCCAACTGCTACACTGGAATGGCAGACTGGATATTCAAGCATTTTGGCATTTAATGCCTGCTAAATTTTTGTCCGATTATATATAGATTTGATGTATATTATTACCCAGTAAATTCTTCTTGGGAATTTTGTATACATTATGGAATATTAGGATAAGTTTTTGTAGGTCAGAAGAATTTCAAGTAGTTTTTAGACAAAACATATCCATGAGTGTGAAAAAAGCTGTGTTGACGAATAGATTACATTTCACATTTACCAGCAAGTCAGTAAAAAATAGTGCTTATTTACATAGTCAATATAATTTAATGTTCTAAAAATAATATCTTCGATCTGCCCAATATTTAATGTATCATTTGAGATTTTTAAAAATGCATCCGCTCCATTATGTAAACATTAAGATATGCCTATGTTTCTTTAACTATACAGCCTCTTTACAATAAATTTCTTGATTTTTGTGCACAGGATAGTATTGCAACCTGCTATTTAGCCTTTGGTGCCTTAGAATTATTATAAATATTTAACAATATGTACATAATGTAAATACTGCCAAGAGATCAGTAAGGCCAAATATTTTCTCTATTCACTTTTTATTGCTCTTGCTTTCTATTGCTACTAAAGCCTCTTTTATCCAGCTTTGTAATAGTTCCAACATTGTAGCGAATGTAAATGTTTACTTTCAATAAATCTGAACTTGTTCAACAAGTACGGTATATGTGGGCAGTATTTTGAAAACTCAGTTAGGCTTTAGATTCTCCTCTTGATGAACCTTGCTTCTAGGGGCTATGTATTTGAAGGTCTCAAGAAACTCTAAAAATGATGTTGCCCTTTTTGTTTTTAAAATGAGGGAAAAAAAGAAAGTCTTTTCAGTATTCCCCAGGTATTTTCAATAGATTTAAATTGATTGTATGAGTGCCGTTTTAATTTCAAATTCTCTCAAGAAGTATAGCAGTGAAACAAAAGATTCTTGTATGTTTGTACGTGTTTCAGTTTGTAACATCTGGCCATGATATCTAAAGGAGCATTTCAAATGAAATGTCCTGAATTTTCTAAGCATTTTTGACCTGATAAGTAATCAGAAAATGATTTTTAAAGCACCACTTTTTATAAGATACATCTTATTAACTGAATAAGATCTCAGTCCATAAATAAATATGGTCCTGTAAACCCATTAATAGTAAAAAATTATGAAGACCTTATTGTATATTCTTACAGTAAGTAAAATAATTTTTTATTCATGATATATTCATAACTGAGAAGCTTTAGATAGCAAACTTCTTTTGTTTGACTTGATTTCAGTTACTCTAGAAATACTTGTTGGGAGTCTAGTATGCATTTTTGACAGTAAGTATAAGGAGTAGAGAATATTAGATTTTGTCTTGCCCTTAAGGAAACTTCAATTTTTTTGTGAAAAGAAAGCAAACACATTTGGAAATAATTGTAGAATAGTACAAGATGAACAATGCAGAATGGAAAAGACAAATGCAAGCAAAACTTGGGGGAAAGAACAAACCATTGCATTCACTGAATGAAAACTGCACCCTTAATATCTTGAATCCTTAAATTAGTACTACTGAGTAATGTTGTTAATATTATTTCCATTTACTTATTCACCAGACACCTCACAACTCTAAAACAAAACCTAATACTCTCTTGGCCCTTATACTGACTGTCAAGATGCATCCTAGGTTCTTAACAAGTATTTCTAGAGTGATTGGAATCAAGACATGTACTTTGTTTTTGATAATACATATATTAGAAAGCACTTAATTTTTTGTTGATTTTTTAAATTTCTAATGATGTTTGTTACTCCCGTGACACTTATCTGTCCTCCTCATGGAAGCTGGCCAGAGCATAGTTCTAACTCTCCAGTTAACTTAATTTACCTTTCCCAGTCCCCCCACTTTTAATGACCACTGGCTAGCCTGATAAAATCACCTGTGCTTTTAAAAACCATGCAGGCTGCTTTATTGGAAAGTCAATGTTAAGAATTACTCAAAGTGTCTGAATTTATTTGGCCTCTATTTCTGTTCCCAACTTCTGGGTCCCTCTTTTTAATTATTTCAAATAACAGTGACTTGTAACATGGATCTAAGAAGACTGATCTTTTCAAAGATATCCAACATGTATATATTTTTAAAAAATCATGTATTCTTCATTTTCAGATAAAAGTTTTGATTAAACAGTTTTTACTTTATATAGCACTTTATAATTTAGAAAGCACTTTCACATAGACTGTCTTATTTTCTCTTCAAAAATAAGACAATGTAGAATGTACTTAGTAGGTATCCTGGTATCACAGATGAGAAGCTAATCACTTTCCAAAGAGGTCACTATGCTCCAAAGCTAGCATCAGGGATTCTGAGTCTCATCTCTGAGCTTTCTAATAAACCAGGTTTATTACTGCTGAGATCCCATCTTTGCAAGACTCATAGCAAAGGTAAGAATTATAGGAGACTAGTGAGAAGAGTCAGTGAAGACAGAGTGCTGACTGCCTTCAAGAGCTGTATCAGGGAAACCTGAAATACCATTGTATAGGCTGGGTGTGATTTTATTCTAGAGAGCTTGGAAGGAAAGAAGTCTGCACTTGATGTAATTGGCAATGGAAAAATCATTGTCAGCCCTTGGGTGAGTGACATGAAAGGGGGGGTTTAGAAGCATGTTGGCAGCTGTATGCAGAGAGGATTTCTGAGAGGGAGGCAGAAAGCAAGAAGAAATATTAGGTATCTCTTGTAGTAATTCTGACAGGAATGAAGACTTAAGAGAAGAAGGACTGAGAAAAAGGATGGATATAAGAAACAGTAAGAGAATATTTAGGAAAAAGAAGTAGGAAACGAGATCCAATTTATAATATAAATTGAGAATAATTTCCCTCTTGATTTTTTATTGGAGATCGATTAAGATTCTCCCATAGCATTTAGTATTCCGAGAAGGACTGACTGAAGACAAATGACTTGGCTATGCTGGCTCTACACTAAGAAGCCTGTGAGCACATATTCAGCCATGTGAAGGGAAAGAAGAGAGAAGGAGTATTCTGAATCACATGGAGACATGTTTGAGAACAAATCTCCCCTACACCTGTAAAACCAGGCTTACTAAATACTGAGATCTGTAAGAGAATGGTTGCAGTAGTGCAGTAAATCTCCTTTCTGTTTTAATGTGATTTATTATTTCCAAGATCTATCGTGTGTGTGTGTGTGTGTGTGTGTGTGTGTGTGTGAGAGAGAGAGAGAGAGAGAGAGAGAGAGAGGCATTTTAGCCTGGGGAACACTTAGGACTCACCACCCAGAATGGTGGCATCCTATTCTTTACACTCAACTTGAAAGACACAACCCACTGTGAATGGCTCCAACTCTGACCTGTAGTCTGATGAGTCTGATGACTCTTAAATCTGCAGCTCTTCTTTGATCTTTCCCTTGAGCTTCAAAATTACATGATCAAATACCTCCAAACAAACATCTCTTCCTGAATGTTCCCGGGACACCTCAAACAAACTCTAACAAATGTCCCCACCCCCCACCATTCTACTCCTCTTCTTGCACTGTTATCAACGAACCAAAGAATGGCCACACCTTCCACCTGTTTGCCCAAGTGAGAAGAGAAATTATCCCCTATCCCCTTCCCTTTCACCCAGTCCCATCCTCCAATCAATAGCTAAGCCTTGTTAATTTTTCTTGTTGAGTGTCTTGATGATGTGTTCAACAACCTCGTTCTCTCCTGTGACTTCCTTTGCTAACATTCATGTAGGTTATAGCAGTATCCTTGACTTAATCCAGTACCCTTTACCGGGAACAAATTCAGCTAGCACATAGTACACTTACGATTGGTAAAATACTGAATGCCTCTGTATGTTAGTAAATAGACATCCAGCCCCATATTGCCCAGATGCAGCAACAAAAATGTTAGCTTAACACACAGAGGACGGACCTTCCTCCTGTACTTTGCCCCCTGCTAAATAGGCTATGACTGGCTCTACCTCCTTCCTGACCCTTTGCCCTCTCTTAATGCTGAAGCTAAAGTGATCTTACTGAAATGAAAATCCAATTTTGTAATTCCTTTGTTTAAAATCCCTTCAATATCTCCCAGTTTCTCACTCAGTAAAAATTTCTCATCAAACCTTTCACACATGACCCTTCATGGTCAAGCCCCTGCTTCCCTCTCATCCCTCTCCAGCCTCATTTTCCACCACCACCTTACACTCAGCATTGCAACCCCACTGAATTCTTGGCAGTTCCAAGAACAGCCCATTGCTTCCCACCTCTCACTTGCTTTTTCTTTCTGCCCCAGTCACCATTTCCAATTTATACTTCTTTTGACTCTCAACTTATTCCCAGTCTAAACCAAATGGTCCTTCTAGATCTTTTCCAAGTATCTGGCCATAGTTCATCTATTTCACTTAGCACACAGTGTTGAAAATGTTTATTGATTTGCCTGCTTTTTCCCCCCAACCCGGCTACCCTTCCTCCATACCACCATGCACAGATTATTTCCAGTACCGACTAAATGTTTGGGACTTAAGTGGGTGTACACATACACAATATTACAAATGTCTATCTGAGAAAAACAGTCTTCAAATAAAGTGGCATTAAAGCTGAAAATCTTAGATATGTCTTCTATTGGTACATACTAGATTCATACATCTAAATAAATACCCATGGTGGGGACATGTCAAGCCAAGGCTATCACTGTTCTGATCACCATCATCACTATCATCCTGGGCATCATTTCCAGCTCTATCACCTGCAGGAAAATGTAGGAACCTCATAATGTTGGCAACATCTACACTCTCTCTTACTCTTGAAGTATATATTTGCATTTTAACTTTAGAGCAAGCAATACCTGGATTGGAAGGTCGCTTTGAGGGCCCAGAATGAAACATAAAACTAGATACTTACAAATTTATAACTTAATGTCAGTAATTTGCATAACCAAAGGATCATTGCTTTGCTAAATAATTACCTTAAATAATGAGCTTCCCTAACATACTTGAGTTCATTTACAGGTCATTAACTACTTGACATACAAGAAAGAGAGCTACTTTAAGCTATAGTACTAATATTCATTACTAGTAATAATAAATCAGTGATGGAATTAAGCACATCTGTAACTATAAGTCAATGGGAAAATACAGTTTCTTCCAAGGGAATTGCATTCTTCTAACATAGTATAAATTGTAACTAACTTGAATTTTATTACACATTTTTCTCTGTCAACCTCTAACTTAATTTTTGCTGCCCTGAAATTGGGAACATTTCTATTCTTTATGTGTTTCCTGGTTAACTTCTGGGATACATATTTCTTAATAGTTGTAGGCTTACAGCATAGTCAATTTTCTAGTTCTAATAACAGCAGCTCAGGAGTGGAATAGTTTTCTGTAGTGTATTATTTGGATTCTTTTTCTTTGAGTTGCTGCCTGTTGCAAATCTACCCATAATTCAAGGTCAAGTTCATGTACCCCTGAGTACATGAATACTTGTACTTTTCATCTAGCCATAAAAGATCTCTCTCTGCTCCAAATACCTGAAACATTTTGTAGCTCTCCTGGAGCACTGATTTATAGCTATCACTATTTCTAGGGCTCTTTTTGTAAAAAATTGCATTCCTGAACATAATGCTCTACCACAACTAACAATTTCTCTCTGTTAATGTTATACTTAATTCTGAAAGTTTAACCTGTTAAATATTCAGCGTTTAACTTTTTAAAACCTTGTAATTAAATAGCATTTTACATTTCAGTTAGTAGTATTGAAGGAAGTGACACAGTGAGTCCAGACACTGAACTGAAGGCAACCACAGTCTCTTCACTTATTTGATAATGTCTCCACTTCTACACCACCAGGATGATTTGTAGGGAGTAACAGGGCAGAGTTACCATTGAGCCCCATACTGTAACAATTTAATGAATAACAGATCCATCACTTTTGTTTCATCCTTTCTATGGGAGTTTTCCTAAATTTTGGGGGGTAAAATAGTCTGGTTTTTCACTGGACCTGAGGCAAGATATTAAGTTGCATATTGACACTCAGAAAACATCTGACAAATGCACAGGTTACCTTTTAATATATGGAAGTTTAAAAAATATATGTGCAAGCAAACATTAAATTTCATAAGCATATTGATTTAGTTTTGTAATTGATGTCATCCATTTATACAGATTAGGCATGCTATTTTAGCTTGCATTTTGAGGGTTTGGAAGAGTGTGCCAGCACATTTTCCCATCAAAATAGCAGTGACAATTTCTTACTATCTTATTTCTCTCCAAGGTACCACCATCCAAAGTCACAAGGTTGAAAACCATTTCCTTGCCTTCCCCATCCACTCAGCCCCCAGGAACTGTCAAGTATCTATCCAAGATACCCCTGACTTCCCTGGACCGGTACAATATTTGTCAGCTCTGATATTTTCACTTATTTATTCAAAAGACTTTTTTAGTCCATGATATGTACCAAGCTCTAACTAGTATTCTCTAAAAGCTCATCTTTCAAAAAGTAGTTCTTGCCTTAAAAAGAATCTTCAGTCTATAAAAGAGTATATATGAGAAGCAGTTACAATCCAGTATGATGCATGATGTTGTAGGGTAGGTACATGGAAGGAAACCTCTCATTGAGTCTTAAAGACCTTGTCAAGGTACTGTCCCATGCAATAAATCCTGTGGCTGTCATTGCTATAAAGACTACACATCCTTGTATGTAAGCCCTCTATGAAGAAACTAAACTGTTCTCCATCTTTTTTAAAATGTGTGACAAAATCACTTCATATACCTTTTATTTTCAGTCAAGCCAGGGTTCCCACTAATTCCAAATCTACAAACTATAGACTCTCTTAATTCTATGCCTTTCCTCACTCCGTTTCTCTTTTATTTGAATCATTCTACCCATTCTCACTGTCAGAAGAGTTGATTTTAATTCTCCTTCCTTAAAATCTCAAAGGAAATCCAACTTCCTGTCTGAAGCCCCTCACCAGGCATAATCTTTCTTCCTTGCAATCTCATAGCTATTAACACAAACATATCTTGGGTCTGGGGGACATCTGCTGTGAGTAACAGCACCAGCATTTCTTCCACAAGCTTGGAAGCTCCTATGGGTAAGAAACTGTATATGTTTATTTCCTGGTGTCCTCCACCACCCCAAGTAAGTAGTGTGTTATCAGCAAGTATGTTGGAGTGAATAAACTTTTAAAACGTAATTTGAAAACTCTGTAGACAAAGCAGTATTATTGTATGCCATCATCACATTCTTATGTGATTTCTGCCCTTCCACACCAATGGTACCAAACTAATCTGAGGACAGATAATATATCTAAACTCTGTTTTACAAATTGAGTACAGCAAAATGGCTGCCTTTTGTACAGATAGCAACTGGAAATCCCCTCTCAGAAAAAAGGAAAAATGTCGAACCTCAACCCAAGATCCTGATTGTTCTTCATGTTTCTTATTTTGCCTTGGGCATACAGCTGTCTGATGCCTTCCTCACAGCAAAGCTTAGCCTGGCCTGGTTGAAATTAACATGTTTGTTGGCTACAGAAGTGAGAGTCAAAAGGAGAAGCTAAACCCTGAGACTCCTTTCCTGGAGAGCTCTACGGCCTCCAGTCTCTGCTGACTCCTGCCCTCATCTGCACTGGCACAGACTTCCTGTTTTAGCTTCCTTTATGAAAGTCTCAAGAGACTCACTGAAATGGATACTTCGGTCTCTGTGTGGCTACTTTTTCTTCTGCAGGTGAAGAGTCTTGCGAAGGGGTCTTGCGAAGGGGTCTTGCGAAGGGGTCCCCAACCCAAGAGGTTGAAGTTTTCTTGGAGAAGAAAACTTTTGGAGTTTTCTGAGGGCATGATTGGAGAAGCCCTTGGAAAACAGCAATGTATTTTCCTTTGTTAATGTGAAACATTAACAGAAGAGCAGCCTTGTGTTTTCCTTTGTTGATGTGAGGTGAGAAGCTGAGGGAGGGTAGACGCCTGAATTTTATTCCTCACACAGGCAACAGAGGAGGGAAGCCCAGGTCAAAAACAGCAGTGAGAGGGACAGAGACGGAGCACATGGAGGCCTCTGGGATAATCTGGGCACCCTTTGAAACCAAGAAGAGTATCAAGAGAAATTTGTTTCTCAGCCCTCTACTTAGAAGCCCCATATAAACCCTAACTCTATTCCACGCTTATTTTTCATGCTACTTTGTACAAATATTCAATTTTTGTTTAAATGCTTAGTAACTTGCTTGGTTGTCTTCATAGCTCTGCTGCTTTTATTCCTTTGAAATTGTCAAGTTATTCAAGTCCAAAAAAATTACATGTTTATTTTTCTGTGATGTTTCATTTTATTTATCTGTATAAATAAGCTTTTTCCTCAGCATGACTATAACCACACGTCTACACACATCCTCACCTCCACAACTGCCCTGCAAGCATCTGTGTTGTCGACGTATTTTCAAAAACATCAGTCTGCAAGGTGACAAGGTAAAAGGTTGGCCCATATTGGGTTGTGACACTGTTGACAAGGTGTCACCACCTCAGGAGTTGCAGACAAAAGGCAAGCAATGTGAGTACAGCTTAGGAATCCAGCAACCAGCGTGATTTTCTACGTGACCACCAATAGACCCCACAACAACCGAGAAATCAAAGTGAAAATGTTTAAAGGCAGTGACGGTGGCTGACGTTTAATAAAGGTGGCAAAGACAAGAAGTTAAATATTAAGTTCAGGCTACAAGATAGCAACTTCTCTTCACAATGGAACTATCTAGTATATTCAGTTTGTCAAAGAAAACCTGTAATTCACTTATTCACCTTCTGTTTTCCTGGAAGGTGTAGAATGGGCTGCTGGGCACAGAGTATGCATGAGATACTCTAATTAATTATACAGTTTTTTTCTGAGATTTTTGAGACCTACATGATTTGATCCCTCCCATGGATCCAACCTTATCTCCTATCACCTCTCCCTCTCAACTCCCTGAACTGAATCATTTTCCTTTTTTCTGTATGTCCTCTCAACACAACATGGGCCCATTCACTCTCAGGAGGCCCCCAAGTCATCTTCCTTGCTTAGAGGGTCCTCTTCCTCTGTCCTCCAGGTACCAGGTTCCTGTAAATACCTGCAGGCCTAAGCTAAGGTCCACCCCCTCCATGAACTCTTTTTAAACTATAACCTCTATTGTTTAGAGGGGCATTGTGAGTTTTTATTTTCTCTCCCTAATATTTTATAAAGTCCTACATGGAAAGAAATATCATTTATACTTTAGATTTCTGCAAAGGTCAGCATACAGCAAGAACTCAATAAACAGTTATTGAATGAGCAAACTGAATTGACCAGCTAATTGAATGTTAAGAGAATGAGAAAGTTAGGATTTGAGGAAGACTGGATATGTAGCCGAAAAATGTCTATATTAAAAACATTTAGTCATTCCTACTTCTCTGCCCACACAGCACTCAGATATACTTCTGCTTAAAGTTTTCTCACAAATGTAATTCTTCATACAATGATGTCTCTTTGTGTTTTGTGAGATCAAAGCACTGGAGTTATTCACCTGTGTCTTGTGCTTTAGCCCAGGGCCTGATACAGACAAGGCACTCAATATACCTTGATAAATGAGCTAGTTACCCAGTGAAAAAATAAATTAAGTGAAAACAAGATCAAATTTGGAGGCCTCTAAGCAATACCTACTCACGTCTATAAGGAGATTATGTCGTGTATTGAAATTACTCCTCTGGGTCCCAGGGGAAATACATCCTTGGACTAAAAAGGATAGTTAGGATGTGGATGCTTGGAGGAAGGAGGGGGCAGGTGTTCTAAGTAATGAGACCTACCTGAAAGCCTTCATGAGAGTGGAAACCCTTAAAGTGTGCAAGCTTTTGGAAAGGGTATAGTTTCCATTCATTCTATTCCTTTTTGGTGCCGGGATTTGTGTCATCTTACTCTAGCTCACTATGTTTACTTTGAATTTGCCTTTCTCATCATTGGTGGCTTCCCTTGTTGTCTCCACTCTCCTCTTGAACTCCAATTATCCAGAAATGCAAACTGAAGGTGGACAGAGAATGAGAGATCCGGGAGTCAGCCTAAAGGCCAGGATGCTGGGTTAAGGGCTTATTTCTCCTGACTGAATGAATCAGGGATGAAAATTAGGGCATGTTCTAATAGGATATAGTAAGCAATTTGAAGCATTTCACTACATCTGAATAATTTTTAAAAATGGGAATAGCTACTGTGGCCCAGGTACTGTGCTAGGCACTGGGGGGATGCAAAGGTGGAGGCGCCTCAATCCTTGCCCTTCAGCAGTGTGCAGACTCTGCAGTGCTTTTAAATAAGGATGACGATGATGATGACCAACACTATGTACAAGGCATTGTTCTCACCATGCCACATGCCTTAGTTCATGTAATAGTTAAAATAATCTTTTAGGTTGATACCATTATTATCCCCTTTTTATGTATTAGAAGACCAATGCAAAAAGACAGCAATTTGCCCTAGGTTACATATTCAGTGAACAGTGGAATCAAAACCATCCAATTCAAGCTCACATTTTTAACTGCTCTGTGATTTTGTCTCCCTCACCCTCTGCTCAGCACAGTTCCAAGCACAGAATCCACATGCCAAAATGTTTACTGAACTGAATCATTTTGTATGCAGTGTTCATACAATCTCTCCATCCATATTTTTTGAATCAATTTTGGCATTTAGAATGGCTCAGAAAAAGACATTGGCCAGGGAGAAAATCTTTATAGGAATAAGAGGAACAGCTGCTAATCTAAATGCTACTCATAACACTCAGAGAGTTTGCCAACAAGTTCAACAGAATCTTGGAAATGTCTGCTCCAGAAAAGCTTGCGATCAATTCCAATGCCCATCTCATGCCCAGATTGCACAAGGGAAATCCAGTGATCCTCTCATAGAGTGTTGAATGCAACATCTGCAAGAAGGGCTGTTGGGACAGGCTCTGTCCTGCAAAATACAACAGAATGAAACCTGGAAATTGTCACAACAATTTACATCACCTGGAATACAGTGACACTGATAATCCTCAGGACTATGAAGCCTTGGAATGATATGAGATTTATGAGGCCTAAAGCAAAACACCAGAGAAAATTCAATATGTATAGAGAACTCAAATGCCCACACGAGGGAAGTGAAAGCTATGTTCTGCTTATTTGACATCATGTGATAAAACTGCCATTCAAAGTGTCTTCCTGTGAAGCAGTTTGTCAGAGTTGTGGAAGGAACCGTGAGATCAAAATGACTATTTATTTTGTACCTGTTTCCATTTATCTATTAAGGTAATCAAGATGTATATTGGCCACTTATAATGTGCAATTGCCACAAAAGGAGTTAGGAATACAGAGATGAAATAGAATGAAATGCTTAGACTGTTTTGTGAAGGCTGAGAAAATGTTTCTGATTTTTCACCACGGTTCCAAACCTGGGCATTTTTGCCTTAGAATCCATTTTGCACTCTTCCTCTGCTGTGCTCTGTACCACTGCGAGTTACAAACCTACAGATGACACTTCTCAGGCTCTTTTCATCGAGGGTTTCCAAATTAACTAATAACAATAGAAAGGACTGATTGATTGAAGAACAGGAGAAAGGAGCAGCCAGGGTATTTCTCCCTCAGTTTGTTCCTGTGATGGCCTCTCCAATAGAAGCTGTTTCTCCCACATGGTTTCAGGTAGCTTTCAAAGGCTAGTAGCTTTCATAGGCAGGTAGTCATGGTTCCAGTTTATGAAGGGTGACCACAGCTCCTGGCTCTTGCAGCATCACCTCTTTCAGCTTCCCCAGTCTTGGGATGCTGGTGATTTCCTATTATTAACTTCTGGCTGCTTCCATGGGCCCTGTTTGGATTCTAGTCTCCTCCATCACCTGAATTACCAATACTCCGCTTTAAACCCCCTCTGTTGTAAATATTCAAAATACTTTCTATTTTAGAACCTGATTAAGATAACTGCTGTATTTTCTGTGCCTAGAACAGAGTCTACCACATGTTTATTTGTGAGTCTACCACACACACACACATATATATATAATTATTTTTTTCTTTTTGAGACAGTCTCACTCTGTCACCCAGGCTGGAGTGCAGGGGTGTAATCTCGGCTCACTGCAACCTCTGCCTCCCAGGTTCAAGCAAGTCTCCTGCCTCAGTCTCTCGAGTAGCTGGGATTACAGGTGCAGCCACCATGCCTGGCTAATTTTTGTATTTTTATTAAAGATGGGGTTTCACCATGTTGGCCAGGCTGGTCTCAAACTCCTGACCTCAAGTGATCCATCTGCCTCTGCCTCCCAAAGTGCTAGGATTACAGGTGTGAGCCACCACACCCTGCCCTAACACATATTTAAATGAACAAATAGATAAATGGGGTGAAATAGTTGTACAGGTTGTTATAATACATACACATTATACATGATTAAATGGATATGCACTACAGGGACATAGAAGAAAAAAATTCTTGGTGTGTTTGAGAACTTAGGAAGATCTGAATTTTGAAGAAGAAATTTTCAGGTGAACAACAAGCAATGCTTTTCAAGTATTGGAAAACATGAGTCGAACAAAAAGACAAAAAAGAGAAAGGTATGAGAGCTCAGGACCCTACTTAGTATTTCCTCACAAGTAGGATATAAAATTACTGTCTGAGTATTATGGGAGTTAAATTAAAAGATGATCAGGTTTAGACTACAAAAGAATTCATGTCCAACCTAAGGAGTTTAGATTTATCATGAAGAACTACTGAAAAATTACTAGCAAGGAAATTACATAAGCACGCACAAAAAACCCTGATATCCATGATATGCCCATTCTAAAAGCAAACAAGCATTTTATAATCATTGAATGTCCACTATTTTATTTTGTGTCACAAAAAAACAACTTGGGGAAATATTTTATCTAGTTAAAATGATTTTCAATGGTAATGGATATTTCAGTTTGAAGATGCTTTTATAAATACTAATTAGTTAATACTCTCAGATTTTATAAGATTGTATTACAATAAACATCAACCACCTTTTGTTTTGTTTTTAACCACTGATTCATCATCTTATAATGTCAGAGTTGTGCTTCTTAAACAGGCTGCCAGATGGCTGCAATATGACAGTCACCTAAAACTCCACAAGAATGTCATCTACAGACTAAAATTATAGAGAAATTGGGAAAGCAGATGACAGGTTATTAGGAAGTCTTGTTTTTACAAATGTGTTAATCTGGAAGCTTTGCTAAGTTTACATTGTAGCCCCAATTACTGGAAGGAATACCTGACTTATTGCCTGTGCATATGGAGGAGTGGTAGCCAATAATGATAACTTGGATTTGTGAAGCACAGAGACTGTAGCATCACCTGCTTTGAAAGATTTTTAAAAATATTTTGTTGCCATTTGAATTTAGATATGATTGGCTTAAATGCCTAGGTCAATGCACTGTGGAAATCCAAAGCCTTACTCAAGATTTCTGTAGACTGTTCATGTAAAGAGATCTCCTTCACCTCCTGGACCCTGATGTATACAATTTCTGTGCTATTAAATCCTTTCAGCCACCTGTCCCTGGGGTTTCCTCACTGGCTCCTGATCAGCTATACATGCCACTATATTTCAGCTTCCTCACTAGAATACTTAATAAGGAATTTTAATGATACAATTTCCAGCTTCTTAAATGAATGTATCTTTATTCTAGCTTATCTACCATGTCCCATCTTAACTCAAATGAGGACAAAACTTCTCAAAGGAGTTAATTCAGCATATGGCATCAACGTAAGTCACTGTATCATTGGTGATATTACCATGGTTTAAATATCTTTAGGTCCTGGATCCCTTGAGAATCTAATGAAAGTATTTGACTGTCACCTCAAAGAAATCCACATGGGGAACAAATTGTGCATACAATATTGGGAAGTTATGGACCTTTCTAAAGTCCAACCATAAACCAACTTTGTGAGGTCCATGGACCCATGTTGGATAGGAAACTTGCACTGCTACTCCAGAAGGAGTGTCCACCATCACCCTAACCCCACTTGGTTGCTATGCTATCTGGAAATACTTGCACAAAAGCATTAATTCAAAATGAAGGATACGTTTGCTGGTGACAAACTCTCTTAGTTTTCCTTTATCTGAGAATGTCCTTCATGAATTGTTTCCAGTGGATATCCAAGGATTCTGGGTTAAGAGTTCCCCTTCTTCAGCACTTGAAAATGTTTGCTACTTCCATGTGGCTTCATGACTCCTGATAAGAAGTCCATTGTCGTTCAAATTGCTTTTCCCTACAGATCAGGTGTCATTTCTCTTGAGCTACTTTTAAGACTTTTTGCCTTTGCTTTTCGGAAGATCAATTGTGATGTGTCTTGTACGGATTTCTTTGGGTTTACTTCACTTCTGGTGTCTGTAGGTTTATGTCATTTGCCAAATTTGAGAGATTTTCAGCCATTATTTCTTTGAGTATTTTTTCAACCCTGCCATCTTCTTTCTCTCTTCAGAGACCCACAGTGACAGGAATGTGCGATCTTTTTTTAGTCTCATGGGTCCCTGAGGCACTGTTCATTTTTCCATTTTATTTTCTCTGTTATTCAGATTGGATCTTTCCTTTTGTTCTATCTTTCAGTTCACTGATCCTTTCCTCTGTGCCCTCCATTCTGCTGTTAAGATTTTTATTTCAGTTTTGTATTTCAGATCTAACATTTCCTTTTGGTTCTTTTTTAAATATCTTTTATTTCTCTGCTAAGACTTTCTATTTCTTTGTGACAGTTTCTATTTCTTCATTTGTTTCAAACATGTTCATAAGTACTCAGTGAAGCATTTTTATAATTGCTTGTTTAAAATTCTACTGTCTCTGCCATCTAGATGTTGACATCTGTCTTTTTTCATTCAATGTGAGATATTCCTGGTTCTTGTATGAGAAATGATTTTTAATTGAAACATAGACATTTTGAGTGTTAAGTCATAAGGTTCTGGATTTAGCTAAAGCTTCTATTTTACTTTTAGCTGTTTCTGCACCACCCACCCCCCCCCCCAGCCCACCACCACATCTTTGGCTGGGGAATGAGGGGTGCTACCTATTTAGTGCGAGGTCTGGTAGAAATTCAGGTTGCCCACTCAGTCTCCATAGAGACTTGAGCAGGTGGAATTCTGGCTACTGTTGGATAAGCGGGGAGTTCTGGCTCTCACTAGGCCTCCACAGATGCTTCCCTGACTGAGAGGGACAAGAGTGCCTTGCTACTGCTTTCCATATAACCTTCACTGAAACCATGGAGGGGTGTTGTCCTCACCATTACTGGGCCATAATGGAAGCCCTGACTCTACTAGGTATCCTTGGATGCCACTCATGTCTGAAAGGGTACTTTCAGACATGAAGTATAAAGGGTACTTCATGTCTGCCAGATGAGAATGAAGTATAGGCTCCCCACAAGGTCTGTGGCATGGGCTTGTCAAGGATAGAGTGATTATTACCTAAAACTTCTCTTTCATGCTAAGCTGCCTTTTTCTTGGTTCTTTGACTACAGAGAACAGGCTCTTGTTTGGGCTTCATTTGTCTGTGTCTGTTGATGTTTCCAGGTTACTAGCTTTTTCAGCTCCCAAACCAGAATATACAAGAAAAAAAATAAATCCTAGAGAACTCACCACTATTTTGTCACTTGAGTTCCCAAGTCACTAGCCAGTCTGCCACCTTTGGTCCACCTTTCATAGACTTATGTTTGTTTTATAGATAATGGTTTTTAGCTGTACTTCGCAGAGAAATAGGGAAAATAGGTCTACTTCATCTTCCTAGAAGTGGAAGTCCACTGATTTCTCATTATTTAAGATTTTTGTTTTTATTCTTTCATGAATGTTCTGCTTAAGATCTTTATGTTTCTAACTATTGAATTATCATTGCTATTTTTTATTTCATTACCTATTTATTGTTTAAGACTACTAACAATGCCATATTGGTGCAAATATTTTACCAGCTTTTTGATGGACCTGAATTTCAATTATAATGTTGATATATAAAAGTTTTAATATTTATGTAGTCAAATCCTTTGTGACTTTTCCCTTACATAAAATTTCAAAAGTCTCTCCTTCTCCAAATATCAGATAAACAGTTGTCCATATTTTCTTTTAGATTTTAAAAATGACTTTATCATTTTCTTTTACTTTTCACCCTTTCATCTATCTAAAATTAATTTTGGCACATCGTCTCAGGAGTGAAAATTTTTTGACTATGATTTTAGGAAAGGAATTCCTGACTGCATTAAAGACTTGACAATGTTTCCAAATATCCTACATCCAGTACAAGATCTTGATGCAATAACAAGAGACCGTGACATTTACTTCCCACATGGACTAACATCAGTACTTCCTAAACATGCATCTGCATTCACCTCAGATCATGATGGGGATGATAGGGAGGTAGACTTGCCTGAGCTTTCAATGATGTGCTTTAGCACCATAGGAAAATGGCCAAGCTGAGAAGCCTGCGTGAATGATAAATGATGAGTGATGCTGTGATCTGGACTATTTGAGGATATTGGCTGAGGCATCATGCCACATCTCCTGTTATTCAACATACCATTCCAAGCTCAGCAACAGAAGGTAGCTCTGCTGAAATATTAATGAAGTGGTTTGTTTCAAGCACCTTGATTCAATTTCAAGCAAGATTTGGAAGACAGGTGCATATTATGGCTCCTTTGGTTTCTCTGACAAGTGTCAGTCTGTATTAAGAACGGTAGTCTGTATTAGTCTGTATTAGGCCTGAACCAAGGTCATTGCCACTTATTTGGAAGCCAGGGGACTCTATGACCATTTCCCAGATGCCAGTGGACTAGTGTGGTGCTGTCATCTTGAGACACCAGGAAGAGATTCCTAGTAGCAGGCATAGCACTGAAATAAACCTTTCAGAGCTCCCTGCCATGGCTTGTTCCCTGGCCCCTCACCCCACCTTTTTTTTTTTTTTTTTTTGAGATGGAGTCTTGCACTGTTGCCCAGGCTGGAGTGCATTGGCATGATCTCGGCTCACTGCAAGCTCCACCTCCTGGGTTCACGCCATTCTCCTGCCTCAGCCTCCTGAGTAGCTGGAACTACAGGTGCCCGCCACCACGCCTGGCTAATTTTATGTACTTTTAGTAGAGACAGGGTTTCACCGAGTTAGCCAGGATGGTCTTGATCTCCTGACCTCGTGATCCGCCTGCTTTGGCCTCCCAAAGTGCTGGGATTACAGGCCTCATCCCACCTTTTGTGTTTCTAAGCCTTCACTAAAGCCACAGACTGAGTAAAACAACAATTCTTCTGTGCTTAATGCATCAAGTAAAGAAGAGAGAACTCATAACTCTGTATCAACTAGAGTAATTCAGAAATGGGGTCACAAAAGGAAATCTCATTGCTGAAGTAAGATAAAAAGCTATATTAATATTAATTATGACAGATATAAAGACTTCATAGAAATATGGAAGAGATTTCTGGGATACAGTATGTAAAAAAAATCAAGATGCAAAATAATGTGCTCATCATATTAGGAAATAAACTCAAAGTATGGTAGTAGTAACTTGCAAGTGATTTTTGTTTCTATTTGTTTCTATAACTTATGTAGTATTGAGTATTTAGAAGATATCCTAAAATTACATTTTTACAATTGTTATTAATTAAGGAAGGGGAATTTTACAAAGGAGGGAGTTACCTTGGTGTCTGTTCTTTATTGTTGTTCCCCGGAGTTACAGACCAGCTGATTTTAGAGTAGGGCTTACATGAGCTAGTTCCCTGGCAATAACATACTGTTTTATTGAAGGTTGCCTCATCATTGCCTGGATTTTTATCGCTACACAACCCAAGAGTGGATTAAAAATAAATCAAATGTTATAGGGCTTTATAAATTTCAGTGTTATTTTATAAGCAAAGCCCAGATTGAGGAGACTACAAGATAAAAGAGCTTCAGCTACTTCCCAAAGCGGCCCCTCTGCTGCTGTCTCTGAGCTGTGTGGAAGATGTTTAAAACCAGTGAAACAAGAAAGTATCGGCAGGGGAGATTTGTTTCCTTGGGGTGTGCTTTTCACAGAGGCAATTGCCAGGAAACTCAGTAGACAGAATTTCTTTGAGGCCAATTTCTTGGCCTTCAACCATGCCAAGAATTAGTTGGGAAGAAAACCCCAGAAGCATTCTATTCTCTAGAAGGCAAATTTTGGTGCAGACCAAAGGCAAATCTATGGCCACTGTGTATCTCCATGGCAAGTGAGTTTCATGCTTCACAGAAGAAACAGCAAGCACAAGTATTGTTTGCAAGTTGGGAACAGAAACTATATAAATAGTTGCAAAAGAAAAAAAGAAACTTCATAAGTAGCACATAAAAATGAAGATGAACACAGGTGCTGCCCCAACACACACACACAACACACACACACACACACACACTCTCAAGGGAGGGTGGGTGGGGGTTATAAACATATTTGGCAAACAGAAGGGAAAAGCCTCCTGGAACCAAATGATGGTTAAACAATGTATAAAAAAAGAACAGAAGCTGAAAGAGTAGAGGTGAAGGAATGGGAGGAAAAATGTTTGACACCAAGTCCCAGTCATGTCCCTAGGTCTCTGGATAGACATTGATCCACTCTCTCTGAAAATCAACTAATGCAGACTTTTCTAGTACCTCTTGAAGAGTCTGTATGTATATATGGACAGAATCTTAAATATGAAGGCTATATGTTTATTTTACATTTATCGAGCAAATACCCTATTTGTTACAAGTCTTTGTTAGGCAAAAGTCTTGAAGTTCTTTAAAAAGACTTGTGAATATTGGTGTGTGAACTGATGGCACTGAAATGCGATGCCTACAGAACACCCGATCCTTCCAGAAGAAAGAGAAGACAGAAGATTGGCAGCAACTCAAAAAGAAAGACTTCACATTCCTATGTCTTACTTGGTGCTCCTGAGAGCATTATTATTGTCATCATATGTCACTGTTAAGATAAGGAGTCTCACAGACTTGCCCAAGGCCACAGGCTAAAACAACTGAGCTAGGAATTAGAACACAAGTTCTCTGCTTCCTTGAGCTCAAGTCAGGTTTAATGTATTTATACTTAGTTGCATAAATACCATACAGAAAAACCACTCTGGTTTCATTGCTCCAGTCTCTACCCCAAAGGGGGAGAGTCCTCTGGTACTGATCACTGGACACCAATGACAGAACACAAAAAATTCTCACCTCTGTGTTGTGTCAGCTTCCACTGAGGTCATTTTAATTCTATAACCAGTCCTTTCTTCTTATGTTCCCTGATGGGTAATTTACATGGCAAACCAGAGCCTCCTATTAAAAATATGCACACAATTTTTTCCAGTAAGACTACACTATGTATTTTTAGTGTAGAAAAATGAAAAGGCTGACGTAAATTTTCCAGATCAGTATTTATCTAGGAAACATTCACCTATGTATTTTTTTTTCTGCTTGCCTCATTATTTTTCCATATTAAAGTAATCCCTAAATGCCACCAGGATTCTGGTATGTGTCATTATTCACCTGACACGTTCTTCTTGTTGGGACATTCCATTTGCATGCAATTGCATTATTCCACTGTTGGTGTCTCTATCAGATTCTGCAAGTGTTAATGTTGTATCTGCCACAATAACATTCAAAAAATAAAAATAAATAGTGGAGGCTTGAAGCTTCAAAAGTAATCAAAGAGATACTTCCATTATAATCTGTTTTCACCTTCAAATGCATTCATATTTCTTTTGGCCTGAAGTGAGTTTCACAGAGAGTGGATAGAAGCAAAAGAAATGATTGCATTTAAGGAAGTTTTTGTCTATGCAGTTTCTCCAATTTCTCCTTTTATTTGTTCTTCTTTCCTTTTCATTTCTTTTTATCAATTTTCTCTCAACAAGGTATTATTTTTAATACTTTGAATGTATCATTTGCAGTATGTTGAAAAGGCAAAGTTGGCAAATATGTTTGCTTTCATAAGATTGATTTTTTTCTTGCCTATGTTTCCATGAGTTGAATTTCTAACTCAGCCTCGTTCCTCTTATCTTTGTCTTGGCCATTCGCTCAGAAAAAAAGAGAAATAAAGGCTACATTTTCAGATTTAAAAATGCATCATGGTTTTTCTCCTGAATCAAGAGCCTGAGGCCAAGCCTGGAGCAGCTTAAGGATGGAGCCAGCATTCTCAGGTTGAGTCATTCACAACATGTGCCCCTGTGGGGACCTCCTCAAATTGTCTTGTGGGCACATGGCTTTGTACAGTCTTGAGAATTTGGATGTGGGGAGCATACAAAAGAAACTTGAGATAATGGTGACAAGTGGATTGGCTCAGCATGCAGCAAATATTTGAAAGGAAAGAGAACAGTGGTAGAAGGTTTAACGTTCAGTTCAGAGTGTCCCTATAGAAACACTTACAAGTCACTCTAAAGATGATCTTAAACTCTACAAGCCTGGCATGGATTACATAAAACTGACCACATACTATAACAAATTACAAAGGTTCTTAAAGAGTTTAATTTCTCTCTACATAGAATAGATTTCTTACAATATTGTACCCGGAAACTCCATGTTGAAATTCTAGAAATTTTGCCTATTTTAGAACTGCAGCTTCTTTCTACATATGGTGTAGAGTGGTGGCAATAAATTCCGCCTTTTGTTTAGTTTCTGTTTAATTAATTAAAACAATGTTTATATTTACTCCTCACTCTCCTTACACAGTCTAAAAGTAAATGGCCAACTTACATATTTTTAGTTTCCAGAGCAAATCAATTGGGCTACCTTGGGTTCCGAATACCACTTCAGTGTTTGTTGTTGTTGGCTTTGATTCATACTTCTTATCAGTTTCCAAGTAGAGACATCACTGCTGAAAGATCAACTGAAAAGTGCTATCTTTGTCTTCTTTCTTATCTAATTTGGCTTATCCCCATGATATATCTGGTATCTCTAAACCAACAGTTCTCAAAGTGTGATCCAAGCACCTGTCTGGGTCCCTGAACACCTTTCAGGAGTCTGTAGGGTCAAAATTACTTACATAATACTACTAAGATGTCATTTGCCTTCTGTACTCTCATGCTCTTTTGAACCTACTGTGGCATTTCCCAGAGTCTGAAAGGTGTGCGATTACTCAGATGAACTGATTTCATTCATATCAGCTCAAATGCAGAGCAGATATGAAAATCCAGCTGTGTTCTTCTCGGTCAGGCATTAAAGAAATTTGCAAATAGATAAAACAATGCCACTTTTCTCACTGTCTTTTATTTGGAAAACAGTTATTTTTCTTTAAACTCTTATTTATGTTAATATATAACAGTTTATTGACATGATTTTTAAATGAATAAATTAATAAATATTTTACAATTTTTCAGTCATGTTCTTCTTAGGTAAACATAAAAAAATAAAACCCACACGAACCAAAGCTTTTTTGAATCATCAATAATTTAGAACATGTTAAAGTGCAGCCAAAAGTTGGTGAACTGCTGCTGTTTCCTCTACCCTCATTTAATTCCTTATTTCTCTATTTTGCCTTTGAGTGACTGAATCTTATTTGTGAGGCACACATTACATCTTTTTCTTTTCTTTTGTTCACAGACCCAGATTCTTCCCCCGCAACCACCACCCACAGGCTTCCTCATAGAGCGCACCCACAGGGGTTTAACCAACTCATTTACGCTCAGCAGAGTGTGACACTGGAAGAAAATGAAGGAAAAGGGCTAGTGTAATAGAGCACTAGATGTAGTTAGCAAGTGTGGGCTCTGGTCCCTCCACCAGGGACACAAATTAATGTCCCTTTTCTGTAAAATGAGAGAAAAGATGAGTTATTTTAAAACTGCACATCACAGAGCTTTAGGACTCTGAAAATGTGACATTCCAGTGGGTAAGTGAAGTGACTGAGTGGATAACTACATCCTCTCCCGATTCAACTAAGCAGAGCCACTTCTATGCCATCTTATGTATCTGTGTTCAGAGTAAGACCACATTTGATGAAAGAAAGTTTGCATTAAAAAGTTTGGAAACCACTTGTTTAGGTGATTCCTGAGGGCCCTTTCAGCCATAACTTGACAGAAGAGCATTGGCTCCTCATAAGAAAATGTGTTATTCCTACTAAGACAATGTGATTTTTTTTGTTGCTGTTCTGTACTTTGTGAGTTAAGGAAGGACCTCAAATGAATTTGAGATGGAAGCCATGCACAGATCTTATGTGAAAAGGACTCAGAGAGAATTTTAATGTGCTCTATTTGTGATCAGTGTTTCTTCAACATTTGAATACAGCCCTCTAACCTGAATCTCACTCCAACACTTGGCTGTACTCTCTTTAATGGGGCCACTAACTTCCAAAAGCAATTTTACTTTGAAGTGGTAGAACACGACTGAGTAACAAATTCAGGAGCATGTCAGAGGAGGTTTCTTTTCTCCACTGGAGTTTATGAAACGTTCGCTTTGCTGTTGAGATTGGGAATGAAAAAAAAAAAAACCTGTAAGATCTAAACAAACTATTGAAGTAGAGGAATCAAAGCAATAAAATATTGCAATCAAGCAGTTTTTTTATTTTTACTTTAAGGAGTCTTTCATGTATAGCATTTCAGTTTTCTTTTCCTCGACTCAATAAAATATTTAGACAAGATGTTCTCTCCATTTGACAACTTAAAAAACTGAGGCCTACAGATGTGGAACAACCCATGTCGATTCACTAGCGATAAAGAGACAGCCATAATGCAAGGATTTTGACTCATCACCTGGGTTCCTTGTTTTACATTCAGGAGAGTGGATTTCTTTCCAGTTCTAGGAAGCGGTCTAGGAATATATTTTTACAAAAGGAAGTATTTCCTGGAGAAACAATTCTCTTAGGTAGACCATGTCTGTTTTCATTTCTGGCCCACTTTTCATCTTCTTCCCCAGGAATCTAGCTCTCTCCTCCCTCTCTTTTCTTGTATAAGCATTTTATATATTTCATGTGAAATAAGTTTCAAGTAAGCTATAATTACCATTTTCATGAGAGAAAGTCTATCCATTTTCACTTCCATTTTATAGTTTTGATTATACTTTGAAAAGCTCTAGCATTTTCAAATATTTATAGTTTTAAAATATAAAGAAAAATGCATGATCCTACTGTCATAGGTTTACCACGGAAGGAGGCAAAACAGGGACATTCTATGCTGATTTCAATTCCAGGTAAATTATTTTTTGAATTCAATTTCTCTGGAATTAGGAAAGCTACCATTTAAATGCCTAGCTTTTGAGACCCTTTTAAAACCCGTCACGATTTTGTTAAAAACAAGATCATAAGGTTTAAAAATATTCAATGAAAAATGATTTACAAAGATTTTAAGAGATTTTTCTCATCAGTCACAGTGATGCCTCTTTCAAGATGTGCTTTCTAATCCAGTTCTGTCCAAATTTATGACCTACTCTACAGTTTGATTTTCCTATCATTTAATGAGTGCTCAGTTTTTTCACTTGAATCATGAAAACAAGAAAACGTGAAAGATAAACAGCACTATGGAATTCAGAATCCACACTGTTTGCTGTTCCACAGAAACTAGAATGAGTTCGTCGTGTCCTGCATTTATTGGTGACCTTAATGAAATCACTTGATGAAAGTCATGCTACCGCAGTCAGTTATTTTGAGGGGTATTTTGGGAGTTTTTTGTTTGTTTCTTTGGACCAGTTCTATAGTGAACTAAATTAGTTAATTAATGTCAGCTCCTTCTTCTCTAATTTACATATAACCCATTTTTGTATGCTTATCTGGGAACAATTCATTATTGACTTAGCTTGGAACAGATATAATGTACTCATCTTAGTCATCAGAAATATGCCCTACTTGGAGAAATTTTCCATTTACTTTATTTCTCAAATCCACAGACCACTTTGAAAAGTCCTTATCTACAAACAACAGCGGGGAGCAGCTTCACACTCTAAGAATTCATCACAAGCCCCTGGAGAATTTGACATATCCTTATGCATCTAACTTCTCTGCCTGAAGTAAATTTCAGCATCAACCCTTACTTGGTGAAATGAAATTCACCCGACCATTTATTTGCATAGTTTGGAGATTATAACAACACTGATGGCTCTATTTTGAAAGGAAAAAATATGGTCTCAATTGCTGATCAGACACAAAACAAAACAAAACTACTTCAAATTTTGCAAATTCTTACAAGGGTCTAGATTTGGAATGGAAATGAATTACTGCTTCCCTTTTACAGCTTTATCTTGATTTCCCAGTTTTATTTTCTCTTTTCACTCTTCCTCTCCTTCACAGAATTCCTACCTTCCTTTGGCCAATCTGCTGCTATATGTCAGGCATCACCCTTTCTTTCCACATTGCTCCTCTTCTTCATTGTTCTAAGGAAATGCAATCTAGAGAATGAAAAGATGAGGTGTATCCAACTGAATATTCCATCAATTGAAAAGGTCACAAGAAAAATGTTTCTTGCTTTAGAGAAGTAGAGTTTTAAATAAGACTTTTGCTTTCCTATGTTTTTGGTGAAATCCTCACTAGGTAGCAACGATGGATGTTGTCCAGTGGGGTCTCATTTTTCTCTCCATATAAACACTGGGATGTTAAATCTGGGATGTAGCAGGAGTGGTGTTATCACAGGAACCTGGAAGAGCTTTTCCCTTTGTCCTAGTATGAAGTAACACTCTTCTGTATCCCAGAGGTCACCGTGTATTCAGTGCTACTGTTCTGATTTGTTTTGATTTATGTAATAATAATAATATTTTGGAGTGAAGTAACTCAAGTGGAAGCCATTGACAACACATCAGCTTATTGGCTTCTATATTTGGAAAGAATCATTCACTCTTAATCAGAGGAAGAAGCTAGATTGAAAGTAGATATCAGCTAAGTTTGGTGTTATATAAGTCAGGGCTTTACAGAGAAACAGAATCAATAAGGTGCATGTGTGTGTGTGTGTGTGTGTGTGTGTGTAGAGAGAGAGAGAGAGATTGATTTCTTTTAAGAAATTGGCTCACATGAATGTGAGGGCTGGCAAGTGCAAAACGTACAAGGCAGGCTGGCAGGCTGGAGATCTCAAGAAGAACTGATATTGTAGTCGTGAGTCCAAAGACAGACTGAGGCAGAAATCCTTCTCTCTTCAAAGGACCTCTTAAGGCCTTCAATTGATTGGAGGGCAATCTGCTTTACTCAAAGTCTACTGATGTAAATTTTAGTCACATCTAAAATATACCTTCACAGCAACATCTAGACTGGCATTTAACCAAACAAGTGGGCATCATAGCCTAGCCAAGTTGACATAAATATAAAATTAGCCGTCAAAAGTGGATTTTACAATACAGTGGTGGCAACTCATTGTGACACTCTGTCCAAGGGCACCGCTCATGTTCTTGCTGTAAGTTAACCACTGCTAAGCATCTAATAAAGGTAGCAATGTCAGACAATCTGTTGTACAGCCATGTTACTGTGGAAATAATTGGTACCATAATGATCTCTTCTACATGCACTAGCTACATAATGCATCCAGGAAGGATACACAAAGAATGGATATACATACTAAATGCTTGCTTCTTGTAGGCACAGAACCACACAACACAGCCTCCTGCATTAGTCTGACTTTTTGAATCTGTTATATATCACTGAAGACGTGATTTCTGTCTCATCATCATTTTAAAGTAGTGGATTCACATTTTCAATATAGGGGGCTTCTGAACCCTTCCTTCAAATGAAATGTTTGGAAGTACAGCAATGAAATGGAGCACCAACCATGCCCTGGTGCAAGTGGATTCTTCACAACTTGGCCTCACTGCCTCCCCACCATTTAAAACACCATACTGTAAAAACAGAGAAAGACCTTGTTTTTCTGTACTTCACATACTGGCAATATCAAATCTTCAGAACCAAACCACACACAAAAAAGCAAACTTTCCTCTGATAATTTGAAACCGTTATTGTAAAACTTCTGCTTTATAAACCCACACGTCATCGTTTCAGCCATCATGTGTGGCCTCACTGGTCCCAATTTATTCTTCTATCCTTCACCAAGCCCAATTAGGTGCCTTCTCAGGCCATCACATGCTGTGGTGGTAAACAAACCTCTTACTTGGAAAGTAAGGCTACAAATGAAGTAGCCTCTTGGGTCTTCCACTCTCTGACTAAAAGGAAGCGATAGTTTCAGGGAAACATGATGAGAAGAGAAATGGCAGAGGAGACACAGGTGGGGAGTTCACTAGACAGAGTCACTGCATGGTGATGGATGTTTGTGTTGAAAATAATGAGTCAAAACTAATTTAATTTATAGTCAGTAGCCTCTCTTTAAGAGAGCAAAGGAGTATATTAGAAAGCTTCCAAGTAGATGAGTTAACATTTTTTAAAAAAAGTTTTTAGTGTACAGTATGGGTAAAAGTCAGTTTGAGAAAACTTCTTTTACATAAAACTCAGATTGCTAATTAAATAATGCACTTATTTATATGATCATTTTACTCTCATCTCAAAAAATGATTTATTTTTCCAGTTCAAGCTCAATTTCAGAACTGGAAACACTGTGATGTTTATTTTTCAGGGGACCTTTTACTGTGATTATGGAAAAACAAGTACATATAAATAATTGCACTTCTTATTTACATGATCATTTTACAATCATCTAGAAGAATGATTTATTTTTCCAGTCAAGCTCAATTTCAGAACTTGAAACACTGTGCTGTTCATCTTTGAGGAGGACCTTTTACTGTAGTTACAGAAAAACAAGCACATTTAATTTGTAACTAAAATAAAAAGACAACAACTATAATAATCATTATTTAACAGTTACCAAGTGCTTCCTCTGGGTCAGGGACTGATCTAAGTATTTCACAGTAATGAATTATTTAACCCTCCCACAACCCTCTGAGGTACATAATATTCTTCCCCGTTTTGCAGCTCAAGAAACAGAAGCATAGGAAATTTGGTAATTTAAGACGGTATTGCTGATACATGGAGAGACAGGATGAACATGCAGCCAGTCTGGCAAGAAACTCCACGCTCAGGCACTCGATGGCATGGGGTACGCTACACCCAGAGTTTTCTCAGTGAAGCCTGTGGATGAAATGGTTCTTAGTCACCGAAGGAGCATTGATAGGTAGTAGAAAGGTAAGAAGGATTACACAATGAGAAATAGCAAAAGCCCTCAAGGAGAAAGGTGCAAAAAAGAGTGGAGAAAAGACTTCCTGGGCTGAATTGAAGTGTTCATGGGGCGTTACAGCAAGGAGTTGGGAGAACGATGACAGAGATGGCCAGTTGATGCAGGATCTCCAGTCAAGAGTCCAAATTTGACACTGAAATCCAATAGGACGATTGGAATCCACTGGAGGCTCATGAGTATGGGAAGTTTATAATGGAAATGACTCGGGAGAAATAAATAATCTTGGGAAGTTGGTACCATAGAGTGAGGAGAAGTTGATTTGAGGAAAGATCTGGACTATGCTAATGTTGTGCCCGAATGCTGTTTGCCAAAGAACACAGGTTAAGGTTTACATGCTTTCCCAGCAGCTCAGTGAGGTGCATTTCCCATACTATCACCAAGGTGTCCCAGGGCATCTCAGGAAATTCATAGGGGAACAGCGAATATTTTAAATTTTCAAGGGACGCAAGACCATATCTATCAGACACAAGCAAATTATTAGCTTAAAAGCATTCACAGTTGCATCACTGAATTGTATTATATTCCTCTTAATGTCGTGTCTTTGAAAAGTTGAGTTTTCTTAAGGACGCTGTGATAAAAAGCAAGTAGCATGCAGAATTCAATTTAAAAGAGGAAATAAAGGTGGCAGCGTCCAATCTGCTTACAAGGTTTGAGAAGCTGTGAAGTGCCCAAGAGGTGCACACATGCAACCCATTAGTAAATGGTATTGGTTAAGGATGAAATAAAATAAAATTGTTTCCAGTATATGTGTGCACACATATGAAAATATTTTTTGAGACACCAAAGGGTACCATCTTAGTCTGTTTGGGCTGCTATAACAAAATACCATAGACTGGGTGGCTTCTAAACAGCAGAACTTTATTTCTCACAGTTCTGGAAACTGAGAAGTCCAAGATCAAGAAGGCACCAGCAGATCAAGTGCCTAGTGAGGCTCTGCTTTCTAGTTCATAGAAGGCACCTTCTTCCTGTGTGCTCACGTGATAGAAGGGGGAACAAACTCTCTGAGGCTTGTTTTGTGGTGGCACTAATCCCATTCATGACAGCTCTTCCCTCACAACATAATCACCTATCTCCCATACCATCACCTTTACGATAAGGGGTTCAATATATACATTTTGGGGAGACTCAAACATTCAGAACATAGCAGGAACCATGAACTGAGAAAGTGTGCAAATTTCTATCCAAGAGATTATGACTGTATTTACTACTTGCTACCAGTTGAAGAATGAGTTTCAAAATGTGCTAAATCTGTAGTTTTTTCAAGTGTCTGTGTATGAAAGAGAGAAAGTGCATACATGAAAGAGAAATAGAAGTTTTGCATGCATTTTGACTGTATAACACTCCTATTTTAAAAAAAGAACATTTAAGTTTTAAAAGCATAGTGACATTTACTCTTACTTCAAAATCTCCTTCTCTTTCCTTATCTAGTTTGTCCCACCTTGGTAGAAATGATTTTGCTATCAAATCAGAAACCTAAGCATATCCTTTATTCTTATCTCTTTGTTACCCTTCACAGTGAACGTATCACTGAGTCTTGTTGCTTCTGCCTTCAACATGTATCTCAAGTTCATCCATTTTTCTCTGGCCCCATGGCTCTTTGCCCAATCCACCCTCCTTCCTCCCCTAGACCTTGATGACCTCAACAGCCTCCCACGTGTCTTTCTGCATCCTTCCTTCCCCTCTTTCTGTTCTCAGCAAAACAGCCTCAATAATCTTTTGAAAATATGAACAGAATCAGGTTATTCCCTTACTTGAAATCTTTGGTAACTTCTCATTTCATCTTATGCTAAAAAAAAGAAAATCTAAGCTACTTACCATGGCTTAGACAAATCTTCATAATTTCTTCTTCTCTATCTCTGTATCTCTGTGACCTCACCTAGATCTGCATCACATCCTCAGACTCCATGCGTCAGCCCACTATCTTCTTTCAGTTTCCCAAAGACACTGTGCTCGTCTCCCAGTTTTTATACCTCTTCCTGGAACACATCTAACCGTCATCACCAATGTGTCTGACTTCTTTAATTCTTCAGGCAACAACTTAACTATGCCTTCCTCAAAAAAACTCCCTCTGACCACACTGCCTTAAATAGAACGCTTCTAAACATTCTTAAGCAGAAATAGTCTCCTGGCCTGAACTAGTCACAGTTTTTATTTATAGTTGTCCATTTGCTTCTTTATTGCTTGTCTGGCTCCACTAAAACTGGAATGCTCTACTAGGGTAGGTGGTGGGTCTTTGCATTCAGCAGTGTATACCCAGTATCTAGCAGTGTCTTTCGCAGTATCTCTGGCATTATAAATGAATGAGGAAATGGGAGAGGCACCTCCTCCATCAGATGTGTGGGTTGGGGTGTAGGAGTTGTCACTTGATATATACCCACTTGATATATACTGGCTATTTTATCTAGCCTGGGTTCCTGGTCTTTGCCCCCAGATCACCTGCAGAATGGAATTTTATTTTATTTTATTTATTTGTTTGTATTATACTTTAAGTTCTAGGGTACATGTGCACAATGTGCAGGTTAGTTACATATGTATACATGTGCCATGTTGGTGTGTTGCACCCAGTAACTCATCATTTAACGTTAGGTATATCTCCAAATGCTATCCCTCCCCCCCTCCCCCCACCCCACAACAGGCCCTGGTGGGTGATGTTCCCCTTCCTGTGTCTGTGTGTTCTCATTGTTCAATTCCCACCTGTGAGTGAGAACATGCAGTGTTTAGTTTTTTGTCCTTGCTATAGTTTGCTGAGAATGATGGTTTCCAGCTTCATCCATGTCCCTACAAAAGACATGAACTCATCATTTTTTATTGCTGCATAGTATTCCATGGTGTATATGTGCCACATTTTCTTAATCCAGTCTATTACTGTTGGACATTTGGGTTGGTTCCACGTCTTTGCTATAGTGAATAGTGCTGCAATAAACATACGTGTGCATGTGTCTTTATAGCAGCATGATTTATAATCCTTTGGGTATATACCCAGTAATGGGATGGCTGGGTCAAATGGTATTTCTAGTTCTAGATACCTGAGGAATCACCACACTGACTTCCACAATGGTTGAACTAGTTTACAGTCCCACCAACAATGTAAAAGTGTTCCTGTTTCTCCACATCCTCTCCAGCACCTGTTGTTTCCTGACTTTTTAATGATTGCCATTCTAACTGGTATGAGATGGTATCTCATTGTGGTTTTGATTTGCATTTCTCTGATGGCCAGTGATGATGAGCATTTTGTCATGTGTCTTTTGGCTGCATAAATGTCTTCTTTTGAGAAGTGTCTGTTCATATCCTTCGCCCACTTTTTGATGAGGTTGTTTGTTTTTTTCTTGTAAATTTGTTGGAGTTCATTGTAGATTCTGGATATTAGCCCTTTGTCAGCAGAATGGAATTTTAAAGTAACCCAATAAGGCTGTAAGATTAAGTTGAATTTAAGGACACAGATAAGGAAGCACAGTACTTTTTCTTCCGCCTCTGAATAACTCTCCAAATCCCCTAACTTTTTGAGTACATAATACATTAAGGTTTCAGATTGTTTTCCTTGGATTACTCTTTTTCCTGTCCTAAGAACATGGCTACTTTAATACTTCCTAAATGATTTGAATATTTACCTTTTATACAAGATTTCCTGAGCAACTATTTTTCCTATGTTAAAAATTATATCCTGGCCTTTCTATTTATAGAAGTTGTGGCGATAATGTTCATGTGAATGAAATAAGAGCAATATTTCTCATGCTATCTGCTACATACAGCATGGAAGATGTTGCAAAGCAATATTTCAGTTTTCTGAAAATAAATCTTATTTTTCAACCATCTACTCTATTAAAAATGTTATTATGGTTCAAAATCCAGGGGAAATAACTTTATTTGGTTCCTGAAAATAAGAAATGTGTACATAAATGAATCATAACAGTCAGAAAGGAATTTTGAAAGAACACTAATTTGCCCTGCATGTTTTTTATTCATTTTAATTTTTAAAAATCTTAGTGAAATTTGTTTATGTTACATCAGTTTAACATTTTGCAAGTACGAAATATTTATTTATTAAATACAAGGGGGTCAGACTCTATAGTAAACACCAAAGAGAAAATAAAACCGCCTAAGACCTGGTTCCCACCTGCCGAGAGTTTACACTCTAACTGGAAGGTTAGACATGTATATACAAAGCTATACTATGATGTCCTTTGGAATATAATTTATTCTCACAGAACACATAATAAGCAATGCTGAGATAGGAGGGGTTTCTTTTAATTCTTTTAATTAATGAAAATGCCATGGTAAATATGGGATGCTTACTAGTCCTCGAAGAGTAGATTTCTTTATACGTAGAATTTCAAAAAAAAGTATTCTATAGAGAAGGAATGTGCCAAGAATCAGAGCTATCCTTGGAAAATATTACAAATGGATGAAGACAAGAAGCAAATTTTAGAGGTCTCTATTAGTGGCCTAAGCTGGAGGATGGTCCAAATAATGACCCTTTATCTGCAACTGACATCCACCTCAAACATCAGGGATACATTTGGCTTAATGATGCCCTGGTGGTCATGGCCGCCTCATTTTTCCCACTCCTGCTCAGCAGAACAACACTGAGCCCTTATCTGACACTCTTCCACTCAGAAAAAAATGAGCAAATGGATGCATCTTTTTTTTTTTTTTTTTTTTTTTTTGAGACGGAGTCTCGCTCTGTCGCCCAGGCTGGAGTGCAGTGGCGCGATCTCGGCTCACTGCAAGCTCCGCCTCCCGGGTTCACGCCATTCTCCTGCCTCAGCCTCCCAAGTAGCTAGGACTACAGGCGCCCGCCACTACGCCCGGCTATTTTTTGTAGTTTTAGTAGAGACGGGGTTTCACCGTTTTAGCCGGGATGGTCTCGATCTCCTGACCTCGTGATCCGCCCGCCTCGGCCTCCCAAAGTGCTGGGATTACAGGCGTGAGCCACCGCGCCCGGCCATGGATGCATCTTAATAACTTCTTCAACATAAAAGATTCAGTAGGGAAGACACTGGCTTTTCCCTCTGACTCTTGCTGATAGACTATTGGCCTGGTCCAGGGTGCTCTGTGATGAATAAAGTCCCAAGAAGAGAATGTCCCTGAGCAGATAACCAGGGTTTCAGTGACACAGTATCGACCAAGTGTTTACCTTAATAGCTTTACCCAGAAGAATCTTGGATCAGCATCTCTTAGTGGGTACTCCCACTTATCCTTTGAGAAGATTGTTCAGATTAGGGAAAATTGTTTCAGAGGAAGGGATAAATTCAAGTGAAGCTGGCAACAGAACCTAGGACTGCTGATTGCAACTTTTACTTTAGGTCTGATATAATTTTGTCTTCTATTTTACTTAAAATACTTTAGATTTAGTAGAAAGCTGAAGGTTTAATATTTTATAAAGATCATCCAAAATTCGAAATAGACTCTCCACAAAATAAAGAAGGGTAAATAGCACTGTGTTTATGCCCTTCAGTGTTCAGTTGGAGGATTCAATTTAATCTAAAAAATGCAATTAAAATGTAAGTGCTTTACACCCAGTTTAGGTCAATAGGCAAATGATGTTACTATGCAGAAGGTAACATAAAAATAGCTGTGGAGGATGTAAAGAGTTTAATGCATGGTCTCTGCCATCACTTGGAAAAGGCGATATAATCTCAGGAAATACAAAATATATAAGGCAATATGTAAGCACCAAGTTAAGAGATTTAGCAATTTAAATTTAAAGATTGAAAGCCTCATTTTCATTGCAAATTACATAATTGCATTTTCATGTTTTACAACAAATGAGTTGAATTTCTCTCCAAATTGTTCTTCTCTTGGAGAAACTACTTGGCTTGAGAAAGCCTATCCCCAAAGCCAGAGCCAGGCATCTTAGATGAAAGCTTTGCTGTTCTGGAACAGCACAGCCCTGCATGTGTCTTCGGGGTTGGGGGGACTGAAAGAGGTCTGATTCGATTAAAAAATGGAATATGCCATTTATATGGATAACTAATTTGGAGATCAAGGGAAGACTTTCTCTTTTCTAGAACTATGAAAATGAGTTACTGTGTTTTGTCAGTAAATAAATGAGAGAATTAATTTACAGGAAATTACACATTGGTGTATAAAATTACACTTGGATATTTGAAGTATTTGGACAGGAAGAAGAGCTATGGCTCAAATGTGTTGTTCAAAGGCAAGAATTCTAAGGTAGGTTTTGCACAGTGGAGAAGGTGTGGCAGAAGGCTACATTTTATTACCTACCTTTCAGTCAGTATGGGCTTGGGGTATTTTCTCTGATATGCAAGAGATCTAAACCATGCAAACTATTCTATTATTATAAATTCAAATTATTAAATGGATGAGACTTTCTGGGTGAACTGTACAATTACTATTTTAAATATTGAGAGGTTAATTTATGCAGTAAGGTGTGAGCTTGAACTCATGTTCAGTTCATTGGTGGATGTTTAGGATTATCTGACAAGTTGAAAAAATGGGTGGCATCCATTCATTTATATTTGTTGATTATCACAGGAGCGAGTTTTTGTGCAGCAAAAAAGAAAGGGAGGGAATTGGGATGGGCATCATAATATCTGACCCAGATATGTGTCTTCACAATGAGTCGGTTACGGTAAGTAGCAGGTCACACATGAGCAGGGCAGAAGAGGGCTGCCCCCGGCCCACAGGCACACATCAGGAATGTTGGGCGACTATCAGGTGATGGTCAGGCTGTTGTTAACTGTCTCTCTAAAATAATAATTGGTCACAGCTTGTTCTAGGGAAAGGCAGGCTCCTAACAGATGAAACACCTGAAACCGGTGATCAGCAGCTTCCTGATAAGATCTCAGGAGTTGGGAAAGTGTGCTCAAGTATGTGCATGCAGACAGCCCACCCCAAAGGAAGAATCAGGGGAGAAGTAAAGCAAGACCCCGGAAGTATGCCAAGGTACAAAACCCCAAGTTAAAAGGTCCAAATGCGCACTTGTCTTTCAAGTTGTCCACTTGGCCCTCTTCCAAGTGTACTTTCCTTCCTGCCCTAAAGTGTTTTTTTTTAATAAACTTTCATTCCTGCTCTAAAACTTGCTTTGGTCTCTCCTTCTGCCTTATGCCTTTCAGTCAAATTCTTTCTTCTGAGGAGGCGAGAATTGAGGTTGCCGCAGAATTGAGGTTGCCGCGGATAACAAGCCGTACTGGCCATTTCCCCTTCTTTGAAATCTACTCTCTTTCCCTGGAGGTAGATGTCCTGTAGATATTCTGTATGATAGAATCCCTTTGTGCCTGGAGTAGACATCCTACTTAAGACGGGTCATTTTGATTTTCTTTCCTGTTAATCTGGAATTGGAGAAATTCCAGAACACTCAGGAAGTCTCTCTATGGAACTCAATCATATAAACGGTTACACTGTAGTCACAGCAATAGAGTCTGCCAAGTAAAAAGAAAGCAGGAAAAGCTGGGTCAGGAGAGGGATAAAGAAGAGTGATATTGATACACTAGAAATCTGAGGTCACAAGAGGTACACCTATGGTTGCCGGTGACAAAGGGTAACCTAGAGAGGAGGAAGGTAGTTTTGTATTTAATGTGGAACCACCCTGAGGAGACACCAGTACTCTAACGGAGGGCACGGTGAGTGGTGGCCGTGTTCAAGAACACCTGGAAGTGACTGAGGATCAGGTCAGTAGATGACAAAAGGAAAATCGTGCTGACAGACTGATGGATGAGTATCACCTAGAGACCTCAAGATACAGCTGGATAAGATTTGGAACCGTCCAGGTGCGGTGGCTCACGCCTGTAATCCCTGCACTTTGGGAGGCCAAGGCAGGTGGATCACGAGGTCAGGAGTTTGAGACCAGCCTGGCCAACATGACGAAACCCCGTCTCTACTAAAAATACAAAAATTAGCCAGATGTGGTGGCAGGCACCTGTAGTTCCAGCTACTCAGGATGCTGAGGCAGGAGAGTCACTTAAAACCAGAAGGCGGAGGTTGCAGTGAGCCAAAATTGCACCACTGCACTCCAGCCTGTGCAACAAGAATGAAACTCTGTCTCAAAAACAAACAAACAAACAGAAGATTTGTATCCATGAGATGAGGATGGTAGTGAGCCCCTGAACATTAGCTAACTCTAATAGTATTATAGTGATCCCTTTAGTACTAATAATCAGTTAGGCTTAAGGAACCTTGCAATCGTGTAAGAGCAAAGGACTGTATTCCAGGGCAATTGCTTTCAAATAGTAGCAAAAGAATACAGCACAGTGGTAGCTTTACATTCAGTTGCACTATTCTGAAATAAGTGTCACTCAATGGCCAGGTGGCCTTGGCTAAATCAGTCACCTTCTTGGGACCTCATTTGCTCATTTATAAAATGAAGCATCTGAGCAAGATGATTCATGTGATTTTTTTTCTTGGTCTGAAATCAGTATTTTTGTGAAGCTATGACTATGTTTCATTTGTTCTCCTACTCCTTCAAAAACATTCACAAACAATATTTTGGGGTAGATAATTCATTATGTTTTTCCCTATGCTTAGAGTTTTTGTCTATATGTATTTTATTATAAATCAACATTTGTTTCAATCTTTCTTATAAGCTGAAGTACAAATGAGCAACTTTCTTAAGACAAAATTTCAAAAGAGCAGGTTTTTTTTTTTTTTTTTTGCAAGAATTTAAAAAGAAGTGTACTGAAATGAATCTTTCCCCTTTGAAGTATGGGACCCAAAAGCCATTATAAACGTGCCTCTGGTACATGTCAGTGGCTCAGCATTGGAAAGAAGCAATTTGGCTGTTGTCAAAAATCTGATTTGTGTTTGTTGAAGTATTCCAGGCGCCCCGTGTATGGAAAGCTTCCTGAAGCTCTGACCAGCAGCAGCATTGCACCAATAGAGGCCTGGAAAGTGAAAAGCTGGTGAAAGCAGTGGAAGAAGGAGGATAATTAATGCACCTAAATCTTAGACAGGTAATGGAACATTATGTCCTTCATAAATCTGAGTTTGGCAGAGGAGTCAAAAGAAAAAAAGTGGAGGCACAAAAATACAGACACAAGATTTCTACTGGAGACACAAAATTCCTTATAGACTATCCTATAAGGAATTAGGAGGACAGTTTAGGACTAGCCCTAGGAAAACCTTGAAGGAGACAAAGTGTGTTTGAGATTATCTCCATTATGCTTTAAAAACTAGACAACTTATTTTCTGTGATATAATTTGTGTGTATTAAAGTGCCATCTGAAGGCATGAATGAGGCTTGAAAATGAATTGCGAAGTTACCTCTACTATAGAATCGGAGTTGTTCAATATTTTTGAATTACTCTTTTTGCTAGCACCACAATCTCTATACATTCTGTAAAAATATGGAGATGTAATGACAGCTTAAGCACTAAGTGTACTAGGTTAGTAGGTGATGGAAGACAGGGAGACAGAGAAAGGAAAGAGAAGGGGAAAGAAGGAAAATTTTAGAATACTAAAAAGGTATCAGGAATGCTGCTGGAAACATTTATAAATGTTATTTAATTTTTTTCCCATTAAAAAAGACTACATTGAATGCTGAGAATAAAATGGAATAAATGTTATTCCTTTGGGAGAAGAGTGGAGGTTTTCAAACAATGTTATTAAATGTCAGGGGAGGCAATATAGAATATCAGTGAAGGCCATGGATGTAGGAGTCTGGGAGGTGTGGGTTTGAATTCAAGATGCTGCGCTTGCTAGTTGCTCAAAGCATCAGTTTCCTTGTCATCAAAGTGATCCTAGTGACATCTAGTTTTTATAGGCTGCTGGTCCCAGAGTAAGCATTCTTTACCCATTATCTCATTTAATCCTTACAATTGATATCTGAGGTAGATATTGTTATGCCCATTTTGCCGAAGGGGCACCTCTTGCTAAAAGTAACAGCTGGCCAGTGGCAGGAAACCCAGGTTTTATGACTCCAAGTCTAGAGCACTTTGACTTACCTGGGATTTTGACCAGAGAAGTCAGAACAAAAACAGGCAGAATGAAAATGGCATGCCACTGCCATGTTCTTCAGGGCCCAGGTGTCTTCTTGGAGCTGGTAGTACTATGTCAGGAAATAGAGGCCCTTGAGTGAGGCCTTCCTCTTCTTGCCACTCCATTCAAATTGACCTGTGAGCTAGTCCCTGAGCATATGCTGTCTATTGTGGCAAACTGGAGGTGGGACTTCATGTCAGGACACTATCCTATAATAATAGCCTCATCTCAGGCCATGGCAATGATTCAAAATAAATTCAGAAGTTCTTGAAATCTCCCAAGCTTTGCTCCTTATTCTCCACACACAAGGTTATTCTTCAACCCACACAGTCAATCAAGGGGCATGGTTAACTGACACCATATTTGCTGCTGCTATTGTCTGCTTGAGGCACGTGGCCCTGGGAAGCAGGCCTTTGGACCAGGCTGGACTCCTGTTTGTAACTGTTTTCCAGCACTGGGTTTTCAGAGTGGTTTTCTCCTCCTCAGTCAATTAGTATTTATTATCCCCTATGAACTCATCATTAAGGTAACAGAAAAACATTAAGAAGCCATTATCTTGATATAAAGGACTTTATAGTGTTCCCAAATGAAGGTTGGGGTGGAGGGTAGGGGGTGAATTGATTATTTCCAACCATAATGACTGCTTGTTTCTCTCTTTCAACTAGTTTTTAACCTATAGAACTGATTCAAGCAAATCGTAGATATTGCAGCAACATAGAATGCTATTGAACAGAGGAAAATATAAGGCATCAACAAAGAATGAGTTTGAATTCACTTTCTAGCCTTCCAAACCTGCTAACAGACAGAATAAGCAGAATTTTAAAAGGCTCGTCATTGAAACCATAACTTAAAACATAACACGTATATTCTAGTTTTTGATCCACTCATAAGTAGTTGTACATTCTTAGATGAGTCGCTTGACCTCTCTGGATCCTAGTATTCTTTTCTCTAAAATAAATGAAGCATAATATGTGAGAAATTATACACCTATGTTTCTTTCAGCTAGAGCCCTGAGCTTCTGGGCCCCCTCACCTAGAAATATATTAATTTTAATTATTGTGGCAGGTGGGTAGGCTAGGCTGTTGCTGCAATCTCTGGTCTTTACTGAAGTTTCAAGTCTCTGCAAGTTGGAGGGGGCGACTTTGGGTTCCACAGCAGGGAAGGGCCAAGGGCCAAAGGCCCCACCACTGGCCTGTGAAATATCCCCTAAACTGACAGGCATCAGACTACATAAGAGTTTAGACACTTCTAACAATAATTACAGGTTAATAAAAATGGATTCAGAACTAGAGAGCTTTACTCCCTGTTCTGACAGTAATTTGACTTACTGCTTTAGACAAGCTACTTACACTGCCAATTTTACATTTTCCCCCTTGGCCAAAAGGGAAGAATCATATTGATTCCAATTATTTTATCAGACTGTTGTGAGGATCACCCTCACCCCACCCGTGCATTGTACCCAGATATAAAAGTACCTTCAACATCTGTGGGGTTTGTGGTGGCAGATCTCATTTATCCATAATAGATATGTCACTCACTAGCCTTTCTGCATGATTATTCCTAAAGAACAACTCTTAGCTTGCCACTTCCCTATTTTAAAACCTTCTATGGCTCCCATTCTTGATGAAGGTAATCTGAAAAACCCAAAACGTCACAAGCCAGATGATATGGTTTGGCTGTGTCCCCACCCATATCTCATCTTGAATTGTAGCTCCCATAATTCCCATGTGTTGTGGGAGGGACCCAATGGGAGACAATTGAATAATGTGGGTGGTTTCTCCCATACTGTTCTCATGGTTGTGAATAAGTCTCATGAGATCTGATAGTTTTATAAAGGGAAATCCCTTTTACTTGGCTCTCATTCTCTCTCCTGCCTGCAACCACGTAAGAAGTGCCTTTTGCCTTCTGCCATAATTGGAGGCCTCCCAACCACGTGGAGCTTTTAGTCCATTAAACCTCTTTTTCTTTATAAATTACCCGGTCTCAGGTATGTCTTTATCAGCAGTGTAAAAATGGACTAACACATCTGGTTACTGACAAGGTCATAGAGACCAGATAGACTCAACATTTGCCAGCTCAGTCATCCTCAACTGTGGACAAACAAGTCCTCCGTGCTCCCTTTTTTCCACTCCTATTTCTTCAGACACTTCCACCAGAGGCTGCCAATGATCTATCAGATCAGTGTGGGCTTCTAATCCCTTCCCATTGTCTTCCCACATCTGTTCTCCAACGAAGAGTTGCCCACCTGATCTGGTGCAGCCGCTGCCTCCAACTATCAATCAGTCCCTTCTTGAGTATCCATTTCCATTGCATCAACTCTGCTACTCAGCCCATATGACCACCGGCACCCTGATTCCTCTTCCTGTGGTGGCTGCAGTCACAATGCTGAAGTCCTGGGATACTATCTAAAGTCCTCAGCAGTCTGATCCCAATCTGCTCCAGCTGTGTTGCCTAGTTCTCCCTACGGGAACTTTGTGCTCAGGGCAAAATTTCTTTCTTAACTTCAGACATCCTTCCTGCTTAGGGTAACCTCTACTCTATCATCCCTTTTATATGTTTTTAAGCTTTGTCTTCTTTCAAGCTTTAATCAAAACCTCACCTGCTCCAGGAAGCCATTCCTGACCCCCTCATTGAAACTCAGTAGCCTTTTCTCTCAACAGCATTAATTTTATTCCTTGCATTCTACGTATAACACTTAAATGCTGTCAGAACTGTTTGTTTGTTTGTTTGTTTGTTTGTTTGTTTGAGACAGTGTCTTACCCTGTCACCCAGGCTGGGGTGCAGGGGTGAGATCATAGCTCACTGTAGCTTCCAACTCCTGGGCTCAAGAAATCCTCCTGCCTCAGCCTGCTGAGTAGCTGGTACTACAGACTCATGCCACTGTGCCTGGCTAATATTTTAAAAAAACTGTTGGCAGAGACAGGGTCTCACTATGTAGCCCAGGATGGTCTTGAACTCCTGGCCTTAAGGGATCCTCCCTCCTTGGACTATCAAATTGTTGGGATTATAGGCATGAGCACACTGCAACTGACCAGAGCTGACTTTTGAAGTCAGGACTCAGTCCTAGTACAGTCTTTGCAAATCTTACTGTTTAGATGATGTCTTAAACTCATTTTTCTAGAAGTGCTACTAAAATACATATTACTTGTGGCAAAATGTTGGATACTAACAATATTACTACTCCTTCAGGTCCTGGTGGGGGATGAAAGGATTTGGTGAAATCCTACATTCACCAAATACCTAGTGAGCATTAATTATGTATCAGCACCATGCTGAGATTAGGTGGTAACAGAAAAGATGCTGTTCCTGTCCCAAGGATCTTACATCTGTGTAGGAGAGAGGGATATTAAAAACAAACAAAAAACCCAACTACCAAATAACTGTTATGTCACAACAATTTTGCTAAGTGTCATGGAGGAAAACTATAGTGTATCAGAGGGTATATTAAGTGGAATCTAATCTGAATTTGGCAGTAAAATGTGTCCTCTATGGAAGTGGCATGACCTCAGACTGAAAAGGTGAGGAAGAATTAGCCAGGTAGAAATGAGATGAGACCATTGCCCAATGAGAAAAGAGCCCCTGTAGGGTACTGGGGTGGGAAGGAGCATGGGGACTGGGGTAACAGAAAGAAGCTGTCTGGACAGAACAGGGTGATCTACAAAGGGAGTAATGGGGATGAGGCTGCACAGACTAGCAGCCAGTGGCTGGATCATGGAGGTCTTTTAGGCCATGACATAATTTTGATTTTAATCCTAAAAGTGAGGTGACACACATGCCTAATTTTAACGGATGCTATAATCATACTGAGGTTTTTTTAAAAAGATAAATCCCAAGAAGAAATGTTTTGGGGTGATGTAAAAAGTCAACTAGATGCATTCTTTAACAAAAGAGGGATTCATAAGAGAGAAAGTTGGGGCAATATGAATATCTGACTTCCCCCAATAAACATGTCTACCAGAGCTGGCCTTTACAGTGGCCCACTCTCAGGTTCATTCCTGCTGTAAAGTTCCCAAGCAAATTCCCGCTGTAAAGTTCCAAGTTCCTGCTGTAAACTTCCTGCTGTAAACTTCCCAAGGTAAGGAAGACTCCTGCTGAGGCAGCAGACTGCTGCAGTTTACCCAGCCAGACTCTCTCTGACTCTCATGGAGAGAAGAGTGTGACAAGGGGCAGGTAGAAAGAATGATTGTGACTTGGTCCTCTCCCCTTCATGAAGCTGGACAAGCAGCAGTTACCCTCTTGCCCACTAGTAAAGAAATAGAACTGATTATTCTATAGATGGTATCTTTTTTTTTTCCTCAGTATCACACTAATCAACTCCCTGTGGCTGTGATGATGAGAGATGCTAAATTGCTGAAACGGCAGGCTTTCAGAGGAGATAAAATTGAGCACCTGCTCTTAGGTCCATAAATAACTGAGGGTTATTTTCCCTGGGGACTCTGATGCTGGTCCTAACATTCCCACCAAATGTTAATGTAGTCATTACACTGTGTCTGATTGAATTATCATTGTAATTTCAGGAGAAAACTTTGGTTTGGCCAGAGCAAAAAATATACTTTAAGAAGCACTAGTTTATACCTGAATTAGGTTTTGTGGCTGAACATCTGTGAATTCACAAAATCCAGAAAAAAAAATCTGGCTTTAGTTGTTCACCGTTTTTTGTACTCAAATATGCCTAACCTAAAATCTGCTTTGTTGTTGTCAAACGAGCATGGGTCCATAATTATTATCAATTTTATCTTATTCATAATAAAATAAGCATTATTGAAAAATAAGCATTATTGAAAAATAAGCATGTCTAAAACTATCCTAACAGTCAATCCTCTTCCACCTGATAGCTTTTTAAGAATTGACCTTGCCCATCTACTTTTCTAGTGAAATAATTGCATCATCACTTCTTTGCTAGGTAACATAGGACATATTTGGCGATTCTGTCTGCACATGGAAGGACTTTCTCTTCTATAGCTATGAAGTATTCTCTCTTCTGGTGGCCTTTGACGTAAGTATTATAAATCTACCAATTATCAGAAGTGTGTAATGTTGCCCAGTTTCCAAATCTTCCTTAAATGCTTGTCCACAGAAATATTTGAACAATTGAATAACACTCTACTTTTCATGAAGACATTCCAGAATCATAAAGACAAGCCCTAGGCTCTTTGATATTATTCTTTACTTGAAAGTGACCTTACTGTAATAGGCTGATGCCTAGCACCTAGCAGTTATTATCTAGAGTTCCTAAGAGCTTTTCCCAATATCTTTCTTTCATCCTTCATTTCCGCTTCGCTTGAGATTTCCCAGCCTCACTATCACTCTCACCACCTCTCATCTGCCATGTGGAAAAAATACTTCATTGGCGTTCCTACTTCCCTGCTCAATCACATGCAAAGTTCACCATGAATCATAGTTGTTAATGGTTCCCCTCTGCCTTTTGTACTTGTTTCAAATTCTGCAACTCAGCCTTCAAAGCCCCTAATTAACTGGCTCCCATTGAACCATCTTCCACAGTGCCTCAAAAGAACTCTTATTCTTTCATCAGTCTGATTTTCCCATTGCATCTGCCCCTCACACTCCCAACACATACATATAACTCATATTCATTCCAACTGCATGAATTAATGAATAATATGTCCCTCCATGCAATGTTCTCTTTCCCTTAGTTTCACTACTTCAAATAAAAACTCACTGCATATATTTAATGTGTATTTGGACATATGTATACACATGGATACCATCACCATAATCAAGGCAATAAGCACATCTGTCACTTCCAAAGTTTCCTTGTGTCTCTTTGCTTTTTAACTTTATTTATTTTGTGGTAAGAGCACTTAACATGAGGTCTGCTGTCTTAACAACTTTTAAGTGCATACCACTTGTATTGTTAACTATAGACACTACAGCAGATATCTAGAAGTCATTTATCCTGTAAGACCATTAATATCTTAAATTTTATTTCTTTAACTTTATACCCAGCTGATAACTCAGTTACTTTCAGAATTCCAAGTTTGATTCATTTTCTTTCAAAATTTTGAAGGCTTTACTCTACCATGTTCTAGCTTCTAGTTTTACTTCTGGGAAGTCTAATGTCATTTTGATTCTCGATCATTTATACAGGACATACTCTTAATTCTCTTTGGAAGCTTTAAGATCTGTTTTCCCAGTAACTGAAATGTCATCATATCATGACTTGGTATGAGTCATTTCTCACTTATGATGCTAGGCTCTGAGAGAGCTCATTCAAGATGGAAACTTGTGCCTTTTACTTCAGAAATATTTATTGTTTTTGTCATTATTATTATAATCATTACTAAATTTTCTATATTCTCTTTTTATTCTGCAAGTCCTGCTATTTGGATACTGGATATCTTACAATGATCCTCTAAATCACATACTTGGACTCTTCTATTTTCAACCTACCTGTTTTGGGTTTTACTTTTTGAAATATATCTTCAATATTGTCTTCAAAAATTATATACAATTTTTTAACAGGTATCACATTTTTTGTTTTTCAAGAGTTATTTTATCTTGTGATTTGCTTATTTCTTTTGTATAGATTTATGTTATTAAATAGATGTAATATTTTATATGTGCAGTGGGGTTTTGTGTATCAATTATACCTCAATAAAGTTTTAAAAAAAGAAACTAGAAAAAATACAGTTGACCCTTGAACAATGTAGGAGATTGGGAGGCTGACCCCCTGTGCAGTAGAACATCCACATATAACTTTGTACTACCCCAAAACTTAACTACTAATAGCCTACTGTTGACTGGAAGGCTTACCCGTAACATAAACAGTCTATTAACACATTTTGTATGTTATGTGTACTATATATTGTATTCTTAAAATAGGCTAGAAAAAAGAAAATGTTATTAAAAATATCATAAGGAAGAGAAAACACATTTTTACATTACTGTATTGTATTTATCCATACTGTAAGTTTATGTTGCCTATTTACAAGATACGTTGTCTATTTGCAATGGCAGGCAACCGCAGCTGCAAATCTTATCCATGATACCTATCAAGCAATCCAACTTTGCCTAGTAATGTCATTACTTTTCTCTGCTTCTTGGGAGCACGTCTAGCATCACTAGAGGTACTTCGTATGGGTCCTATGTTGTTATTCAAGGTTTATGGCATTACACTATACATGAAAAATACACCAGAACCACAAGAGGTCACTTTTTACTGTGATTCACATTTTACTGGAGAGCTGAACTGCTCACAGGGAGATGATGAGCATCACATGGCATTTTAAGAGGATACTTGGCAACACTTGAGCTCATGGCAAAAGCAGCAGGAGGTGGCCACAAAATTATTACAGTAGTACAGTATGTACTACAGTTAATTTTATACAGTTATGATTTAGTAATACTTTAGGTTTCTTTACATTTATGTTTCTTTACATTTCTCTTGACTGTGAATGGCATCATGTACAGTCTGAGTGCATAAGTTTTAATAAATTTTAACTTTGGTAATGGATCTGTGCATGTTTTATGGTAGTAAATGATAAAATAGACTAATATCTATGTATAATTTACACATTGATGTCACACATAATGCTTTCTTGTTTTTTTTTCTGTATTTTTAGCCAATGCAGTTTGTTTGCAAGTTTCTTCAAATTGTCACAAATCTCCAAAAAATTTCCAATATATTTATGTAAAAAAATATGTATAAGGGGATTCATGCCATTCAAACTTGTGTTGTTCAAGGGTTAACTGTAGAGACCATAATGGTCTAAAAAACACCTAACTTTCCATGTACTCATGAGTAGCTATCTGAAGATTTGCTCCTTTTTAAAATTGAGTTATTGATTTTTTAAGTAATTCAGTTGTAGGAGTTTCTTATATATTTTGGAAACTAACTCCTTTTCACATATATGGTTTGCAAATATTTTCTCCCATTCCACATGTCAGTTGGTTCCTTTGCTGTGCAGAATCTTATTAGTTTTATATTGTCCCACTTAGTTATTTTTGTTTTTGTCTTCTGTGCTTTCAGTGTCCTGTCTATGAAATCATTGTCAAAACCCATGTAGTGAAGGTTTTAGGTTTTATGTTTAAGGCTTTCATCCATTTCGAGTTGATTTTTGTATAAGGGTTCAATTTTATTATTTTGCCTGTGCATTATTTTATATGTATATTCTTTTGCAGTTTCCTTGGCACCATTTGTTGATGAGACTATGCTTTCCTCATTGCATATTCTTGGTACCCTTGTCAAAGATCAGTTGACCATATATGCAACAGTTTATTTTGCGCTTTCTATTCATTTCCTTGGGTCTATATGCATGTCTTAATGCCAGTACCATACTATTTTGATTACTGTAGCCTTGTAATATATTTTGAAATCATTATGTGTGATGCCTCTAATGAGTTAAGGTCATGAATAGACATGTCCAAAGAAGATGCATTAGTCCATTTTCCCACTGATATAATGAACTTACTGATGCTGGGTAGCTTATAAAGGAAAGAGGTTTCATTGACTCACATTTCTACATGGCTGGGGAGGCCTGAGGACATGTACAATGATGGTAGAAAGGAAAGCAGGTACATCTTACATGGTGGCAGGTGAGAGAGAGCGTGTGAAGGAGGAAGAGTTGAACACTTATAAAACTATCAGATCTCGTGAGAGCCCACTCACTATCACAAGAACAGTATGGGAGAAACTGCTCCTATGATCCAATCACCTCCCACCATGTCCCTCCCTTGAAACATGGGGATTGTGGGGAATACAATTCGAGATGAGATTTGGGTGGGGACACAGAGCCAAACCATATCAGAAGATATACAAATAGCCAAGAGGTATGTGAAAAGTCATTAACATTGTTAATCATCAGGGAAAGGCAAATCAAAACCATGATAAGATATCTCCTAACACCTGTCAGTATGGCTATTATCAAAAAACCAAAAGAAAACAAGTGTTGGTGATGAGATGAAGAAATTTGGACTTTTGCATATTGTTGGTGGGAATGCAAAATGGTGCAGCTGCTGTGGAAAACAGTATGAGATTTCTCAAAAAAATAAAAATAGAACTACCATATGATCCAGCAATCCTGCTTCTGTGTATTTACCCAGAAGAATAGAAATAATGATCTCAAAGAATATTAGCACTCTTTTGTTCATTGCCTTACACAATAGTCAAGATGTGAAAACAACCTGAATGTCTATTGACAGATGACTGGATAAAGAAAATATAGCATATACATAGAATGGAATACTATTCAGCCTCAAAAAACAAGAAACTTCTGTTATATTCAACAATATGAACAAATCTTCTTTTTCTTTTTCCTTCTCATCTCCTTCTTCCTCCTTTCCTCGTCCCCCATCTCTCCTCCTCCTCTTCCTCCTTCTCCTCCTTCTCCTTCTTCTTCTCCATTTTCTTCTCCTTCTTCTTCTTCATCTTCTTCTCCTTCTTCTTCTGACAGAATCTCACTCTGTTGCCCAGGCTGGAGCGTAGTGGCACAATCACAGCTCACAGCAGCCCCTACCTCCTGGACTCAAGCAGTCCTCCCACTTTAGACTCCCAACTAGCTGGGACCACAGGCATGTGCTACCATGCTCAACTAATTTTTAAAAATTTTTGTAGAGATGAAGTCTCACTTTGTTGCCCAGGCTGGTCTCAATCTCCTGGGCTCAAGCAATCCTCCTGCCCTAGACTCCTAAATTGTTGAGATTTCTGGCATTGAGCCACTGCTCCTGGCCAGTATATGGATAAATCTTGAGAACATTATGCTAAGTGAAATAAGCCAGTCACAGAAAAACGAATACTGTGCTGTTTTATTCTACTTATATGTGATATCTAAAATAGTCAAATTCATTCAAGTGGTTGCCAAGGGCTAAGTAGGGGGGAAATGGGAAGTTACTAATCGATGGGCATAAAGTTTCAGTCAAGCAAGATGAGTAAGTTCTAGGGATGTGCTGCATGACATGGTACCTATAGTCAACAATAATGTATAGTTCATGTAAAATGTGTTAAGAAGGTAAATCTAATGTTAAATGTCCACAATACAATCAAATTAAAGAAAGTTTACTCCAACAAAATAAGGAAATAAACCAAAATGAGAAAAAATCAAATGCAAGACATGGAATAGTGTCGCCAAACAACAGCTCCAGCAGGCCTGCAGTACGATCAGAACGAACTAATAAGGAAATTATCTAAAAACGTCTTCAATTCAAAGACCAATATGCATTTGGCTTCATTTTTTAAAGCTAAAATACATACAACTAGAACCAGCTTATTTTTATTGCTCTGTAAACTAGCATGGGACTACGCATTTCCTATGAATTTATAGATGAAATGTGACAAATGGCAAACTCTAAACGTAAAAACAAACAAAAATTGGTAAAGCTAAACACTGTTTCAACCTTATGTTTTACAAATGCAAGTTATTTCCCTCAATTCGACACAGAGTTTCTGTTTGCTTGTTTTCCCCAACATGTTTGCCTGTGTAAGCTCATTCCACACTGTAGGCCCACAATTAATGCTAAGACATGACCAAGTGAGCCTTTGTCACTTGCTCACTCTGTCCCTCTACTATGGTCCTGCCTCTGACCCTCTTCCTCCTATTAGTGTCTACAGATTTCTCCCTCTGCTAATACCTGCCCTCTGCAATTCCTCTAACACTAGGAAAAGTGTTTGGAATGTCAACAACTTACACATCCTAGGAGCACATCTTTGACAAGAATCAGATTATTCCCTCTTACTCTCTTCTTCCCCCAAGAGAAGACAGATCCTTCCAAAAATTGGTGCTACTACTTAAATGTCATCATTTCAAGAGTTCCTCTGGCTGTTATTCTCAAAACTCTTGGGAAAGTAGAGTTGTGAGAATGATTAGAAACCTTGACAATAGAAATTATATCAGTTTCTTTTTAATTTCTTGATCAATGAAAAAACAAACAAATAATGCAAGGAATTGGGGGTTTGGCTGTCTTCAAGAGGACTTAATGTAGACAGATCTGATTACCTTAAAAACCATCCTGTCTCTTACTTTATCTTTTAGTGAGTTTGTCATGTTGATTTTAGATGATGTTGATTTAGATGATTTAGATTGATTTAGATGATGTTGATTTAGATGTAGCCAAGGGCTGCAGCATCAACTTAATTTCATTTTGTTATCCTGTCAATTTAGGGGTGTCTTTACTTTTTAAATAAATATAGTATGGTTTAGTTTTAAATTTCAATTTGGGATAATTTATACCTGTTTAGGATAATTTATACCTGTTTATGTGCCAGTGAGGTAGGTAGTTTTTAGTTCTTGCGAGATGGGGAGATTTTAAATGATATCAGGTGTTGGTGTTGCAATTAATTTTCTATTAGTAAATCCAATGGAATCTTCTTCCTTGGCATAAAATTAAGTTAAAAAACAGTTGGAAGTTCAATACTGTGTGGCTCAATATAATATATGTGAGTATTAATTTGAAGAGTTACCACCCTTCAGTAACTGTTGAACTCAGAGTCAAAAAGCCTTCTTTGGTTAGAAACTCAATATGTAACATTAAGAAAATCATTTAACTTTTCGAGATATCAACTTCTTAGCAGTAAAACTAAAGGGTTGGACAGAATTATCTCTAAGAACAATTTCTAGAAATACCTGATTTTACACTTTCTATGCTTGTGATTGAAAAAAAGTGATAAAAATAAGAAAGTTAAAAAGTCTTACTTGAAAAGTGAATACAAGTGACTGACCTCAAATTCATTATCAAGGTATAAATGATTCATGTGTTGCCCGAGGAAATTATTGTGATTAAGAAAAAAATGTGGCTGGCCAGGTGGCTCATGCCTGTAATCCCAGCACTTTGGGAGGCTGAGGCAGGCGGATCATGAGGTCAAGAGATCGAGACCATCCTGGCCAACATGGTGAAATCCCGTCTCTACTAAAAATACAAAAATTAGCTGGGTGTGGTGGTGCGTGCTTGTAGTCCCAGCTACTTGGGAGGCTGAGGCAGGAGAATCGCTTGAACCCAGGAGGCGGAGGTTGAAGTGAGCCGAGATCACATCACTGTACTCCAGCCTGGTGACAGAGCAAGACTCTGTCTCAAAAAAAAAAGAAAAAAATGTGAAATGAAAGGGATCTACTTCCAAATTGTTTTCCTTTTGGGTATCATTACAAGTTTTGAATCTTATAGTTCTTATTAGTATAATATTGGGCTCATACTTTTGCAGTAATTTAGTTTCCTAACCCTCATCCATTGTTTATTAATAAAAGCTATTACATGTAGAGGCGTATTATGAGCTCTTTAAGGAACATTTTCCAATTTAATTCTCATATCTATATGAATATAGTATTATCACCAAGATTTTGAGGAGTAAAACGAAGCAAAGTGAGCTTGGATAATTGTTCAAGATCATAAAATTAGCTAATGACAGATTTTTTTCACCTGGAACCATCAGACTTCACAGCCATCCTGTTAACCATGGTGTTACCCTGCTTTTATTTCTCCATAAATGTTCTAGTAAATGTGCTACAACTTTCTCCTTTTTCTAGTCACTGTCTTATGGACTGAATGTTCATGTTCTCCCCAAATGTACATGTTGAAACATCACCCGTTGTGATACTGTTAGGAGGTAGGGCCTTTGGGAGTTGATTAGACTTAGATGAGGTCATGAGGGAAGAGACGTCGTGAATGGGTTTAGTATCCTTATAAGAGTCCCTAGAGTGTTTTCTTCTCTCTGCTCTCCATTACGTGAGGACACAACAAGTCCATAGTCTGCAGCCAGGAAGGGAGCCCTCACCAGAACCTGACCATGCTGGCACCCTGTTCTCAGACTTTCAGCCTCCAGAACTGTAAAAAATTAAATTTCTGCTATTTATAAGCCACCCAGTCTATGGTAATTTGTTATAGCAGCCTGACCTGACTAGGAAATTCTGTAAAACGTTGGCAAACTCTTTTTTTCTTCTGAGCAACATTCTCATTGTTGCAAAAAAAAAAAAAAAAAAAAAAAAAAAAAAAAAGTGCCCTGCCATTTAAACACAAATGAAAATGTTAACCATAGAATAAAGATATTTCTTTGCCATTTATATGTGAAACAAGCAGAAAATTAAATCAAAAGACTCTCTTGACATTGTTTATTTAAATTTTTTTTTTCATGAACCACATGAAGCTACTTTATTAGGTACAGAGTCAATGGTGAGTTAGAGATTAGTAAGTTTGCAGAAGGTACAGGTTACTTCCCCACTCAAACCATTAAAACAATGCAGTATCTAGTTCCAAAAGAAAAGATGTTATCTCATAGCCAGTTGACAAATTTTACTGGTACCTTTCAAGTGAAAAAACAACCATAACTAAATCTTAGTTTTTATGTCATTCATGTGTTATGGGTTAAATCATGTCCCTCCAAAATGACAGGGTGGAGTCCTAACTCCCAGTACCTCAAATGTGACTTTATTTGGAGATGGAGTCTTTGCAGTACAATTAATTTAAAAGTTTTCTAGGTCATGGACTAAATTTGGAAAATGACAAGATTTAAGTAGCTACTGCTTTAAGATTTAGTACCATACTTTCTACTATCCCAAAATAGTTTGTTCTTAACCTTTACCTTCTACCTCTGAATATGTTATAAACAGTCCACTTACATTTTCAAAATTAACAGCTATCATGAGTACATTAAAAGGGCACCATTGTGAAGTTTGTTTTATGTTTCTTTCCATTAAAATGTATTATTTTCAACTTCTTGCTGTTTTACTTCTTTTCCCTGGTGTGGAACACAATTACCACCATATTCTTATGAGTGCTTTAAAGCCCTCTTTCTAGCTAAAAGCCACACTATATTGTTAACTCCACGAGGTCCAATAACATTTTCCCAAACATGCTGTGACTGTCACCACTGGAGAGAAAGGCTTTTAGGGAAAAATGTGGAGTTCTTATGCAGCACATTCCTTTCTTTCTTTTATGCTTTCCTAATTTCAGGTAATTATTGAGTTGAAGTTTATTAGCTAATTGTATACATGCTGTGGTATTCAAGTACTTTCATTTATGTGGTTGACAGTAACTAGAGTTTTCTTTCATATAGGTATTTTCTTCAGATTTGGGAGGTGAAACTCTAATTTTGGTACTTGGAAGCCTAGTGTGACTCTAACTAGAAGTTAATCAGTTGCATTTATTAGAGAATTGTTCCATGCAACTTGGGGAATTAAAATAATTTTTCTATACTAGGATATCATCCAGTGAGTGCTACACTGAGATGCCCACAAACCATGGACATTGTTTTGCCTGTAACACTGGGGACAAAGTCAGGAACAAAAACTTGAACCACTTGAATCAAATAAATGGGTTCTGGTTCAATATAGTGGTGACGTTTGAACATTTCTAGTTCTGCTCCTCTCAATCGTTTCAGAAAACATATAACTCGTTTCAGTTAAAATTAATTTCTTGGGCACATACTTGAAAAACCCTTAGCTTAGTTTGAATTGACTTATTGATCACTAAAAAAGAGATTTTATAAATTGAATTTAATTTCCCTGGTACCTTCAGCAAAGCTTCGTGGCATCCCTTATTTTGAGTTCAAAGTGCCATTTGGTGTAAAGCCCTGTATGAATAGATCTCTTTGGTAGGGATGAAAGTTTACCAGACAAGATTAAAACTTGTTCATTAATTCTCAAAATTGTCCTTGGACTAAATAATTGCCAGTGCTTTTCCTAGGATTTCATTTAAAGTTTGGTCATGTGACAAAGTGTACTTCCAAGACCATGTCCTGGGAGCTGAGAGAAACCACTCAAAAGGAGCCCAGGGGTTCTGACCAAGATCAGGTGAGAGAACACAGTGATTTCAGACATATGAGACAACCTATGGTTCTTCTTCTTCTTCTTCTTTTTCTGCTTTATACTGGATATATAATATATTGCATGAAATGATTTATTTATTTTCAATTAAAACTTTTTTTTTTTGAGTTGAGGTCTTGCTCTGTTGCCCAGGCTGGAGTGCAGTGGTATGATCATCACTCATTACAGCCTTGAACTCAAGAGATCCTCCCACCTTAGCCTCCTGAGGAGCTGGGATTACAGGTGCATGCCACTGAGCCTGGCTAATTTTGTACATTTTTTGTAGAGATGGGGTCTCACTTTGTTGCCCAGGCTGGTCTTGAACTCCTGGCCTCAAGCAATTATCTCACCTTGGCTTCCAGAAGCACTGATATTACAGGCATGAACCATTGCCCATGCCTGCATATATTTGAAACTTATAATTTGATCAGAAGCCCACCTCTTATTCCCAAAAGATTCCTCATGCCTGTCTGTCATTCTCCCTCCCAATTCTCTACCTGCCCCATTCCCAGGAAACCAACAATTTGCTTTCTGCCATGATAGATAAAATTTTCTCGAAGTTTATATTGATGGGGCTCAGGGCATGCCACCCCCAAATATGGCATGTTGGCATTTGAAAAAATAGCAAAAGCAAGAAAGTCACTCTCAACTTCCCCTCGCCCTTCCTCCCCTGAAGTAGGCCATAAAACCCAGATGATCTTTTCCTAAAGTAGGTCATGAAACTCTCATTCTAGAGATGCCAGTCCTATATTTCATATCCAGAGGAAAGATACATCCTTATCCTTGAAAACACAGAGATATCAAAAAGAATCTGAACAAACAGGCCCAAGATCCCCCTAGTTGATCACCATTAGGTCATACCCCTTTGCCCAATCATACTTCTGCACAATTGTCCACTGTTCCTCAAACCTAAGCCTAAACAATACACACATTTCCCTATTTCTTTGAATCTTCATTTCTCAAGGCTCCCATGCCACATTATTAAATATATTTGTATGATTTTTCTCTTGCTAACCTGCATTTTTGCTATAGGAGCCTCAGCCATGAACTTCGTGATGCATGAGGAAAAGATGTTACCTTTTCTCCCTGACGATAAAAATGGAATCATACAGTATATATTCCTTTTTGTTTGGCTTTTGTCACTCAGAATAATTAGCTTTAATTTCACTCATGTTATTGAGTGCATTAAGAGTGCTTTTATTGCTGAATCACATTCAACTTTATGGATATACCATGATTTGTTTATTCATTTACCTATTGATGGAAGCCAGAAAGAAAATGAGCACCTTAGCCCTACAACCACAAGGAAATAAATTCCATTAACAACCTGAATGAGCTTGAAATAGAAATCTTGAGCCTTAGATAAGTTTGCACATATCAACCTCTTTTTTTCAGTCTGGTGAGACTCTAAGCAGAGAACTCAGTTAACCTCAGTTAACCAGAGTCCCAATTCATGGGAACTGTGAGATAATAAATTTGTCTTGTTGTAATGCTCTATGTCTTTTGTGATTTGTTATGCAGCAGAAGTCAAGAAATGCTGCCATGAGGAAGGAACACATGAAGGTGTAGACTTCTCCAAGGTGACACTAGGACAGAGGCAATAGCCTGCTCAGACACCCAGTGGTAGAAGGGAACACAGAGTGTTCAAGGGAACCAAAAGTATGCTCTGGCTGGATTGCAGCTACTCAAAAGGAGAAGGAACTGGGATGAGGCTAGAGATGTAGTCAGACCCTATAAATTTTTTTTTTTTTTTTGAGCATTGAGACCTCAGGAACAGGTTTTAATGGGTGTTTGCTGGTGGAGGAGAGGGTGGAGTGACTTAACATGATGAGACTTACTGTGTTGGAAAGATTATTCTCACTGCAATGTGGAGGATGGGCTTGGAGAGGGCAACAGTGAATGTGGAAACCAGTAAGAAATGCAGTGTTGTAGTCTCAGGGAAAGAAGTTGGCAGTATGAATTTGGGCAGTAACAGTGGAAGCTAGAAGTGAACAAATTTGAGAAATATTTAGGAAGAACCTTGGAGACAACCAGCCACATGGAGGTATTGGGTAGAGAGTTGCATGTACTGATTCAAAATACTCTTTTCAAAATACTCTTCTTTTGGCTTCCTTACCACTTTCTTACCTTGTATACCTTTGGTTACTGAATTGAATTTAATTTCCCTGGCACCTTCAGCAAAGCTTCGTGGCATCCCTTATTTTGAGTTCACGGTGCCATTTGGTGTAAAGCCCTGTATGAATAGATCTCTTTGGTAGGGATGAAAGTACTGATTCAAAGCTAAAAAGGTAAGCCCACACTGGAGAAAGACTCATTGGCCTGTAGAGGGTAACCAAAGCTGCAGGCGGGTATGAAATAATCTAAGATACTGAATGTTTCAACACTTAGTTTCTGCAAAATAATCTTGTAAAGGAGACTTTCAGTAACCAAAGATACACAAGGTAAGAAAGTGTTAAGGAAGCCAAAAGAAGAGTATTTTGAAAAGAGGATTTTGAAAATGAGGAAATGATCCACAGTAAAAATAAATGCTGAAAAGTCAAATAATATGAGATTTGAAGATGTCAGTTGTATTCTGAAGCTCTTAGAAAGAACTGCTTTGGTGTGATAATGAGGGTGATGAGAAAAACAGGAACACTGTAATTTGGCCAGCATGTGGGAAAGTTTGTGGAAAAGAGGATGGAGAGGCTCTAGCTTAGAGAGAAGAGAGGTCAATGAGACTTTTTGTTTGTTTTTTGCTTGTTTGTTTAAAAATAGAAAATACGTAAATAAAGAGATCTAGTTAAAGAGTGAACCATTAAGTAACTCATTATTGCTGTGTTTTTATTGCTTAGTGTGACTATTTATCCCATGGAAAATGAAAAAGTTTTTATTTAACAGCATAGTCTTCAAAGGCATTCAAGCTATTCTTCTTCTACCTTATTTTTTAATACCCTGCCTTAAACTTAAATCACAAATGATTCCCAGGAAGGTATTTTTGCAATAAATAAGTAAATACAGAAACTCATTTGGAGCTCACAGTATTTGTTTTTATAGTTGTTCCATGGCATGAGTTAATCAGTTAACAAGGCAGTAACTTTTAATAGGAACCCCTTTCTTCTGAATACTGTCTAAGCATTTGTGATAATTGTTCAGGCTCTAAAAGAAAAAATTGCTGCTCCCCAGGAGTTCAAAATTGAATGGATGAAGTGATGAATAAAAGCACTGAAAGGTTTGTGGAATACTAATGGGAAGAAAAACTGAAGGATAATTTATCTTTCCTGTAGTATCATTAAATCTCACTTTAAAAACGAAATCCTTGTCCTAAGAAGTTTATACAATTTTTTTTCATGACATATACGAGAACTAAAGCCAAGAAATTCTATTATTACCACCCTTAAAATTGGGCTGTATCCATGCCACACACACAAAAATGTTTTTAAGAAAGCATGATAGTCATTTGTTCATTGATTAGTAAACTTTATGTATGAAGTCAGTCTAGCGACGAACTTTTTTGTTCCAGTAGGATAACTGCAATCTTCACCCTCTCAAGTTTCTATTTTTCCTCCTGAAATTACTATTATCATTCAGGCAGCAGCCAGGACTTTTCTGTATATCCTACCCTCAGGGTCTGCTTGATATTGTAAAACTGCTGAGTCATCACTTACATTGTGTTTCAAAATAAACTTGACAAGTACAGCAGAATAAAATACAGCTTTGAAATAAATAAACCTGGATATTTTGATACCAAGTCCAAAGTTTACATCATAGGAGACTAATAATAGATGAAGAGAACTGAAGGTCCCCAGTCAGCTCTGTTAGGCTGCCTAACTCATACCATATCAAGTACCATCTTTCCCAATTCTAGAAGCCAAGTGAGAGTCAAATTGGCTCCTAAGGTCACTCAGTGACTATTCATGAATGTGTTTTCTGAGCATTCGCTGTGCTGGGCAAATCTTCCTGTGGGTACCCTGAAAAGTTTTTTCATGGTTAGCATCTAGCTCATAGTCTATTGATCGTCTAGCAGGGGAGACAGACAAGTGTACAACTCAGTTATTTTTAGTGTATTTGCAGAGTTGTGCCCCCATACCCATAATCTAATTTTAGAATATTTTCATCACCCCCAAAGAAACCTTGTACCCATTAGTAGTCACACCCCTTAACCCTTGGTGACCACCAATCTATTTTCTGTCTCTAAATTTTTCTTTTCTGGGCATTTCATGTAAATCGTATCATAGAAGACATGGTGATATGGTTTGGCTGTGTCCCACCCAAATCTCATCTTGAATCTGTTGTGGAAGGGACCCACTGGGAAGTAACTGAATCATGGGGGAAGGTCTTTCCCGTGCTGTTCTTGTGAGAATGAGTAAGTCTCATGAAATCTGATGGTTATTATAAGGGGGAGTTTTCCTGCAAAAGCTCTCTTTTCTTGTCTGCCACCATGTGAGTCGTGCCTTTCACCTTCTGCCATGATTGTGAGGCCTCCCCAGCCATGTGGAACTGTAAGTCCAATAAACCCCTTTCTTTTGTAAATTGCCCAGTCTCAGGTGTGTGTATGTCTTTATCAGCAGCGTGAAAATGGACTAATACATATGGTCATTTTTGACTGGCTTTTTTCACAGAGTTCATCCATGCTTTAGCATTTATCAGTACTTCATTTCTTTTATTATGTTTCATGTACGACATAATGTTCCGTTGTACACATAACCACTGCATCAGTTGCTGCACATTTGTATTGTTTCTACTTTTTGGCTATTATAAATATTGCTGCTATGAACACTTTTGTACATGTTTTTGTGTAAACATATGTTATCATTTCTTTTGGCTAGATAGCTATATAACACATGACAATTTTTAGCAACTACCACTGAGAGCTTTAGACCTCTATAGACCTGGTGGTTTGGAAAGGTCTCATTCTCCCAACCCTTGCCCTCACGTATAATCTATGCTGGGTATATGAGGTTTCTCCAGAGAAACAGAACTAATAGTATATATGTACAGGAAGAGATTTATTAGAGGAATTGTCTTATGTGATTATGGAGGCTGAGAAGTACCACAATCTGCTGTCTACAAGCTGGTGACCCAGGAAAGTTGGCAGTGTAATTCCAGTCCAAGTCCAAAAACCTTGAAAAAAAACAAAGGAGTCAAGGGGGTAAATTTTAATCCAAAGGCAAGAAAAGACCAATGTTCCAGCTCAAGTAGGTAGGCAGGAAGCACAAAAGGGCAAATTCCTCCTTCCTCCACCTTTTTGTTCTATTCAGGTCCTCAATGTCCACCCACATTGGGGAGGGCAATCTGCTGAGTCCACTGACTCAAATGTGAATGTCATCTGAAAACACCCTCATAGATATACCCAGAAATCATTTTTAATCTGGGCACTCTATAGCGTAGTCAAGTTGACACAAAAAATTAACCATTATACTTTGCTAAGATTCATCAGAATTAGAGTGAGCTCTATGCCAAGAACACAGTGTGGTGAACTTTTTTCTGTTTTTGCACAGATCATTTATATATATTTTACCTGGTTCTACATGGGTTTATGTAGTCAGTACATAGGAAGCTACAACAAGCTAATTGGAATTAATATAATTCTTAGAATACGTTGAGGAAACTTGGTGTTAATGAATGGTTTCATTAAGAATAAATGAGTCATCTAAAATAATTTAATTGAAATAAATATCTATAATTAACTGAGAAGTTTTGGGAGCAGAATATTATAGTCAAGTACCAAAAAAAAAAAAATCCTAGTAAAATAATAGACTCTAGAAATAGAAAGACCTACTTTTGAGTTTCAGCTTTTTCACTTGTTATTTTGCTTTGAGCAAGTTGTTTAACCTCTGTAAGCCTATCTCATCATTTCTAAAGCAGGATTAATAACAGTACCTATTTTTTAGGATTGTTGTTAAAATTAAATAAGATAATACTTGTAAAGATTGAGTGTAGAGCCTGGTTTATAACAAGAGCTCAAGAAATAGGCTTTTCTCAGCAGCCACCAATGTGCTCTGTCCTTCTGAGGACACTAAGGCTGCCTTGGAGTGAGACCTTCACTTTAGTAGATAACTAACACCTCACTCGCCTGACAGCACCAACCCCGGACTCGCCTGAACCATGGCCTCCATCTCCAAGATTTTGCATCTACTAAGCCCTCGTTCTGCACAATGACAAGGTGACCATCACAGAGGATAAGATCAATGGCATCTTTAAAGCAGCTGGTATAAATGTGGAGCCTCCTGGCCTTCCGTGGTTGTTGAAATAATGAGTATTTTACAGGGATTCTAGTGGATTGCTCAATGCAATTCTTCAGCATGAGTATTACTGTTTATGTCAAAAAAGCCATCTTTGACAATTTGATGCTATCAGGTAAAATTGCCCTGTTTCATTGCTGCCTTCTTTTGAAAAGTGATGTTTATGACGTGCAAGTTGCTTAATTATATGGCTGACTTGGTTTCTGAGGTCTATCAAAGACTTTCTGTTTTTGACTTAGGAATTGTTTGAGAATACCTTTCATGTGAAATAGTGTAAAATCATTTACTAAGAAATATGTAAAATATCTACATAGAAAAAGTTCTAGAAAGTATAGAATAAAATGTTTACAATAGCTTTGTAGGAGAAAGTTGAATAGCAGAGATGGAAATGGTGGCAAAGGCTGAGAAGACAGAATTTTAATTGTTACTGTATATATTTCTACACTGCTCTTTTTGATTGTTAAACAATGATCTGCTATTAGCTTTGCAGCTGAGAACATGTGTGCCTTGAGAAACTCATGTGGCATTTTTTGCACATGCATTTTTTCCTTTTTCTAGGCATCACTGTTCCTGTTTTACATATAAAATACACCAAAAGAGATGCCTCCCTGAGTAGAGAATGCTTTTATTATTTTCCTCTTTTTCCTACTAAAAATATTTGTAAAATGAGAACACTAGAACATTGGGGTTAAATAAGAATCAATAATGGCACTAAATTCTCAAGATAGAAATTCATAGTATCCATTAATCACAGAGTACGTGTATCTTATTTATAAATCATCTCCAAATAATCTTACTTTGGTAGAGTAAGTGGATTTTGCTTTAGTAAACATTTAGTGTGATATGTTTCCAGAATAAGAATTTCAGCAATGGACTATATTGTGCATTCATGTTACCTATAGAGAGTGACAAATCCAATCAAAGCTTATTGTACTTTTTATTATTCCCATAATAAGAAATACAATAAAGTAGAATATAAATGGCCTGAGGCACTCACTGCTTTATATAAATAAGATTTTTAATTAAGGAAGAAAATACATAATTACTTATTTTAATTTAATCATAGTTTTTCATCATTTTATACCTTTACATCAGCCGCTATAAATTCATGTCTAAAATACCATTGCACCAAATGAAAGCCTGGAAATGGTGAAGTGGATGTTGCTGAAGAAATTGAGATGTTATTTCAGGTACATTCTTCAGGAAGAAAACTCCTTTGTCTTGTTTTAGATGATGGTCTTGAAACATCTGATTTTTTAAGCTATAATTATGTGACTTTTTATTCTTTTAATGTCACAAAGTAATATTGCAATCTCCAAGTGACTCTGAATATGGCAATTTTAGATTTTATAATAATTTTTTTGATAGCTGAATTCTAAATGTATCAATTAATTAGAAAAAAGTCACCCTAGTTTTGGAGACAAATCAAAATAATAGGAAGGAAACCTTAAAATCATATTTAAAGATCTTCAGACAACTTTTAAGGATACTATTATTATTTAAAAACAATTGAAAATTATTTTTAAATACCTTAAAAGTATTTTTTCATAATCTAATTAATATTTAGCAAATGATTCCAAGAATGAGACAATGATACAGGTATTTTAGGACATTCATTCATTCATTCATTCATTCAAAAATGTTTACTAGGCATCTACTATGTATCAAGTTCTATTCTAAATTCTGGTAACACAGTGGCAAATAAACCATCAAAAGAAATGTTTGACTACCATTATATTTCAGACACTATGCTTGGTACTGGGGTATAGTAATGAATTAAAAAGAAAAAATTCTGGGCGCATTGGCTCACGCCTGTAATCCCAGCACTTTGGGAGGCCGAGGCGGGCGGATCACGACGTCAGGAGATAGAGACCATCTTGGCTAACACGGTGAAACCCTGTCTCTACTAAAAATACAAAAAATTGGCCTGGCGCGGTGGCTTGCGCCTGTAGTCCCAGCTACTCCAGAGGCTGAGGGTGGAGAATGTCATGAAACTGGGAGGCGGAGCTTGCAGTGAGCCGAGGTAGCGCCACTGCACTCCAGCCTGGGTGACAGAGCGAGACTCCGTCTCAAAACAAAAAAAAAAAGAAAAAAGAAAAGAAAAGAAAAAATTGTCTGTTCTCATGGAACTTATCTTCTAACTCATACATTCAAAAATATGAAAGATAAATGAGTAAAACAGATAGTATGTTTGACAGTGATAAGTACTCGTAGGTAACATAAATAAAGCAAAGTTGAGTGTGTGTGTGTGTGTGTGTGTGTGTGTGTGTGTGTGAAATTTTAGATAGGGTGTCAGGGTAAAACTAATTGAGAGCATGATTTCTTTAATAAGCACTTGAAAGAAGCAGGCAGAGCTCTATCTGGGAGATTATCTGGTATCTAGTTGAAGAGACTCCTAGGCAAAGGCAATAGAGGTGGCAAAAGCCCTGAGGAAAGATTGTGAACGAAATGTTCCAGGAAGAGCCAGGAGGTAAGATGGTCACTGTGAAGAGAGCAAGATGGAGTGGATAGGAAATAAGGTTAGAGGTGCAGTGCAAATTGGTTACCTTTGTAACAGATTGTATATGATCTTATAGGTCATTGTAAGGATTTGAGCTTTTACACTAAGAGAAATGAGTCACTGGAATTTTTTTAAGCAAGGAGATGACACGACTTATGTTTCAACAGGATCATTTTGACTTCTGTTTCAACAGTATAAATTTGTCTGTTGCCTTCATAAAATAACCTTAATTATTGTTTGGAGATGATGTTGGCCTTGATTGTGGTGGTAAGTTGGTAGACACCTAGAAATATTTTGAAGGTGAATCCAACTTCAGCATTTATATGGAGACAACTCTATGTAAATAATGTGACAATCTTTATACAGAGGATGACAGGAAAAAAATGACTCTATGATGTTGGGCTGATTGTCTTCAAGTAAGTGTCTGCCATTTAACTGAAATGGGAAAAAATTATAGCAGTGCAAGATTACCCTCTGTAGCGCCACCCCCAAGAGTGGTGTTTAGTAATTCAGTTTTGCATGTGTTAAATTTGGACGCCTTTGGACATTCAAGTGGAGATATCAGGATATATGGTGAAAGATTCAGGCTGGTAAAATCATTGAACATCATTTCCATGTACATAATAATTAATGCCATAAAATGAAATAATTTAAGGAGTTAATATAGATGGAAAAGAGAAGACTTCCAAAGACTAAACCTTGGGTACTCCGATATTTAGAGTTTGGAGAAATAAGGAATCCCAGCAAATGAGACAGAGAAGGAGTCACCAGAAGTGTAGGAGGTAATCCAGGTACATATTATGCCTTGGAAGCCAAGAGAAAAAGTACTTCAAGGAAGGGAGAGTAGTCAACCATGCCAAATAACACTAGATAAAGTACTATGAGGACTTGAGACATAAACATTAGATTTAGCAAAATGCAGGGGTTTTTTTAAAATGACCTTGATAAGAACAGTTTTACTGGACTGATGGGGATAAAACTTTGAGTGTATTCAAGAGAATGGGGTGGAGGGGAAGAGAAATTGCAAGAAATTGCAGGTGTTGAGTACAGCATGGACAACTCTGCCAAGGAGTTATATCTTAAAGAAAAGAAAAGAAAAGAAGGAATAGTAGCTGGAGGTGGAAATGAAGTCAAGATATAAAATATATGGCTATACATAATGTTTAAAAGTATGCTTTTGAATCTTTTATTACTGCATTTTGATTATAGCACCTCATACAAGTCACATTATAACCGATAATTAAGAAAAAAAAAGAGATCATAGTCTGATTCAAATGTAGAAAATGGGCAAGCAATGATTGAAGAGACTTTATGCCTAAGAGGCTCACCTGCCAATGAACATGATTTTTACAGTTGTATTATGATTATGATGAACTGATAGGCCTCAGAAACGTCAAGTGATTTGCTACACACTTTATAAGAAAATCAACTAGCAAGAAGCCATTATATTAGAAAGAGCCTTGACCTTGGTGAAGTGGTAACAGACTGCAAAGTCATAATGTCATTTTCACTTAAATTGGAATTAAGACTTTAGGAGGAAAATGCTCCTATGGGAGGAAAGACTTTCCAGAAGGAATTACAAAAAGCCTTATGTATGTTATGAATCTTTACTCTTTGCGAAGAAGTGTTCTTGAAATAAGAGATGGGAATCATAAAACTTGGATATTTTATAAGCTGGATTTATTATTATGTATTATGAGTCAAATTGTGCGTCCCTAAAGGACATGTTGGACTCCTAACCTTCAGTACCTCAGGATGTGACCTTATTTGGAAAGGTGACTGCAGATGTAATGAGTTAAAATGAGGTCGGCCGGGTGCTGTGGCTCACGCCTGTAATCCCAGCACTTTGGGAGGCCGAGGTGTGCGGATCACGAGGTCAAGAGATCGAGACCATCCTGGCCAACATGGTGAAACCCCGTCTCTACTAAAAATACAAAAATTAGCTGGGTGTGGTGGCGCACACCTGTAGTCCCAGCTCCTCGGGAGGCTGAGGCAGGAGAATCACTTGAACCTAGGAGGTGGAGGTTGCAGTGTGATGAGATCGTGCCACTGCACTCCAGCCAGCCTGGCGACAGAGCTAGACTCCGTCTCAAAACAAACAAACAAAAACGAGGTCACACTGGAGTAGGATGAGCCCTTAACCCAGTATGATTGGTATCCCGAGAAGAGGAAAAGAGACCCAGAGACACAGACATGTAAGGGGAGAACACTGTGTGATGACAGAGGCAGAGATTACAGCATGGCAGCTGTCAGCCATGGAACACCAAGGAGTGCCAGCAACCACCAAGGCTAAGGAGAGGCAAGGAAGCACTCTCCCCTCCAGATTTCAAAGGAAACATGGCCCTGCTGATAGTTTGATTTTGGACTTCTCCAGAACTGTGAGAAAATAAGGTTTTCTTCTTTATTTCCAGATTTTCTACTTAATAAGGATATTAAAATCATGTTTGTAAAACCCACCCAGTTTATAAAAGCCACCCAGCTTGTGGTACTTTGTTATAGCAGCCCTATGAAACAAATACACTATCTATTGCCAAATGTAGGAAAATATAGTGAAAAAAACCTTGCTTAGAGTTTGAGTTCCAGTCTGAAAAACAAAAACAATGTAGCAATTGGGCAGCCGTGGATGACTAACAATATAAACCGAAGAATCCAGCAGTATTATTATATTATTAAATTCAATTATTAAGAACAGACTATGTGATTCTTTCCCTGCATCATCCCAAATCTCCAGAATAGCCTATCTGCAGTGTATGTATTATAGCTCCTATTTCATAGATGAGGTAACCAAAGCTTAAGGGAGTAAAAATAATGAGTGAGACAGAATTCTGGCAGATCCGAACAATTTCTATGAAACACCTCCCTTCCATTAAAGTACAGAAGAAAATAGCACATGAGAAAGTTATCAAAGTTATCTACCAATGTGTATGAAGATATGTTCCTAAAACTCATTTAATAAATTTTTTGTTATTAACAAAAGGCATGTTTATGATTTTCTCACACTTCATTTTTTAAAATACAAGAACTTTGCTTCATGTTTTATATGAGGGTAAAGAGATTTAATCTATAGAGCCATTAAACAAGTACTGAATTGGTGCATGACCTGTATGAAATCATCATGTGGCTCTAAAAATAAGACTTTTTAAAAACTGATACCATAATTTCTAGAACGATTGCTCAAAGAAATGAATGGTCCTCAACCCCAAACAACCAAAGAAAACAGAAAAGCCTGACAGAGATCTTTATTAAAATGTATCACCTCAGGTAAGAAAATATAAAATGTGACAAAATCAGAATAAATGAACATAAATAACAAAAAGTAAGACAAACATGATTTTAATAGCTTTATTAAGTAGAAAATCTGGAAATAATTGAGCCCTAAAACATAAAAGAGAGATAAAATGTATTGTGACTTTTGCTTACTTAGTCAGATGTTTGTGTTTTGAAGAAAATGAAAAAAAAAATTATAAGAGAAAATATTCTGCTTAAAAAAATTAGTGGAAAAATCAGAGGATTTTTGGCTATGTACCAGTCCTATATAGCAGGAGTCCCCAACCCCGGGGCAGCAGCCTGCTAGGAATCGGGCCACACAGCAAGAGGTGAATGGTGGGCGAGCGAGCTAGTGATATGGTTGGGCTGTGTCCCCACCCAAATCTTACCTTGAATTGTAATAATCCCCACTTGCCAATGGCAGGGCCAGGTTCAGATAATTGAATCATGGGGGTGGTTTCCTCCATGCCATTCTCGTGGTAGTGACTAAGTCTCACGAGATCTGATGGTTTTATAAATGGGAATTCCCCTGCACACAATTCCTCTTGCCTGCTGCCATGTAAGACAAGACGTGCCTTTGCTTCTCCTTTGCCTTGTGCCATGATTGTGAGGCCTCTCCTTTGCCTTGTGCCATGATTGTGAGGCCTCCCCAGCCATGTGGAACTGTAAGTCTATTAAACCTCTTTCCTTTATAAATTACCCATCTCAGGTATATCTTTATTAGCAATGTGAGAACAGACTAATAGAGCTAGCGTTCCTGCTTGAGCTCCGCCTCCTGTCAGATCAGCTGCGGCATTAGATTCTCATAGGAGCTCGAACCCTGTTGTGAACTGCGCGTGTAAAAGACCTAGAGTGTGAGCCCCTTATATGCCCGATTATGCCTGAGGTGGAACAGTTTCATCCTGAAACCACCCCTCGACCCCGATCCTTGGAAAAATTGTCTTCCATAAAACCTGTCCTTGGTGCCAAAAAGGTTGGGGACTGCTGCTATACAGTATCTGTATATGTGTTTTAATGCTTAGGTTATTGACCTTTTGCATTATCTTATGAATCTCGCACATATCAATGTTTAGTGAAGAAAAAGAATTTTTCTTCACTAAATTTTTCTTCAGTTAACAGGCTTCAGCCTTGATGGAAAAATTTCCTTATGTTCAATTCTTCAAAATGATCTATTTATATGAGTGTCATATGGCTAAGTTCCTTTCTTGTCCTAGGAGGGCAGACATCTTTATCTTTTTGTCAGTTAGGAGAAAGATAAAAGATGAAGCAGCTGGAGAGAACCGTGGCTGTGGAGGAGTGGTTACTATTCTTTGGCTCCAGTCCTCTTCATCTCTAGCCACTTCCTCCCTTGTACCTCTGCTGTCTTATCCCAAAGAAAACTGCTCACTGAGGCAAGTGGCATTTTCAAGAAGATATTGCAATGGCATCCACAAAGCCTATTCATGTTGAGAAATGAGGGAGAATGTGCTTCACACAGTGGTCCCGTCATATAGTCTTTTATGAGCCAAGATAAAACTGTCATTTCCTCTTCTTTAATAGCAAAAATTATTTGTAATAATTTCATGCATTATTGTGAAACAAACAGCATAGTAATTAAGATAATAAACTTAGGTACTAGACAGAACTGGTTTCTAGTTGCAGGTTTTTCAACTTTCTAAAGTGATGCATGGCAAAGGATTTAATCTCTCTAAGCCCAAATTTCCTCTGGTGATAGGGTTTATGAGAACAAAGGACATCATAATTGGAAAGCACCAATTTCAGTGCCTGTAGAAAGTGTATGATAACAGTAAAGTATTGTTATTGTTTATCTTTTTTTTTTTTTTTTTTTTGAGACGGGGTCTCACTCTGTCGCCCAGGCTGGAGTGCAGTGGCGTGATCTCGGCTCATTGCAAACTCCACCCTCGGGTTCAAGCAATCCTCCTGCCTCAGCCTCTCTAGTAGCTGGGATTACAGGCGTGCACCATCACACCCAGCTAATTTTTTGTAATTAAAATCCCAAAGTGCTGGGATTATAGGTGTGAGCCACCGATCCCAGCCTGTTATTGTTTATCTGTGTGACCTTAGATAAGTTACTCAATCACTCTGTGCCTCAGTTTTCTTGTCTGTAAAATGGGATAATTATATTATCTGCTCCATAGAGCTATTGTGACAAAAAAATAAAGACTATATCTAAAGCACTCAGAACAGTGTTTGACATGTCCTAAGTGTTCTGTAAATGTAAGTCACCATTATTGTTGTTATACCATTATTGTCAGCAGTATCATTTATTAATGTAATAATAATAAAATTAGATTCTAATTGTGTTCATTTATAATTGATATATATTAAGGGTGGCTAGCTAGCATTATTTAGGTATGATTTGGAGGCTGCTAGAAAAAAATCTCCCTCCCACTCCACCTCAATCCACACGTCTTGCTTAGAGAACTCCCAGCGACTAAAAGCTCACCATGAGACTCTGAATGTAGAAGTCTCTTCGCCAAAGGATCTCCCTTAAAATGAGAGTTTACAAAATGTAAAAATTCTAGTTTCAGAAATAATAATACCCAAATTAAATTATAATATGGATCAATTTATCAGGTCATTTTACTTCTTGGTAGCAAGAACATGGTAAAATTCAAGAGCAATGAGATTTCCAGAGTGTTGAAGCAGGCTCTGTAGCCAGAATAAAATCAGAGCAAGAGGCAAATAATGTGTGGAAATTGACAAAGATAAGCACTGTCACTTTAACATTTGAGTGGATTTTATTCAAATGACTGCAAATATTGAAAGTGCCATTCTTGTTCTTCCCTTGAAGCAAAGGTAACTCCAAAAAGGTTTGGGTAAGGAATCAGTGGCAAAGCATGATTTATGAAAAATTTCCTTAGAACACTGCAGGAGGCAAGCCCAATGTAGAATGTCTTTCCTCAGAAACAGTGAAACAAATGGATGCATTCATTTGAATGTTCCATAATGGGAAAAAGAGACTGGTGATAAGAAATGGCTGCCTGATTATTCTTTTGAGGAATTAAATGTAATAGAAAATGTGCATAAAAAGAAATATTTGAAAAGTTTTGGCTTATGAAGAGGAAAATGTTCTCAGCAAAAAGTCACTAAGTTATAAAATCATTTGCTAACTAAAAAATGAAAGACGGAATTGGAAACTCGGTAAGGTTATATAGTTTGGATGTTTGTCCCCTCCAAATTTCATGTTGAAATGTCATCTCCAAAAAAGAAAAAAAAAAAAAAGAACTGTCACCTCCAATGTTGGAGATAGGAGATGTTTGGGTCATGAGGTGGATCCTTCATGAGTGCCTTGGTGCCCTCCTTGCGGTTATGAGTGAGTGCTCACTCTGAGTTCATGCAAAAGCTGGTTGTCTAAAAGAACCTGGCACCTCATCCCCTCTCTCTTGCTCCCTCTCTTGTCACATGATGTGCCCAGTCCTCCTTTGCCTTCCGCCATGAGAAAAAGCTTCCTGAGGCCTCACCAGAAGTTGAGCAGATGCTGGTGCCATGTTTGTACACCCTGCAGAACTGTGAACCAAATAAACTTTTCTTATTTATAAATTTCCCTATCTCAAGTATTCTTTTATAGCAATGCAGAATGGATTAACACATCAGGAATATATTAAGTATTAATATTTGCATGACATTGTTGGTTTTAGTGATTTTACCCAGCAGCAAATTTATGTAGGGTTGGTTATAAGCAATGTAGTGAATCTACATTACACAGACAACAAATATGAACTTTTTAAAGAAAATAGTCCCATCACACAGAATTTTTGAAGTTGACTAACCTTGGAAATTCTTTTTCTGGCACAGGTACAAAATTATCAAGATTGACTTTCCATGTGTTCACATTAACCACATAATAATCAATCAGGAGATAACAGTTTTTGAATTCAGTTTAACTTTATAGGCTTAGCCACTGTAACAGGACCTTTATTTTGCAGGGTTATAGCCTATAGAAAAGTGACTATAGGTGATGAAATATGTAATCAATACATATTGATTACATAGAATAAGGACCTGCCAATAGAAAACTGATTTAGATTATCATACAGGACAAGAGTGCCCAGTGCTTGTTTGAGACCTTGGGGTGGGTGAAGGTTGGGGTGGCTGTGGCAATTTCTTAAAACAAGACAGAAATGAAGTTTGCCACATTGATTGACTCTTCCTTTCACAAAAGATTTCTCTGTAGCATGTGATGATGTTTGGTCACATTTTATGCACAGTGGAATTTCTTTCAAAATTGAAGTCAAACTTCTCTAAGACTCTAATGGTTGAGGATGGAAAACCGAACTGGGATTGGGTGGAAGTAGATGCAAGTTCCATGGAAATTGTCACTGACTTAAAAATTTTACTTAAACATAGTTCTGTTACAACATTTTCTGTAAAGGATTTTACTAAAACAATTAAGCACCAGTTCAAACATGTTTGCAATCATTTAACATGACCTTAGGAAGTCAACACACACGTAATATTTCTTGTTATCTCTAGTATTGAAACACAAAAGTTAAAGCCAAACTTGTAAGTCAAGTTAGATCATCATCATCGTTATCTCTATGAAAAAAAAAATAGAACAACTTGATTTCTATCTCACTCCATACCCCAAAGTCTTGTTTTGTTTTGTTTTCTTTTCTTTTTTGAGATGGGGTCTCTTTCTGTTGCCTAGACTGGAGGGCAGTGGTGTGATCTCGGCTTACTGCAACTTCTGCTTTCTGGGCTCAAGTGATCCTCCTGCTTCACCTCCAAAGTAGCTGGGACCATAAGCTCGTGCCACCATGCCTGGCTAATATTTTGTACTTTTGGTAGAGACCAGGTTTCACCATGTTGCCCAGGCTGGTCTTGAACTGCTGAGCTCAAGCCATCTGCCTGCCTCAGTCTCCCAATGTGCTGGACTTACAGGTGTGAGCCAGCAAACCTGGACCTACACCCCTAAGTTAATTCATGATGGATCATGGACCTAAATATAAAACAGCACTGTAATGCGGCTAGGCACAGTGGCTCACGCCTATAATCCTAGCACTTTGGGAGGCCAAGGCGGGCAGATCATGAGGTCAGGAGTTTGAGACCAGCCTGGCCAACATGGTGAAACCTCGTCTCTACTAAAAATACAAAGATTAGCTGGGCGTAGTGGTGGGGACCTGTAATCCCAGCTACTTGGGAGGCTGAGCCAGGAGAATCGTTTGAACCTGGGAGGTGGAGGTTGCAGTGACCTCAGATCGCGCCATTGCACTCCAGCCTAGGCGACAGGGTGAGACTCCGTCTCAGAAAAAACAAACAAACAAACAAAACAACCAGTACTGTAATGCATTTAGAAGAAACTTCTGGTAGGTAGAAATTTCTTGGACGGAACACTAAGAGCAATACTATAAAAGCAAAAAAAAAAAAAAAAATTGATTGGATTTCATCAAAACTGAATAGGTTTATCAAAAGTCACCACAAAGAAAATAGACAAGCCATAGATTGGGAAAATTATTTGTGGCATATATATGGCAGAAGACCTGTGTCTAAAACATAAAAAACCAACCTATAAGTCAACAATAAAAATACAAACAATTCAATAAAAGGATGGAAATAGAGATACTTCACAAAAGAACATATACAAAATACCAATAAGCATATGAGAAGGTGCTTAACACTGTTAGTTTCCAAGAAAATTCAAAATAAAATGACAATTAGATACCATTTCACACCCACTAGAATGACTAAATAAAAAAAAAACCAATAATCCTTAATACAGGCATAACTCAGAGATATTGCAGGCTCAGTTCCAGGCCACTTGCAATAAAGCAAATATCCCAATGAAGCAAGTCACACAATATTTTTGGTTTCCTAGTACATAAAAAGCTATGCTTAAACTTTACTATAGTCTATTAAGTGTGCAATAGAATTATGCCTAAAAAATGTATGTACCTTAACTAAAAACACTTTATTGCTGAAAAATGCTAACATTCATCTCAGCCCTCAAAGAATTGTAATCTTTTCACTGGTGGAAGGTCTTGCCTCGATGTTTATGGATGCTGATTAATCAGTGGTGATTGCTGAAGGTTGGGGCAATTTCTTAAAATAAGACAATAATGAAGTTTTCCCACATTGATTAATTCTTTCTTCCATGAAAGATTTCCCTGTAGCATGTGATGCTGTTTTTTTGGTTACATTTTACCCACAGTAGAATTTCTTTCAAAATTAGAGTCAATCATCTTAAACCCTGCCACTGCTTTATCAACTAAGTTTATGAAATATTCTCAACCTATTTTTTTTGTTTATCATTTCAACAATGTTCACACCGTTTTCACCAGGAATAGATTCAACTCAATAAACCACTTTCTTTGCTTTTCTGTAAGAAGCAACTACTCATCCAATCAAGTTTTCCTGTGAGTTTGCAGCTATTCGTCACATCTTCAGGATCCACTTCTAATTCTATTTCTCTTGCTATTTCTACCACATCTGCGTTACTTGCCCCACTGAAGTCTTGAGACACTCAAAGTCATCCATGAGGGTTGAAATCAACTTCTTCCAAACTCCTGTTAATGTTGATATTTTGACCTTCTCCCATAAGTCACAAATGCTCTTAATGGCATTAGAATGGTGAATCTTTTCCAGAAGGTTTTCAATTTACTTTTCTTAGATTCATCAGCAGAATCACAATCTCTGTCAGCTATCACCTTACCAAATTTATTTCTTAAATAATAAGATTTCAAGGTAAAACTTATTCATTGATCCATGAGTTGCAGAATAAATGTTGTGTTAGCAGGCATAAAACCAACATTAATCCCCTTGTACATCCCTATCAGCGCTCTTGGGTGATCAGGAGCATTGTCAATGGGCAGTAATATTTTGAAAGAAATTTTTTTTTCCTGAGCAACAAGTCTCAACATCGGGCTTAACATATTCACTAAACTGTGCTGTAAACAGATGTGTTGTAATTTAGGTTTTGTATTTCATTAGTAGGGCAGAGTAGATTTAAAATAATTCTTAAAGGTCCTTGGATTTTCAAAATGCTAAATGAGCACTGGCTCATTAGTGACTTAAAGTCACCAGGTGCATTAGCCCCTAACAAGAGATTCAGCATAGCTTTGGAGCCAGACATTGACTTTTCTTCTCCAGCTATGAAAGCCCTAGATGACATAAGCCTGTTTTATCTAAATTGAAAAGTTGTTGTTCAGTGTAGCCATTTTCATCAATTATCTTAGCTAAATCTTCTGGACAGTTTGCTGTGAGTTGTACATTAACACTTGCTGCTTCATCTTGCACTTTTATGTTATGAAGATGGCTTCTTTCCTTAAATCTCATGAAACCACCTCAACTAGCTTCAAATTTTTCTTCTGCAGCTTCTCTCTCTTAGCCTTCATATAGTTGAAGAGAGTTAGGGCCTTGCTCTGGATTGAGCTTTGCCTCAAGGGAATGTTGTAGCTAGTTTGATCTTTTTATGCAGACCACTCAAACTTTCTCCATATCAGCAATAAGCTTCTCTTGTTTTCTCATCATTAGTGTGTTCACTGGAATGGCACTTTTAATTTCCTTCAAGAACTTTTTCTTTGGTTTCATAACTTGGCTGTTTCGTGCAAGCAGTCTACCTTTCAGCTTATCTTGGCTTTTGACATGCCTTCCTTGCTAAGCTTAATTATTTCTATCTTTTGATTTAAAGTAAGAGACATATGGCTCTTGCTTTCACTTGAAAACTTAGAGGTCTTTGTAGGGTTGCTAAATGGCTTAATTTCAGTATTACTGTGTCTCAGGGAATAGGGAGGCCCAAGAAGAGGAACAGAAATGGGAAAATGGCTGATAAGTGGAGCAGTCAGAAAACATAACCTTTATCAATTAAGTTCACCATCTTATATGGGCGCTATTTGCAGCACTCCAAAATAATTTCAATAGTAACAATAAAGAACATTGGTCACAGACAAACATAACAGATATAATAATGATGAAACATTTGAAATATTACAAGAAGTCTTAAAGTGCGACACAGAGACATGAAGTGAGCACATGCCATTGGAAAAATGGCATCAAAAGACTTGCTCAGCACAGCGTTACCACAAATCTTCAATTTGTAAAAAAAAACACACTATCTGCAAAGTGCAAGAAAATGATGTGTAATGAAATGAAGAATGCCTATATGGGCTAGGCTATAGGGCAACTGAAATTCTTATACATTGCTTGTAGGAGTTTAAAATGGTCGAGTCGTGGCCAGGTGCGGTGGCTCACGCCTGTCATCCCAGCACTTTGGGAGGCTGAAGTGGGCGGACCGCGAGGTCAAGAGATAGAGACCATCCTGGCCGACATGGCGAAACCCCGTCTCTACTAAAAACACAAAAATTGGCTGGGCGTGGTGGCCCGCGCCTGTAATCCCAGGTACTCGGGAGACTGAGGCAGGAGAATTGCTTGAATTTGGGAGGCGGAGGTTGCAGTGAGCCGAGACCACGCCATTGCAGTCCAGCCTGGCAATGGATCGAGAATCCGTCTCAAAAAAATAAAATAAAATAAAATAGTAAAAATGAAATAAAAATAAAAATAATTAAAAAAATAAAATGGTCCAGTTGTTGTAGAGAACTGTTTGGTAGTTTATTATAAAGTTAAATATACGTCTACTCCATGATCCAGTAATTCTACTTATAGGTATTCATTAAAGAGAAATGAAAACATAAAATCACAAAAAGACTTGTACAAGAATATTGGTAGCAGTTTTATTGATAATAACCAAAAACGGATCACTCAAATGTCCGTTAAAATATTAAAGGATAAAAAAATTGTAGTATAGTCATATGGCAAAATATACAGCAATAAAAAAGCACTACCTACTACATGCAACAACATGAATTAAATCTCATAAGCAAACATTATGTTCAGCAAAGAATGTGAGGCACAAAAAAGTACATACTCTCTGACTCAATTTGCTAAAGTCAGGCAAGTTTATAATAATACAAATTTAAAAGTGTTTGCCTAAGTGGTGGAAAGGTGGTGTATGGGAAGAGGGATGGTTAAATGGACTGGGAAGGAGTTTGAAGGAACTTCCTGGAGCTATGGAAATGTTCTACATCTTGTTTTAGGTGGTGCTTTCATGGCTGGATAGAATAACCAAAATCTTAAAATCTGTGCATTTTTTACTTGTTAATTATATATCAATATAAAATGATTCCCAAATGGATTCTCATATGTTGGATTCCTATTGCATACCAGGCATTCTGCTTATGCCTTTGAAAGTGGTATCTATAAATAAGCCTATCAGTTCCTTATGGGAATGGGTATATAAATTTTTCTTATTTTAACATAGGAGGAAATTGGAACTCTTTAGATCAACTCCATGAAACTTATATGGTTAGTAAACATCGGAAATGTTATTTAAATCAAGGTCTAATGTCAAAACCCATGCTGTTCCTAGAATGTCACACTTGCATAGTCAATGCCACTTACAGTCTCTAATGACAAAATAAACAGACTTGGTAATTTGTGGGTGCAGTTGAAATAGATGGAGCTATGGAGAATGAAATTCAAAGACTGTGACTTGATGTCAGAAATTTTGTTTGTAAGAACCCATGTGTCATAGAGAGAAGCACAGAGTGATTCTTAGCATATTGCCAAACTTACAATGCCCATTAGCTAAATAATTTGAATGTGAACTATTTTAAGAAACTGAGTTATTTGGTGCACGTGCCTGTCAGAATAAATCACTTTATAATTCTTTTATTTGATAGAATTACAATTGTCAAAAAGATTCAGACAAAAAAAGGTATTTTTTCTCCTTCAATTGTTCCCTGCTAAAATAGCAATTTACTAAGAGAAAACAACAATAGAAATATGGAGAACAAATATGACTTTTAAATACTACTGGAGTAGATGATATAGCTAGAGAGGCTCTCAGAGAGTATCTCTCTATACATGAGTTTGCCTTGCTCTTTATCACAGTATTCAATTTTTTTTCGGTATCAGAGATCCATTTCTTTTAGGGTTTGATGATATTTTGCTCCTCACGAATACCTTACTGAAATGCAAATACCTCTCAGGAGTGGACCATTAAACTTTATCAACAAAAACAGGAGTTTCCGGATAAGGAAGTAGAAAACAAAAAGCAATTATGTTAGTCAGGATAGGATAAGCTATGTGGTGGTAATAAATAAATCCTGAAATCCTGGCCAGGCATAGTGGCTCACACCTGTAATCCTAGCACTTTGGGAGGCTGAGGTGGGTGGATCACCTGAGGTCAGGAGTTCGAGACCAGCCTGGCCAACATGGTGAAACCCTGTCTCTACTAAAAATACAAAAATTAGCCGGGCATGGTGGGGAGCACCTATAATTCCAGCTACTCAGGAGGCTGAGGCTAGAGAATCACTTAAACCTGGGAGGTGGAGGTTGCAGTGAGCCAAGATCATGCCACTGCACTCCAGCTTGGGCGACAAGAGCGAAACTGTCTCAAAAAAAAAAAAAAAAAAAAAAACAAAAAAACTTGAAATCCCAATGATTTTCATAGCAACATCTATTTCTTGCTCGCAAAATTTCTGATGTAGGGTAGGTGACTCCACAGACACTTTTTATACATGTACTAACATGGGGATCCAGGTTGTTTTTACCTTTTTGTTTTATTCTTTTGCCTTTTTTTTTTTTTGAGACAGAGTCTTGCTCTGTCACCTGGGTTGGAGTGCAGTGGCCGAACCTTGGCTCACTGCAACCTCCACCTCCTAGGTTTAAGCAATTTTCTGCCTCAGCCTCCCGAGTAGTTGGGATTACAGGCGTCTGCCACCACACCCGGCTAATTTTTTGTATTTTTAGTAGAGATGGGGTTTTGTCCTCTTGGTAAGGCTGGCCTTGAACTCCTGACCTCATGATCCACCCACCTCCGCCTCCCAAAGTGCTGGGATTACAGGTGTAAGCCACCGCGCCCGGCCTTGTTTTGCCTTCTTAAAAGGTGGCATTCCAGCCGGCCGCAGTCATCGCGCCTGTAATCCCAGCACTTTGGAAGGCCAAGACGGGTGGATCACCTGAGGTCAGGAGTTCAAGACCAGCCTGGCCAACATGGCAAACCCCATCTCTACAAAAAATACAAAAAGTAGCCGGGCATGGTGGCAGGTGCCTGTAATCCCAGCTACTCGGGAGGCTGAGACAGGAAATAGCTTGAGCCTGGGAGGCAGAAGTTGCAGTGAGCTGGGATCAGACCATTACACTCCAGCCTGGGCAACAAGAGCGAAATTCTGTCTCAGAAAACAAACAAACAAATAAAAGGTGGCATTCATGGCCTCTGGCAAAGAACGGTGAGTATCACCTTTATTCACATTATGTTGATCAGAACTCAGTATCCCTGTCCATTTTATGGAAAATGAGAAAATATTTTTCTACATGTGTAGGCATAGAAAATGATGTTATAAATACACACAACCTTCCACAGCAGAGTTATAGTGGTGAGAAAAACACAGAAAGAGAGGCTTGCAAATTCAAATGTGAATTTAGTCAATTTCAAGGAACATCTAGGATGGCTAATCTTGTATAAAAATGTAAACTTTAGAAACCACAGCTACCTCATTCCATATGTATATGTTCTCTTAGTGTATTCCTTAGACCTACAAGTGTCTACTGCCCTTTTGATTGTGCCATCTTGTTAACTCTCAAACCTTATCCTTAGGAGAGATCTGATGTGCTCTTTTCTATTAAGGCATAGGAAAGTCACCATCAGGACTGTGACCAAGCATACTTCCCTACTTTTTCACATTCCTAAGAAGTACATAGCTAGAATTATGTGGCATTCCCTCAAGTAACATGAACTTAAGAGAATGCTACTTATTTTAAATCTGTAAAACAAAAGCAACCAAAAAATCATTTTATTTGCAGATTCTGTATGCTCTATAAATCTCGTATTTTACAAGCTCCTTTGGATCATGAAAATAACTTCCTAAATGAAGAGTCTGCAAGGCCCCTGCCCACCTGCTCCTGAGAACACGCTCATCGCCTGCGGGCATCGCCTCCGCTCCCTGGAGCCTCCAGGAGATCTCTGACCCACCAGGGGCAGGGGAGGGCATTGGTGGGGGGCTGGGGGCATGCGCGGGGAGGCCGGGGCTGGGCCCAGGGGTGGCCGCAGGCCCCTTCTGTGTCTGGGGTGGGAGGGCTTTGGCAGGGCCCTTTTGGGGTGTGTGGCCCAACCCAGCCTGGGTGGTGCTACCCTGAGGGCCCGGGCAGTGCAGGGAGAGCCCAGGTCTGCAGGTGGGCCCTTCAGCAGCAGGTTTCATCATTCATTCATCCATTTAGTGGCTGTTTCCTGAAAAACCTCTGGGACTTCGCCCCAAACCTCCCGAGTCTTAGAGGGTAATGCAGCCGGAGATTGGCTGCTCCCAGGGCTGGAGTTCAGGGTAGGTGCAGTCAGCTCAGAGTCACCGCTGGGCAGTGAAGTCTGGGAAGACTTCCTGGAGGAGGTGGCATTGTCACCGTGCCCCAAAGCATTTGAGCCCCTGGACTCGGGACCCCTCGCCGCCCAAGGGCCTTGCTGGCCATCACTCTTCTCCCCCACAGTTTGTGCTGTCCCAGAAGAGCACAGCTGTTGAAATGTGCTCCCCATCTCCCCTGACAAGCTCCACCATCTTGCCCCATCCTCCCCTGCCAGCCCCGAGGGGGCGTGTGGGACAGGACACCCAAAAGTCCCTCTCCTTCCTGCCCTCAGCATCCCCTCTCAGCTCGTGCACACCAGAGGCTGGATCTGGAGGATGGGGCAGAGAGGCCTCCGGGTCCTGTTGTGGGGACGGCTGGCACCGGCCTTGGGCCTTCCCCGGGTGATCCCACTGAAGCACGTGGCCTTCTCTGACCCCATGCCTGACTGTGAATGGGTGAGGCTCTGAGGACCACAGAGACCTGTCCCTCAGGCCCTGCCCAGGCCCTGCCCATCCCTCCTGCCTGGGGCTCTGGGGCTGGGTCGGTGAGAGCAGATCGGGCAGTATCTGGGGAGTCCCAGCTCTGCCCTCAACTTGCCCTGAGGTGACAAAGCCTCGGCTGAAGAGGAGTGGGACCCACTGGGTCTGCAGTAGGTAAGGTCCAGGGCCCGACCACGCCTGGGGGCTGTCCCGGCTCCGGCCTCGGCCCGGGCCCCCCACCCCCCCGACCAAGCTGGCCTTCCTGCCTGCACCCATCTGGGTCTTGTGTGCCCCTGAGCTGGGGCAGTGCCCCCTGCCAGCATCCCAAGAACAGGAACGGACCGCAGAGGACCAGATGTGACTGCACAGGGGCCTGGACGCCAGCTTCTTCCCTCCCGCCTGCTTTCTCACCTGGAACCGTGGCCATCTCAGAGGAAATGGGCCTGTCTCGGGACTTTCTCACCCGCATCGCGGGGAGGGCCCTCTGGGCTGCCTGCAGTGCACCGTGTGTCCAGCAGGGGGCAAGCGCCCGGCCCCGGAGCCGCAGCCCACTTGGGGCCGCGCAGGGTCCTCGCCCGACCTGTGTCTGAACACGCAGGAGCGGCCGGGCCAGGCAGTCCCAGCGCATTTTAATAGTGGAATGTAATTCCTGGGCAGCAGAAAAATGAAAGTGAGATCTATGAATTATTACAAATGCTCTCAATCTGCTGTGCCGTGCAGCGGGGCCCTGGGCTGGAAAGCCTTTTTTTTCTCGTGTTTAAGTTGGCGTGGAAGATGAAATAGTCACAGAGACACAGTGGCCCCTCCAAGCTGTTATTGCCAGCTGTGTGTTTCCTGTAAACACTTTTCTGATTTATAACCTCACTCTGCTTTATAAATGGAAAAACCAGAAATACCTTCAGGAGCAGCCTTTCACCGCCCAAGAGGCCTCTGCGTCTGCACGTGGCCGCCGGGGCAGGGTGCCGGGGCTTCTGGTCAGCCTTCCTTCCCAGGGCCAAGGCCTCCACCCAGGCCTGGCGCGAATGTGGGTCCTGGAAGGGTGACCCACGGTGCCTGTTTGCCTGGGACATACGGGGTTTCCAGAACTCGGGGTATTCGATGCAAACCTGGCAGTTTCCCGGCAAGCTGCTTCCCTGGACTCTGGCGGTTCTTCTTTTGGTCGACAGACGCTGTGGATGGGTTTTCTGTTTGTTTTGGAAGGAGAGGAGGTACTCAAACATCCGGCGATTGTCTTTGCTGGCCTGTGTCCGAGAGGGGAAGCTGATGCCCGTGGCTGGAGGACCTCGTGTCGTACCTAGAGTCCCTTCAGGACGGCCGACTGCCAGCCATGGGCCACCCGGGAGCTCACCCCACAGCCCCGCCTCGGTGCCCACACCTGGGCCAGGTGGCCATGGGGTCCCCAGGCCTCGTGCAGTTGAGGGAAGGGACTCGCTGCAGCCTCCATGCTGGCGTCTGGCCTCAGAAAGAGGACACAGGAAACGTTGGCCACTGACTCCTGATATCACAGTAACCCAGGGCGGCTGAGATGCTATCCTGTTCAATGGGGAACTGAGTCACTTGTCCCAAGTCCTGCAGTGACCCAGAGCCGTGCAAGTCCAACCCGGAGCAACAGAGCCCTTGGAGCAGGCGGTGTGGATGGCGGCCCCGTCACAGCCAGGATGCGGGGTCAGCTGGGGTGTGGGTTGTCAGTCTCCTGGGGTTGTCCAGGGTGTGGGTTGTCAGCATACTGGGGTTGCCTAGGGTTATTTGGGGAGTGGGTTGTCAGTGTCCTGGGGTTGTCTAGGATTGTCTGGGGTGTGGGTTGTCAGTGTTCCAGGGTTATTCTGGGTGTGGGTGTGGGTTTTCAGTGCCTCGGGGTTGTCTGGGGTGTGGACTGTCAGTGTTCTGGGGTCGTCTGGGGTCTGGGGTGTGGGTTGTCAATGCCCTGGAGTTTCCTGGGGCGTTGCCTCCTCTCCCCGGGGCAGATCTTCGTAACATCAGGAATTCGCAGGCACATGTGTCTGGGCGTTGGGAAGCAAACAGTCTGTGCACAGTCTGTGCTGGATTTGCTCTGCGGATTCTTGAATTATCTGGAGAATACGAGCTTCCTGAAAAAATAATAATAAAAAAATAAAAAAAAATAACTTCCTAAAGAAAGAGACATAAAGAGAAGACAAAGCAGACTGACTATGAATAAATCACAATCTTAATTAATATTTGTTTTCTTTAAATATTCTTTACAGGAAAGTTATTTTCCAAGTTTTCTCATCAGAACTTGCAACAATGATGACATGCATCACTGAGAAATCAAGAGATGGAGAATAAAATTTTTCTTTGTGTTTGAAAATTACCTTTATGAAAATTAAATTACACACTTTTTAATATCCGGTGGATTAAAAAAGAAACCAAAAAGGAAACAAAAAATTTTTTGAGACAAATGAAAATGGAAACACAGCATGTCAAAACTCAAGGGGTGCAGCAAAAGCAGATCTAAGAAGGAAGTCTATAGCAATAAATGACCACATTAAGAGAGAAAAAAGATCTTAAACAACCTACCTTTACACCTTAAAGAACTAGAAAAAAAAAAACTAAGCCCAAATTCACCAGAAAGAAAAAATAATCATAAATATTAGAGGAGAAATAAATAAAATGGAGACTAGAAAAATAATAGATCAATAAAACTGTGTTTTCTGAAAATACAAACAAAATTAGCAAACCTTTAGATAAACTAAGAAGAGAAGAGAGAAGATTTAAAGAAATAAGATAAAAAATTAAAGAAGAGACAATCCAACTGATTCCACAGAAATAAAAAAGATCGTAAGAGGCTATGATCAACTATGAACAATTATATGCTGTAAACTGGATAATCTAAAAGAAATGGGTAAATTTCTAAAAACACAGGTTACCAAGACAGAATCATGAAGACAAAGAAAATCTTAACAGACTAATGATGAGTAAGGGAATTAAGTAATCAAAAACCTCCAAAAAAGAAAAGCCCCATAATTCATGGCTTCACTGGTGAATTCTACAAAACAGTTAAAAAATAAGTAACATCAATCCTTCTAAAACTCATCCAAAAAATTAAAAAGAAGAGAACATGTCCAAACTTATTATATTAGGCCTTTATCACCCTGATATCAAAACCAGACAAAAACACTACGAGAAAAGAAAATTATAAGCCAATATTCCTGATAAACATCATTGATGCAAAAATCCTCAACAAAATATTAGCAAACTGAATTCAACAGCATGTTAAAAGGATTATACACCATGATCAAGTAGGATTTTCCCTGGGATGTAAGGATATTTTAATGTATGCAAATCAATAAGTATGATTACACCATATGGATGGAATAAAGAAAAAATCCTATGATTTTTTCTGCAATAGATGCAGAAAAAACATTTGACACAGTTCAACATCCTTTCATGAAAAAAACTGTTAACAAATTAGGTATAGAAAGAATGTACCTCAGCATAACAGAGGCCACATATGACAGGCCCACAGTGAACATTATACTCAATGGTGAAAAGCTTTCAGCTTCCTCTAAGATAAGGAACAAGATGAGGATGCCCAATCTTATCACTTCTATTTAATGAAGTACTGAAGGCAAGAAAAAGAAACAAAATGCTCCAAATTGGAAAGAAATAAAGTTGTCTCTGCAGATGATATAATCTTATACATAAAAACCTTAATGCTCCACCAATAAAATGGTTAGAACTAATTAACAAATTCAGTGAAGTTGTACAATACAAAATCAACAGTGTGTTTGATTTTAATGTTTCTGTATACTACCAATGAACTACCCAAAAGAGAAATTTTAAAAAAATGCTATTTCCAATAGCTTCACAAAAATACAAATAAGTTTAACTGAGGCAGAGAAATATCTGTATAATGAAAACCGTAAAACATTGATTAAAAAATTGATGAAGACACAAATAAGTGGAAAGATATCCTATATCCATAGATTGGATGAATCAATATTGTTAAAACATCTGCACTGCCAGGTACAGAAAGACAAATGTTGCATGTTCTCACTTATTTGTGGGATCTAAAAATCAAAACAATTGCATACACAGAGAGAGAGAATAGAAGGATGGTTACCAGAGGCTGGAAAGGGTAGTGGATGGGGGTAAGTGGATACGGTTAATGGGTGCAAAAAATTAGTTGTAAAAAATGAAGACCTAGTATTTCATAGCACAATAGAGTGACTATAGTCAATAATAATTTAGTTATACATTTTAAAATAGCTAAAAGTTATTTAGTTATTTACAAACTGGGCTGTTTGTAACACAAAGGATAGTTGTTTAAGGAAATGAATATCCCATTTTCCATAGAGTGGTTAGTACACATTGCATGCCTGTGTCAAAACATCTCATGTACCCCCAAAATACATACACTTACTACGTACTCACAAAAATTAAAAATTAAAAAAATAAAGAAAAATTCCTGTACTATCCAAAGCAATCTACAGATTAAATGTGATTCCTATCAAAATTCTAGTGATTTTTCCACGAAAATAGAAAAGAAATCCAAAATTCATATAGAACCACAAAAGATCCCAAATAGCCAAAGCAATCTTAAACAAGAAGAACAAAGCTGCAGGCATCGCCCTACCTGATTTCAAAACATACTACAAGGCAATAGTATCAAAACTACATAGTATTGGCATAAAAACAGACTCATAGACCAAAGCAACAGAATAGAGAGCCCAGAAATAAATTCATGCATTTACAGTCAAATGATCTTCAGCAAAGGTGCCAAGAATACACAAGGAGGGAAAGGGCAATCTCTTCAATAAGTAGTGATGGGAAAACTGGAAATCCACATGCAGAAGAATGAAATCGATCCATATTTCACAATACATACAAAAATCAACTCAAAATGAGTGAAAGACATAAATGTAAAACCAAAAACTGTAAAACTACTGAAAAAAAAACATAGGAGAATAGCTCCACATCATTTTTATGAAAAAAAAAAAAAAAAAAAAAAAAAAAACAAAAAAACCATAGGGGAATAGCTCCATGTCATTTTTATGGGCACTGATTTTTTTGGATGTGACCCAAAAAGCACGGGAAATAAAAGCAAAAGTAGACAAATGGGATTACATCAAACTAACAAGCTTCTGCACAGCAAGGGAAACAATAAACTGTTTGAAGGGATCACCTATGGGATGGATGAAAATATTTGCAAACCATACATCTGATAAGGGGATAATATGCAAAATACATAAGAAATTCAAATGACTCAATAGAAAGAAAACAAATAACCTGGTTTAAAAACTGGTAAAGGATCTCAATGGGTATTTTTCAAAAGAAGACAAATGGCCAAAAGGTATATGAAAAAATGCTGAACATCACTAATTATCAGAGAAATGCAAATTAAAACCACAATGAGCTATCACCTCACACCTGTTAGAATGACTATTATGAAAAAAGTAAGTGTTGGCAAGGATACGGAGAGGAGGGAATCCTTGTACACTGCTGTTGGAAATGTAAATTAGTACAGCCATTATGGAAAATACTATGGAGGTTCCTCAAAAATTTGAAAATAGAGTTACTATACGATCCAATTATCTTATTTTTGGATATGTATCTAGAAGAAATGAAATTAGTATGCTGAAGATATAGCTGCACTCCCATGTTGGCTGAAGCATGATTCAAAATAGCCAAGCTGTGAAAACAACCTAAGTGTTCATCAGTGGATGAATGAGCTGCATGTACAATGAAATACTATTCAGCCTTTAAAAAGAAAGAAATCTTATTATTTGGGAAAGCATACATGAACCTACAGGACATTATACTAAGTGGAAAAAAAGACAAAGAAAGACAAATACTGCATGATGTCATTTATTTGAGGGATCTAAAAAAGTCAAACTCATAGAAGCATAGTGTGGTTGCCAGGAGCCAAGGTGGGGGTGGGGCAATGAGGAGATGTTGGTGAAAGGGTACAAAGTTTCAGTTAGACAGGGTAAATAAGAGTGTACTCTTATACAGCATGGTGACTACATTTAATAACAATATATTGTATACTTTAAAGTTGCTAAGAGATTAGATCTTACATGTTCTTACAACAACCAAAGTATGTGAGGTCTTGGATATATCAATTAGCTTGATTTAACTATTTCACAATGTATATTATATCAAAACATCACGTTATATACCATATATGTACAATTTTTATTTGTCATTTATATGTTAATAAAAAATAATAATAAGTAATCTGAGTCTTTAAGAAAAAAAGAAAATTATCTTTACAGGATAAGTTTTCAGTTTATCAACAAAAAGAAAGATTTAAGCAGAACTTTTACTTATCTCTGGAATATCTTTTTATCAAGATAAGGAGATGAAAAATAAATTCTTCATGGAAACCAATTTCAAAAGGCTATACCACTCTTTTACAGGAAATACTGTTTCACACCATTACATGTAATAAGAATTGATTGTCACCAGCTCAGTTTGGTAATACAGTTGCAATATAGTTGCAATAATTACTTCTGACACTGTCACAAGCATCAAAATGTTTAACAAATATTTCACAAATGTGAAGATAATTCTAATAAGTGATTTTTCACGATATTTCTTTGTTATTTGGTAACTGTAGCAAAATGCCAGATGATTCTCATTACCATAGAAGTCAATTGGCAGGTGACAAATAATTTTTACAAAGTTATTGAATCAATGTCAGAATCAGAGTAAAAAAAATTGTGATGGACTTGCTATGAGTAGAACTACTGATTGTTTCTGACATCATTGCTTTCCGAGTTTGAGGTTTAAATAAGTAATAGAATTGTAAGGGTTAGAGAAATGGCCTCAAAATTAAAAGGCGAGATTTATATGCATTCTGAATAGAAACCAGAGGAAACTGGAGAAACCACCACCATTACAGCAACATCCAGCTTTTGATTACTTATAATCATAACCATTTGATTGCTATTTGATAGAAATAGTCTTTTACAGCAAGTCAATTTGATGAAAAATTCCTGTCACATTGAGTATTTCTTTCAGGACACGTGGCTTTGATGACTTTGATCCCCTTTCTCTTTCTTTTTGTCTTGGTGGCCATGATGCAATAATCTGTAAGAATAGGGAGATGATGAGGCTGAATAGAGCAGCTGTATGATTGACCATCACAGTGGTCAGAATCCAGAGGACTCAATCAGCTCACTGGGGTGAGGATTAGCACGCAGGAACTGCTGATTGATGGGCACTGCCTCTTCTCAGCTCCAACACAACACGACCAATCCTGCAACCATGACATCTGAAATATGAGATTGTGGAATGAACATGACTTGAAGTGAGGGTGCTTTCCTGAAGGAAAGAGAAAATTAGGGAGAAAGAAAAAATAGTCTTGATTATAAGCACTGTGATTAGGACCATGATAACCACAGCTCAAACTGAAGCATAAAAGGTATTTGGCTTTTGTTTTTTAAACATATGAACACGGCAGATGCCGCTTTGACTTGCCTCAGCAATAGCCTTTACTCGGTGTTAAGTCTAGCCTCCTTATATACTTAGCAATTTAAATGTGTTGAATAAGATTTTTAAAATAAAAGGATACTTAGTACTCAAGAATATTAATACATGTGTTTCCTAAAGGTTACGGGGAAAAAAGATAATGTCCCAGTTGTATGTTCTGAACTAGTACAAGTCTAAAGAAAAGCTAAATGCAGTTTATCTTCTTGTTAAGAACTCAATGCTTGGCACACATTAGGATAAATCGTGTTATTTCAGGTCAGTATCTCCCCGGAAATCGTTTTTCCAACCCTACCTGCAAACACACAACTTTCTCTATTCCCGAATACCGCACATTTCATAAATGGAGAATTATCTTACTCTAATTTAAATCAAACTGGTAAGCATACAAAGTTAGTATTTCTCCTGTTTTTGTCTAATAATTCCCTCCTGGTGTGAGTTTTAATATGTGGGAAGTAGAGAGGAAGGGGGTTAGATTTTGGAGTCAGTTAAAGGAGAGAAGGAAGTCAACAAAACAAAATTTTGCTTTCTTTAGTTTTTTCCTAAGCACATGATTTTTGGTATTGTTTTAAGAAGACAAAGGACTGATACCATAAAAGTCCATTTGAATGTTTTAATTCTAAACATACAATTTCTAGATCTACCAAATGCTAATCAATGTTGGGAATAAATTCATAAAATAAGGGAGTAAACTCCTAGAATGAGAATATTTTTTTTTTTTTAGTGCAGAGAAGGGATTTTTAAGGTAGAACGTGAATATGTTTTCAGCACCATTTTTTTTAAACGTGGGAAATTAAATTATCTGGAATTTGGTCACAGAGGAGCAGCTTGTATGCAAACTAAGTCAAGACTATTTCTCAATAATTTTCTAAGTGTTATTTATAAGTGGAACACACAAAAGAGAAAACGGTCCTTGTCTTCTCAGATCAACTCCTCAGATATACCACATTTTCCACTGGCAAGAAGTCATTCTGGCTGGGTGCAGAGGCTCAGGCCGGTAATCCCAGCAACTGGGGAGGCTGAGGCAGGAAGATCACTTGAGCCCAGGAGTTTGAGATCAGCCTGGGCAAAATAGAGAGACACCATCTCTTAAATAAAAAAAGAAAAAGACTGTACCAGAAGCAGTCTTCATGGCAGTGAGAGGAGCACAGTGCAAAACGAGAGAGATAATGAGTGACAAGGCTTTGTATAAACCTAGAGGCTATGTTAAGAATTATTTTGCTTTTGTTTTAGATTTCGTTTTAGTTGTTTTTTTTTTAAATTCCAAGAACACTAGTACATTGTTTAACATTTTTTGTTTGTGTTTAAGGAAGAATATGGGTCAGATTTGGGTTTTGGAAAGATAACTCTGCTGATGCTGAGGAAGGTAATTCATTAAAAGGGAGCAAACGTACATAAGGGAAGAGTGTTTGGGATATTATAATAATCAAGGAGGAAGATGTTGCCTACTTGGACTAGGCTGGTGGCAGTAGAGATGGAGAGAAGGGGATAGATTTGAAAAATACTTAGGGCATAAATCAGCAGACTTTGGAGCTGGAGTTGATATAAGGGTGTGGGAAGACTTCAAGGGCAAATTAGAGGTGCTTGTGATTTCAAAGAGGGACTGTTAGATGAAGTTTGAAGGTGGGGATGGGGAAAGAAGATCTTGAGTTTAGATCCAGACACCTTGGTATTGAGGTGCCTATAAAGGTTCAAAGAAGACATACAGAGCAGGGACTTGTTTGTACTCATCTGGAACTTAGAGAAGTAATCCAAACCAAAGATAATGCTTGTGATTCAAATCTTACAGACAAATCATAGCAGTGGGAATGAATGATACAATCCGTGGAATGAAAAGAGAAGAGGGTCACATATTGAGAGACTTCATTACTTCATGCCTGGATAAAAAGGGAATGAACTTGGAAAAAAGTCTGAGGAGAAGCACGCAGACACATAGGGAGAAAACTATTACATACCAGAAACCAAAAGAAAAGAGTATCTTAAAAAGTAGCAAGAAGTCAAAATGTCAAACACATCTGAGAAATCAAGATTCAATAGTGTGCATTGGATTTACTGACATATATAGTCCACTTATGGCTTTGGGGAGAGGGAGAAGAGATTCGTTTATGACGTGGGTTGTTGGATGAGATATATTCTAAGGTCCCTTTCAACTGTTAGATATGTTAAATTTTTGTCATGAAAGATACATTTCCAAATTATTTTATGGTAAGATTTTTAAGTCACCTGCCCCTTCAAAAATGTTTTCTAAATTTGGGATAATATTTATTAGAAAAAAGTGCAAATTTGTGTAAGAATGTTCATAACTTTTCAAAGACAATGGTTAAAGTGAAAATGTTAATATCTTTTGTTTTCATGTTAATAAAATCTCCAGCTGGGCTGCTTCTTCCTGTAAACAACAATTCACACAATGTTCAAATTGTAATCCAATTCCAATCTGGAATTGGTCACAGAGGAGCAGCTTGTATGCAAACTAAGTGAAGATGAAGGTTAGACCAGTTCTTGCTCATAAGAAATGCAGGAAGACTCAGGGATCAGGGTCCTGGAATCTCACTGTTGAGGGAGGCTGAATGAAGATGATTTTAAACATCTTTATTCTTTACTTAATCTGGGAAATCAATGGAAAATATCAAATTCTGGTCACTGTACTAAGTTACAGTTCTTCAGAAATGAGAGATAGTTTCCCACTGATACATTTGTCTAAGGCTTGGAAAACCTTAATAACATTTTGGACATTGTCAGAGATTGCTTTCTATTGGTAAATAGCAGCAAGGGTCTATTCTTGGCTTGGTAACTGATTGGAGGCCTGATTTGCAATGTGGCTCCCACCATGCTCTATGCTATAATTTCTCTGCCTATAAAATGTGTTACTTACACTCATCTCCATTGCAGAGTTCTGTGGATGCAGTTATATCAGTGATGGTCATAGATAAATAGTTATAACAATTCAAAGTCTATCTTAAAACATAAGCATCTATAATTCTCTTTTCCAGGTTGACACTCTTAAGAGTGTCAGGTGGCTGGATTATAATTGTTTTCTCTATGGCTTCTTCATGGAGTATACCTCCAGAATTTCTGGATCTTCAGTTCAATTAGATGCCCTTGCAAATAAAATGATTATTCTGTCTTTCTGCTGAGCATGAATGTCACAACCCGCACCTGCTCTGTGAATAGCAAGTCAACAATGGGAGCTGCCTTTCACTCTTCCCTTGGTGCCATTGCTGGTTGTCCTCAAAGAGCTTTGGCTTAGAGGATTTGCATGGGTTTACCTCTCTTTCTCTTGGCTACTCCCTGTGATTCCTCTCATCAGTGGTATCTTAAATCTGTACTCTCAGCAGTTTTTTCTCCTACAACTTCCAAAGGAAACTCTGGACAACTGTCTGTGGCAGTGGCAGCTCTGCTTTTCATAGCTTCTCAAACTAGTAGTTTACTCTCAGAGTCAGCTTCCCTCAACTGTGAGATTCCATGACCCCGATCCCTGGGTCTTCCTGCATTTCTTATGAGTGAGAACCGGTCAAACCTATTGAGTTTTCTGCTCTTGGTCCTCCCTAGTAGTTACTTACACTGCCAGCCTGTGCAGGGTATCTGGCATCCCTTTCTCCCTACATGGCAGTTCTTGGCTAAATCCCTAACCAGTTAGGTAACTCAGAATCACTCTCAGTTATATCTGGAAGTAATAACAAAAAGGTCCTTCTAGAGCTCTTGAAATGGTTTAATGGCTACATTCTCTTAAAAATAGCCCTTCCAAGTTACTCATTGAAAATCCTCCTAGGGGTGGGGAGAAAAAAACATCTTCAATACTTCCTACATAGTCACTCTGTTGATTTTCCTATTACACTTACCTGTGTCCTAACATTAGTTTATTCAGGGCAAGTTTTCTTAGTCATCAATATTCTTTCAAAAGGCAGAGTTTGGACAACTTCCAGGCAGTGTCCCAATTCAGTATAGAGAGGTCTTAAAAACTGTCCCAGCAAGAGAATCTGCTTCACAGGCCATTTGATAATAATACACGATGTGGCTTAGGAATAGTTCTGGATATTCTGCAGTGCAATACAAGGAAGATGGCATAGCATAGTAGCTGAGTATGAGATCTGACATTACAATAACCTGTGCTAAGTTTCTGCCTCTTTTATTTACTGAGCATGTAACTTTGGGGAAGTGAGTTTACCTTACCAGGTTCTAGTAACCTTGTCTGTAAAATGAGGTGATAATACCTGTCTTACATGGATGTTACCAATAGCCTATAGTAAGCAGTCCACACATTTTAATGTTGTAAGTTTTCCCACAGTACTTGCAATTGAACAGTTTCCTAAAAACTATTCTGATCTTCCTCATGAGTCAAAAAGTGAATCTAATAAATCAACCTGGTAACTTTAATGCAATTTAAATGGTCCCTTTAGGTACTGCTTGCTTTCCTTTGATAAAAATAATCAGTTTCTCAGAGTTCCACTCTCTTCCCTGCATCCCTCCAAGATGGCATCAGATATGTGAAGGTGGTAAAATGAACTATGTCCTCATCACAGTAGAGAAGAAAAGGTCCAGAGAGCCATGTACTTTTCTCTGGTCTCCATAGTGATGGCTTTCTGGATCCTGCTTGTCCTGCTGATATCCTAGCTCAGGTCTGGGCATTTGCTGGCCTTTCTCTAGGTTTCATTATTTCCCTGTGGAGCACCCCACATGAATCAGCCTTACCTTGGATCTTGCTTGCACTCTGGGCACCCTTGAACTCCTCCAGTGACTTCTGGGCTCAAACCTAGAAAAGGGAACTGCATGTCTTCTTCCTTATCTCTCAAGGTCAGAAAGGACAGACTTCTCCTGTACCTCCTCTAGATCCGGCCTTCCTTGTTCACAGATTCAGCCTTGTGACTAAAATCTAATGCCAGGTTCGATGTAGATATCAATTTGAAAATTACTTATTGGTAAAGGAGCCCAAATTGGGAGGTGTCTTAATCCCTTTGCATTGCTATTTTAAAAAATTCTGGCCGGATGTAGTGGCTCATCCCAGCACTTTGGGAGGCCAAGGCAAGCAGATCACTTGAGCCCAGGAACTCAAGACCAGCCTTGGCAACATGGCAAAATCCCATCTCTACACAAAAAATAAAAAAATTAGCCAGGTGTGGTTGTGCATACCTTTAGTACCAGCTACTCAGGAAGCTGAGGTAAGAGGATCTCTGGAGCCAAGGAGGTCAAGGCTGCAGTGAACTGTGATTGCACCACTGCACTCCAGCCTAGGTGACAGAGCAAGACCCCCTTTATTTTTTCAAATACAACGACTATAAAAACACTTGAGGCTGAGTAATTTATAAAGAATGATTTGGATCATGGTTTTGTAGGCTATACAAGAAGCACAACACCATTATCTGCTTCTGGTGAAGGCTTCAGGGATATTCCACTCATGGTAAAAAGTGGAGGGGAGCAGGCATCATATAGCAAGAGAAAAGGAAAAGTGGAGGAGGGGAGGTGCCAGACTCTTTTTAGCAGCACATCTCATGGAAACTAAGAGTGAGAGCTCACTCATTCCCCCCAGAAGAACATCAAGCCATTCATGAGGGATCTGCTTCCATGGCCCAAAAGACTCCTACTAGGACCCATTCCAACACTGAGGATCAAATTTCAACATGAAATTTGGAGGAGGAAAATATCCAAACTATATCAGGAGGTATTTCAAAATATAATATCTTTTTTATTCTTTTCCTATTAGACTTCCAATTTCCCATATCAAACTTCCAAGAAGGTGGATTTTAGGTCTCTAAATCAGATCTATTTCTCTGTTCATCTCTGGTTCCTTCAAACTTGACCAGATAATTCTGGATATTAATGGGAAAGTCTGTATCCTGCCATAAAAGTTGTTACATCCTACAATCTTAATTCTTTCCCAGCAATGAGCCCATTTCTCTTGCAACTGAAAAATTGTAGAGTCAGGAAGAAACCTCTGGAGGATTGGGTATTAACAGTGGGAGAGGTGAGTGGTATCTCACCTAAAGGCAACAGGAGTTGTAATCTGGCCACTAGCTTTTTCTAGGACTTCTTTCTCTCTTTGTCTCTAAATTGAGAGAAAAATAGCTGAACTGATCTGGGTACTTCAGGATCACATGATTCCTGCCTGGATGTCTACATTATTAATTATGGATTTTCTTTCTGAGTTGGCTAATAAGGTTTTAAAAATGTTTACTGGTCTCAATTTTATGTCCCAAGTTTTCATGACAGAATTGGGCTTCCCTCTGTTGAGTCAAAGGAGGGAGATTAAAGATGACTTTTCATTACCTGACCCTTTCTTTCTTCAACTGACTATCCCTTATCTGCTGAGCATTACATGTCTTTCGCAGAGCTACCACCTTGATTTCAAGTTGATTAAGATTTGAAATTAGTCCAAAGTGCAGACTTTTTCTGCACTTTGGTAAATATTTTCGAAAGAACAAACACAACAGCTTTCTTCAGCACTATGAAATTCCTGCTTTCTCCCAAGTATTGTTTTTTTTTCTTTCCTATTCACCTTTGTTGGTTTTTTTCCTTGTGTTCAACTGTATCCACTTGAGATCAGGAGTCAAACATTGTTGTTTAGTACATGAATCGATGGGTACTTCACTTGGTTTCCTAATGAGAATTCACTCAAGTCTAGGATAGAATTTTGAAAGCCACCTGCTGTTAAAATTATTTGCAAAAGTCTAAGTAGTTCCCTTTCAGTAAAGTTTAATAGAACTCCTAAAAATGCTGGGAAATTTTTCATTAATAGTTATGATGGAGAAAACTTGTAGCATTCCTAGTATATGCCTAATAAGGCCACCAGAAATGATGCAATGGCTTTTTCTCCTTATTTCTTGATGTTTGGGCAAGAATGCCAAGGTTCTCAATTTGATTGAGTCAAAGAGGTGAGGTACAGAAAAACCTCACAGATTGTATAGTTAACCTTGAACCAAGTAATGATGGTCAGACCAAGTTAGTGAAAAGGTCATTTGATAGTCGTAACCCCACTTATTCTACATTTGGAGTACAGTAAAGTATGGCTCTCACAGCCAAATGTTCCTTGTGAATGAGAACAAATCATAGAAGACATAAATTCAGGACAGAGATCCGATTTCCTCCCCAGTATCTACTTCCATCTCCAGGAATAAGGGAATGGTCAGATAAAGCATGTAGATTAAAGTGCAAGTATTTTTTGGAATATAAAAATTCATTTCTGAGAGTAGGAGTGTTGCCAGATAATGCCCTGAAATATTTATCTATGCACTTTCTTTTTCCACTACCTAGTCAGAGTCATACAGTGCCTCAAGGCAAAGTATAAATAAAAATAAATAATAAGCTAAATTTAAAATAAGACAATAAAAAAGCAAGAAACAGCCTGTCTTAGTCCATTTTTTGTGGCTGTAATAGAATACCACAGATTGGGTAATTTATAAAGAGAAGCAGTTTGTTTGGCTCATGGTATAGAGCTTGGGAAGTCCAAGATCAAGGGCAGGCCTCTAGTGAGGGCCTTCTCACTGCATCATCCCATAGCAAAAGGTGAGAGAGCAGGAGAAAGGGGACCAAACTTCATCCTTTTATCAGGAACCCATTTCCACAATAACAACATTAAACTTCACGAGGGCGAAGAACTTGTGACACAATAACCTCTTATTAGGCCCACCTCCCAACACTGTTGCATTGGGATTAAGTTTCTGATATGGTTTTGATATTTGTACCCTCCGAATGTCATGTTGAAATGTGATCCCCAATGTTGGAGGTGGGGCCTAGTGGGAGTTATTGGATCATGGGGATGCATCCCTCATGAATGGCTTAGCAGCATCCCCATGGTGATAAGTGAGTTCTTGCTCAGTTAGTTCATGTGGAATCTGGTTGTTTAGGAGTCTGGGACCTCTCTGTTCTCTCTCTCTTGCCCTCTGTCTCTCTTGCCATATGGCATGCTGGCTCCCCTTCACCTTCCACCATGACTGTAAGCTTCCAGAGGCCCTCATCAGAAGCAGATGCCAACACCATGCTTCCTGTACGGCCTCCAGAACCATAAGCCAAAGAAGAATCTCTTTTCTCTATAGATTACCCAGCCTTGGGTATTCCTTTATAGCGATGCAAGAATAGACTAATCCAGAGAATTGATACTGAAGAGTGGGGCATTGCTATAAAGATTCCCAAAGATGTGGAAGTGGCTTTAAAACTGAGTAATGTGCAGAGGTTGGAGAAGCTTGGAGGTCTCAGAAGAAGATAGAAAGTTCAGGGAAAGTTTAAAACTTCTTAGAGAGTGGTTAAATGGTTTTGGCTGAAGTGCTGATAGAAATATGGACATTGTGTTTTCTTTTTCCAAGATGGTGGATAGGAGGCAGTGTTAGAGTGCCTCTCCCACTTGGAAGGAGAGAAGCATGAAGAGAGTCACACTGTGAACTTTTGTTCCAAGAACTACTGCAGGAATTTACCAGGAAAACTGAAAGAATTTACACATCCTTTAAAAGAAGTAGCATGCCAAGGCAAACTCTGTGAGACAGGCAAAAAACTGTGAGTTCCCAGAGTGGAAGATGGGGAGAGCCTGCCCTTGAACATACATCCCCACTGAGGAATCTGAAAATCCAGATCACAGGAGAAGGTTTCAACCTTACCTACAGCTGGAATGAATTAGAGAGTGGCATGAAATATAAAAAAGTAGAAGCATCAGTGGAAAGAATCTTGTAGGTATTCCCAGTCTCCAGCTGGAGCCCAGGGAAGCCATCCTTGATTATATATCACAGGGATCCCTGGAGAAGGCAGCCAGTGAACTTAAGGAGGGGTTGCAGGGTGAAAGAAGCTCCCAACTAAATTTTGTGATAATTTTGAGTGGGCGTGAATTCCCTTAAACAGAACCCAGGGAGCAAATAGAAACTGCTGCAGATACAACTGTGGGAGCTGGATGCTGGCATTATGGGCAGACAAAGAGGGGCAGGGCCTGAAGACCATGCTTGCTTTCTCATCAGGGAAGCTTATGGCCTGGGGCAGGTCTGGGTTCTTTGTGAAGGTTGTCTGGATCTAAACTCGGCACTGTTAGCAGGGTGCTGTTGGTGTGAGACTGGCCTTGCCAACTGCTTGGTAGCTGAGTGAGGCCTACAGCTACCAGTTATTCCCCACTCCCCATGCGGACTCTACTGCACAGTAGAGGCAGCCATACTCCCCTCTGTAACATAACCTCATTGGCCTGAGAACCACACTCCCACACCCACAGTGGCTATGGTAAGCCCTGCCCAGGGAGAGTTTGAGCTCAGCCCTGCCTAACCCTGCCCCGACCTAGTGGTCTTTCTTTACCCACCCTGGTTGCTAAACACAAAAGACATAAACTCTTGTGAGCTTTATGGCCCATCCTGTCACCTGAGAAACTAGAAACTTCCCCTGGCCAATTTAGGGCAAGTTTAAATAGCACTGCTAATAGCTCAGCTGATGCTCTCTTAAAAGCACCACCTCCTGGCTGGAGGACAACCAACTCAGTCCATTACAGTAACCCTTGGCAGAATAATACTTTATTTTTTCCTGCTCCCAGGAAAAAGAAAACAGCAGGTAAGACTGCTGCCTGCAACACCCTGGCTAACCAGAGGTTCTGAGTCTGTCCACATGACAATTTCACTGCTAGCATAACCATCATTTGAGAAAGCCAGCACACTAAACCTATCTACAACCAAGGAATCTCACAGAATCTGCATAATTCCCCTGCCGCCTCCATCAGAGCAGGTGCTGATATCCATGGCTAGGAGACCTGAAGACTAATCACATCACTGGACTCTTTACAGATATTCCCTGCACCAGCCTGGAACCTGGCAGCCCCACTGGGTGGTTAGGCCCAGAAGAGCAATAACAATCACTGCAGTCTAGCTCTAGGGAAGCCCCATCCCTAGCGGAAGGAGAAGAGTACCACATCAAGGGATCAACCCAATGGGACACAAGAATCTGAACAGTGGGCCTTGTGTTCCAGATCCTTCCACTGGTGGGAAGTTTCTTATAGCAGAGGCACAACTGCAGTGTTGGGCACAGTAGGGAAAGTCTGCACCTATACCTCAACAGGCAGGCAGCCTCTGGGATACCCCAACAGACAGGCAGCCTCTGGGATCATGAAGGAGCTTGGCAAAGGAGTCCTTGTTCACCCCTGGCACTCCACTTCAGACACATTTAGAGCTTTCTTCACAGGAACACACCATAGAGGCACCTATAGACAGCTTTCCTGGAACAATCTAGGGTGAGCGCAGCCCCACAAGAAGAGCACATCCCAGATTCAGGCCTGCATGAGAGGCACCATCACAATTCCTCCCTACTTGGAACATCAATATTCCTACAGATGAAAAGAGGTGCCTGTCTGACCTGAATAGCTGAAACTCTGGGAGAGGAGTAAGTCTGCTAAGTAAACAGTTTTCCTCCTTGCCTGGTTGGGGAGCTGAGGTGTCTCCCACTCTTCACCTTATCAAACCTCAATACACCTAATTGAGAGCTCCCCCAGCCACCCTCATCAAGGCTGCAACCTCACTCCACCACTGGGTATTAAATCTACACACCTACCTTAGCCACAACTGGTGCCTAGCCTGGGATACCTCCCTTATTTGCCTACAGCCTGAATCATCAACTCAAATAAAATACTGGGTGATAAAAGACAAAGAAGGACGTTATATAATGATAAAAAGATTTAGTCCAACAGGAAGATATTACAATCCTAAATACATATGCACTCCCAAATTCATAGAACAATTATTACTAGACCTAAGAAATGAGATAGACAGCAACACAGTAATAGCAGGGAACTTCAATACTTCTCTGACAGCACTAGACAGGTCATCAAGACAAAGTCAACAAAGAAACAATAGACTTATACCCTAGAACAAATGAACTCAGCAGATATTTATAGATCATTCTACCCAACAACTGCAGAATATACATTCTATTCATCAGCACATGGAACATTCTCCGGGATAGATCATACGATAGGCCACAAAACAAGTCTCAATAAATTTTAGAAAATTGGAATCATATCAAGTATCTTTCCAGTTCACAGTGGAATAAAACTGGAAGTTAATTCCAAAAGGAAACCTCAAAACCATACAAATACATGGAAATTAAATAATCTGCTCCTGAATGATCCTTGGGTCAACAATTAAATCAAGATGGAAGTTGAAAAATTCTTTAAACTGAGTGATAACAGTGACACAACTTATCAAAACCTCTGGGATACAGCAAAAGTGGTGCTAAGAGGAAAGTTCATAGCATTAAATGCCCGTAACCAAAAGTCTGAAAGAGCACAAATAGACAACCTGATGTCACACCATAAGGAACTAGAAAAACAATAAACTAAACCCATACCCAACAGAAGAAAAGAAATAACAAAAATAAGAGCAGAAGTAAATGAAATTGAAACAGCAAAATACAAAAGACAAATTAAAAAAAAGTTGTTCTTTGAAAAGATAAAATTGATAGACCATTAGTGAGGTTAAACAAGAAAAGAAGAGAGATGATGCAAATAATCTCAATTAGAAATGAATTGGGAGATATTAAAATTGATGTTACAGAAATACAAAAGATCATTCAAGGCTACTATGAACACCCTTATGCGCACAAACTAGAAAATCTAGAGGAGGTGGATAAATTCCTGGAAATATGCAACCTTCCTGGATTAAATCAGGAAGAAATAGAAACTCTGAATGGACAAATAACAAGCAGCGAGAATGAATTAGTAATTTAAAAACTGCCAACAAAAAAGTTCAAGACCGGATGGATTCACAGCTGAATTCTATCAGACATTCAAAAAAGAACTGATACTAATCCTGCTAAAATTATTCCAAAAGATAGAGAAAGAGGGAATCCTCCCTAAGTCATTCTATGAAGCCAGTACTAGCCTAATACCAAAACCAGGAAAAGGCATAACATAAAAAGAAACCTACAGGCAAATATCCCTGATGAACATAGATGTAAAAATCCTCAACAAAATGTTAGCTAGCTGAATCCAGCAGCATATCAAAAAGATCAAGTGGGTTTCTGCCGGGGATGCAGAGATGATTTAACATACACAAGTCAATAAATGTGATACATCACATAAACAAAATTGAAAACAAAAATCATATGATCATCTCAACAGATTCAGAAAAAGCATTTGACAAAATACAACCTCCCTTTTTGATGAAAACCCTCAATAAAATTGGCATAGAAGGGACATACCTCAAAGTAATAAAAGCCATCTGATATGGTTTTGTTCTGTGTCCCCTCCCAAATCTCATCTCTATTTGTAATCCCCACATGTTGAGGGAGGGACTTGTAATCCCCATGTGTCAAGGGAGGGAGGTGATTGGATTATGGGGACAGTTTCCCTCATGCTGTTCTCATGATAGTGAGTCAGTTCTCATGAGATTTGATGGTTTTATAAATGTTCTTCCTTCACTCTTTCTCACTTGCTGCCATGTAAGATGTGCCTGCTTCCCCTTCTGCCATGATTGTAACTTTCTGAGGCCTCCTCAGCCATGCAAAACTGTGAGTCAGTTAAACCTGTTTCCTTTATAAATTACTCTGTCTAGGGTAGTACTTTATAGCAGTGTGAAAATGGACCAATACCCTATCTATTACAAACCCACATCCAACATCCTACTGAATGGGGAAACATTGAAAGCATTCCCCCTGAGAACTGGAATAAGACAAAGATATCCACTTTCCTCACTTCTATTCAACATAGTATTGAAGTCCCAGCCAGAGCAATAAGACAAGAGCAAAAAATAAAGGGCATCCAAATTGGAAAAGAGGAAATCAAACAGTTGCTGTTCACCAATGATATAATTGTATACCTAGAAAACCCTAAAGACTCACTCATAAAGCTCCTAAATCTGACAAACAAATTCAGTAAAGTTTAAGGATACAAAATCAATGTATATAAATCAGCAGTACTGCTATACATCAACAACGACCAAGCTGAGAATCAAATCAAGAACTGAATCCCTTTTACAACAGCTGCAAAGAAATAAAATACTTAGAATTATAGTTACCTAAGGAGGTAAAAGGTCTTTACAAGGAAAACTACAAAACACTGCTAAAAGAAATCACAGATGACACAAACAGATGGAAACACATCCCATGCTCATGAATGGTTAGAATCAATATAGTGAAAATGACCATACTGGAAAAAGCAATCTACAGATTCAACACACTTAGAATCAAAATACCATCATCATTCTTCAAAGAACTAGAAAAAAAAATCCTAAAATTCATATGGAACCAAAAAAGAGCCTGCATAGCCAAAGCAATACTAAGCAAAAAGGACAAATCTGGAGGCATCACATTACCTGAATTCAAACTATACTACAAGGCTATAATTATCAAAACAGCATGGTACTGGTATAAAAATAAGCATGTAGACCAATGAAACAGAATAAGGAAGCCAGAAATAAAGCCAAATACTTACAGCCAACTGATATTCAACAAAGCATACAAAAACATAAACTGGAGAAAAGACACCATATTCAGGCCTGGCACGGTGGCTCACACCTATAATCCCGGCACTTTGGCAGGTGAAGGTGGGTGAATCAGCCTTGTTCAAGACCAGCCTGGCTAACATAGTGAAACTACGGTGAAACCCCATCTCTACTAAAAATACAAACATTAGCCAGGCATGGTGGTGGGCACCTGTAATCCCAGCTACTCAGGAGGCTAAGGCAGAAGAATTGCTTGAACCCAGGAGGCAGAGGTTGCAGTGAGCCAAGATCATGCCATTGCACTGCAGCCTGGGCAACAAGAGTGAGACTCCATCTCAAACAAACAAACAAACAAAAAAAGACACCCTGTTCAATAAATGGTGCTGGAATAACTGGCAAGCCACATGTAGAAGAATGAAACTGGATCTTCCTCTCTCACCATATACAAACATCGATTCAAGATGGATTAAAGACTTAAATCTAGGACCTGAAACCATAAAAATTCTAGAAGATAACAATAGTAAAACTCTTCTAGATACTGGCTTAGGTGATCAAATTATGAATAAGACCCCAAAAACAAATGCAACAAAAGCAAAAATAAATAAATGGTACCTAATGAAACTAAAAAGCTCCTGCACAGCAAAAGAAATAATCAGCAGGGTAAACAGACTACCCACAGAGTGAGAGAAAATATTCACAAACTATGCAGCCAACAAAAAATTAGTATCCAGAATCTACAAGGAACTCAAACAAATCAGCAAGAAAAAGAACAAATAATCCCATCAGAAAGTAGGCAAAGGATATGAATAGACAATTCTCAAAAGAAGATATACACACAGCCAACAAGTATATTTAAAAAATGCTCAAAATCACTAGTTATCAGGGAAATGCAAATTAAAACCACAATAAAATACCACTTTACTTCTGCAAAAATGGCCAAAATTCAAAAATCAAAAACCAGTAGATGTTGGTGTGGATGTGATGAAAAGAGAACACTTTTACACTGCTGGTGGGAAGGTAAACCAGTACAACCACTGTGAAAAACAGCATGGAGTTTCCTTAAATAACTAAAAGTAGAACTACCATTTGATCCAGCAATCCTACTACTGTGTATCTACCCAGAGGAAAATGTTATTATATGAAAAACACATGCACATGCATGTTTATACAGCACAATTCACAATTAAAAAAATATGGAACAAACCTAAATGCCTATCAACCAACAAGTGGACAAAGGAAATGTGGTATATATACACCATGGAATACAACTCAGCCATAAAATAGAATGAAATCATGGCCCTTACAGCAACTTAGACAGAGTTAGAGGCCATTATTCTAAATGAAGTAACTCAGGAATGGAAAATCAAATATCATATATTCTCATGTATAAGTGGGAGCTAAGCTATGAGGATGCAAAAGCATAAAAATGATAGAATGGACTTTGGGGACTAGGCATGGGGGTGGGTAGGTGGGAGGGAGTGAGGGACGAAAGACTACATATTAGGTACCGTGTACACTGCTCAGGTGATGGGCATGCCATAATCTCAGAAATCACCACCAAAGAACTTATTCATGTAACCAAAAACCACTTGTTCCCCAAAACTATTGAAATAGAATAATAATAATAGAAGGAAATATGGACAGTGAAGGTCAGGCTGACAAGGTCTCAGATGGAAATAAGGAAGTTATGGGAACTGGAGTAAAAGATACCCATGTTACTCCCTAGTAAAGAGCTTGGCTTCATTGGGCCCATGTTCTAGGGATCTGTGGAAGGTTGAACTTAAGAGTGATGACTTAGGGTATCTGGCAGAAGAAATTTCTAAGCAGCAAGTCATTCAAGATGTGGCTTGGCTGCTTCTAACAACCTATAGTCAGATAAAAGAAGCAAAGAAATGACTTAAAATCTAAACTTAGATTTAAAAGGGAGGACGAGTGTAAAAGTTTGGAAAATTGGCAGCCTGGCCCTGTGATAGAGAAAGAATCTAAACAGACTGGGAAGCAACTACTTGCTAGAAGGATTAGCATGGCTAAAAGGGATCCAAGTGCTAATATCCAAGACAATGGGAAAAAGGCCTCAAAGGGATTTCAGAGATCTTTGAGGCAGCCCCTCCTATCACAGGCCAAGAGGCCCAGGAGGTAAGAATGGTTTGAGGGGTCAGGGCCAGGGTGTGCTGCCCTGCTCATCCTCAGGACACTGCTCTCTGCATCCTGTCAGCTTCAGCAGCTCTAGCTTCAGCCTCCGCTCACAGGGCCCCAGATACAGCTCAGGTTGCCACTCTGGGGGTGGCGGGTGCAAGCTGTAAGCCTTGGTGGCTTCTATGTGGTATTAAGTCTACAGGGTCACCAATGCAAGACTGAAGGAGGTATGGAAACTTCCACCCATATTTCAGAGGATGTATGGGAAAGCCTAGGGCCCCAGGCAGAAGCCTGCCATAGGGCAGAACCCTCACAAGGAATCTCTACTAGGACAATACTAAGGGAAAATTTGGGGTTGTATCCCCCACAGAGAGTCCCCAGTCCCTACCAGGTCACTGCCCAGCAGAACCGTGGAAAAGGGCCCGTTGCTCTTCACACCTGAGAATGGTAGAGCCAGTGGCAGCTGCAATCCTGAGTCTGGAAAAGCTGCAGACACTCAACCCTAACCCATCAGAGGTGCCACAAGGGCTGCACACTTCAAAGCCACAGGGATGGAGCTGCCAAGGCCTTGGGAGCCCATCCCTCACACCAGTGTTCCCTGAACACAGGACATGAAGTCAAGGATTATTTTGGAGCTTTAAGATTTAATAACTGCCCTGCTGGTTTCAGACTTATGTGGGGCCTACTGGCCCTTTCTTTTGTTCAATTTCTCCCTCTAGGAATGAAAATATCTCCTCAATGCCTGTATCACTTTGTATGAAAATATCTCCTTTTGGAATGAAAATATCTCCTGAATGCCTGTATCACCATTGTACCTTGGAAGTAAATAACTTGTCCTTGATTTCACAGGCTCATAAGTGGAAAGCGTTAAGTCTCAGATGAGACTTAGGACTTTGGACTTGATGCTGGAACAAGTTAATACCTTGGGGGACTATTGGGAAAGGATGATTGTATTTTGCAATGTGAAAAGGACACGATATTTAGGGGACTGGGTGGAATGGCGTGGTTTGGGTGTTTTCCTCCTCCAAATCTCATGTTGAAATGTAATTCTCAATATGAGATTTGGAGTAGTGGCCAGTATTGGATCATGAGGACAAATCCCTCATGAATGGCTTAGCACGATCCTTGTGGTGATGAGTGAGCTCTTACTTAGTTCATGTGAGAACTGGTTGTTTAGAAGAGTCTGGGACCTCCCCCTTCTCTCTCTCTCAGTCCTGCTCTTGCCCTGTGACATGCCTACTCCCCCTTTGCCTTCTGCCATGGCTAGAAGTTTCCTGGGTCCCTCACCAGAAGCAGATACTGCCACCATGCTTCCTATACACCCTGCAGAACTGTGAGCCAAAATAAAACCTGTTTTCTTTATAGATTACTCATCCTCAAGTATTCCTTCATAGCAAGGCAAGAACAGACTAACACAGTTTCCAACACAGAAACTGTGAAGAACACATTCCAATTATAGCATAGTCTATGCTGAGATTTTTACTTTAAGAACAGGCTTTTGGCCGGGCGCGGTGGCTCACGCCTGTAATCCCAGCACTTTGGGAGGCCGAGGCGGGTGGATCATGAGGTCAGGAGATCAAGACCATCCTGGCTAACAAGGTGAAACCCCGTCTCTACTAAAAATACAAAAAATTAGCCGGGCGCGGTGGCGGGCGCCTGTAGTCCCAGCTACTCGGGAGGCTGAGGCAGGAGAATGGCATGAACCCGGGAAGCGGAGCTTGCAGTGAGCCGAGATTGTGCCACTGCAGTCCGCAGTCCGGCCTGGGCGACAGAGCGAGACTCCGTCTCAAAAAAAAAAAAAAAAAAAAGAACAGGCTTTTTCCTTTCCATTTGAGCAAAGTCACAGGTCATGTGGGAGAAGGAGTCTCCTTACCTGCTCCATCACTAGGGTATGAACTTCCCATCTACTGCTTATATGTCGTGTGGGGTGGCCTATCAGTGGGACAGTTACTTGTTCCTCTAGGTATTGTCAAGCCAGGATACTCTTAAGTCAATCTCAATTATCAGTGGATCTGAGTATCTTTAATACCCAACAGGCTGATGATAGCCTGCAGCATGACTGCCAGAGAGAAATCAACTTCCTTCATGTCAATGATTAATATTTTATTTACAGTGTCATTATAGAAAAGCAAAACTAGTTACCTTAGATGACCCACCAATGCACACTTCAGAGAGAAATCCAAAATAACTAATTCAATGATAAGTTCCTAAATATTCAGGAGATCATTAATTTTTTGTCATTTCAGTATAACTAAGTGCTAATGGAAATATGGCTATACAACTAATATCAAATAACCATGGAGGCCAATTGTTATTATTATTATCTGATATTATAGCAAGAGACTGTTTTGATTTTTGAAAGATATAGATGATTTGATATTTAAACAGATACAAACAGTGCCTGTTTTATCCCTACTCTCCCTCAAAATAATATAAGATGCTGATGTATTGATATTGGATATGAAAATGGTACATTTATGAACAGATTTTGATTTTTGCAGGCCCATGGCACATTAGTTCAAAATAAAAATTTTCATAGAGACAAATCTATTTAGCTCAGTTGGTGAGGGATACAATGATAGCATGTGGAAATCCAGTGACTCCCAGCTAGTATAGTTTGGGAAATATTTCACTCAGGAGCAGCTCAAGCATGTATGCACTGGTGCAAATACACCTACAGCCTAGGTGTAGGGGAGCACACCTTTATGTTAGCAAACTGAAACCCATCCTCTGTGGACAATTCTATGCAAAAACAAAAGTGCAGTAGCACCAAATGAGCATGCTGGCCTCTCGGTGCAGGCTGGCTGGCAGCCAAGTCCAGCCTGCTGAGAGAGAAAATTGAAGGAAGAAATAAAGCAACTGCACAAGATGAAGTCTGAAGGTAGATGTGGAGACTCTTCTGGGAAATCTGTGGAAAAGGTCAAAATTTTGCTCGTGGGCACTTTTAGAGCTGGACCCACTGCTGGCGGTCCTAGTTTCATGAAAGTTCAGGTCCTTTTTGTGGGGAGAAATACACACACATGCAAGCTAACTCAGAGTGTGAGCACTGAAGTGTGCTGTTAGGAACAGGTATTCGCCAGCAGCCACTGTTTTGTTTTTAGTATCTGTCATTCGCAGTCGATCTGGATTTCAAAAATGATTCACTGACCACCAGGGTCTGTGACTCCTTAAAATTAATGCAGTCTGTAGATGTGCTTCATTCTGAGAAGGTACAGAAGAGAAGTGACATAATTGCAGAAAGATGTTCTGAATAAGAGTGCAAAAGATATACTTTTCTGGCCACAGGCTTTGGTACCCAAGTCTTAGTCAAATAACTCTCACTGCTTCATTGTTTGTCACAGGGCTCCTTGCTAAAGAACACAGAAGTCCATTTTCCTCTCAAGGCTCTTCTCAACTCACAAACTCATGATGACTTGTCTCTTTGACAATTGCTACAGTTCGTTTAATGGATGATTACTGAGTTCTTAATGTGTGCTGTATAACTTTTTAGTATCTTTTTTCTTAACATATGCTTTTATAATTGTCATTTTCCTGATTATATCCCATCTAGGGCTATGAGGTGCATAGCTCTAGGTGACACCACTCATGTTGTATTCTGTGTAAATGATCACCTTGTAGTTGTGTCATGCAAAGTCCTTGCTATTTTGACCAAGAGGACAAGTTCTTTGGAGGCAGAACCAATGTGTGTTGCTACTTGAATTTACTTCTAGGGTTAAAGAAAAGATGCTGCACATGATAGTTGCTCAGTTAATGGAAGTAGATTATTATGACATTGATGATTATTTTGAATTTGTTTCCGTCAGTGAAAGAATCACTTCAAGTATGTGCATAGGTTGTTAAGGTTATTTGGTCTCTGAAAATTTATCAATCAATACCCTTTCATGACCATGTTATTTTTATTTCTTATCTTGAGAATGTAAATAGTTAATATGTTTGGGAAAGATTTCACTGTGATATTTGCTTTTATCAAGGAAAATAATTGCATTTAAATCAAGCACTGTTTAAAAGTGATATAACTATAGATCACTAATGTTTACACTAGCCAGAAAGAAATATCTTTGATTTTGCCCAACTATGTATGCAATCTAAACTGTTTTTATACTAAATAAAATAGAAGTATTAACTTTTTTATCACTGTGCACATGAATATAGCTCCTTATTTATGCTTCATTAATGTTAAGATTGATAAAACACACTTAAGGGCCTCTGAAGAAATCTGTGCCCCAATGTTTGCGTAGACCACTTGGAATGAGCTAGTCCTTGTCCTGCCTTCAAAATTGATTTTATATTCCATGATGACATTTTCAGTTATCACATATATGTGAGACAATATCATACTTCATATTTGGAAACTATATAGTTTCACAAATTAAACTTTACAATTTATTTAATTTGCAGACATGGTCTTGAATTAATGTAACTAGAAATTACAACTATAAATAAATAAAAGGAAAATATCAATCAAAGACCCAATTTACAAATACATATTGTTCAGCAAAGTGTTAGGTCTTAGATTGGTACACAGATGATTTAAAAACATGGTTCTTATGGTCAAAGAACACACAATTTGAAAATTAATGAAAACAATTACAACTGGTTGAAAACAATATATGGTAATATGTTGCTTACCAATGGGGTTACAAGCTGAGAAACACATCCTTAGGCAATTTCACTGTCATGTGAACATCATAGAGTGTGCTTACACAAACTTAGATAGGGTAACCTACGACACACCTAGGCTATATGATAGTCTATTGCTTCTAAGCTACAAATCTGTACAGCATGTTACTACACTAAATACTGTAGGCAATTGTAGCAGAAAGGGAAGTATTTGTGTATCTAAACATATCTAAATACAGAAAAGGTACAGTAAAAATACAGCATATTAGATAAAAAATGGTACACCTGTATAGTAGAAGAAGTACACCCTAAAACAATGATAAAAAGTATAGTATAAATGTAAACTGTAACATAGTCATTTATTGTCATTATTGAGTATTATGTATTGTAAATATTTGTATGTGCTATACCTTCATATGACTGTCAGTGTAGGTTTGTTTACATCAGCAGCACCACAAACATGTATTGTGTTGCCCTATGATGTAACAACTGCTACAATGTCACTAAACCATAGGATTTTTCATCTCCAGTGTAATCTTATGAGATCATGGTTATATAAACTGTCCATTGTTGACCAAAACAATGTTATGTGGTGCTTTATTGTACTGATATTAAGGCTGTGTTTTACATTTAGGATTGTTGTAAGTACTCCCCCCCAAAAAAGTTAGAAGATCAATGAAGAATGGACTGAAGCTTGAACTGGGCCTTTAAAAATAAATTGAAAGTGAACGTACCTCTCAGTCTCCATCATTACTGGACTAACTAAGTATTGAATAAGCAGCAGCATTTGTCCAACCTAGGGCCTACACTCATGACATTCCCTTTACCTGAAATGTTTTCCTCTTGTTCCTGCCCACTGTGTCTTACTATCCCTGATCATCATCCTTAAGGTCTCAAATTAGTTCCCTATTATACTTCTTCATTTTACTCTACATTCTCCCTTTGTTGCATTTATCAAGACTGTCATGAAATATTTACTTATGCAATTATATTTTAATGATTGTGTTTTTGCTAAAAAATGTATATTCCAAAGGGTGAAGATCAAATATATTTTGTTTTCTACCCATCACAGTGCCTAACACATTAGGCACTCGATGCCTCATATGAATGAATGAATGAGTCAAGCATAGTGGATACTGGGGGAAGAAAGATAAATAAACCCTTATATAACTCTTGGAGAACACACAATATAACAAAGAAGAGCAGGTACTCATACAACAGTTAAGTTTTAGGGCTAGCTTTTCTAGAAATGTTTTAAAATAAAGACTATTCACTTAGGAGAGGATTTATAGCATTCCTGACTTGTGAAGATCACTTTGTCCCACAACATATAATTCAAGCTACTTACTATAAGCCTGAATGGTTGCACTACAAGATCTACTTGCAGATTTTAAAGAATTATGAATTGAATGCCTTTGATAGAGTAAATGCATTTGAAGCACAGTACCCTTAAAATGAATTACAATCTGAGACGGTACTCTAGGAAGAATGGAGAGATTCAAAATGCCCTTTGTTCTTTGATGTTTTTTCTTTATCCATATGTAATTATTCTAGTCTTTTGTCTTTAGAATTATTGTTCTATGCTTCACATTTCAGGTTGTTTATTACCAGCAGTTACGTGGATTTACTATTTTATGAAGCCAAAGAGATGGCAATTAACAGGTTTAGAACACTGGTGATTTTATTTTTAGATGCATTTTCCTAATATTAATCACTATATGTAAATCATCACATTATTCAGTTGTAGTGGTTTTAATTGTGCTAGATGAAAGAAACAATGATAATTAAGAAATGCATATGTATATGTGAAAAAATATAAATAGCAAATTGTAATAGTTGTCTTTAGTGAAGGCTTAAGAGGAATTTAACTCAAACAACACTAAGCATTTTAATACAAAGCGAATTAGAAAAATTGATGTCTTCTCTTGTTTAAAACAAAAATAAGAACCTGAATAAAATGTTATCCATGATTGTAACACGAAATAAAGATTTGCTCAAGGGAGAAAATTATATTGGAGAATTTAAGTCCACAAAATACTTGACTGTTGCTACTTAACACAAGAAACTTGCTTGCCTATGGATAAGCATAATAGCATCAGTATCGCTGGTATAGGAAATGAAGCTTAGTCATCAAACATTCTGCATGTGAACCTTATGTATGGATTTTAGGGTGTCCCACGATAAAGAGATATTTAATTGAAGAATACTCTCTTCTTCCTTTTTTTCACCTTTTGGTTGAGGAATAAATAAATGTCCCTCTTTTTACTTTTAGTTCAAATTAATACATTTGGTTAACAATGGCTTCTAAAAAGTTAAATTTATTTTCTTGTGTAACAATCATTCTGGAGAAAGGCAACATAGGGTGAGTGTAGCTGCTCAAGAAAGTGATGAGAGACCCAGACTTCTTCTTTCTTTATGCTCTGCCATGGTGTGGCATGTTCTAAAACCTGTTAATTGCCATCTCTTCGGGTTCATAAAATAGTAAATGCGCATAACTGCTGGTTATTTTGTGACAGTTATTAATTTTTGTAATATAATAACTTGAAATGTGAAGCATGAAACAGTAATTCTGAAGACAAAAGACTAGAATAATTAAGTATGAATAACGAAAAAAATCAAACATGCTCCAACAGCATCTCAAGATGGCTGTTGCATTTGAAGGCAAAACATCCACATTTCAGGTAGGAGGAAGTGGGGAGAGAAGAGATTTTTCCCCATTGAGCCTACATTAGGGAATGAAACCTCTGTCCAGGAATTGTTGTCTCCATCTTATTGACCAGAATCGTATCACAAAGCCACCTCCAACTGCAAGAAAGGCTGGGAACTTGAGAATTCTATTTTTTAGCCTTATTGGAAAAGATGATAAAAGTTGTTGGGGGGGTGGTTTGGAATGGGTGTTGTCGAGCCAATTTAACAGAATCTGCAATAATACTACTTAAGAAGTTCCACCTTCCCTTAGAGAGGTCCTCATAACACAGATTCTGAGGAAAGGTAGAGAGAGGATAACTGGTTGGTTATTCTAGCTGTGTAACAAACCACCCCAAACTTAGTGGTAAAAACAGTAACTTTTCTTATGGTCCTGTATTCTGTTGTCCAGCAATTCAGAAGGGCACAGTGGGCACAGCTTGTCTCTCTGCTTCTCTGCTCCACAGTGTCTGGGGCCTCATTTGATACAATAGTGCACATGGCTGAGAGTGACTTTCATCACGGTGGGGCACTGGAATTATCTGGAGGCTGCTTCACTCACATGTCAGGCTCCTGGGCTGGGATGACTTGAAGGCTGAGCTCCGCTGGAGCTATCAACCAGATACCCACACTTGGTTTTCTCAGGCTTCTATCAGGGAGGAGGCTGGATTCTGAGAGAAGACACTGGAAGAACAAGTATGCAAACAGATCCAAGCAGAAGCTACATGACTTTTATGACTAGCCCTGAAAGTCACATGGTGACTTGTAAAAATAGTTACCAGTCCACCCAGATTCAAGAGGAGGGGACAAAGACCACTTCCTTTCAATGGAGGATGCCCAAAGAATTTGCAGCCATTTTTAAAAACTGCCAGTCACAGTGATGGTACTCAATATTGAGCATGATTTTCTTCTCTTCTCTTCTCTTCTTTTCCCTTCTCCTTCCCTCCCCTCCCCTCCCCTCCCCTCCCCTCCCCTCCTCTCCCCTCCCCTCCCCTCTCTTCTCCTCTCCTGTCCTCTCCTCTCCTCTCCCCTTCTCTTCTTTCTTTTTGAGTCAGGGTCTCGCTCTGTCACCCTGGCTGGAGTCCAGTGGCCTGATCATGTCTTACGTCGAACCCTGGTTGATCATGATCTTCTAAGAATGGTCTTATTCAACTTTCTTTCCATTTTCCCCATTCCTCAAGCACACTAAGAAAAGGCTGTATTACATGGACACATGGAGGGGAACAACATACACTGGGGACTGTCAGGGGGAGGGGAAGGCATAGCTTCAGGAAGAATAGCTAATGGATGCTGGGCTTAATACGTAGGTGATGGGATGATTTGTGCAGCAAACCATCATGGCACATGTTTACCTATGTAACAAACCTGCACATCCTGCACATGTACCCCTGAACTTAAAAGTTTGAAGAAAAATAAAAAAGAATGCTTCATCCAGGTGAAGTTTTCCAAAAACAACAACAACAACAAAAGAATGCTTTTGGAGTTCCTGGAGCAGGTGGCACGAATTCAATCAACTGATACCCTCCAGTGTCAAGTCTCACAGAGAGACAACAGTTCTCTACCTCAGTGCAGAAAGAAAGAGTGAGGCCCTCCAGGGCTACCAGTTACAATAATATTATGTTCTTTTTTACTACCTTGTACGTGGTGCCAGGGCCATATCCCGCAAATTCAAAATTCAGCTCCTGTAGTACAATCCATATGGGTAATCATAATGGTTGCTGACCTATGTGATTCCAGGAGTGGGTCTAAATCTTGAGACTGTAAACCAAAAACAAAATGCTAAGGCCCCCCAGCCGTCTGAATGGACTTCCTCCTCAGCCGAGGCACTCTTAAAATTTAACCTGAAAGACTGGAAGACTGGTTGAGGCCATGATGGGGCCGTGGGTGTCGGATATGCCTCATTATACCTCTCTGGCATTAGCATCAACACAGCCCTTAACTCTGATAAGAAGAATTTGAAGCATTTACAATCGATTCTCTCTGAAGCCTGCTGCTTGAAGGCTTCCTCTGCATGATAAGAATTTTGATCTTCACAATCCTTTAACCCAGACACTTCCTTTCAATTGATCCCAGGTCTTCAGATAAACTCAACCCAGAATTAATTAATTAATTAATTAATTAATTAATTAATTTTGAGATGGCATCTCGCTCTGTTGCCAGGCTGGAGTGCCGTGACGTGATCTCGTCTCACTGCAACCTCCGCCTCCCGGTTTCAAGCGATTCTCCTGCCTCAGCCTCCTGAGTAGCTGGGACTACAGACACGCCACCACACCCACCTAATTTTTGTATTTTTAGTAGCAACGGGGTTTCACTCTCCATCTCTTGACCTCGTGATCCACCCACCTCGGCCTCCCAAAGTGCTGGGATTACAGGCGTGAGCTAACGCGCCTGGCCCAGAAAAATTTTAAATTCACCTATAACCTGGAAGCCACCTCCCCCACCACCCATCCCCCTCCTGTCCCCTGCCCCGCTTCAAGTTGTTCCACCTTTCTGAACAGAACCAACATATTTCTTAAATGTATGTGATTGAAGTCACATGCCTCCCTAAAATGTATTAAACCAAGCTGCACCCTGACCACCTTGGGCACATGTTCTTAGGACCTCCTGAGGGCTGTGTCACAGGCCATGGTCACTCATATTTGGCTCAGAATAAATCTCTCCAAATATTAAAAAAAGAAAAAAAGACTGTGTTAAATCTATTGACGAAAGCCTCTTTCCAGTGTTTCTAAAGGAGGAGTAAGCTGTTGATCCACTGGCCGGTAGAGAGCATTCAGAGATGAGGCTGTTCTACCAGGGCCAAGCTTGGTGTTGTCTGCCTAGTGAGCATGAACAGGATAGGGCAACAGCCAGAGAATTAACCAATCTCATCTTCACCAAAATGGCTGGGTTTTTCTATGTGCATGTTCAAGTGTAGAGAATTGCTTTTCTATTTTCCATGCAGTTTGGAATGTATGACGTGTGTTTGTAACAAGGAAGCCAGATACAAGGTTAGATCATGAAAAGACAGTGAGGTGGAATCCAAGAAGGCTCCTCTTGATCTGCAGCGAAGAGTGACATGTTGTGATACTCTTCATAGCACAGGAAAAACATCACAGCAACATTTCTGAGTGAATGGGGTCTATGAAGAACAATTTCAGGCACTAGATATCATTTCTGATTTTGAGGCTCGTACAGTCCTATTCTTTGCAGGTAAGTGCAGTGGAATGATTTAATCTTATCCCTGACATGTACTAACTCTGGGACTCTGGGCAAGTTCACATAGCTCACTCTCAGTTTCTTTTTCTCACTTCAGATAATGGGGATAAAAATGCCCATCTTAAACTGCCATTATGAGGATTAAATGCATATTTTCCCTCCCTCTTGCTTCCTGGAATTCCTGTCTTTTTACCTCTGCCCCTAATGATGAACAGTCTGCCGGTGCTGAAGGATGTCACTTCCTCCTGGAAACCATATGACATGCCATCAAAGACTGGGTCAACTCTCTCTCCTATGTACTTCCAAATAGAGCTCTGTGCTTACCCCTGTCATAACTCTTAACATCCAGCAATTCATTTCATGAATTCTAGTAGAAAAATGAGTGTGTTCCAGGCACTGTCCTAGGGTCTGGAAACAAAGCAACGAATAAAATTGGAGAGGTCTCCACCCTTGTGTTTTGAACTCTCTAGTAGGCAAAAGAGACAATTAATAAGCAAGCAAATAAGATGAATGTAATTCCACAGAGTGATAGGCCCATAAGGAATTAAAGAACGTGGTAGGAATGAGAGTGACTCTTGAGGAGAGCCTGGTTTTAAAAGGTCGATGAGTCTCAAAATAAATATATTAAAAAGGCCGATGGGAAAATTCCAGTCAAGGACATGACATTTGAGCTGAAATCTGGATATTGAGAAGTAGCTACGTATATAATCTAAATACCAGGCACCTTTATAAGCACTCCCAGTGTATTAATTCATTTTATCTGCACAACAACATATTGAAGTAAATGCTCTTCTTATTCCTAATTCACAGATGAGACAACAAAGGTCCAAGGGTGAAGTAACTTGCACAAGATTACAGGGCTAGCAAGTAGCAGAATTTGTATTCAACCCAAATAGGCTGTCTTCAAAGTCCATATTTCCAAGCACTGTGTTGTAACTGCCTCTCAAAAGCATTTGATATTGCATCAACCTTGACTTTTTACTTGTATGTTTCTCCTACTGGACAGTAAATTAGTTTATGGTTAGTACTCAGTCCCAAGAATGCCCAGCTCTTAGTGTGTGTGTGTGTGCGTGTGTGTATATATATATATATTTATTTATTTTTTCCTTTTGGTCTGAGAAAGGGTCTTGCTCTGTTGCCCAGGCTGGAATACAATGGCGCAACCATAGCTCACTGCAGCCTCAACCTCCCAGGCTCAAACAATCCTCTCACCTCAGCCTCTCTAGTAGCTGGGACCAAAAGCAAACAACATCACACCTCGCTAATTTTTAAGTTTTTTGTAAACATAAGATCTCCCTGTGTTGCCCAAGCTGGTCTCAAACTCCTGGGCTCAAGCGATTGCTCCTGCCTCAGCCTCCCAAAGTGCTGGGTTTACAGTTTTGAGCCACCTTAGTACAATCTTAATAAGTATTTATCAAATTAATTCATGATTTTAATGAGCAAATATATATGACATGAAGGATCTCACTTAGTGCTTAGCATCAGATAAGTGATTAACATGTTAATTCTTCCTCCCTCCCTCCCTTCCTAATTCCCTGAGTTAGATTCATATATCCTGCTGCTGCACTAAAAGTACCTGGAAGATTTATAGAGGAAGGGTGGGGGGCTGTCTTCATAACATATCAAAGAAGAAATTAGAAGAAGTTTTTCAGTTTGTTAGCAAAAGATGGAAAAGTAACTTCAGTGAGCTCTGAAGAAAAACATGTGCAAGCAAGGAGCTTGTAAAGTAATAAATTTCTGCCCTCCAGCACTAAAATGATGTCCTCTGTGCTTTAAGGAAAAGCAATTTGGAAAATTTCCACACATACACGTTTTGGGGAAAATGTAGGGAGAAATATAAAGTTAGTTAAATGTCTTTCATAGGCACTTCAAAGCCATGAACCATTAAATCATTTCCACAGCTTTTTGACTGTTATCAACCCCACCCCCAGAACATTGCCAAAATCACCCCTTTAAAGGTTGCAATAAATTTGAAAGCCAAATCAGATTTGGGAATGTTGCACAAAAGAGAACTATATCTTGTACTTTAGATACATTTTTTTTTTTAATATCAGCACAGAGCTACATCCTGCCAAAGATGAACTTGGAAGCAGTGACCTTTGCGGATGACTTCTCTTTGTTAGATTTTTGCCCTACAGGATTTTAGAAGCCTGGTCACAAGAACATTTGAGGATACCAGGTGGTTTTGAAATGCATGGTTGAGCTGGATGACTTATCTTGGCCTGAATGTAAATTTGGAAAAGGAGTTCTGTCATGAAGAAAGCGAATATTTGTACAAGAAGCATCAGCCGCAGTGTTCTCAAAAGTAACTGTAACCTTCCCGCTGCTGCTGCTGAGTTTGATGGAGAAAGATGGTGAGCTTAAGAAGAAAGCAAGAGATCATTCTCTGCATTTTTTTTACCCAGTGCTGTGTTGAATTTCTTTCTAGTTACAATTGTAAAGTGTCACAAACAAAAGTCATTTAGCCTATGCAACTTCTGCCATTAAGGTGTTGTCTCTAGAAAATGAACTACAATGTTAGCAGATGCTCCAGCAATGTTAGGGAGAGACCTCCCTGCTAAATGAATTACTGAGATGGGCACACTTATAAGAAAAAGGTAACATTTTATGCACTTAAACACCTAGCATTCACATAAAGGATTGAGGAACAGCATGTATTTAGTCTGTATTGTGAACCCAGTTTATAACTCCAAAGCTAGAGAACTGAGCCTGCTCAGTAATAAAGGAGCACAAAGGGAGTAAAGAAACAGCAAGGAAGCAACATTTACTGCAGCCCAACTCTCCTGACAGTGAGTGTGGCAGAAAGATGAGAGCAACCAAGCAACCAAGATACAAGCAACCAAGATACAAGCAACCAAGATAGCAAAGCGGAGGTTGGGCAGCTGGAAGCATGGAGTACAAATAAATGCTATTAATTCATTAGTGGACTGCAGTTACACATGGTGGCTCCAGCTTACAATTCTGGCCTCAACAACTTAAAGACTGATTTCCTCAACGACCAGCCTGCTGTTCTTGAAAGGAGAAAGAAATAGGATTTCTTAGGTTATTATGCTACTATGTCACACTAAGAGTGTGACAAAGGAAGTAAATTTCTACAAACATTAAATGCAGCTACTGGTTCGAAGGTCATGTTTAAGTGTGATCACTTGACAGGATCTGGCAATGCATCAGTTTTGTTATCTTTACCCACCCCTTACGTTAGAAAATACACCATCAACAATGGATAGCATTGACAGCTTTCATAAATGTAGGCTGAACAGCAGGTGGCAGCAAAGGATACTATAAGAAACACTTCCACTGGAATATCTGAGAAAATTCTAGAAAACTCATTTTCGTAGGATGCAGGTAGAGAAGGCCCTCAAAGATGATTGCTCTCTTACCTCTGGCTAAAGCACGTGATAGAAAAAGAAAGCTATTGGGAAGGTTGATCATGATAACTAAGTTTAAATGCTTTTCTGTCATTTTAATCACCTTTCCACTAAATGAAAGGATTGAAAAAGCTTACCAAAAGTTCAAGTATCCCACAGCAAAGCCCAGCTAATCCTCTTACAAAATGGACATGCATGCTGAAAAGAGATTTTTATAATAAGAAATGACATGCAATATTTATTATAAAATTATCATTCAGTCCAGTATGGAAATATGCCAGTTGGACGTTATCTGTCTCTTGGCTCAGAAGAAATATTAATGGAAGAATATTAACATCCTTCAAAGAAAGAAGGATATATGTAAAGAAAACATTAAAGGCTCATTCATCATGAATGGCTCTTTGAGAATGAGACAATAGCATGGGACAAATGAGACAGGACAGAGCATCTGGATCTTTTGATAAAAAATACCCAAAATAAGAAGGATGAAAATACTATAAGGAAAAGGATGTGTCTTAATTTGTTGGAGGGGTAAGTTTCTTGGAAAAGGGGAAATGTGACTACCTGTGAGTAATTATAATCCAGGGGAATCTACCTATATGCAGATAACAGAGATAATTCAACATTAAGACCAGCTTCTAGGTTTCTGAGAAAACCAAAGCAATGATCTTAGTAAATCAGGTTTTGAAAAAGACTGCAACTTACTTCTGTACATCTTGGCTGTGATATTATCTGTTTTACTTGATGCCCACCTAGATCAGTGAGTAATTAGATGGAGTTGAATATTCCTCCAACGTAGTCAAAATAACTAACTGATAGAAAGAAACACACATGGCAGAATAACTTTAGATTCTGGAATTATAACCACTGGTCTCCAAATGCCATTTCAGCCCTAGGATAACAATCTTTGCTGTGGTTTAAGTTATGAAATTCCTGACTCCCAGTTTCCTGACTGCAAAGTGGGCGTGGATGACTACTCCTAGCACCAAGCCATGTGAGGATTAAGTAGGACACTGTATCGAAATGCTTGCCCCATATAAATTGCTTCTTAATACATTTTATTTTCTTTCTCTCTTCAAGAACATTCCCAAAGGCATTGACACATTTTGAGAAATGTCTCCAAAACATCCTCACTAACATCTGCAAGTGTCAGAAATTCCTAATCGTAAAGTTCTATCTTTAGATGGAGACAAAATGCCTAGGAAGATTAGCTCAGTCTGACCAAGGACCGATGCTAAACAATAGCACATAGCAGATGATGTAAACATGGCGATGGGCACAGTTCTCCATTCTAATCACAAATAAGGTCTAACCTTATTTGAATTCCAATTTCATATTTCCTTCCTTCCTTCCTCTTTCTTTCTTTCATTCTTTCTTTCTTTCTTTCTCTTTTTTTTTTTTGGTGGAGTTCAGCTTTTTTGCCCAGGCTGGAGCACAGTGGCGGGAATCTCGGCTCACTGCAACCTCCACCTCCCAGGTTCAAGTGATTCTCCTGCCTCAGCCTCCCAAGTAGCTGGGACTGCAGGCACCTGCCACCACGCCCAGCTAATTTTCGTATTCTTAGTAGAGACAGGGTTTCACTATGTTGGCCAAGCTGGTCTCGAACTTCTGACCTCAGGTGATCCGCCCACCTCAGCCTCCCAAAGTGCTGGGAGAGAGACTTTGATTTCTCCGAATCCTTGTAAAAGAGATTCATCCCTTTCCAGTCAGTTGTGGGCAGGGAGAAGGCAGAGGTAATGGTGGTTAGATTGGTTGCATAGTGAAAATCTGGCTGCCCAGGTTCAGGTCTGTGGCAGGAGGTGGAGTTCTCATAGCAGGTGTCATGAAGTGGTCAGTTACCCCAACCTGTGTGTGCTACCACCACTACTATTGCTGTACACATGCCTGTACACACTCAAGCACATTCTCTTCTTTATGTCACATTATCATGTAAACTACCATAAAATGAAAGCAAATTATTTATGAACTCTTATTGTTTTGCTTAAACATCACAGATACATTTTTTTTAAGTAATCATAAAACAACATTTTTGGAACCAAGTTGCCAAGAATACTGTGAAAATCTCAAATACCAGCAAGACTTCAAAGCAAGTCCCTTAATCAAACTAGTGCTTATTTACTAGGAAAAAATGCAAAAGGCTGGGACGCATAGCCCAGATAAGCCAGTTCTGAAGTTGCTGTCATAAATGAGGTATGGGATGTGAACAGCTTCAGTGCTTGTGTCTTTGAAATGTTCATTCTCTCTGTAACCTTAAAAATAATTACCGCTTATGATTAAAAACTGTATTTTTCATATGATTGATACTTTATTTTACTAAAAGATATTAATATGAGTGTTGATGTAACCATCGAGCATCTAAGTGCTATATTGTGTTGTGATTCTTGATGAGAATTAACAAAGTGAAAACATCATGTTCTGTTGCTGTTTACAATTTTTTTCTGTTTCCTTTGAGATACTTCACCTTTAATTGGTGCCTTCCCAAAACACATTTTTCTGCTGATACCAATAATCACAGCCTCCTCTGCTAAAGTGTCTCGGTGATGCACATCTGGTTCTTGAGAACTGAAACCCAGAAAGGGTCTCAAATATTTCATGCTGAAGCCCCTCAAAGGGCAGTTAATCACAAGTATCTGCTCACCACTTAGCTGGAGTGGTAAAGCAGATGATGTAAAGATGGTGATGGGCACAGTTCTCCATTCTAACCACAAATAAGGCCTACCTTTATTTGAATTCCAATTTCATATTCCTTTTTTTTTTTTTTTTGAGATGGAATTCAGCTCTTTTGCCCAGGCTGGAGTGCAGTGGAAGAAAAATTCAGCGTTTTCTTCCCTTTTAAATATCAATTCATTTGCGGAGACAGTAGCAAAACTATCAAAAATACTATGCCTGAATTGCAGGACTGGTTGGATGAATGGAGCAGTAATGATAGGTTGCTTAATTTTATTTTAGTGTAAGTTTGTGCTATATTTCTCTAATGTTTATATGATTTTTTTTGGTACCAGACAAAAAATTCTGGATATGCCTTGACTATAGAAAAGGCCACATTTCAAAAATCTGGATTTATAATAATAATTCCTCTTTGAAAGGATGAATATAACATATAAAGCCTATATCTGCAAACTTTTTAGTAACATGTGTTTTCTCTAGTGCTTTAGGTTTACACATTCACTAAATCTAGAAGGTAACTTAAAATTATCCAATGGGTTCACTTCATTTGTGGAAGAGGAAATTGAGGCACAGCTTGATTAAAAGAATTGTCCAAAGTGAGTCAACCAACAACTTACTGCAATAAGAATCTGGTGTCCACCTTAGAGTGGTGGACTGCTATTACTTGCCCTCCTCACAATTATAATTTTATATTAATTCTATTTTTATCATTATTGATAACACTACATATATTTTACCCCAAGGAAAGAAGGAAGGAAACAAGAACCTAGTCTTAAAAATCTTAAAATTTCAAATACTGAAACTCAAATCACTTTTCCAATAACCTGAAAAAAAATATCTTTCAAATAATATCTCCCAAGTAGCCCAGGAAATAATGGTGGGCCTGTGGTTTTCTAGGTAAAATAAGTAAATATCAAATGATATATAAAAGTTAAATATTAAGCCAGTTAACTTTTTCACTTGCACTCTAACCAGGAAATTCTCAAATATTGGTTCTCTACAGTGATAGCATATTATATTATCTGGGAAAAGAAAAAATTGCCTAAGAATATCAGAATCCCTGAAGGTGGTCGTGTGTGTGTGTGTGTGTGTGTGTGTGTGTGTGTGTGTGTGTGTGTGTGTTTACTATTTCGGTTAGAATACTAGTGTGAACCGCGGTTGAGAACCGCTTTCCCAGTCTCAGCACTCAACCCTATCCCACTCTAATCCGCTGAGGGACAGCATCAGACCGCTCAAACTCAGAGGGCACGCCGAGAACCGCGTCCCTTCCCCTTGAAGCCACGAGGGGGCGCTCCTGCACCGGATTTGCTCATTGGCCGCCTCTCATCCCCCAAATTTAGAGACAACACCGCAGAAAAGGCTTTCGTTTGGAAGCCGGCAGAAAGAGAAAAGGCAGGGAATTGCCTTTGTATATCCGAGGGCCGACGGATAATTCGTGTAAACAACAATATCCCTCAAGATGAGCTCTTCGGAGCTTCCTACCCAGTGGCAGCTCCCCGTTTTCTCCTTTGGACTTGGAAAAACTTCACTTCCCGCAAGGAGAAAGTCGGGGGGCCGGCGGCTGGGTGGGATGGTTTATGGCTTTGGATCTTGAGCAGTTCACTGTTCAAATAAATCTTGGTGAGCCATAGAGAACAATCTCCACATTAATCTTGTGTAATTAGCGTTATAACCCTCGGCAGCCTAAGAAGCAGGAAAGACAAAGCTTTATGCAAATGTGGCTTCCCTGGCCTCCGCTCCTCCTCCGCCCGGGCCCCTTTCTCCCTGGGCCCCTCGATCTCGCGCCGCAGACTGCGAGCCTCTTTTTAATGGCACGGTACCTTAAAACCAGTGATAAGGTTCTTGACTTTAAAAATAAAAAATGAAAAAGGAGAAGCAGCGGCAACCGAAGGAGGGGAGAGACGTGTGCAAGCTGAGGCTATTAGAAGGATTTAGCTTCTGGGGAATTGGCACCTGCCTTTGGCAGCCAGCACTGTCCAGTTAAGGACGGAACCCAACACGTGGGGAGACTTAGGGACTGGGAAGTGGCGTTTTCTCCAACCAGCAGCTCTTGGGAGGTTGTGGGGGGGCGGGGGGGGGGGGGCGGTGCGGGGGCAAACCCGTGGCTGGGGCGCTTTTCTGGCAGAAAGGGGCAGTTCTCCCAGTTCGCCCCAGGGACTCCACTCTGCCTTCCAGACCCGCACATTTCCCAGTCAGGAGTCTTGAACCGAGCCCTCAGATGACAGTCTCTGCTAAGCCGAGACAAGGCCCCACAGGAGGAGGAGGGTGTGAGGAACCCCAACACACAAGTCTTCACTTGCAAAGGTTGGGGAGGGGGTTGAGGGAGAGGTGCCCGCAGAGGCCGAGGTGCGCGCACAGCCGCGCACACGCGCGGGCACCGACGCGAAGCCGAGAGGATGCAGATCCCCCGCCTGGCTCTGGATTATCTGCTCTGTGTTTACTGTTTCGGAGGGCTTTACGTGAAACGAATAAATTTTTACTTGCTCCCAGGGACCGGCTTGTTGTTTTATGGCATGTACTTATTTAAAAGCCTCTTTTGTCGGTGTTGAAATGGTCCAAGCTCCCAAACCCTGTGCCGGGCTATGAGCGTGGAACCAGCCGAACTGCAATGAGCATCACTGCAGCAGCAAAAGGCAGTGAAGAGAGGAGCCTTATTCTTTCCAGTACACACACACACGCACACGCACACGCACGCACTCACGCCCTGAATGCTTGCTTTTCTTTTTCACAAACCAGAACCTAATGTTTTTCATGTCTTACACAGGGGGCTAAGGGAATGTATTCTAGCGAATTATACCTGAAATACTGCAAGATTTGAAAATTTTCTACAGAAAGTGTATTCTGATTAAAAACAAACCTCAATACATATCTGTTTATCCCCCTTCCATGTGTATCCGCTTAGGGTTTATTCCTCCCTTTTCTGACTTCCCCACCCTCAAAAAGGTAAGCATAATGCCAGGCAAAAGCTAAGATTGGGCTCTTTTAACCCGTAATCGCTGTCGTCTCTACACTTTGTTTATGAAACGGAATAAGAATGGAGAGAGACTTAATTTAACAGCACAACCAGGCTGTATAAATACAATATTCATTTTTTAAAAGCGAAGTGGATTTGGTTTACTCTGAAGAACAGTAATTCAAACAGCACCTATCTGCTCCAGATAGAGTAGCTATGCACATCTATACAGGCAAGTTTGAAATTTAGAACAAGGCTTTGATTTATTCCCTTTCTATCAGTGATTAATGCCCCTTAATTAGCTAATCTCAAAGCCATTATTTACAACTAGGGCAGACAAAGGGAAAACTGATGATCCAACACTTATGTCAGTTTGAAATTTTGAAACAACAAAAAGTGCTTTATTCAGAGTGGAATTCTGAGTCTCTTAGATGAATCTCAAAATAACAAAGAAACTCAAAGAAAAAAATAAAACAAAAATAAAACAAAATAAATGGGAACAAATAAAACTCCATCTCCCAAACAATCCCAACCGCCACTCCTTTTTCGCAGAAATTGCTGCCTGGCACAATTTGAAATGTGGCTATTTAAAGGGAAAAGGAATATATCTTCTCTTCATTCCATCTAAAATCTATAAGTTTTCAATTTTAGCATAAGAGGAGAAAGCGTTTATAGCTGAGTTTTTCCAAGTTGCTTAAAAGGAAAGGGCTTTGGGATTTGAAAAATCAGTTTTCTCTTTGTACTTTTCCAAGGCGGGGATTTGAAGCTGGGCACTAGATTTGCTTCTCAAGATCCGGTGCCTTAAACGTTGGGGAAGGGGCTGCGGGGGAGTGTGGGGAGAGGAGGTTTGTAAGGCGCCCTTTAACGCGGACCTGGCCTAGGGTCCTGAGGAATTCCTCTTTGAACTCTGCTCCCTAAAGCACCGCCCTCGCAGCAGCTCAAATTCAAGTGACCCTAAAAACTCGTTTCTGGACAGAACTGCAGGTCTTCGGGGTCTTTCTTGGTAGGAAACCATTCAGACCGGGTATCCTGGTGGCTGTCGGGGGGTTCTTGAAGGTTCCAGGGAGTCTCCTCAGGAAAAGGAGAGCGCAGGCCTTGGTTGCCTGATGTTGCAGAGGAGCCTAGGGAAAGAGCGGAGCAGGCCATGTCTGAGCCGAGGCCTGGGTCCTCCACTGTGGACGCGCTGCTGGTCGCCTCAGACCACTTAGGTCATCTCGGCGGTTTATCCAGCTCTCTCCCGCTTCAGATTCCGGAGTGAGGAGAGCACCCCCATCCCCACCTTCACCTCCATCATTTTTACGAGGAAAACCTGTTCATTCGCTGCATCTGGGGACCCTTATGTGCGTTTGCCTGTTAAGAAACAGAAAATATGAAAGGAACAATACCGCGGGACACGTTGCCAAGTCGACGGGGGCAGCTTAAGGTGTGCAAAAGTGGAACTGAGGAGGACCTCGAAAGTCCTTCGATCTGAACGGTTAGGAAAAAAAGCTTTAGGTTTATTCCTGGGCTCCTGAATCCATGACCTGAAAGGGAACAGAAAAAGGCCTTTGGAAAGCGGAACGTGCCTTCAGGCAGCACTAGAATGGGATTAGAAATCCCTCCTGGAAAGTAGGAGGCGAAGGAGAGGGAAACTACAGGGGAGTGGAAACTGGGGAAGGAGAGGCAGAGCTCGGAGACGGGTGTGTGTGTGTGTGTGTGTGTGTGTGTGTGTGTGTGTGTAGGGGGTGGGGGCTCGGGGCCAGGGAGGAAGGAAAGGAAGAGGGTAAAAAAGAAGCTAGAGGAGCGAAGAAGGAAAAACTAGAGGACCTCGTGTCTTTCGTGTGAAAGCACCCGCGTCCTAAATCGTAGGAACGAGGTAGTCATTAGCGCTCTGACCCGGAGGAGAGACGCATTAGAGAAAGAAATGAACAGAGAACATGCACCTCCCTGCCTGGTTCATTTCGCTTTCCTTGAAATCCCTGGGCCTCAAGGTTCCCATCGCTTAAGCTTTCCCCATCTCTCCCTCCCCCGCCCCTTCAACATACAATGCACTGAGGCTGAGAGGGAAGGAACGGAGCGAGTCAGGGAGAGAAATCATGAAGCTTTTCAGGGTAAAATACAAACCTGCTCATCCAGCTTGCCAACACGTTTTTAACATTTGCATCGACTAATCTGTGAACAGTCGTTGGGGTGATAATTTCGTCTGAGAGATTAACCATTCAAGTCTCAAAGTTCCCAAGGATTGTGAAATCCTGCTTGTAAAAATACAGATTTTGAAGTGTTTCTTTTTTCTCCCTTTCTCAAATGAAACCCCGAGGATGCGCTTTGGACTTGGGGACTGAGGGCGTGGTGGGCAGACAGCTGTTGAATCCAAACAAAGACTATTCTGGATCTGACGCCGTTTCGGTTTCCATCTGGGAGTACTTTTCATTTCCTTCTTCCCATTCCAAAGGAAAGAAATGGATTAGGAATGGGGCAGTCAGAATTATGTGTTTATGGCGGACAGATGGAACAGGAGAGGATGAACCTTCAGCAACAAAAGGATCATTGAGATTTGGTTCCTGGGTGTGCAAATTTGGAAACAAAATAACCAAGGAAGCTATGGGAATACCAAGACTCTAGCTATCGACAATGTTGACTCATAGACGAATCATCTCTCCTTCTCTACTTTCCTATCATCAATCAAGAATTGTGGCCCCATCTCACAAACTGCCGCGGAAGCCAAAATTGCAGGACATTTTGAGAAACAAGTCTTGAAATCTGCCTGAAACTAACAAAAGCCACCCGCCAGTCAACCAGAGTCAGTCGCTCTCTCTCTCTCCCTTTCTTCCCTCCTCTCCCCCACTCTTCCTCGTCTCCCGCCCCCGCCCCCCATCTTTCTCCAGCTAGCCTCGCCCCAATTAACGCCCTACAGCCAGTCAGCCTTACACCTGCTGGAAAAATCTTGGTGGCAGTGGTGGGAGGTGGTGGTTTTGGTTTTTAGCAGAGCGCGGGAGCACCCTGTCACACCCTCCTGAGACCGCCCTAGGACCGTCCTCTGGAATATCTTGGAGCCAGGAGCCAGGGAGGCTTTCCTCAGTCCCAGTCGTTGCCTGTCGCCGCTTTCGGTTTCTCTTCCCTAATAGCACCCGCCACCCCTTTTCTCTGAAATTCTCAAAGCAATTTCATCCTTTGCAGAGTTGCAAAGCTCTCCTACTGACTTGGGGTGTGCGGCTTAAAAAGGGGAGAATGGAGTAGCTCGAAAGGGAAGGAGGGTCACATTGAATTCTCCTTTTAAAAATTTTAATTTCATTGACACGTCTTGAAAGGTTTGTTTTGGTATAAGGCAAGGCTGCCAATTCCAAATACAAACAGACGGACACACACTGTGTGTATCAGATGTTGGGAATAAAAATGGTTTATTGATTGAAATAATAGAGGCATTATTTTGATTTGTCTTGACATGGACGCTGATTTATAGAGCTCTTCCCCCAGTGATTTCTTCTTGTAGTCCAGACACATGGAAATGATAAAAATCTCACCAAAGCTCACCTTGGTGCTAATCAAGACTGCTCGATGCACGTTATAAATCTGATACAATATTTATTGCTTATCTGTATTCGAGGGGTTAGTCTCCATCCTAGGATTGTCCCTTTCAAAAAAAATTTTTTGGATGCATCTGTTTTCACTTTGCACTTTCAACGGGCTGGAGCAGACAATAGTGTGAAAAACATCTGAAAATATGAGGCGACAGAGCTGCATGTGTGTTTCATTTCTGCGGTGTTAGGGGAGAAAATAACAAAAGAAACACACACTACAACACACACGCACGCACGCACACACACACACCGGCCCAGGACCTCAGCACAAAGGGCGCGCTGACCCAGCGCTAACACACAAGACAAATTAAAGAAAGGGGCAAATCGGAGGAGGGGCTAAGGCGAGGGTCCAGGCATTTCGGGAAAAGATCAAGGACAAGGAGAGTTAAGAAACTGACCGTGGGCCAGGGAAGACCGGAGAGAGAGAAAGTAAAGTGTCCAGGACTGGAACTCACGTCCCTGAGGCAGGGGACAGTAAGTTTGCTTGTAACACAGACAGTTTTCCTTGACTGCAGGAAACAAGAAAAATAGTAATCATAAAACAAGCACAAATCCCCCAAACATCAGGGGGGTAAAACCCCCATTATTAGCCATCACAAACCAAAACCCAAACCGAGTCTTTTCTGCTGAATTGCTGCAAGATCACAAGAGACCAAGAGATCCGGAGTCAGGCTGTGAACTTGGGAAAGATAAGTTGCCCGGCGAGGTTGGAGGTAGACTGAGGAACGCCTTTTTTTGTGAAGGACACAAATATTTGCAGAGTTTAAAGCTGCAGGAATACAAAAGCAGGAGTGAGATTATCTGATTACGGATACAGGATGTCCGAGTTGTTGCCTCCCAAAAACGACTGCGTAAAAAAAAATAAATAAAAGGCCAGTTCGAAAAGTGAAATTTTAATATCAGTGAAAGCATCGGAGGGACTCGGATTGAACGCGGCAGCTCCGGAACTGGACAACAGCTGCGTGGTGCAGCCAATCCCGGGGCCTGTGGGAACGAGCGACCGATCTCAGGACCACGCGGGCGAGAGCAAGGAGCCTCCCGGCCACACAGCCACAGGCGCTGCGGAACCCAGCCCGGACTCTCCCCGGCTGGAGTGTGCGAAGGGCTTCCCGCCCAGGGGCCCAGGGTGGTCTTAGTGAAAAAGGGATGGCGCTGCAGCACTGACCACGTTGCCCTGGTTTCTCCATTTCTCCTTCCCAAGTCTCTGCCTCTGTTTCCCCATGACCCGGAGGACGCGCCTACGGAAGAGACGTCTGGTCGAGGGGGTGCCGGGGAGCGGAAGGGGGAGGGGAAGGTCTCATCCCTGGGACGCTGACACCCCCCTCCCCGCGGCACTCCAGCTCCGAAGAGCGAGCTTCGGTTCCGCCCGCCCTCCAGACCATTTGCTTATTCTCACTATTGTTTTAATTTATTGTGCAGCCTGTTGCGCCGCGGGCCCGGCTGAGCCATTTGGGGCCCTCTAGATGCCCTGCAGGGCGCCTGTCTCCGGACGACCACCACGCAGGAGCAGCGGGGGCACGCGCGTGTTTTCTTGTGGATAACTGCCTCGGACTTGGCGGGGCCGGTCCCCACCTGAAGCTCACCTCAGGCAGTCGCTAGAAGTTCCAATCCAATCGTGAGCTTTCCTCTGGGAGGGACAGGATCCCCTTCAACTCCTGAGGCTGCTCCTCTGGGCGAATCCCACAGTAATTGCGCATTTCTCTCCCTTTAGTGCTTTGGAAATTTAGAAAGCGCGCTTTCATTTGTACATCGCCTGCCGACAGCCCCTTTGCTGATTAGAGAAGCCTTGTTCCCCCTCTCCACGCGTACGCACACTCATTTTTAGTTTTAACAAATGATTTAAAAATCAAAACAAACCTCTGAGTCAGTCCGCCCAATTTTATGCTCCATCTCCTCTGTGTATGTGTTAGATTCTCTCTGCCAATCGATGGGAAAGAGCATTTAGGGGCATTTGCAATTTCCTTTGTCACTTGCCACTCTGTGCGTATAGATTTTACATATCATTTGTTTACCAAATCAGTTCGTATTTTCTTAGCCCAGGGTTCAGGATTTTGCGTTTGTGGATTAATTGCCCAGTACCCAAAGGGCAGGACAGTCAGAGGAGCCACCTGATGCAAGAAGGATCAGCTCACGTTAGGACAAAACAAGGAGGTTGTTGTGAGCCCTTCTGCGGGCTCTGAATTAACTCAAACAGCCCTTCCTAGGACTTGTTAAAAAGACCGTACCTTGAAGGGATAGTGTGGTGCCTAATGTCTGCTAGCCTATAACTCAATGCATTACAAGGTCATTTTTGCCCAGCCCAAAGAAACTGAGTAAATCCAATGTCCCTGGTTGAAGATAATACGTAGTCACTTCATTTCTGGCCATATGGTGCCTACCTGCATTCTAGTCTTGAACAGTCTCAGGTTCCTTACTGGGTCTCACTTATTGATTTTTTTACTAGATTACATCATAATTTAATATGGCTGAGTGATGTGGAGCTTGTGGATGATCCTTTTATTGCCCTGATTAAAATCCACACAGTAAGAAATTTTTTAAACGGAGGTTGATGATGGAAGCTTCCTCAATAAGTATCCTTCAGTCAAGAAATGATTGAGCTTTAAATTATAAGAATCTCAAAATTACTGTGCAAGTGTTTGGCAATCAATTTCAGGTTTTCATGACAACAGGAGCCTAGGCCATAGGATGGCAAACTAAATTCAATGATCACTTGTCTGCTTCTGCAGATAATCTTAAAGGAAGCTTCATTACAATTCACCCATCAAACAACTGGCATCTCAAAATGCATCAAGAGCTTTGTCTATGTAAGCAGACAGCACATTCTATGGCATTTGAATTTTATAAAAATAACTAGTTAAAAGATATATTTTGAGGTCAGGCTTAATTTTTGTTTGGACCAATTTGCCTTATCATTTATAAAGGTATCCTTAGATGTATGTCGTTACACCAAGCTTTCAGCTGTCTCTAAGGACACATTAAGGTGAGGTGGTGCTGCTGTCTAAGATTCTAAGGACAGCATTCATGGGTAAACAACAGACAAGTCCTGTGCCCTTACCATTACTTCAGAGCACAGCAGTTCCACTGGATTCAAGGTGGCTTCTTCCTACTCTTGTCTTCATTATTGAACATAATTTGATCTTATTTAAGATGATAATAAGTTCCCTGACAGTCAGAGCATGCTGGTCAGAGCAATGTCTCTTTCTTGTGAATGAAAGGACAATTAATAGGAAACTCTGTTGGTCTTCTATATCGTCTTTGTTAGGATGTGGGCAGAGTGAGTCAATAAATAGAATTTGAAATAAGCAACACATATTTGCCCTCCAAATCTTAAGCTATAATTCAATATCTAATGGATTTGAGGAAAGAAAAAAGAGGTACCTGGTCTTCTGAGCTGATAGAGGGTTAGATTATAACCTGATTGAAGGACTGGCAAAAAGAGTAATAGACACAATTGATGGTGTATTTTCATTCAACCACCAGCTAGGCAGAAGAGATGTGGACCAAGGAAATTCCACCTCAACTTTCTTTATTCTGATTCCATGTTCACCAAGAAACTTTCTGATTATAATTGAAATTGCTGTTTATATCTGCTAAGTAATGGGAATGTATTTAGGTCTCTGAGATCTTTTTTGTGTATATATATATATATATATATATATATATATATATATACACACACACACACACACACATATATACATACATGTAAACACACAAAACGTTTTAATCAATGGATTCTGGTCTTAATCACTGTGGTTAAAGTGATTTTGCTCTGAGAGACAGTTTGCTAAGAAGTCAGGTTTCCGGCTAGGTGTGGTGGCTCACACCTGTAATCCCAACACTTTGGGAGACTGAGGCTGGTGGATCACCTGAGGTCAGGAGTTCAAGACCAGCCTGCCCAACATGGTGAAACCCCATCTCTACTAAAAATACAAAAAGTTAGCCAGGCGTGGTGGCAGGCGCCTGTAATCCCAGCTACTTGGGAGACTGAGGCAGGAGAATCGTTTGAACCCGCGAGGCGGAGGTTGCATTGAGCCGAGATCCCACCATTGCACTCCAGCCTGGGTGACAAGAGCGAAACTCCATCTCAAAATAAATAAATAAATAAATAAATAAATAAATAAATAAATAAATAAATAAAATAAAAGTCAGGTTTCCAAGCCTGTGAGATCTAGAATTAGGCATGGCAGACTATGAGGAGCTTTCCCAGAAAGATACCCAACCAACGTTTCAGGAATGGCCAATTACATCTTCCTAGTAGAAATACCACCTTATTGGCCATCTGCCCATACTTCAACAGACAGCAACTTTGCCACTGTATTTTCAGTCCTTAAACTTAGAAGTGTTTGAGAATTATTATTATTTTTTAGACAGAGTTCAGCTCTTTTGCCCAGGCTGGAGCACAGTGGTGGGATCTCGGCTCACTGCAAACTCCACCTTCCGGTTTCAAGTGATTCTCCTGCCTCACCCTCCTGAGTAGCTGGGATTACAGGCGCCCGCCACCGCACCCAGCTAATTTTTGTATTTTTAGTTTAGTTTAGTTTAGTTTGATTTAGTGACAGGGTTTCACCTTGTTGACCAGGCTGTTCTTGAATTTCTGAGCTCAGGCAATCCGCCCACTTCGGCCTCCCAAAGTGCTGGGATTACAGGAGTCAGCCATCGTGCCCTGCTGTTCTCTAAACGAACAAATCAAAACCTCACAAACGTCCCCAGCTTTTATCAAAAATTAACTTATCTAAACTACTGTTGAAATTAATTATAGCTTTGGTCTTCACCAAATCTTGGGTTTATTGTTTGATACCTATCACCGTAAAATATCAGGTTCTTTAACATTTAATGTAATTTAATCGGGTGTTCTCTAGGTGCTGAATTCTGCCTTTTAGTGAGTACAGAAGTTTTATTATTTTATTATCTTTGTTTGTAATTCTGTTAACCCTTTTCTTTCCTCAGAAAAAAGTACTACCAAATTTATTTATCTGCTGTCCCCACAGAAAACTCTTCATCTCCTGATTATAAAAGTTGTTTATCACTTTTATGTTAGTATTTTTCTTGTGTGGCAGACCACATTACATCTCCTACTTCAAAGATGAATGTACCTGAATTTTGTAAAAATTTAATACCTACCTTTAGGATTGTTGCAGGATTAAATTAGATAACCCATGTAAAGGATTTAGCCAATGACTGGCACTTAGTACGTAAAAATGTATTAATTGTTGCAAGTTTTAGCAGAGATGTCCCCTGGCTGAAAGTTTTAAGGGATGGACTATATTGACACCTGTTTCCTTTGCCTGTGCCTAATTGCTTGGAATTCTTCCTTCTTAATCACATATTTAGAATTATTTTTCCCTAAAAACATTTCATTAAAGTTGTTTATGTTCAGGGATTTAACATAAATGTAGAGATTGTTGCTTTTGCTGTGTAACTCTTTTTACAAATTATTTTAAACAAAGTTAAAATAAGGTATAATTCATCATTGATCTTTTGGTGACCTCATTTTTTTGCATGTCTCTGCTCACAGATATTTTTACTAACCCCTTCCATTTCTTTGAATCCTGGAGTTAGAAAACAGCCCTGAAGATCAAAGAATTGTAGATCATTGAATTTTCAACTATAAATGAATTTAGATATAGTGGGTTTCTAGAACCTAAGCCAATTCTTTATTCATCTGTGGTAACTAAGCTATTTTCTCTTTAAATACTTTTACAAAAGTCCCTTTAAAAGTATACCTGAATTATATCTCCTAATTTCCTCTACTTCACAGGGTTTTTCAGTCCTCTTAAAAATGCTTTCCTGTTAGTAAGTAATAATTTCTTCTTATATATTGCATACTGGCTCTTCTCTATTATCTGATGCTTCCTTTAAAAAAACAGATCCTTTGCATTTAAATACATTTCCTCTAATTGCTATGAATTGAAGTGAAACATCCTAGTTATCTCTAGATAATTGTTTATAGATAGATTTGTTTTTGCAACCCATCAGAACTACAGTCCAGTGAGGATTTGTATAAGAACTTATACATCATCATTTAAAATATCTCAATTTCGCATTTAAGTGTTACAAACAATATTTGAATGACTATTATTTGGACAAATTATATCTGGACAAATTATCCAGATGATTTGTTTATGACCTACCTGTTAAATAAGTCTTGAATACCCTGCACTGCTGTAACTGTGATAACTTTAACCCCTTCCCATGTCTTCAATGAATTTCAGAGCAAAGAAGTTCTTAGTTTTATCATTATTGATTTTTCCACCTTGAGTATAATTTTTACAGATTAGTCAATGTACGTAAAATGATTTTAAAAGAGCCATAAATCAAAAATCTGAGTATTTGGGCTGGCTCTATCATCATAATTTACTGTGTGATTATAATAAACCCCCCAAGTTGTTTCTCCTTATTTATTCATTTGTTAAACGAGGATAATACTTCTTTTTACTATAAAGGTTTTGTGATGTGTGTGTGGGTGTGTTAGCCAGTTCAGGCTGCTATAACAAAAATATGATAGACGGGTGGCTTAAACATAGAAATTTATTTCTTACAATGCTGGGTGCTGGGAAGTCCAAAATAAAGGTGTGGGCAGATCTGGTTTCTGGTGAGGCCCACTTTCTGATTTGCGGAGGGCCATCTTTTCCTTGTATCCTCACAGGATGAAGAGCAGCAAGAGAAAGCAAGCTTTCTTGTGGGCTTCTATAAAGGCAGTAATCTCATTCAGAGAGATCCATTCTCATGACCTAATTACCTCCTAAAGGCCCTGCCTCCTAATACCATCACATGAGAGGTTAGAATTTTAACATAACAATTTTGGGGGGACACACACATGGCTCTGTGTGTGTGTGTGTGTGTGCACGTGTGCATGTGAGAGGCTGAAGTTAGACCCTGTAATTTATACATCCAAGGGAAAAGAAGAAAAATATTTTAACTGCCTTTCCTGGGCATGCCTTGTTTGGGGCATGCTACATCTATTATTCCATTTTATAGTATCATCACTCACGTTCATGAAGAATATTATTAGGAAAACTATCCAATTCGAATTTGTAGTTCACTACTTTTTTCTCTATCTAATTCTATGTTTGCCAATCAGGTTTTGCCAATCAAATTCCAATATCTTGATTCTGTTCTTTTCCATAATAGCCTGTTCTTGGTTTAGGGATGTGATAGCCTCTCTGATCTCTTGTAGGATGTCAATTACATATAGATTTTGAAGTCCCCATCTGCTCTAGAGACTTTGTTTCTACAGATGATAATACTCCTGACTTTAGAATTGGGAACCTTGCCTTTAAGGTTTTGGCTTTGCTAAAATGTTTGTTATTTTTTGGCTATGTTCTTGCCTTTGTTCTTGAGTGTTTCTATTTCTGTATGGACATATCTTGTCTTTACTGGCTGTAAGGAAGGTTAAGGATTTGTGGGAGGGTAGACTGTGTAAGTAGCTCATTTTCTGAGCTCACAATATTCTGGTTTTGTCTGGGTATCACCTGTCAATAGGATGCAACGTCGTGTTTCCAACCCAAGCATCAACAGGCACTGGTGACAAATATTTCTGCTGTCCTGTCTTGCCACAAAGACAATAGGAAGACTCCTTTCCCCAAATCGTTTGCCTGAATCTTGCTTCTCTTGTTTCTGAAACTGGAGCAGACCTGAAACTGCTTTCAATATTTGCAACAGTTTTAAGCTGTGCTTCTCTGGACTGCTTACCCACTTGGTTCTCAAATGCCCCAGGTGCCACAGCAAATTCACACGGTACCATGGGATATTTAAGCAATACAAGAGAAACAGTGGTATTCACCATCTGTCAGACACTGCAGGAACTACCAGTGAAACAATCAACTCACAGTTTCAACATTAGATCATGCTACATTCCTTTGGATGATACCATATTTTTGTGAAGCTGATATTTTAGAGGTTGCTGTGATTAAAAAAAGTATCATGTGAAAGTCAATTTGAAACAAGAAATAAGGATGACAATGTCAACTTCCAAGATTCGAAAAGATGTGTACACATCCTACTAGTAAATATTTGTGGTTATTTAAGAATGAATATTTTTCTTTCAATCATATGTATTACCTTTTTAAGTGGCTACGAAGCTTTTAAGACACAAATACTTATTAAGTTGTTTGTATCTAATTACTTAATAAATGGAACTGTTAGGTATTTCTTTTAGCCCCAAGGCATGATTTAAAAAATTACTAAGACACTAAGGGTGGTATAAACAAACAGGGTTTGGGAACCTCTGGCTTTAACCTTTTTCACTGAGGTTTCCCAACCAAGTGCTCTGGTATATGCCCGATAGATATTTGTATTCATAAATGTTGAAACATGATTCATGATCTGATTTGAAAATTTAGAACTTTTATGAAATCATCTCTCTTTTTCTGCATTGAGATTTTTAATAAAACAGTTCTCCCCTTTAGACTTGGGGCAACACTGAAGGTTTCTTTTGGGCAATAAATGGGAGAAAAAATAACCTCTCCATCACTTTTCATTCTGGATTCCCTCAATTTGGCTAGCACTATGCCTAAAAAAAGCACGGGAATTTTTCAACCTTATATTTCTGCTTCTGCAGACTAGATAGTTGTGGGAAGGTCAAATGAAATTATGTTTACACAACATAAAATAATTGATTAAAAATTCTAAATCAAACTGGTTATTGGTCAACATACCCGCACACGGGTATGTACACACACACACACACACACACACACACACACACACAAGCACACACAGCATTGTCCGGCATGTCTGCACACATAAACACAGCCTGACCCACCCACAGGTACAAGAAGACCCAAGTGCCATGGGGCAGAGTTGCCATCACCTATACCATTTGGAAGTTTTCTGGTTTTATGTCAGTGGATAAGATAAAACTTGGGACATATCTTGGTCCCTGCCCTTGGCTATAGCCCCATTTCTCTTTAGGCTGCTGAAATGCCTGAAATCAGCTCCATTTTTTCTCAGTGAATTGTCCAGTGGTACTAATGATGCATTGTTTTATAGGAACCTATTAGTTTAGTTTACCAGATGAATTTTAACAGAGAGAACCCTGAGCACAGAGGCAATGGAATAGGTAAATTTTAAGGGGTGAGCAGGATGACAGAAAAGTTTTGTGATTATTTTCACGTGAGGAGATTAATGAAAGAGCCATGATCTGTGAAGCCTGTACCTCCCAAGTACAAGAGTAGCACCCAGGCATCCTAAAAGTAGATTTATGAAAAATAGAAGTGATGCGTAAACCTTAGCTACGTCAAGAGCTGGCCTGGTGTGAATTCTGTGTCTCTTTGGGTTTATCCTTCAACTCCTACATTCCTAACCATCCAACTAACTAGGCAAGTAGAATCTGATCCTTCATAAGAACCCTACATCCCAAAGGGCCATGAGATGAAAGCCCTCTCTAGTACCTTCAGAACTCTCAATAGAATTACTCCAAACCTTTTATATTGACAATCCAAATCAAGTTCCAGAAATTTTGCAAAGAAGAGAAGAGTAAAACCCCATTACAGAAATTGGCATCTCTAAGTTGGAATTTGCATTAATTCAAACGGGATCCTCTCTGAGTTGACCCATTATTAGCAAACAATACAAGTTAGAGTAATAGTCTACATAGTTTCAGTGAGAAGAAATGTGGAAAACTTAAAAAAACAAAATGCTTGAGAATATCCTGGAGTTCTTCTTCAGTCTGCATTTTGTTGATCTAATCAAAGTTTGTATGCTAAGTCAAACAATAATTTAAAAAAATGTATAATGTGATTACAATTTCCACTATTTCCGCTCCTTCTTGGAAGGCAGATTGTTGCCCTATTGCTCTGAAACTAGTGGGGGATCTTGATTGATAAGAAAAATTCTCAATTTGTTAGCATAGTTTGGTCCACAAGTACTTTAGAGATGGAAAACTTGAATATATTTACATAAGGGACACTTACACGTAAGTTTCCTAGTTTGGCTTATATGATTGGTCATGCACTTTCGAACTAAAAATATAAATCAGTGAATAAGTTCAAAATTTTCCAGGTCATGCTAGCTGAAGTGTTCCCAAACTGAGATAGTAATCTTGATGATAAGCCCAGTTTGGCAAGCTCAGTTCCATATGTTCCATTTCTTTTTTAAATATTTGATTTCTTAGAACTTGGGGATGAGAAATCTCTCACTTAAAATGTAGTTATTAGACAAATGACAGACTACTTTGTAAAGAAATCCCATTGTTGCTATGCTTCATAGCTGTCAGCAGGTTGAAGTATGCTGGGGTGAGGTCCTTGCTGTGTTTGAGCTTGTGATTCACTATTTAGCAAATAGAATCATGTCCCTATCATTGCAGCATTGCAGAAAAATAACTGCTGAGAACAGGGAAGAAAAGTCCTGGTTTTCTTATTCTGAGGTAATTTTCGTTTCTAGAAATATGGATCTGAATAAGAAAAGTAAGTGAGTCAGTTGCAAATGAAAGATGATTGAAGTACTACTCTCGTTTTACAAAACAGACACATTTTGGTTCATCTTTCTCTTCATTCTGTTGCACATCTGTTTTCTTTGTCACATGCATACCTTCTTAGTCTCCCCAAGTGACAATTCTTTCTCACTACCAGTGATATTCTTATTTGGCCAACGTACAATGGCACGTTCCATTGGTAAATGTTATTTTGGAGATGAGGAAACTGAGACCAAAGTAGGAAAGTCTATTATTCATGGTCACACCTAGTTGGTTGGAAACACAGCAGGAATGAGAACCCACTTCTGGCTCCTAATCAAGTTCTCTCTACTGACTTCAAAGCTGAGTTCCTCCTGATGTGATTTCAAAATACCTAACTATTGCTTAAGCTTCAGTTTCAGGTTTTGATATAATTTGACCCTTAAAAGGCAAGTTAGATTGGGTTGATTCATAAACAAACAGCATAAAGAAAGTGATAAATGTATTTCAGAGATAAATATGTTTAATTAGAAAACAAGCATGAGTCCCTATGATAGGAACCTCACTACTTCCAAAGGAAGGTAAAGCATAAGTGTAATTTCTCATGCTCTATTGTTTGGGAAATGAATTGTGTATAAATTGTTCCTAAAATAGCATGACAATTTATTAACATACTTTCAGTGACTTCCAGGAGAGTGTTCTAAGATACAAAGGCCACGTCTGTATGTAATCATAGAATTTATCATTTTAATGTAGTTTTTTGGTAGGACATCTTATCAGGCCAGTTTGGAATGACAGTGGTATAATAAACTATCTTTTTTTTTTTAATCTGTTGTTTTGCTCTACAGAAACAAGCAAAAGTGAAAGGAAAAAACATCACTTAATTGACTCAGTACAAGTGTGCTTTAAATAGTCTCTCCAGAACTGGTTCACCTTTTTTGTTGTTGTTTTGTTGTGTTTTTCAAATCCTTTCCCTCTCTGTCTCTTTTTCCTTTCAATAAATGTAAAACATGATGTAGAATGTACAATTTTAATGAGGTTTCCATTTATATCAACTCATTCCTACCCATTCATTATTTATTTGGCAATTAAGGGAATCTGTACTGCTATTCAGTTTATTTTGTCAACAAGCATTTGCTACAAAGCTACTAATTTTCCTGGGTTCAAAAGAAGTGGAAATCCTGGCATATTCCCAGCAGCCATAACATTTAAGAACTCAAAATGCTTAGTAAATAATATTCTAAGTTATTTACATTTTTCTGTGTGTGTGTGGGAGGGTATGGTTTTTTAGAAATGCAATCTCAAGGTGGCAGAAGCATAGGAGATGCATATAATATACCATCATTATAGAACAAATTTAACATTGACATTTTGATGCAACATCATTGTATTTAAATATCCAGTGACTAGTTCTACTAAGTCAAGCTCCAGTCTTCATTTAGGTATTAGAGTAAAGAATAAGCTTTTTCACTCTGCTCTTCATAAAAGCCTTTTTCAGTTATGAGTGCATCTATAAAAGCCTAAAATATAAGATCTGATTCATTTTCAAAACTGTAAAACTTTGTTCATACAGATTAATTTCATGTATATATGTCTAATATCTCTAAAGTTTTAATAAACTAAACTCTGTATCTTTTATTCCTCTAAGATAATTCAGTGTATTATATTCTGAATGACACAACCAAAGAACATTTGATAAAACAAGTTTTATGTGTTATTTATGAGGAAGACACTTAAGGATTTAAATAAGACTTTAAAATATTTACATTTTTACTTCTGACTTTTTGTTTCACATTTTAAGAAAATTGGACTTTTCTCTTATATTTGATGTAGGTTTCAAACTTTAGATTTATATTTCAACACCTCACAACAAATTTTGTAAATATTCGGTGGGGGCTTGGCCTGAAATATAAACACTTCTTGCTATTGAAGCACTGAAGAAAAGCAGAACCCCTCATTTATTATGAGACATCCAGAAGACTAAAGAGATTTTGAACTTTTTTTTTCTTTTTTCTGGAACATCTTCTTCAACAAGAAAAATGAAATGTCATCATGCTAAGGTGAATCATAATAAATGTTATGTCTTGTCTGACACTGAAAATAAATCCAAGTAAGTTAGGAGAAATATTGGTGGCTTTTTCCCCCATAGAGGTTTAGATCAGCTTTATAAATTAAACAGTATGCGTCGACAGCTCAGGGCAGTAAGTAAACTATTCAGTAGATAATCTCCATAGAAACAAAAAAAGTTTAAGCATCTCAATCTAAAATAGCACTTCTGGAATCAGCAGTTGAATATAACAGGAGCAAATCCTTCCTTTCTTCAAACTAGCAACAAAATTACCTTTTGTTTAAAAAAGTTCAATATAAAATAACTTAGAAGAATCACATAGGTATTAATGGTTGTGGTGGTAATCTCAATATAAATTTTTCCTCTGAAACTGTCTGATAATCTTTGCTGACTTTCAGAGAGTACTGCTTGTTTACCAGACATTTTTCTAAGCATTTTATGTATATCAGCTCAGTCAGTCCTACACCAATGAAAGGAGATTCTTTCTATTATCCCCATTTGACAGATGAGGAAACTGAAGCACAGAGAGTCAATGACCCTATGTAATTGGTGAAGCCTGGGCTCTGTGGTCTGCCATATTCACGATGTAAACCACGGGGCTTCCCCACGGCACAAACCTGCATGAACATTTGTGTCGGTTTTTTGTGGACAAGGAGACAATATTATTTTGAATGATAAAACCTTAACTCAGTTTTAATCCTCCATAAATCTCTGGTGGCATAATTTAACAGATATTAAAATGTATATTCTCCAACATTTACCTGCATTTGAGCAGGGGTCCCCAACCCCTGGCTATGGCCTGTTAGGAACTGGGCTGCACAGCAGGAGGTGAGCAGTGGGTGAGCGAGCATTACCGCCTGAACTCCGCCACCTGTTAGATCAGTGGAAACATTAGATTCTCACAGAAGCGCAAACCCTATTGTGAACTGCACATGTGAGGGATCTAGGTTGCACACTCCCTATGAAAATCTAATGCCTGATGATCTGTCACTATCTCCCATCACCCCCATCTGGGACAATATAGTTGCAGGAAAACAAGCTCAGGGCTCCCACTGATTCTACATTATGGTGAGTTGTATAATTATTTCATTATATATTACAATGCAATAACAATAGAAATAAAGTGCACAATAAATGTAATGCATCTGAGTCATCCCCAAACCATGCCCTCTCCCTGGTCTGTAGAAAAATAGTCTTCCATGAAACTAGTCCCTGGTATCAAAAAGTCTGGGGACTGCTGCTCTAAAGTTGGCAACTGCCTGATATGCACATTATCTCCCCCTCCTTTGGTGATAAAGGACTGTAGAATATAGCAGGAAATCCTGTAAATTGTGAATGGCAACAAGCATAGATTAGTTTCTGTGTTTGTTTAGCTAGTGTAGAGTACTTGGTTTCCCTCCCAAAATTCAAGCCCACCTGGAACCTGTGAATGTAAATTATTTGGAAATAGGGTCTTTGCAGACGTACTTTAAGATGAGGTCATGCTGGAGTAGGGTGGGCCTTAAATCCAATGTGACTGGTGTCCTTATAAGTAGAGGAAAATTTAGACGCAAAGACACTTGCACACAGAGGAGAAGGCCATGTAAAGAGAAGGCAGAGATTGGAGTGATGCAACTATAAGACAAGAAACACCAAGACTGTCAGCAACTATTGGACATCTTGATTTTAGACTTCTAGCCTCTGGAAATGTGAGAGAATACATTAATATTGCTTAGGCCATTCAATCTGCTACACTTCATTATGGCAGCCCTAGAAACTAAGACAACTAGTAATTAGCATCCATTGCCACCAGAAGAGTACAAAAACCTAAGGAACAAGTACAGTAGGCAGATTTGAGTGGTACTGCCTGGGATTGCTAAAATGTCTCAAATTGAACTATGAGTCTGAAGAGCACTGGCACTTAGAAGAACCCAAATTAAAAATGTAGGAAAGGTTTTAGAAGAGTAAATCCTCAAGGGAGAACTAAAGAGGCACTAGCTCGAAGCATTTTCAGCCTCACAATCCTAACTAGGGCATGTCTTACCAAAAAATAGAAGTTTGCAGAGAATTAGTGAGCTTCACTTTACCCCTCCCCTCCCCTTGTGTAGAAGCGTTCTTCAAAGGTGCACTATTATGCTGACACAGTTTACTAAATTAATCAGAGACAGTGACAATGTCTTTTTCATCTCTGTACTGATACTACAAAGTGCATACTACCAGACCAGGGCTGGGACCAAATCTACACACGAAAATCCCTTCCTCTCTGCTTCTGTTGCCTCTGACATGTGTTTCTCATTGGATAAAGCTTAATCTGCATTTGGAGAGAGGCTCATTCAGATGTTTCTTTAAAAATCAGCCTAAGTACTGTCCAAGGTTTGACCATCAGATACTATGCTACTGAATTCTAGGAGCTCTCGCTGCAGTTTCACCTTTTCCAGGTGGGCCAACATGTTGCTGTAAGGTTTGTAATATTTTCGCTCTTCTTCTTTCCTTCTCCCTTCACTTGCCATAGGTATCACTTTTTTGTCCAGAATAGGTATTCAATATTTATTTATTAAGTAGTTAATTATCATAAAAATATGCCAGGCATAATTTTTAATCTTAGCAATACTGCAATGAACAAGATGGCCTCTGCTCTTAAGGCACTACTGCCTGGTAAGGCAGACTGACACATAAAAAGGCAATTATAATTCAGTGGAATAGTGTTCGAATGGAAGAGAATAGTGGTAGGAGAAACTTTCCTCTTGGAGGAGCTGGGTTTTAAATAGAAGTGAGCCCTTTTTGTCCATTTCTCTCTCGAATTGAGATAGAAAAGCATGTGAAAGACAACTTAGAAGGAAATACAAATGGTTATTAAGCACACTGTCTTATTTCTTCCAAATATACTATAATTTCCGTAACTATGAGCTCATAATGATAAAATTTTAGTCCTTATAGCTGGTCATAGAAGATGAAATTTTTAAAGAAATGGATCTTTTTTAAGTTTTCTTAAATAGCTTGAAATCAGTAACCACTGACTTTGCTTTTTGTGTAGTCAATCTTTAGTCTGAAACCCATTATTTCCTTCTTTGAATTTGGTGAGAAGTCATTTTGGTGGAACCTTAGCAAACCCTTATAAAGTATCACTCTATGCTGAATTTAGTCTATGGAAAGACATCAATCAACAAGACAGAGAAGTTCCCTGCCCTCTCAGCAGCTTGCTGTCCTAGGAAAAGAAAGAATTGTCTTTCTCAGAGAATTACTTGCATCCTCATTTGAATTGTGCCCAAAATTTGCTAGAGGAGATATAACCACAGCTATGAGATGGTTTAAGGTTATTCCACCACAAAGGCAACAATGGTTGGAAATGGAAGTTTTCTGGTTGTTTTTGTTTACTTGAAGTCAGCAAGCACTTGGCTTGATATAACCTCTACCCTGATCGCCAATAGAATTTAAACCAAGTGGTGGACTTGGCCCAGTCTGTAAATATTTCAATCTCTGTAGATGCAAAAGAAAGAAAAAAGAAAAAAAATCCCAATTAAAAGCTCAAAAGTATTTAGTTACCTTCTTTTGAGACTTTAACTTTAATCCTGTTTATTACTCTTAAACTATTCCAGAGCACAGTATTTTTTATTGGTGACAGATTGCCCAAACCATTGCCAGTGACCTAATCTCCCTCAGCAGACATGACTGCATACTGCGGAAAGGTGTTCTCTTGAATGAGAAAAAGGTGAGTGTCTCTCTTATGGCAAGTGTACCACTCTTTGTTACCCCAAATATGTATTACGGGTTCATGCAGATCTATTATGTGTCTCATCAATTTTCACTTAAAATCTTGGCATTGGATGTGGCTCGATATGCAGTCATATGGCTTAATTCTCTGAATCAGTTCCTCCTTATGTTTTGTTGGTGGAAATTTGGTATTTGGTGTCCTAAGTTATTTACGACATGTGATTTGTGGTTCTAAGAAGAAGTCTAAATCTAGATCCCTAGCTTCAAAAGCAAGTGTCAGAAAAAAAAGGCCCTATTTTTAACTTCCCTAATCACCTCACTGACCTTTGTACCTCAGTTTTCATGTGTATTAAACAGTACTATTCATAGCTTTGCTTATGTATGGAGTTCAGATGAGCGCCTGCTCATATAAGATAAGGGTTAATTATTGCTGTCAAAGATAGTGGCAGGATCCACTGGCTTAATAATCACATTTTATTATCTCTTTCTTTCCCAGCACTTCATGAGGTAGTGTTCATTGATTTAAATTACTTGAGTCAGAATAAAATTAGTTTAATGTGTCGCATCAGTAAAGAAGCAGGTAATGACAGATTTGAATGAAAAATAATATTAAAGAGTCTATGGGATCTTTCCTGCCTTATCTCCTTGTATATAATATATGTAATCATGTATATGTGTATAAATATATAATCTCTTAATTATTAACATTTCAAAAGATTATTTGGCACTTGCTCTCAATGAGTCCTTGCAGGAACCTGGCACAACAATGTATATAGAGATAACAGGTGATTGACAAAGAATTTTTGAGGAAAAAAATATGTGCAGTTCATGCATATAAACCTCAATCATGTGTCCTCTTACTCCTTTACTAGCTATAGATTGTAAGATGAAGAAAAATGGGGAAAAAAAGAAAGATAGAAATCTTCTGTATCTACCATTCTAATTTTCAATCCCAAAGATTAAAAGGCTTCAATGTTAAGATTGGTAGGGAAATAACTGACTTTAAATTATGTATACATAAATAACATCATAGGGGCTAGAGAGCTTTTATAGGCAGGCATGGTCTACAATACTATGAAACTGAAGTGGCAATGCTTACTGACCAAAGAATATATGAAGGTGAATTCATTCCTTTATAAGCAAAAGGCTAGTAATTTATGATTCTTATACAACCTAGATCAGACTCAATAGTATGTTTGCAAAAGGTTACATTTTGCATGTATGAAATAATTGCGTGGACAGTAAGAATTTTACTTCCATCTGTGCATGCTTTGCTGATATATGAGCTTTGGTAGAAGTTCAACTACAAGAGGTTGGTGGGGTTAAATAAATTTCAGGTAACATCCAAAGCATGGTTAGTTAGAACTCCCCCCCAACAACCTCTTTCCACATACACACCCACTATCTTCTCTCTTATACAAACATTATATATTTGATATTGTCACAATCATAGGTTAAGAAAAAATCTTTGCTACCTTTTAGGAAAAATTCAAAAACATTCGAACACATATATACAAATAACAATTCGTATATTTTTGGACCTACGTATTTAAGGATCTACTAATATTATTGACTTTTAGATTTTTAAGATATGTATCATAATCTACTCAAAGATTTTTAATTTTTCAATAACAAAAGATAACAAATATACTTTCCAAAATTGAAATATTCCAGCAGTATAAAAGAAAATATAATCAAACCTGGGCTTTCACACTAATTATCTAAACTGAGAATTTATTTACTTTACTTTGAGAACAGATGTGATCCATCACGGTAGTCCATAAATACGGTGTCAGAATGTTAGGCTGATCAATGAATATAAATTATTAAAAAATAGTGTAACTCTAAGGTCACCAAGGAATTGAACTTAGTGTTATTTAAAAGGAAGACTTTCCATTCTTAAAAATATATGGGCATACTTAAGAATGAGTGGTTCTATTCTAAACAGAATTTCTAGGCTTCAAAGACAGATTTGTGTTTGCTCATAAGAATAAATGATAATTCTCAGAGTCTCTTTCAGCACCTTCATTAGGGACAATTCTTTTAGAATTCTTACATAATTTTCTGTGGTAATTAAAATATGTCCACATCTGCAAATCCTTTGTTGCTCTTTCCTTTAAAGGTATAGAATGATTTCCCTCTCCTTGAATGTGGGCTATTTATTACATTCAGTCACTCAGCTTTTAATGAATTGAATATGGGGGACGTGATTGTGTGTGACTTCCAGGGCTAGTCCTGAAAGATATCGTCACTTCTGCCTTGCTCTCTCTTGGACTATTTGATCTGAGGGAACCCCAGCTGCCATGTTGTGAGGACACTCAAGCATTCTGTGAAGAGGTCAACACTGAGGGAAACTAAGGTCTCCTTGACAAATAGTACAACTCACCAGACATGTAGGTCAGTGTGTCCTTCAGCCCCAGTCAACCTTTGGATGAGACTGTAGCCTTGGGGGATGTGTTAATTGTAACCTCATGAAAGAGCTAGTTAAGCTGCTCCTGAATTCCTGACCCACAGAAACTGGGTAAGAAGTGTTTACTATGGTTTGAAATTTCCAAGTTTTGGAGGAATTTGTGAATGCAGCAATAGATAACTAAAAAATAAAAACTCATTTATTTATTTATCTGTGCCCATGCAAGGCTGGTGAAGTGGAGGACATTTTTCACCTTTACCAACAGTAGCCTGTGGGCATTAATAACTGTAGAGAATAACTCTATTGGTGGCAGATGAGCAGAAAACATATTTTAGGAAAAGAAGGGTCTTTAAATTGTAATAGGCAGGCTGGGCATAATGTCTCACACCTGTAACGTCAGCACTTTGGGAGGCTGAGGCGGGCAGATCAGCTGAAGTCAGGAGTCTGAGACCAGCCTGGCCAACATGGTAAAATCCCGTCTCTAGTAAAAATACAAAAATTAGCCCGGTGTGGTCGTGCATGCCTGTGGACCAAGCTACTTGGGAGGCTGAGGCAGGAGAATCCCTTGCACCTGGGAGGCGGAGGTTGCAGTGAGCTGAGATCCCCCACTGCACTCCAGTCTGGGTGACAGATCCAGACTCTGTCTCAAAAAACAAAAACACAAACAAACAAACAAAAATTATAATAGGTAAACTGCTGCCAAATTCATAGTGTATAACTTGGTTTTTCTGCTTTGTGCATTGTTGTCATGCTTCTAGTAATGAGACTGCTATCAGTCAGGGCCTATATACTTTTCAAAAGCCTACAAAAATACTTAAACATTTAAAACAAACAAAGATTCCAAAAATTATGAACAAATGAAATGCAGTTAGAAAATAAAAATTTTACATCATGCTAAACTTGAACAAATAAAAAGAAATTACAAAATAGACATTAGTAGTTAATATAAGTTTACAGAATATCACTAACTAACTTCGGCTTAAATAAGCTCTTCTGATTATATAAAAATTATACTTAATGTAGGATGTGTCTGCAAAGTAAGAGTTCTTGGGGCCTGCAAAGGTCCTGAGTGCCTCTGAATTTAGTGTGTCTGTATAGAATAAATTCTATATTTATCTATATTTCTACTTGTGGATGCCCCTGGAACAAAAAAGGAATTACATATTCTTCATACAAATTGAGACTATTTACTCTTTTCTCTTGCTAGCTGATGACAGGCATACCCTTTCAGGAAGTGAGACCCGGAATTTTATGAATGGCAATTATTTAAATGGTGTATCTAAATAAGTACAAGAGAAGTGTTGAAGGGAAAAATGGAATTCTAATAAGGCTTAGTAGTCCTTCTTTCTTTACCTCTCCCTCTTTCCTTTTCTTCCTCACTCCCTTCCTTCCTCTTTTCTTTTTCTCTTTTAGGTCATTAGAGCAAGCATTTTCTGAAGGATTTTGGATGACACATTGCAAGATAAAGTAAAAAAAGCTTGGTAGAAAAGTTTAAGCATGGGCAGAAAGTTGGAAGTATGAGCAGTCATATTTTATTCATTTCATGGCCTGAGGTGAATTTCTTACTTTTGATAATTTTTCTCATCTACATAGTGAAATAATAATAGCTCAGATTTTTATAGAGTATGCGAATACATTTTTGTAAGTCCCTTTGAAAATAGAAGTGTCACATAAATGCAAAGTATCTTGATAAGAATACCACTGAAGGAAATAATATCTCTGAGCCAACAGGGCCTCCCACAAAGGAATTGGATGCCATGTAAGTTTCAGCTTGGACAATAGAGTCCTGTAGTGCTTAGTTTTCTTTATATTCTGATCATAGAAATGTGTCCAATTTTACACACTTTCTTCTTTCTGCTCTTCCACTACTGAAATGGAAATTTGATGAAAGATTTGATAAGTGGAAGAACAACAGTGGCCACATTTGGCTTTGGGGGAATGTAAAACAAAAAAAAATAAACCTTATTCATCCAAGTAGATTCTGGGGACACCAAAAATATTTGTGTGCCTATTTGAGCAGAAATCATATTGCTGTTCAAAGAGAAGGGGTGTGCTCCCAAGATTCTCTGTGAGGAATTTGCTGGTGGCTGTTTTCTGAGGAGGAGTGACAGTTTCACTTTAGGCTGTTCACTAAATTCCAGTCTTCTTAAGAGGTGTGCAAGTTCATGTTTTAGTCTTTGGTTTATAAAAATTTTCAGATAAATGGGCAGCTCTAAGGCCATCTATAAGGCCAAGAATTATAAGATTATCTGTTAGAACTAGATTTCTCAGGTACCTTTTCTGTTCCAAATTTTTTCTTTCCTAGCAATCCATGTAATTAAGAGTAAAATCTGATACTATGTTCATTTGAAGAAATCTGAATCATTGATATTTCTTTCAATTCTAGGACAAAACAAATGTGGAAAAGATATTTTGAGGCATATAACACCGGTATTCTTTTCTCATTAGATATAATTACAGTAGATGTGATTTATATAAATATAATTCAATAAGTAAATGAGTGAGCTATAGGAAAAATTAGTTTTGGTCTAATTTTAGTTTTCAAGACCACTTTTCTGTCCTAGCTATGAGTTAGTTATGAACTTGATTATATGGGATTTTAGGTAAAAGAGTTGCATTTTGTGGTGAAATGAGGTGAAAGGGTAATCAATATGCCATAGGCAGAACTCTACTACAGTCCCCAAGATTCCTGGCCCCTGGTGCATACACATACACACACACCTTTTCTCAGTTATTCCAACACCAATCTATGTACTACTATGAGGGGATTTGCAGATATAATCTAGGTCCCAAATAAGTTTACCTTAAGATAAGGGGATTACCCAGGTGGGCCTGACCTAATCACATGATCTCTTTAAATCTGGATTTAGAGTTCAAAGATTAGAGACGTCAGAGATTTGAAGCATGAAACCAAAGCATTTCTGGCTTGACGATGGGGGTGGCCACATGGCAAGGACTGCATCTAGGTGTCCAGAATAGCCCCTGCTTGGCAGCCATCAAAGAAACAGGGATCTCAGTCCTACAATTGCAACGAACTTAATTCTGTCAACCACAAAAATGAGCATGGATATGTACGTTTTGCTGAAGCCATCAGATGAGAACAGCCGGGCTGACCAAGACCTTATCTTCAGCCCTTGCAGTACCCTGAGCAGAGAACTCAGTCACTTCTGTCCTACAAAACTATGAGCTAATAAATGGATGTTGCTGTAAGCTGCTAAGTTTGTAGGATCTTCTTACACAGAAACAGAAAACTAATACGTGATAAAATTAGTATCACATTTGTATTTAATTTTAGCTCATGGCCACAGCAAGAAAGAACAATGAACTGACTCTTGAGATCGTTTGTTTGATACACTAGCATGCAATCGTTTTTATCTAGATACATATTTGTCATGCTTCAAGCTTCAGGAACCAACAGGAACAATGTAGATGGCATTTTCAGTAATACACTGATCGCTCTGCTCAGAAACGCTATCTAATCAGTGGAAGAAAATCCAACATCTTCTAGGCGGTTCTCTCCCCAAATGTTTCTGAGATGCCCTCAGTTGTGAGGGCTGCGTATGTGTAATCCTGTGGTTGGGTGATTAGCACGGTGGCTTTCCCTCTCAGAGTGTCAGGGCCCCTTTCTGAAATGCCACATTCCTTTATTCCATGCCCACCTTTGTGTTGCTGATCTTGGGCCATGTGCACCGATTGTTAATTTCTTTCAGGCACCTGCCTTTTCCACTGCCTGTGGGGCCCTGTGCAGTCTGTTGCTTGCTCCGAATCGTGCGCAGAACACGCAGGGTGTGATCTCAGGCCGTGGCCTCTGTACTTTCTCTCCCTTCCTTCAGCTTTCACAATGTGCCGCTGGGTCTCTGCAGCTTGTCTTTCTGTTTCTGGCCACTAGCACAAATCTTTTTCTGTTTCGGATGGGAGAGGCAGGAGAAAGGGGGTGATGAAGAGTAGCGCTTCATTGACCTCTAGGGATGAATTCTGGCTCTTTTTGGCATAGCCGTTGACTTCCTCAGAGTGTCAGGCTCTCCAAAAAGATGGGGTCCGGGGTGGTCAGGGACTGCCTGAAAGCCTTTCTACAAGCAACCAGGCCCACCTGCTGAGTCTAGCTCCCATCTGCCACTACTCACAGGGGTTTCCCCCTCAGAGGCTTAGTTTTCCTCTCTGAAATCCATTCAGCCATGTTTGTGTGGGTCTAGATTTCAATGATAGACACACCTTAGTCCTTTCCCATGAACTCCTGGCTTCAGTCAAACCAAGGAGGTGATTGGACATTTATTTGAGTCCCAAATACTTTATGATAGGAATTTGTTCACTAAAAACATAAAAAAGGGAGATGGGGGAGCAGTGTGAGGGCTGGGGTTGCCTAACTCTACCTACAGCTAGCCTGGCTGGATCTGAGGGGCAGTCAAGCTAGAACAACCATAACTCTTATTTAAATAGCATTTCTGAACTTTATCTGTAGACAAGCAACTAAAAACATAGCCTACACCTGGTTCCCCAGTGCAATGTGAAAGACTTCAGAAACTAAAAAATATTTATGAATTGCAAATATACATGCAATTACTAATGATTTCCACTTGATTGCAGTTCTTAGCTTCTAAATTTAGAATTCTAAATAATCAATCATGGACAGACCATCACTTTGTTAAATTTCTGTCACGACAATTAACCAGAAATGAACCATTGTTTTGTTTTGCTTTCTGAGAAAAGGGCATTTAGGAATTAAGTTTACACTGAGTGGATATAGTTGCCTTTGTTGTGCACCTGCAGTGTCTCTAAATGTAAGTAACTTCCATGGATTTAAACCTCAGGGTAAACTTTTACTACAGATGAATTATCTGTTGAGTTAGGAAGTAAAGAGATTAAACAATAAAAGAACCCATTTTACCATTGTGCACTTCCCTATGTGCTTTTGTGGGAAAAATAAATATCATAGGATAAAGGGACAGAAATGGATTATGGTAGAAAATAAATACAAAACAAAATGCAAGTGACTCTTCAGCTCTCAAAATGTCTCTGGCTTGAAAGGCACAGAGTCTGTTTAAGGTGTTCATTGTCTTGAAAGCTTTTTAATTTTTTTTAATTTTTAATTTTTTGAGTACATGGTAGGTGTGTATATTTATGGGTTCCATGAGGTATTTTGATGCAGTCACTCAATGATAATAATCACATCAGTATAAATGGTGTATCTATCATGTCAAGCATTTATCCTTTGTGTTGAAAGCTTTTTTAAAAAACATACATTTTATTGAGATATACTTTATATTAAATACATTATTTTGGCCAATTGAACTTAAAAAAAAAATAGTACCTGGTACCTTTAAAGGCAACTAACAGAGTTAGACTTAGGACTCTATTTAATTGTTTGACCCTTTCCCTGGAAGATAGTTTTGTGAAAGGATTAGCTTTGGCACCTTAAAACTACATTATTCTCTGAAAAATACAGAAAACATTGATGCAAATACTTATTCTTTAGCACAGCTAAAGTAGAATAATCACCTCTATTTTTGTTCATTAGATTACACGTTTAAAAGCTGTATATTAAATACCTAGTGACATTGTTATTTTTCTACTGTTATTCTTGGAAACAATCTTGTGAAGAATTTTTCTTGGCTCCTTTTGAGTTTTTCTTTCTCCCTCAAAATGTATGTGATAATTCATGTGCATGCATTCATATGTATATATTATCAGTTTGAACTGATTACATATTTTACAACCAACTAGATTATGTTGGTCTCATCATCTCACACATACTACCTTACCTCACTCATTACTCAACATACTGGCCCAAAAAGCTGCAATATCACACACAAATGCACACACACACACACACACACACGCAAACAGAATCACACAAAAAATAGAAGCCAAAAGAAATGGTGATGAGGTTTAGAGTTGTCATTGTCCCAGACATTCCTAATACTTTATAAAAACAAAAGTAGTATGTCTAATTTCTGCTTTAGGGTTGTTAAGTTGGATAAAAATAAGTCACCTAATCTTGCAGCTTTACTAAAAGTATAAGAGAAAAAAATGAGCTTTTTTCTTATCATTCATGAATCCAAGAATATTGGTGTGTGCAGTTCTGAGAAAACCCTTTTGTGTCATAAGTTTCAGAGTCTGGTCAATGTAAAAATAATTCTATAAGCCCTGTATCTACTGTCTGAAGCAACTATCACTTCTACACATGTTTAAAAAATCACTTATATCTGAGTTTTAAATCACTGAGACATGAAGTAGAATTTATTTTGTGTGGCTTCCTGGTGCCAATGACTCTATTCTTATTCTACACAGCGTTAGTATTGTATTACTGAATTAGACCGAAAATGCAGGATATGTTGCTGTAATCAGTGTCTTGCCATTAATCACTTCCCTTGTCCCTTTGCCTCACCATCACTCCTTCATGGCAATACCTTAGGGGCTATTTCAATTTTCCACCTCCACTGGTGGATCTCATGACCAAAGGGCTTGGTGCTGTGTGAGTCAGGGTCCAGATAGAAAATAGAAACCAATATCTGTATTTAAAACAAGGGAATTTCATGTGAGAATTGGTTAGCTAGAACTGAAAAACCCACCTGAAGTTGCAAATAAACTCATAGATGAGCAAGAACAGGAAATCACGTTGCACTAGGCTGCAGGGACAAAGGTAGGAGGGCTATTATCAGAAAAAGGGAATGTCTAGGATAGATACGACATTAAATAAAGTTTGAATAGACACAAAAAGCATTAAAGTATTAAGTAATGGCAACTGGAACTTTAACAACACTTCTGTCCTTCTGTAGTCTGTTGATATAGATTGGATGTGTGTCCTCTGCAGATCTCATGTTGGAATGTGATCCCCATTGTTGGAGCTGGGGCCTAATGGGAAGTATTGGTTCATGGGGGCACATCCCACATAAATCGCTTAGTGACATCCCCTTGGTGATAAGTGAGTTCCTTCTTTGAGTTCATGCGGGGTCTGGTTGTCTAAAAGAGTATGGCACCTCTCCCCAGCTCTCTCTTGCTCCTTCTCACCATATATCATGGTAGTTCCCATTTGCCTTCCACCATGATTGTAAGTTTCCTAAGGCCTCACCAGGAACAGGTGCCAGCACCATGCTTCCTGCATAGTTGTTCACTCTTATTCTTCAGAATGGCTACTGCAAATATTGTCCAGATGTCAAAGCTCCCTACTCCACTCTGTGCCCCTCCTACACTCAACTTGTTAACTCTTTGCTCCCGATGCAAACTCACTTGTCCTTTCTGTCACCGTGGATGTCTCTCTCCTCCCAGTGCAGTTACCCTCCTGTGATTTGGTTTCCATTTCCTTTCCTTTCATTAGGAACTTTAGATCATTCATTTTAAACTCTCCTCTGTGTCCTTAAGTTTTTCCACTAGTCATTGGTATCGACATTTTAACATGCTCAAGTCTCCTCTATTTCTCCCTCCCTCCAAAAAAAAAGAAAAGAAAAAGAAGAAGAAAAGGCCCACTCCCCCATCCTCCCACTCACAGTCAAGATTTTGCAAACATTGTTCATCCTGACCTCCCATTCACTTCTCAGCTCGCTGGAGTCAGCTCACTGCACTGGATTCTGAATCTTCAGCATCCATTTACATATACATGTAAATCTCTGATTTCTAGTTATCGCTTAGCTTTCATATCAAGAAGCAGAATTGAAGGACTCAGAAAAATACTGTAGTGAATAATATGTTACTGTTTAGAGAGAATCTTCCAAATTTTAGACAGATGCCTTGAGGCTTAATTCAACCCCTTCTCCTTCCACTTTCACCACCAATAGGCTGCAGAACAGTAATTCACTAAGTGAGGCTTTGGGACCTGCAACACCATCACCTAGAAGCTTATTAGAAATACAAAGACTCAGAATGTACCCTAGTCTAGCAATCTGGACTTTAATAATTTATTCAGTTATCCGATGTATGCTAAAGTTTGATAACTACTGAGGAAGGGAAAGCTCTTTTCAGGAAGGAAAAGAAAGTGGAAAATACCAAAGACAAGAGGTAGAGGTAGAATAAGGTTGTTAGGTATGGAGGGAATGGGGAACATCTGGGGCTGAAGGGTGGGGACAAGGGGCATCAAGGGCTGAGGGGTATAGCAGAAACCACCAAGGAGTGATGAAAGATCCTTAGAACGTTACAAGAAGGGTAATAGATGAGTTGGGTGCTTCTCCAGGCAAAACCCTTGGAGGAGATTCATGCACCATGACAAACTGTGGCTCTGAAGAGGCTGTGGCCACAAATGCATTGCAGCCAATGCCTAAATCCCAAACCCACCTTGGTGAGCTGCAAGTACAGCTGGAATGCTAGACCATGTGAACGCTAAGGACAAGAACAGGCAACCGAGGGCACATTCCTTGGTGACTAGAATCAGTTTTCATGGCTGGTTCTGAGCAGTAGTGAATGTTTATATTTGGCCAAAGGTCCATATGCAAGCAGACATAGCTTGGTAGTGAACAGTGCTAGTGCAGAATAAAGTAGGTCCCCACTGCAGAGACAAGAGTATATGAGTAAAGATCTAAGTTATTTCTTCCCCTCCACTAGGAGGACTCAGTAAGCTTGTGTACACTCCCACATCCTAGGGAAGGATAAAGTTGGGGAGGAAACTAATTTGAAAGACTAAAGACTTTATTTGAAAGGGACTTTTGTCAAATGTATTAAGAAACTGTAAACTAGAAGAGCTTGTGTTGTCATTAATTGGAAAGCCTAGGTTTCTCCATTTCTCAGTAGGGTGAGAACTTGTGGAGATGTTTGGATAACTGATGAAAAAAATAAAGAAGCCACTTTTTCTTTGTATCCTGAGGATGCCGGAACATCACCTTTCTTGGTGTCTGCTGCTTTGCACGCTGTTTGCCACTCCTCCCTTGAATGCTTTCTCCCCTTGGCCTCAGTAGCACCAGACTTTCACTGCCTTCTCCTACCTCTAGGATAACTTCTTCTCCATTTGCATAATAGATTGGTCTTCCTCCATTAATTCCTAAAATATTGATATTATACAAAAAGTTATGTCCCCACCTTTTCTCTTTATGCCTCGCAATCTTTGTGTTCTTATTCTTATAAACACAAAATGACTCTGGTGTCCTCAGAATCCAGTCTTCAGTTCAGGAAAAAGGAAGAAAAGAGGAAAGAATAAAGAGGAAAGGCAAAATAACTCTACCTGTGAAGCCTTGCTTTTTTATTTAGAAAGGTAAGCGCTTTCCAAGGAATTCCTGTCTGTATCTGAACAGTTAAAATTGTGTCACATGGGCATTTCTAGCTGCAAGAGTTTTGGAAGGTAAGTATTACAGCTTGGTTTATTTAAGTTAACAGAAAAAAGTGGAGCAGAGGGAGAAAAGATTTTAGGTAAGAAACTGTTAGTGTCTGTCTCAATTCATTATAATCAGTTCTTCATTAAGAAACCATGGTGATTTGACTTAAAATGAGAATTTTTTTTTAATTCTCTCTCTAAAAAAAATCTTTCATTAGCTTTAACAACACAACCCAGGATAAAAATCCAAGTTTCTTGACATAACATGTGAATTCTTTCATGATCTGGCCTCTTCTTTCTTGTTTCTTTTTAAATTTCATGTATTTTATTTCATTTTTTAGAGACAGGGTCTCACTCTGTCACCCAGGCTGGAGTGCAGCAGCATAATCATAGCTCATTTCAGCCTCTAACTCCTGGGCTCAAGCAATACTCCTGCCTCAGACTCCCAGTTAGCTAGAACTATAGTTGTGCACCATCACGCCCAGCTAAACTTTCTTGTCTCTTAATACTCTCCTTCCATCATTTGCTGTTTTAATCCATTTGAAGTGCTCAAAGTGCTATTTGTATCTTTGCCTATATTGTTTTATCTGTCTTGAACAATTTTTTCTGCATTTTCATCTGGATAACTCATGTTTATTCATAGGGATTCCAATGAAGTGGTCAGAAACCTCCTGTGTCATCTGAGGCTGGGTCAGGAGTCCTCCTATATTCTCTCTTATTCATACCAAGCACAGTTACACTCTATTGTAATCTTCTGTTTACTTGTCTGTCTTCTCTCATATGACTTGATAGAAAGTATTATATCTCATTTATTATTATACATGCATCCTGGAACACAGTACATACTCAATACATATTTGTTGTTTGAACAAATAAAGTAGAATCAAAGTTCAGGTTTGAGTCAGTCTACTATAAACAATTAATTCAAATATATAATGAGGTCTATTTGCACTTAAACTAACTAGAATATGCATTTGACTTTTGTGTTACTGCTGGGGAAGACCAGGGATAACTATCTGGAACCTGTCTGGAGAAAGAGGACCACCAGTAAGTAATTTTGGTTCTGGTTTGAAGTGTTGCCAGTTTTAATAGTCCTTTGACTTTCATTTTTGTTTAGCAGGGCTTTTATAATTCTGATATCTTTCTGTGCAAAATCATTCAACCAATCTTCATGACTATATAAGTTTGGAGATACTTTAATTTTAGTTTAGATTGTCAAATAATGATCCTTTTCAATGCAGTTAAATGGTTTCAACTGTTAATAGTGGCAAAATATGAATCAAACACAGAGCTTTGGTTCACTGTATAAAGACTATGATATTGAACTTCCCTATAGTTTTTATAGTATATATAAACTCATGCATGACAGTCATAAGTTCATGAACATGTGTTCACATATAAATAAAGATACTAATGTGCTCAAGTCCAAAACCCACACAAGTTCAGCCATTCACCCAAGCAGCTGTAGAAGTCTTATCAAAGACGTTGTCCAATATGTCAGTCAATACTGCTTTTATAAACTTTCATGTAAATTTTTTATAAGATTTAGTGCCAGGACATATTTCTATTTTTCTAACAAATTGGGAATATTCCCACCCTCCCCTCTCCTTCCTCTTCACTTGATCTTAACCAAAAGACCAAGAAGCGATGCCCTTCCTCTTTTTAACAAACAATGTGCATTATATACTTGACCTCTCTTTAGTAGCTACAATGAACAGGGCCAAACTTGCAATTTTATTATTGTGTTTACATTAGTTCTTATACTCTAATTTCTTGCCTTCTCATTTTACATGGTCTTTGAATTTTTGCCTAAGCTTACATAAGCTTTAATACTTCTTTGATATTTCCACTTTTATCATAATTTTATTATAGATGGTTTTGTTGTAATTTTCCTTAAATTCTCTGTGGAACGAGTGGTGACAGAAACAAGTAATAAATTTCCATGTGTATATTCATACTTGCATAAGATTGAAAATACATAAAGGAGAAACTTGTCTATGCTTGTGCTGAGAACGCTTCATAGAGTAATTCTAAATGCAACATTGAGTCTAATCAGTCTGTCTTCATATTTCTTTGCTTGGGTGTTTTCTTAGTTAACATGCTTTTGCTTCTCCTGATTATATCACCATGCAGACTAATCTGACTAAAATTTATACTTGCAGAAGTTCCTGAAATTATCCTGCCAGCTTAAACATCAACAAAACAAGGGGGAATGGAGAGATTTTGTGAAAAACAATGACATAATAAACACTCCGATCTATGATAATTGATTTCAGATCTATTGTAGCAAGAGAATAGAAACTGATGCATTCAGGTTGTTTGAATAACTATAACAAAGCTTACATATCACTATCTCTCATGTTATATGTTAGGAAACTGAGGTTCAGAGAGATTAAAGAACTTGCTTACTGCCACAGAGGTAGTAAGAGATATCCTCCAAAAATGTGATGAGATAAAAAAATCACACTTCACCATTCCTCTGGAAGTGAGAAGAATGTGGTTTGGTCCCAGACACGTCGATGAATCCTGCCTCCTAATCCAGCTGAGTGAACCTGGGCAATTATGTAATTCTCTGTGCCAGAACTTCATCATCTGAATTGGATGACATTTTATTTATGAAGTTGTTTTCAGCAGTAAATGAGACAAATACAGAGATTTGATAGCACAGAGCCTGGCACATAGGAGGTGTTTAATAAATGTTAACTCTTGTAAGTGAACGGGAAGATGAAATATTTTCTTTCTATATAAAACAGTGAACTACATATCCTTAAGATATATTTCCATAGAAGATATATATATATATATACATATATATATATATTCATATGCCTTAGTTGGTAGGTCATTTTAACCATAAGCTACTTCATTTTCCCCCTCAGTGAAATGAGTGTATTCTTAATTTTAATTTCCTAAAACATCTAGTGTGATGCATGTGATCTTTCCTGCATTTTTATTTGGACTGCCAGATTAATTTAAATGGGACTTGACAGCCAGTAGATTTCCTTTGTGCTCATGGACAATGTAAACATTCGTATGGCCAGGAAAAAAAAAACCTTTAGCCACCTGTGTTCCCATTCTTCATCTTTGATTATTTTATTATTATCATCCTCATCATCATTATCAACAACAAACATTGATTTGTCATTTATTACATAAAAGCTAATATATTAGAGCATTTGGGGACATTTAATGATTTTAAATTTCTGTCTTTAAGAAGCTTACTCTCTAAAGAGAGAGAGTGTGTGTGTGTCTGTGTGTTCGTCTGTGTGTGTGTGTGTGTATTTGTGTGTATTTTTTTGAGACATTCTCACTCTGTCACCCAGACTAGAGTGCAATAGCATGATCACTGCTCACTGCAGCCTCAATCTTCCATGCCAAAGTAAACGTTCTATCCCAGCATCCCAAGTAGTTAGGACCACAGGCATGTGACACCACACCCAGCTAATTTTTGCATTTTTTTGTAGAGGTGGAGTCTCCTGATGTTACCCAGGCTGGTCTCAAACTCATGGCTCAAGTGATCCTCCCATCTTGGCCTCCCAAAGTGCTCACATATATTTATATAATTTAACATATAACAATATAATCTTATAATAATAATTCAAGATGGAATGATACAGATCTATGAATAGCAAGATCAAAACTGATGAACGTGGTTCTTGTGGGGCAAGAGGGCAGGCAGAAGGAAAATAAACTGAGCTGAGGTTTTAATGAAGCAGAATTGTGGTCAGTGAAAGTGGAGTAGAAGAGGCTCTGGGAGAATGGTCATCAACAATGAAGGAATTAAATCAGTTAGGTGGTGCATGTATGAAGTGTGTGTATGGAGGTCTGTGTAAGGCAGTGGTGGGAGATAAGAGATAAGAAGATTTGACATCCCTCCAGATGGAATGATTCTGAAGAATTTTGAACAGGAATCAGAACCAAGAAATTTCTCTTATCTGATGTTAAAGAGACTTTCTAATTAAATCAAGTTTGATCTCCAAGTAGCTAGGACTTTAGGATGAGTTTCAGCTTGATGGGAGTTTATTTTTTCATGCCATTTAAAAACAAAGTTCAAATTCTACATCTTTTAAATTTTATGTGAAAGGGTTGGAAAGTCAAAGTGTGTGATTGGGAATGGGAGGGTGGATGGGATTTCTGGATTATAGGAGAATAGCTTTTCAATTTAGAGTTGGTATAAGATTTGAAATGTCACTTCTGGAGTAAGATTTTCGACAATAAATGACCATCTGTGTCTATGTTTAGCTCTGTAAAGTTGTTTGTTTCTTAGAGGAAACTTTACAATCCTGTATGGCTATTTTGGCTCGATTGTTTATATACTTCTACCAGTTCGCCTAATTTGTTTCAAACATTTGGAATATAGGATACCAGAACATGCCAGAGATTGATCCTCTCATCATGCAAGAGTATCTTTAAACTTCTCTTTAAAAATGTTATTCCTGACCCCCGTAATACTCCAGTTACTATGATACATACAAAAACATAGAACAAGTCTGGTGATCTACTTATTTGTTAATAGGAACTTGAAGCAGGAGAGAAAATACTGTGCAAACACGCGTGGCTTCAGGCTCATGTGAGTGGGAAAGAAGTAAGTAAACCATGGCTGTTCTATCAAATATCTCCAATGACAATAGGAATGGGTCTATTATATTTTCCATTTCCCATTTTCCTGGCTATTGCCCATTTTCTTAGCAGAGATAAATGGATTTGCTCAAAGAACCCTGACTGACTACATGGGTGGCCCATTTAACTGGTAAAAGGCATCCCAGTCATGAAAATATTCAGTTGGTAAATTACACACACATGCATATACACATACAGACACATCACTTTTATTTTGGTCTGGCCTAGTACAAATATTGTGTATGCTCTTGGTGTCCCTTCTATGGGCTGCAAATGTAGCTATCATTTGTATACACGTTCATTAATTTTCTTATTCTACGTATAGTAATACTGCTATTTCTGACTCTGAACAAATAGCACAACACATTTAAATGAGAATCTTTGCAAGCTCAGAAGTACAAAAATAGCAATGATACATCACACTTTTAAAGAGCATTTCATTAATAGATGGATCAGAACATACTTCTTGTTGTACATCATTTAATTGTTATGTATTTAAAATAAGACATATATCTAATATTCTTTTCAAGCTTTCATATGCCTCAAATTTATTATGTCAGTTGTTAGTGGCAATGACATCACAAGATGAATTCAAAGCAATGATTGCTTTAACATTTAAAAAGCTTAGAGTGTGCCGATTATTCAGGCTGCTAAGTGAAAGTACAAATGTCAGTTTAGCTATCTATAATCTCATACTGTTTAAAGGTTCATGAATTACACATGCAGTGGATAGAAATGGAGGAACTGAATTTGACTAAAAGAGCTTTTTCACAAAAAATTTGCTGAAACGATTTCTTCTAATGTATTTTAGTGATTAATCAATTTGATTTAAAATGTTAGAATTATTTAAGGTCTGTACTTTGAATTTACTGTGAACTCAAAGCATGTTTATATTTATTGCATCAACTAAGTAAACAGCATATGCTTAATGCTTTTAAAATGTTCCCCAGTAAAATTTAGGTCACTACTTACGTGTTAGCTATCAGCCCTGGAGATACATTGACATATTTGATTAACAGTGTGCTTCTCCCACACTGCTTTGTGTAATTTCTGCAATTTTATGTCATTGGCAAAAATTCAGTATCAGCCGCTATCATACACTTAAAGATGCTTTACTTGCATTAATTTTTCATATTTTTCAATATTTATACTTAAAAATCATATTTATCTTCTTTGAAGAATAAACAATTCTACCATGTAGATATTTTTTGGAGCATAAAAATAGAGATACTCAGGATGCATTGATTTCCTACTAACACAGAGTGCTGATAGACCTGGTTTCAAATATAATGAGGACTGTTAATTTTTGAAAATTAAGATTATTTGAAGTTTTAGCCACTATCTGGCCCCATTAAACACTGTATATTACTATTACTATATAGGTGTATTAATGGAACCAAACTACTGAACTGTCTGGAAAGAAAGATCTTACTTCCCTTCTCCAGCAAGCAATTCTTGGTTTTGATTCAAATTATTACTGGTAAATATGAATGGATAAATGCTATAATGGACACCAAGAAAAATAGGGGGAGATAATTCAGCTAGAGATATTAGGAGGAGAAATGGTTTGATTATATGTTGTCAACCACCAAATCTCACTTATCTGTACTGAAGAAGATGTTTCCTGCTTATAAATCCTTCCACCCACTTAGGAAAGAAAAGAGGAAAGGAAAATGACAAATGTCAGCCCCAAACACTGAAACCCTTCCTCTCTCTTTCTCTCTTTCTCTCTGTTTCTATCTATGTCACATAAAAGAATGTATGAATATATAAAAAATCGTACCAGTTCTGGCATTGAAAAATGCTGATATGGCTACATTTATTCAGCAAGCAAAATGTCTTGCTGGATAATGGTCATTTGGTTTAAGGTTGAAGAGTATAGAACCACAGGCTGACAAATGGGAATTACAAGGCTGATTTCACTCAGTTAAAAATTGAGGCCACTGGACACTCCTGGCTTAGCTGAACAGTCCCGCTTACGGTGAACAATATTAGCCCAAACTGACCAGGTATTTCACCATTGGTATCTATCTAGGAGAGGCCAACTAAAAATTATAGGATTCTTTCTCTTTTGGATTTTGAAAAGGTAGATGAATCAGTAAGCAACTGACTGGGTTCATTTATATCTTAGCAGAGGAAAAGGGCACAGGATTCAAAGATTCTGCCTCATGTTTTGGAATTGTCTCCATTGTCCATGTTTTTAAATGGTTCACATTGTTCGCTTGGAGTTACTTGAGTCAGAGCGTCCTTTATCTTCACCCAGATATCTTCCACGCATTCCCACTTAAGTCAAAAGTCTTCAGGGTATTTTCTCTTGGAGGTCACTTTATACTTTGTATGTTCAAATCAGAACTTATTATGTTTCCACTTTAAGTGAATCTCCTTCTCAGTGTGTCCTTCCTATGATTGGTGTTAATAGTTTTTTAAGTCAGAGAAGTATTCCCAGTAAATTTTATTGACATTTCCCACTCTATGGAAAAGATGATGGCATCTTTTCAATCTGTCATCGACCCGACATTCCACTGTCATTTCTACCTTACCTTGGCTTAAATATTTTAAATTTATTTTTTTAACTGACCACCTTCTTCCAGGCGATCCAGCCACCACTATTCTTAAAACTGTCATGCAACTAACATATCTAAAATATGCTCATGTTCAGAAGTTGTGATAACACTTACAATTAGTTCCAAATTCACCTGTGTCTAGTTTTCAAAGATCTCTTCAGTTTGGCTTCCTTTGTTTTAGATTAGTCTCTTCTGGCTCCAACTAGGTTAATTCCTTCCTGAGCTTTGCATATACAATTTTAATTTCAGATTGGAATTTAGATCTAATACTCAGAGTAACATATATATTTTCTCAGTCTATCCAAAACCTACCTCTTTGTTTTTTTTTAAGTCCTTTCATGCCTCCAAAATCTACCTTCATGTTACTTAGTCCAGTCCTTTTCAATTCATGACTATGCATTTGTTTTTGACAATCATTCTTCCCATCTGAAGCCTTCTGGAGTATATGGAACCATAGCTATATTTTCTAAGCCTCTTGTACATTTCTCTTTGTAATCCCACCTCCTTTTCCCTCCTAGCAACTGCATTTCAAGCTCCCTGCAAACTTCAGTCTCCCAGACCTGATATTAAAACCCCTTCTTCACTTGTTGAGTTCTCCCAAGGTCAATTCAGTTACAGTACTCATTACTGGGGCTCAATGACATTTTTTCTTAAATTATTTATTTATTTGTTTATTTTTTTTGAGATGGAGTCTTGCTTTGTCACCCAGGCTTGAGTGCAGTGACACAATCTTGGCTCACTGCAACCTCTGCCTCCTGGGTTCCAGCGATTCTCCTGCCTCAGCCTCCCGGGTAGCTGGGACTACAGGCATGTGCCACCATGCCCTGCTAATTTTGTATTTTTCGTAGAGATGGGGTTTCACCATGTTGGGCAGGCTGGTCTTGAATTCCTGACCTCAGGTGATCCACCTGCGTCGGCCTCTCAAAGTGCTGGGATTACAGACGTGGGCCACCATGCCTGGCCAAAATTTTTTAACCAACAAAATAATAATTATGCATATTTACAGGGGACAAGGTGATGTTCTGCTGTAAGTTTACATGTGGAATGATTAAATGAAGCTAATTAACATATGTGGCATATATACACAAAACAATACTATTTAGCTGTAACAAAGATGGAAATTCTGTCATTTGCAACAACATGGATGAACCTGGATGACCGTATGCTGAGTGAAATAAGCTAGGCACAGGAAGACAAATGCTGCATGATGTCACTTATATGTGGGACCTGAAAAGTCAAACTCATGGAAGTAGAGAATAGAATGGCAGTTACTAGAAGCTGGGAGAAGAAGGTAGTAAAAGGTGGTAATAGGGGACGGTCAAAGGGTATAAAGTTTCAATTAGACAAGGAGAAATATGTTTTAGAGATCTGTTGCACAGCATGGTGACTATAGTTAATAATAATGTACTGTATATTTCAAAATTGCTTAAAAAATAGACTGTAAATGTTCTCAATGCTACTTTCTGACCTTGGGTTTCACTGATTTTAAAAAGCTTTTCCTGGTAAACCTAATCAAGACCTCTGCTTTCTGGAAATCAATAACACTATTTTGTGTGGGAATTGAGCATGATAAGTTGCAGCCCTTTACAATAATTTCCCAGATTCTTTCAGTAAGATCTAAATTTCCTCGAATGTAGGGGAAATTTTGGTTCTCCTGACTCCTTCCTGATTTCATCAGGCAATTAAGCAATACGTATGCGATTGAACTAAACTGAAAAACAGGTAGAGGGATAGGAATGATGTAATATGGAGTACGAAGTTGGATATTGAGCTGACAGAACACCAGAGAGTCAGAAGAGGACTTCAGCAGCTTGCTGTGAAGACTTGGCAGCTTGTGGAACGGGGCAGATAAATGAACGCCATTTGATTTTACTAGCATTAGAACAGATCAGTAGGTCTCAAACATGGTTGCACTTTTCCACCCTATGAGAGCTTTAGCAAAGTATTATTACTTGTTTCACTCACTCACCATCCCCTGAACAACCACCCCTATTCTTATTTTGGTTTAATTGATATGGGATGGAGACTGATTATTTTTTAAAGGTTTTGTAGGTAATTCTAAGGTACACAGAGAGCTAAGAACCACTGATATAGGACTTGGTTACTCAATATGTGGTCCCAGGATAGACAGCGTAGGCATCATCTGGGAGATTAAATCTCCTCCCCCCATCCCACCCCTAAACTTTCTGAATCACAGTCTCTATTTTAAACAGGATTTCCAGGTTATTTATATGTACAATGAAGTTTCAGAAGCACTGTTTTATGGGATCTATAACGATTTCATCCTAGGGGACCTCTGTGACAAGCTAAGACTCTAGTTTGGTATTACTTTGGGCAGATTCCCTACACAGGGATTAGACACGGCCCATCAAACTCTGATGGCTGCTGGCATGCTGAATGGGTGTAAGAGAGGCAGAGGGCAGGAGAAAGAAATTGCGGCCAAGAGGAAGGCACAGCTCCCCCAACCCAGGCAATTACTCCAATTAGCCATGGGTCCCTATATTTTTTTCAGGATCAATTTGATGTACTGTGACTCAGCACCTCCGCCTCCTTCCTGTCTTCTAACAATTTCACCCTCCCCCAAGAAAATCTATTTCTTTGTTGATCATCTTGAGTTTTAAAGCTACTTATCCAAAGCTTCTTATGGGGAGTATTAATGCTAATGGATTTAGTGCTAACCACACCAGTCAAGATGGCAACCACATCCATGAAAGGATATTCCTGTTTCCTGCCTCTTTCATGCTGGGGAAGTAATCAATAGGAAATTTGGAAAGGATATGAGTGTCGGAGAAAGAGGACATAATCTCCTAATGTTGACAAGGGCTCTCTGTCTTTCAGTAACTAACTCAAAGTTTCCTTTTAAACTTTGAAAGTGTGAAACACTACCTCTGACTGAGGAGCTCAGTCCTGGTTTACTTCCAAAGTCATCTGGAGCAGAATGGTCTGTAGCTGCGCTGTCCAAACTTAAGCCACTAGCCACAGGTGGCTCCTGAGCATTTGGAATATGGTTAGGCCAAATCGAGGTGTGCTGCATCAGTGAAATACACACTGCATTTGGAAAACTGTATAAAAACAGAATGCAAAATACCTGTGTAAAAATTTTAGGTTGATTACCTATTAAAACCATAGTATTTGGATATATTGGACTAAATACAAATATGAATAATATTAATTTCACCTGTTACTTTTTATTTTTTAAATGGAACAATAGAAAATTTAAAATTACATATGTGGCTTGCATTATATTTCTATTAGACACACCAATCTAAAGTAGCTGAGCTGTCCTTCCACGCAGTTAAATATCTAGGTTGGTATTCACTCTCACTCTGATTTAGCTCATTTACAATGAAGTAGTGGGTCTCATAGACTTAAGCTATAGTTTTAGGAAGAAGCTATGTCTTGGGTAGCTAGGGCAGAGGCAGGAAATGGCAGAAACATCAAATCATAGTTAATTTAGTTTGAATGTAATTTTTTGTTCTTTTACACCAGGCTGTCCAGAAAATTTACAAGCCTTCATAAACAGTCTTAGGGTGATTCTCACTAGTTCAGAGAAAATTTTGGAGATGCTCTATTAAAATGATAACATTTAGTGTTTGAGAGAACATACAGGAGATAAGTCCTATCTAAACAGCAAATATTTATAGAACCTACTATGTGCAAGGCACTGTGCTAAGTGATGCTTCATGCTGAAAGGATTTCATATTTTATAGTGGAGATGGAAAACAGGAAAGCATGAAAATATTCTGTCTATTAGCCCAGTATCTCCAAACAAAAGAGGTAGGTCAATGTTAAGACTGTATCACACTATGGAAGTTGTGCTTTTATGAACTGGACAGACTGAATGCTCCACATCTGTATTCAGTTTGTTTTTAACATATTGTCACTTCCAAATCAGCCTTCAAAATTGTCTCATGTTTTCTTTACTCTTTCTACATTACTGAGAGTATTAGCTATCTTTTCTCTTTCTACATTACTGAGTATTAGCTATGTTCTTTCTTGGGCTTCAGTGGGCCAAGCATCAGGCTAACCTTGTGTCAAATTTCACTACTTAGGAAAGATGAATTGTCAACACTCGCAACAAATATGGTATATTTAGTCTTTCTTGAGGGAAGAATGTGATGATGAAATTAGACTCATATTAATCTGTGGTTGCCAAATATTAAATTCTTAGAATATCACAGGTAGGTCATTTATTTAGCTGTGCATCAAGCATAATTTTTTTTCATGATATCAACATCTTTCAATATCTATAACAGCTTTTCCTTTGACATTTAAAAAGAACTATTTAAAAGCACAATATAATCTACCAATGTTTTGTAAAGAAATGACACAATATGAACAGAGACCAATTATTATCAGTCTTCACTTAGAAGTTATGATGCCAAAACAAATCAATTCTAAATGAAAAAAAAAGAAAACACCTCACAAACCAAAAAAGAATTGATAGTGTATAATAGCATTAATGGCAAAAGTGAGCAAATGTACTATCAGAGTCCAGGTGAAACAACATATTCACATAACCCATTGAGAGGAGGGTAGAGATGGACCATGCTTTAGACATCTTGGCCCTTTTTTTTTTTTCAAACATCAAGAGCAAAACCTAATGAGTTGTAACTAGAATTTTTAAAAAAGATACAAAATATCAATATTCATTACAAGTTGTAAGGGTAAGTACTGGTTCATGAAAAATCTTGCTTTAGTTGTCTGCCTGTGTATATGTGCAGGAGGTGTGTGCATGTTTGTGAGTACTGGATCATCATGTAAAATATCTCTTTATTATGAGTAGTCAAAATTATTTGAAGAGCATTATAAAACACATTTTAATGGATAACTATCAAAATGATGAGTCTGAGATCCACAAAAATTAAGTATTTCCCCAAAGCTACAGAACTGATTTTACATTTATGTTTATTTTTTAAATTTTTAACGTTTGTGCGCTTATAGTAGGTATGTATATTTATGGGGCACATGAGATATTTTGACACAAGCATGCAATGTATAATAATCACATCATAGAAAGGGTAATTCATTCCCTCAAGCATTTATCCTTTGTATTATAAACAATCCAATTATACTCTTTTAGTTATTTTTGAATGTACAATTAAATTATTATTGACCATAGTCACCCTACTGTACTATCAAGAGAACTGATTTTAATAAAATAAATGGGCATAGAAACTTAATGACCCCCTATAAACTTCACCACACTAGGCTGGTATTTCATTTTAATCTCAGGGATCCTACATTTGAATATGGAGAGAAGATTCTGCTTCAGGTTTTATAAAAATTGAAAAGCTTATTACTTCATAGATCCTTTTGTACATGACTTTGTAGACTATACAAATAAGGTGAAAGTGTACTGATACAAAGTTTTCTTCTAGTTCTATTTTAGGTCTAAGTAACAGCAATGGTTTTCATATTTAAGAAAAAGATGGGCAGGGCGCGGTGGCTCACGCCTGTGAATCCCAACACTTGGAGGCCGATGCAGGTGGATCATGAGGTTAGGAGATGGAGACCAGCCTGGCCAAGATGGGAAACCCCATCTCGACTAAAAATACAAAAATTAGCCAGGCCTGGTGGAGGGCACCTGTAATCCCAGCTACTCGGGAGGCTGAGAAAGGGGAATTGCTTGAACCCAGGAGGTGGAGGTTGCAGTAAGCCAAGATCACGCCAGTGCACCCCAGCCTGGGCGACAGAGAAAGACTCCATCTCAAAAAAAAAAAGAAAAGAAAAAAAAAAGAAAAAAGAAAAAAATAAAGGAAAGAAAAGGGTAGATGCTGATTTTCTCTTTTCTGACCTAATTCTAGGTGATAAATACAAGTGGTTATACCATGGTTACTAGACAGCAAATTGAATTGGGTGAGCTATCATGAAAGTGTTTTCTCCTTTTCTTTGGCTACTTAGGAGTTTCTGATCCAATAGAGAGCACAATCATGAATTTTAACCAACTGCCAAAGGGTTCATTCAATAGATTTGGGTGTAGGATTCAGTATGATTGTTGTGTGAACAGAAAAAAGTCCGAATGGAAGTACTTAAAGAGATTAAGCCATTTTAAGCTATTGTAAACTATTGTAAACCGCCATTAGTCATTGAAAAAAGCTAAATGGAAGGGAAAGACATTTTGTAACTGTAAAAATGTATGTTCCAAATGGAAAAATAGTTGAGCATGTGTCTCCAAAAATGGGGATGTAATATATTCATTAACTTTTTACCATATTACAAAGATATATTTTTATGATCTTTAAGATCATTAGCATCCACTTGAGGTGTATATTAAGAATGCAGTATCATAATACTTTATAATGTCTCCAGAGGCGAAATTTAGGTTGAGACAATATGAAGAACTTTGGACAAATCTTGTTATAGGATGCATTCTCTTCTTTTCACCAACCTACCCTGAGACCCTGAATCTTAATAAGATACACACAAAATGAACCCTGTTATTTCAAGTAATCCTGGCAATTTGCTTGTTTCTTTTCAGTAATAAGCATGAAAACGTGTACCTCTTTCTAGGAAAGTACCCTCTTACCCTTGATTCTATAATATCTTAGGGTTGACTTAGGTACTTTTTTCCAAAGAATGTATGAATTACTTCTATACATGTGTAGATATATGCACATATAACTTAGACAATTATATTAGAATATTTATGGAATTATTTTTAAATTACTGGTGGAATAAATATTTTTTAAGTATAGCTGTATTAACCTCACCAGTATTTTTATTGACATGTTAATTGTTGCAAAAACATATATTTTCATATAATTATCATTAACCTACAAACAATAACCTTCTGCATGTTTAAAGTGGTTGCAGAGCTTGTTATTATAGACTGCTTTCAGTGCTGTTCATTTAGTATGCTGTGTTTTTAACACAAATGTAATCCACTCTGCATTTTCCATTTAAAATGCATAAGGCAAAGTGCATCATAACAGGATGTAACTATGTATTAATCAAATTAGCACAACACTTCAAAGGCTTGGGCTTTTTGCTGGGCTACTGTTAGATCACAATTCATGAAGGAAAGAAGCAGCATAATGAAAGGCTTGGCAAGGGAGCAGTTTATTTTCTTTCCAGAAAGATATAGAGTGGGTTAATTTTCATGATGGGAAAACATGTTGAGAAGGGGTAACACTAAGCATTAAGCTAAAGAACAATAAGTGGAATTTAGAATACTAGGATATTTTTGCTGCTGATAAAACATAAATTCTATAATTATTTGATGACACAACAGAACTCCAATGACCTGTAGTTAAATTATTAAATCTTCATGACCCAAACAAAATCCAGTATAGTTGATATTAATATTCAGAACATGGCAGATCAGATGGTTCTTTGTCATTGTGAACAGCATGCTGTATAGCAATGAAGAATATAAAGTGTAGTGTATCCAAATACAGGACTCGATGCAAACGTAACATGTGACATGTAATATAGCATAATTGAAATTGATTATTGATCTTTTGGCTAGTGTTTTATTTTCCATAATCCTAAATATGCATACAGGATAGTGCATAAACAAAATAAACTGGATAGAACTTAGCTAGGACAAGTGATAAAGAAGAAATCAGACAGCCAAATAAATGGAAGTCAATTATTTTGTAGACCATTCAACTGATTGTTATCATTAGATGCCTGATGCTCTGCAAACTTCCTCTTTATTGCTACTGACAGATAACAAATGAGCAACTAATTTCCTTTTAACCTAAAACTTTATTTTTCCTGGCATGGGTCTTAGAATGAGGGGGACACAGTGAGAAGCACTCACCCCGCTCCAGCATTTTTCTAAACAGTAGTACAAGGTTGTTTTAATGGTAGGTTCCATTGTTTTTGTTCCTCTGTGTAAGACCATGTGGTCTACTTGATGCAAGAGAGAAAACAGACAATTTTCAAGACTAGATCTAGATGAAAGTGATTTTTATTTCTGAGTGATTATAGGTGTGTGCTACTGTATACAAACAAAGTCCTCTTTCGTGGTACATAAATCCAGATATCTGCACATGGGCAAAAGATGTGTGGTATTTAGAGTAAGAAATGTAGAAGGAAAGAGAGCTGAGCTTTGTTCAGAAACTTGACAAAGGGGAAAAACAGGAGATAGGAAAGAAATGGGAAGGACAACTGAGGTGGTGTAAAGGAGAAATGATAAGGGTATAAAGGCAAGAAGAGATAAATTAGTGGGGAAGGGAGAGAAGCAGAGAGGTCAAGGAGAGACATGAATGGCTCATCCCCAGGGCAAGCAGTTGAGTTTAACTGGACACCTCACCTCTGCTCTCTATCTATAAAATGATGGTCATGGTGGTTGTGGTGATGGATTAGAGGAGTTTTAAAGAGTTTATAATTCTTCTTTTTCATTCTCATTCCGCTTTAATCAATTATTCAAAATTCTTGTATTTGTAAATACAAAAATACTGTAGCTTACTACTGACACAAGAATGGCAATGCACTAATGATAAAATCAATGTAGATGCTAAACTATTTAGAAGTAGTAGCAAGCTTAAAATTCAAAAGTTCTGTAATCTGTGGCTCTATGACTTTTTCTACAAGTACCCATCAATTTTTCCTTTTGTTTAATAAGAGAAAGGCTTTCTTTCTTTTTTTTTTTTTTTTTGGAGGCAGGGTCTCACTCTGACATCCAGCCTGGACTGCAGTGGTGCGATCCAGGCTCACTGCAGCCTTGACCACCTGGGCTCAAGTGATCCTCCAGCCTCGCCTCCCAAAGTGCTGTGATGATAGATGTGAGCCACTGCACCTGGTCTTTTTATTATTTTTTTTTAATTTTGTAGAGATAGGGTCTCACTATGTTGCTCAGGCTGGTATCAAACTCCTGGGCTCAAGGGATCCTCCTACCTCAGCTCCCCAAAATGCTGGGATTATTGGTGTGAGGATTTCCATTTTTAAAAGGGAGGTTGCTACTTGCAGCAAAACCAGCATTGGTCTCATAAACGAATTAAGAAATCAGGAGTGTTCACATTGCTAAATCCTACACTTTGCTTTTTTAGTTGTTCAGCTTTCTCTTTGAGAGAGAGTGGAATCCACGCGAACTAAGGACTTTTTACCTGTACATTATTTGCATTTTGAACTGATAATTATTTGGCGGTGGTGAGGAGGAGGCATTGCTGCCCTGTGTGTTGTAGGGTGTTTGGCAGCACCCTTGGTCTCTACGCACTAAATGCCAGTGGCAACACCCTCCAGTTGTGATAATTAAATATGTGTCAAACATTGCCAAATGTCCCAGGGTGGCACAAATTATCCCTGATTGAGAACCACTGATCTAAACCGAATGTAGTTTCATACAGCCAGACACTCAAAGAACAAAGATAAACTAAATGAAAATCATTTTAGATTTCATAGCATATAACACCAAGTGGTCCAGGTAAATTGAAAAAAAACCTCCAGGTCTTAAGATACATTTGTATTAGACCAAATTTATTTAAAAAACAAAATAGGGCCAAGTGCAGTGGCTCACACCTGTAATCCCAGTACTTTGGGAAGCCAAGGCGGGTGGGTCACCTGAGGTCAGGAGTTCGAGACCAGCCTGACCAACATGGAGAAACCCCGTCTCTACTAAAAATACAAAATTAGCCGGGTGTGGTGGCACACGCCTGTAGTCCCAGCCACTTGGGAGGCTGAGGCAGGAGGATCGCTTGAACTTGGGAAGCAGAGGTTGCCATGAGCTGAGATTCACCATTGCACCTCAGCCTGGGCAACAGGAGTGAAACTCCATCTAAAAAATAAAATAAAATAAAATAAAATAAAATAAAATAAAATAAAATAAACACCCAAACAGAGTGCATGGAGAAAGTAAATGAGTTTTAAGTAATAGCTGAGAGTAAAAAAATTGCAAATGTAGTTATAACAGGTTTGACAGAGAGAAAAAGGGAGTGTGTGTCTGACTCCATTTAGGTCAAAGTCCACGATTTGTGACAAACTTTGAAACAGATCAAATGAATTTAGTAAACACATGATGTGCTGCTCTGAAAACCTTACCAGAAAGACTAAAAATTAGAGTTAGGCCAGTTTATACTTACATCAGTCACTGATTAGACTCCTGTAGCAGTAGGAAGCAACATGTCCCTTAATCTGATGACTTTCGGGTAAGGGAAAAATCAAATATTCTGTGATGACCTTGCTTGAAGTCAGTTTTTCTCCACAGCTTTGCTGGGGGTCAGAAGATTTAAATGGCAGGACTGTGACACTGCAGGCTAAGTCCGGGAATCATTTTGTTGAAGATCTTGTTTTTTAGACACTCAGATACCTAAGGGAGGCACATTATATAGGACAGGTAAGTGAGTGCCGGGACATTCAGATTTTCTCTGTGGTCGTTTCTCAAAGTCCAGTGTGCATCAGAATCACCTGCAGGCTTTATTAAAGTAAAGCTTGCTGGGCACCAACCCAGGGCTTCTGATTCATAGATTTGGGGTGGGACCTGAAAAAGTGCATTTCTAACAAATTCCCAAGTAGTGCTGCAGGTGCTGTGGTCTAGGGCCACATGCTGGGTGCATCTACCTCAGTGTTTTCCTAAATTAACCCTACACAAAGTTATTATTTCTTTCAGCTATTTTTTTTATTGCTTCTGTTTTAGCTATTGTGCCTTTCTCACATTTGCTTATATGTTGCCTCTGAATATGTCACTAATTTTTTTCATGGTGAAAACCTTGTCTCCTCCTATAGAATATTTGCTCTGCCTTTCACTTATCGCATAGTGCTGAGTACACAATAGATTCCTGATAAATGACTCCTGAATATAGAATGAATGAAGACAATGGAAAGTATAAACTACAATATATTTTATCCTTTTGATTTTTCTTCATCAAAAGTAGCTATGTTTTAGCTTGGCCTAATACCAACTCCATTTTCTTCCTACTTTAAATCTTTTTTCTCTGCATATAGACCTCATTTAGGAAGAAGACGAACACATATTATGGCTTACATACTTCAACATGAAAAGCATATAAAAGGACTTTATAGCCATACTTCTATTTTCATTATCTAAGTGTATTAGTAAAAGCAAACCTATTACATCTTCCTTTTGAGAAGCCAAAAACATCTGGAATTTATGTTATGAGAAACAGCTTTGACAGACTTTATTTGACATGCACATCAACTGCTAAGAAAAAAAAATCACTAGAGGAAATGTTAAACTAAGTTATGACACTGTCCTGCCAACAGAAGATTGAGGTTGGTTTGTTGGCTGTATCTTGAAGATGCATTAAAATATGAAGGCACAAAAAGGACAGCTGTTTCGGAGAGATCAACCCCACATTATCCTAACTGATAAATAAATGTGCAATGTAATATATAATTCCGGTGTGGGGCTCCAGAGCTGAGATAATTCTTAAGAGCAGGGCTCAAGTGATTTGTCACCAGGCCCTTAGAAGCAACGCTTTGTGTTACGTTGCTGCACACTCTGCTTTTATTTAATGGGAGCTTTATCATTTTTATTTGATTTCTTATTTATATTTCAGAATTCTTGAAAGGTTATTCTGCTATCAAAGTGAAACTATGTATATACTGCCAAGCCATTTGAGCTCATATATGTATAAATAAGAGATTTCCCCTGCCCCTGGCTCCTTGATGTTCACTGAGATGTTCCACCTTTCATACTGTGAACTGTAAGAGGGAATGGACATAATATATCGTCCATCTCCCCCCCGACTCCAGAACACACCTCCAGATATCCTCTGAAACTGCAGAAAGGAGAAAACCCTTTTTCCTTTTCTATGTTCCTCTTATTTCTGCATAAGACGGCATATGTACATATATAGACACACATATATACACATCTATAGGCATACATGTATATTTGAATTTCAAATTAAGAAACATAAAATGATACTTCAAATTAAGACTGTCTCAGAAAATGCAGCATACAAGACTGTTGCAAGCGTTTGATTTAGATACATGGGTTTTCTAAGAAACGTACGCTGTTAGCATCATGGTTGCCTGTAAGGAAGAGCCAGAAGTGTTTGTACTCAAGCTTTCTTATCTTCTCTTCATCATCTGTCCATTTTCCCTCATGGTCAGATTTCAATGTTACTTCCCGGAAAGACCATGGTGCCTCAAGGGAGACACAGCAAAGGGACCCCAAAGCAATGACACATGTGTCTGGTTGTGTTGTGGGCCAATGATCTGATGGCACATTGCCCTCTCCTCTTCAAATAAATCTGCAAAGAGCTGTTCTCCATTGTTGTGTATGTATGACCTTTTCAAAGTCACTGGAGAGAGTTAGGAGGGAAGATCCTAAACATTAAAAAAAAATTAAGAGAAGTCAATACATGGTTACAAAAATTAAAGTATATAGTAAATATTCACATTTAATAATGCTTTTAATCATCCAAATTCAAGACAACATAATCAGGCAACTCAACAAGCAACAAATTAAATAAGATATATTAATTTATAATGTGTTGGGTTGTATGTTCTAGTAATGGCATGCACATTTGAAGTGTTATGAAGAATATCAACTTTTTTCAATCTTAACAGCTTGTCTATTGTAATCTCATGTGAAAATGACATCACAAATCTAAATCTGAGGCCTTTCATGACACCTTGAATAGGCACTGTATACAAGATATTCTCCAGTCCACTTTGGGGAATTAGGCTCATTATTTCACAGATTTATGGCATCCTATAAAATGCTTTACATCAAGCTTGTCCAACCTGCGGCCAGTGGACCACATGCACCCCAGGAGAGCTTTGGATGGCATCCAACACAAATTCGTAAACTTTCTTAAAACATTATGTTTTTTTTTCTTTGCTAATCAGCTGTCATTAGTGTTAGTGTATTTTATAAGTGGCCCAAGACAATTCTTCTTCCACTGTGGCCCAAGGAAGCCAAAATATTGGATATACCTGCTTGACATGAAAGAAACCAACCACTGAAAAAAATCTAGACTTCACTTTTTATCTAGTAACTAAACTAAATTTATGCTTTGAGCAATATATATACATATTGCTCAAATACATATATATGGCTCAAAGCATAAATCTAGTTACTAAACTATATATACTATATACATATATATGTATATATGTGTATCTATACATACATATATATGTATATATGTGTATATATACATTTGTACATATATGTGTATATATACATTTGTACATATATGTGTATATATACATTTGTACATATATGTGTATAAATGTATATATGTGTGTGTATATATTGCTCAAAGCATAAATTTAGTTTAGTTACTAAACTCTATATATATATATACTATAAACATATATATATAGTACAACATATATATATATAAACACATATATTATATATAAACACATATAAATATATATATATGTTGTACTTCTGGTTAACATAAGAGAAAATTCTGGTGCTCAGGCCCTAGTACCTAACTATCAGTGTAGTTAAATACCAGTAAATTTTATGTCCAAGTCTCTGATCAAATGTTAGTTGCATCCAACTAGAATATTTTATTGGAGAAACTTTAGTGGCTCAACCCATTAAACTCTACATAGAGGTATTTCATCTTTCAGCATAATTATCATGATCAAATGAGCTCTCTTGATTTTTTTAAATAAAAAGAATCCTTACTACTTTTTCTATTTTAATACTGCATTTCTAAAGAATGTTCAGAATGATCACACAACTGAAAATCAAATAAATGACCCCTTTTCCGTCTTTAGCTAAAGAAAGATATTGTTGACAATAACTTTAAAAGAATTTCTTTTTGTTACAAACCAAGCCAAAAGAGGAACCATCCATCAATTTTCTTAGGTGTGGCCCACACCGTTGAATGTAATTCATAAAACATTTGGAGAGTGGACCCCAGTATATTCTCACTGAAATGCAGATCCCTATAGATAATGTTCCCTGCTCCAAGTCAAGAAGTTATACAAACCCTTGTACTTCTATGACTTTGCCTTTTCAGGATTTTGGAAATGATTATCTTGAATAAGGTGTTATGCTTTGTTTTCAGATTGCATATGTTCTTGAAAGAGCTAAGACCAATAGCACAACAGGCTGACTAGTCAACAATAATTTCGTTGTACATTTAAAAATAACTAAAGGGGTATAATTGTATTGTTTGTAACACAAAGGATAAATGCTTGAGGGAATGGATACCCTATCTTCCATGATGTGATTATTTCACATTGAATGTCTGTGTCAAAACATCTCATAAACTCTGTGAGTATATGAGATAAATATATACACCTACTATGTACCTACAAAAATTAAAAATTAAAAAAGAAAAAGAAAAAAGAGGTAAGAACATTGTAGAGATTTTTGTTACCAAGTCATTTCAGGTGAATAAGTTAGATTTTTCTGGTCAAGCCGTGTTTCACATTGTAGTTAGGATTTTATTAACACAGCAGGTTTTTATGCTCATTTTCAGTTTCGACATCTGAATTATTCCTAATTTCTCTGTCTTGAAGCTTTCTAGTTGCCTCTATGAACAAGGTAAGTATACAGTTATTTTTATGTGGAGCACAATTCTAGCAATTCCAGCCTACTTTTGATAGCTTTTTCATATTCATCCTCTCAAATTTTTCTTAACTAGATGCTCCTTTCACTAACCTAAGGAGTATACCTAAGAAATGTTTCTCTACTCACACTGTTCACCAAATATGTATGGTTTCAAACTGAAGTTCTCTACAACTTCCTCATTTTCTTTTGCTTCCTACTGACTGTCTTTTGAAATGCCTACTTCATCTGCTTCCAATTTTACCTTTCCTAAGGGAACACCAGGGGTCTAATCTGGAGACATGGATATCAGTTATTTTTCCCTTCCCAATGACTCTTCTCCCATCACTCTTGGTAACAGTCAATCAGTTTCCCTTTAAACAATCACCATTCTTCACATCAGTCATCTGGGTGGGGTTAATTTTACCCCTTGCTCCAGTAATGGACATGTTCCCAACCTTGGCCAACGAGATTGTGACGTGGAACTTCAGCTGCAACAACTGGGAAAGAAATGCTCTCTTTCTTTTTCTCTTCTTTTTTTAAAACTTCAGTCATGACTTGGCATTTGTTAGACAAAATTTTGATTGACAAGCAAATAAAACCATGTTATAAAGTTTGGAGTCCACAAAAATACCCAGTCTACTTCACAAAAACTCCCACAAAATTGCAAAAGAGACAATCCATGAAAGAGCGACTTACCATTGTGCCTTATTCTATTTAACGTTCATTCTATAATGCAAAATTCTGCTCCCAGATACTCCAATTTTCACACTCCATAAGGTATAAAATCCTCTACTTAAAGACTGTTCATAGTCTAGTTTCACATGGCCTGACCAACCTTCTCACACAGCACTTTCAATACAACCTCTTTGTAGGCAGGTGGGTACAGGTACATACACAGTATTTCATTGAGGAAGGGTTCTTGAATTATTAAGACTCTTTAAGGTGGTCAGAACAGCTGAAAGGGATTAGAAACCAAAAATGCCAATGCAATGAGTAAGTAAACCATGAAAGTCAGATGCACATTTAGAAGGGGGAAATGGACAACAAAGTTATTTGCCTGTTTCTCTGGGAGCAAAATTGAGGCTAAAAATAGACAGCCCAAGAGGGTGATGAATACTTCTTTAGAATTGTTTTTTGGTCTTCATCCATTTTCAGAAGTGACTATTATCCCATATCATCCCAGCTCCATGGGGATTCTAAAATTGTGAACATTTGTAGATTTGCTCCTGAGGGAAAGAAAAGCTATTTCTACTAGGGTGACTTAGCTCGGAAGAAGTATGCCTGAAGATGCAAAGGGCCACAACCTGGAAGGGTGTGCCCAAGAGTGAAGCTAATACCAAGGGAAGCAGAGTTAATGTGCCTGATTTTTTAGTTATCTTAGCCAAAACATACATCCCTTTCCTCATCTCTCTCCCTATATTAATTTATGAGTACCCACTATGGACCCACAAGTGTAGTAGGAAGTGGGGTGCAATACAAAGAAGTACATTACAAGTTAGTTTCGTAGATGAGACCAATGCCCATGATACAGAGAGCGGCAAACAGGATATTTAAATCTTAAGTGCAAAGACCCAAATGATAAATGTAGTAAGTCTGAAGATGGCAGAGACCACCAAGGTGATGTTAGCTAAAAGTACCTTTGGACAAGAGGTGTTAATTAAACTAAAAATTTAAGAACACACAGAATTTTGATAGTTGTAGAAGAGGGTAAAGTTCCCTGGCTGGATACGGAGGAGATCTCCTCCCTACAAAGAGGCTGTGTTGAAAGTGCTATGTGATAAAGTTGGATAGGTCATATGAAACTAGACTATAAAAAGTCTTTAAGATAAGTAGAGGGTTTTATACCTTATGGAGTTTGAAGATGGGAGCAATTCTAATTTGGTAAGCAAGGAATGATATGGTGAAAGCAGTAATTTAAGATTGCTGAATCCTCAAAGCTGGTCTGCATTAAACTGCCTTAAGTGTTTGATAAAAATACAGATTTCTGCTACTGCCTCAGATCCACTGAATCAGAATCACTGATGCGGAGACCAAGAATCTTTATTTTCAACAAGCACCTGTGGAGATTTAAATGTGAAGCCAGATTTAGTGGTCTGCAAATTGAGCATGGATTAACTTCACAATCATACTGACTTCTAGGCTTTCCCTCGTGTTTTTCATACTGTAATTTCATTTACTCTCTCTATCACGAGATCCCTCATCTCCCTCTTCTTCATCTTAACATACACTTTAAGACGCACTATTAAAAACAGCGAAGGCTCCCTACCCTCTATATAACTCAGTTTCCTCATCTGCAAAATAGTCTTAATTATGCTAATTGAAATTTCCTGGTACTTCATGGGGCTGATAATTATTGTCTTTCTCCATTTTCTCATTCTTATTTTCAATGGCATTGGAAACCATTTATTTTCTCCTGCTTATTTCCACTATGCTGTGCTATCAATCTGTTTCTCACCTCTACTTTCAAAACCTTGTCCACTCAGTGACAAAGTCTTTTATTTTATCTCCCTAACAGGCCACTGCACTGTAACGGCCCTACTGTGGTTTTAAAAGAACGGCCTACACTGGCTTCTTAGGTGTTCTTTTCTTCTTACAGCCAAAATATCTTGCAAATTTATTCATTCTCATGTTCTTCATTTCTTGATAGTCTATTCACTTCTTAGTTTCTTCTGTTGGTGTTTTGTAGAGCTAACCAATAGTTCCTTTCTCTCCCCTTCCTTAAATTTGGTGCAAATTAAGGGAGAGAAATAGGGATCAGTGTGAAGGAGATCAAACTATCAGTCTTATCAATAAAAAAATAGATTGGAGTATATGCTTACCTAGGAACTTTACTGAGCTTGATAGCAATATTGAAATAAATTTGCTCCCCCAGAATGCAGACTTTAGGAATGTGTGTGTCATGGGAAGGTGACAGTACCTATCCTACATCCTACATTGCTTGCAGCCTAGCTGTGCAGACCAGATGGGCACTGTCTGTAGACAAATGAATGACAAGAAATAATCTACAAGTAACTAAGCTGAACATACTCATTTTTTGGGGAACATGCCAATCAAGTAAATCACTCCCACCCTTACCCCAGAGGTGCAAGTAAGGGGCCAGAAGGAGACCTAAAGTGATTTGCAAATGGAAGCAATTCTATAGGAGAATGGGTGGAAAGCAGTATCACCCTAACACCCAATGGAATGAAACTGCGTAATTGAGCAACACAAATGCCAAACCTCTGTTGGTTGTCTTCCTCTACTCTCTTTTTCGTGTACTCCTCTGAAGTGTTGACTACACATTGTGAGCACTTTGCTCTTTTGTCAAAGGCACCTGGCTGAGGGAAGGTGGCAGGCTGAATTCTGGCTCCTGTGGAGCTTGCCCTTAGGATTGTAGCCACTCAGAGGAAGGGGCATCATTTTCTACTTGCAAGGCAGGTGCACCTCGGGTAGAGTCTATTTGTAAAGGCCACCTGCTTATAATTTGTCTGGCCAGTGGCAGCTTTTAAAAAATTGGTATAAAAGAGCTCACACCGCACATGCCTAAAAACTCTTCTACCTTTTCCTCCCAAAGGGCATAAAGCTCTCCTTTTCCCTTTCTCCCTGACAGTCCCCTGCATTCTTTTCGATTATTTTACTCCATACATCCCCTTTGGTCATCATTGTTTAGTCTTTGGCCTCAGCTAAGTTTTCTTTTGCTTTGTCTAAACAGTATTTAAGGTAGGGATGGCATGCTTGCAATACTCTGGAAAGATGGTCTGCACTAATCACAGTGGACTGAGACCATCAATTCTGTTAGGATATTGCAGGTTTTTCTTGACTTTTGCATCAACCATGCCACATCATTGGCTCAAAATAGCACACAGTGAACAAACAATAGCTCTGCAGTCTTGTGCATATATGCTCCTATTACTAGCATCTCATCTGCTATTCCTGAATTTGAACTTATCAGGTGATATATACCATTCACTTCTACAAACTCGACCGTGGAATATGCTAAGTTAGGAAGAGTATAAGAAAAGGATAGATGCACTACTTTGGATGAAAGAAAAAGCTGAAATTTCTATTTCATGTCCACTTTCTCATTCACTTACTGATTCTCCACATGAATATTAAGCTAGGCCTTATGGATACAGAAGAATGGCACTCTGTCCACACATTCTCTACCCAAGATAAAATCTTCAGATGAGAAAGCCAAGGGAAAATGCTGGCAAGAGGCACCAAACAGCAAAGCAGAGGAGAAAATAAGAGAATCCTGACTGGGTTAATTGTGCTTAAGTCTATTATGTGGATGAAACACATTCCCTTTTCCATATTTCATTTTTCTTCTTTGTGATCCCTTCCCTATGTATTCCTGCCCTGTTATAGTCTCATCTGTGGTTAGATACTTGTTATTCTGTCTTTATATAGGCCCTTTTCTGCCTGCACCTGATGAGGAGCTCCTTGTCCTGCTACACTGGCTTCTTTTTTTGTTTGTTTGGTTTGTTTTGTTTTGAGACAGAGTCTCACTCTGTCGCCCAGGCTGGAGTGCAGTAGCGCAATCTCGGCTCACTGCAAACTCTGCCTCCTGGGTTCAAGCGATTCTTCCGCCTCAGCCTCCCGAGTAGCTGGGACAACAGGCGTGTGCCACCATGCCCCGCTAATTTTTAATTTTTTTTTAGTAGAGACGGAGTTTCACCATGTTAACCGGGATGGTCTCGATCTCCTGACCTCGTGATCCACCTGCCCCGGCCTCCCGAAGTGCTGGGATTACAGGCGTGAGCCACCGCGCCCGGCCTACACTGGCTTCTTAGGTGTTTGTTCACCATCTTCTTTTAGGTAAGTCAGAATTATCATTGTTGCTGTTTAAAAGATTCACATAAGCAATTCTTCTCAGGATCAGAGATTATTTTTACCGTTGCAGCTTTCGAAATCTGATTTCCTAGAGTCTACAATGCATGTCTGACTTCTCGTCTATCACAAGTTCTGAAGTTATACTACTACTAATGGTAACAAACACAGACATTTCATTGTTATGAGCTTTTAATTTATCCAGTTTGACTATTATCTTTTTTTAAAAAATTTGAGAGTAAGACTCCTTTCAGCAAAGATTACTGTCCCTTTTGCTTCACTACTACAGTCCTCCTAGTAAGTCAAAGTGGTGGCTGTATCTCCTGGCACTTCTACATCTTAGAATATTAAATTGTTACCAAGACACACTGAGAAACAGCTAGATACCCTTCTTTTAGTTGAAGGAAGTGTCTAGCAAGTGTCTGAACTACACAAACCCCTTTTGCCTTGTTTCTGGAGTTTGATTTTTTACCAAGTCTTATATTTTCTACCCTTACATATCTTTGGAGTATTTCTCCTCTTCGTTAGCAGTTAAGGGCACTTCAAACTGGATCAATGAAAAAAGCTTCTAATTGGAATCTCTGTCCTCAGGTATTTTTCCTTTCAATTTATTCTGAAATCAACTATCAGATTAATCTTAAAACTGTACTTTTAATACCTAACATCCTGTTCAAAAATCTACAATATATTTCAAGTAACAGTAGGATAAAGCCCAAACTTCTCAGCTTGACTTTCGAGGTCTCCAAGAACAACTTTACAGATTGTTTTCTATTTCTCATTACTTCTTGGTGATATTCCACAGGCCCAGCCACATTTACATATCCTCAACTTTTTGCCACCATTTCAATGCCTTCTCCCTTCTGGCCTTCCTGGACATTCTAACTCTACTAATTTTGGCATAACTTCTTAAATCAACCAGCAATGTATTTTTGCTACCATTACTCACTATATTATGTTGTGGGTGAGGCAAAATTTCTGCCAGAGGGACCTGTGACATACAGTTTATTGAAGGAGACAGAGTCCTATCTAGAGCTCTATAGTGTGAAGAACACACACTGATATAGAAAGGAGAATGTGACATGCTAATGCAAATGTCTTTACATAAGTTTTGGTAAAACAAGATAAGAAAAAATTATGTCTGTCTGGAGCTTTGTGAAAGACTTTATGGAAGCAGGGCCATGTGAGTTGGGCTTCGATTGATGGATAAGATTCTGATGTATCAGAGTATGGGCATTCTAGGTTAAAGGAGTAGTCAATAGTCCAGCTTGCTGGAGGGCAGCATGTATGTCTTTGGTGGGTGGAGAGAAGTTAATTTGAGATAAGGCTGGATAGTTAGAGGGAACAGTGCTAAAGGGTTTGCATTTTGCTGTCTAGTCAAGGGGATACTTTGGAAGGTTCTGAGCTATGGAATAAAATGATAGAATCAGGGCTTAGTAGGACATCTCTGGCAGCAATATACAAATCATGGATGGCTTTGAGAGAAGGAGAAACTAAAACTGGTGATCAGATGGGCAGTCGTTGTATGGTCTATGCCAATGGTAATGAACACCTGATCCAGAGAAAGCAGTGAGACAGGAAAGGAAGGGTTAGTAGGCAAGGCATTTCTACAATAGATTCTGTAAGCTTGGAAAGGGACAGAAGGTAAGCATTGGGAATTTGGGAGGAACATTAATTTATTCAATAAGATTCCATAAGACACAATATTTGTCAGGAACTCTGTTATGAGCTAGAAATACAGAAATGAATAATATAGTCTGGAATTGAAAAACTTCACAATCTATTCAAATATAGGAATATAAACAAATACCACACAGTGTAATTAAGATCTATCTATCTATCTATCTATCTATCTATCTATCTATCTATCTACCATCTATTATCTATCTATCTATCTATCTATCTATCTATCTATCTATCTATCTATCTTTTTTTCCTTAGGACACAGAGATATGAAAGATATGTCTTACTAACATGCCATTTGAACTAGTTCTTTAAAGATAAATAGAAGTTTGATAAATAATATGGAGTAGATGGGATATTGAGGCAGAGAGAACTTTTGCAAACACACAAATAAATTAAAGTACATGGTGTGTTCCTAGTGTCCCTGAACAAATAGGGAAGGCAGCGGAAGAACCTGGTAGGAAGCAAGGAAGAAAATTAACTAGATTGCGCTCAGCATTTCAATTTATTCTAAAGGTGATCATAAAATATGAAAGGGTTTTAAAAGATGTCTGTGTTTAGAAAGGTAACATTGAGCTGAAGTGGAACTGGGGGTAAAGATTGAAGGCAGAGAATTCAGTAGAACGTTGTTGCAATAATTCAGGTTTAAGATAATGAAGCTCTGGACTTGAGCACTATCAAAGGGAAAAATAGAAGATTAAACATTTATGTTGTTGGTGGAATCTGGATTAATTTACCCAGTTTGTCTATTAACAAACTGAACTGAATGTGGAAAGAGGTTAGAAGGTGACTGAAGGTTTTAATATAGATGATTGAGCTGACACTATTGCCATTGGTTGAGAAAGAATATTCAGCTTGAAGAACAGGATTTATGCAAGAAAGTGTCAGTGATCATCATAATGGTTAATGTTTACTAAGCATTTATGTAGTGGGCTCATTCTGGTACTTTGTGTAACTTAACTGTTTAATCTACACAAAAGTGATATGAAATGAGTACTCTCATGATCTCCATTTTACAGATGAAGAAATAATGTGTACAGAGTTTAACTTCTCCAAGGTTGCATGACTAGTAAGATACAGAGCCAGAATTTGAACCTATACAATATTTTATTTATTTATTTATTTTTAATTATTATACTTCAAGTTCTGGGATACATGTGCAGAGTGTGCAGGTTTGTTACATAGGTATACAGGTGCCATGATGGTTTGTTGTACCCATCAATCTGTCATCTACATTGGATATTTCTCCTAATGCTATCCTTCCCCTAGGTCCCATCCCCCAACAGGCCCCAGTGTGTGATGTCCCCCTCCCTGTGTCCATGTGTTCTCGTTTTTCAACTCCCACTTATGAGTGAGAACATGCAGTGTTTGCTTTTCTGTTCCTGTGTTAGTTTGCTGAGAATGATGGCTTCCAGCTTCATCCATGTCCCTTCAAAGGACATGAACTCATCTTTTTTATGGCTGCATAGTATTCTGTGGTGTGGAAAGTATTCCATGCTGTGGAAAAAAAAAATGTGCCACATTTTCTTTATCCAGTCTATCATTGATGGACATTTGGGTTGATTCCAAGTCTTTATGGTTTTTAAAGTAACTTTTGCCTACCCTTGTATCTGACTTTAGACATATGGAGTTCTCTTTATTGGCAGAGAGTTGAAATTCTGAAGGGTGGGAGAGAGGTGAAAGGTAGAGATGTGAAAATAATAGCAACATAGAGTAATAAGTAAAGTGGAAGTAGAGTGAAAAAGGGAAAGGACTGAGGATTGAACTTTACAAAATGTTTCTAAGTAGTGTCTGGAAGTGGTATGTGAGTCAAGGTGAGACTCAGTTGTGATCAGAGACATAGGAGGAGAGGAAGATGAGTGGTGTGTTAGAACTCAAGAGAGAGATACTGTCAGTAAGAAAGATGTGTTCCCCAGCACTGAGACCAAGATGGTCAAAGACTGCCATGAGATTTGGCATCTGAGGGTGATTATATCCTTTGAGAAGGGAGAGAATCTAGAGATTAATGGGTGGGGTCATCTTTTGCAAGTGAGGAAGGAAGGTAGTAAGCACAGACTTTGCTTTTTTGTGGTAAGAAACACATGTGATCTATCCTTTAAAAATTTTAAGTATAAAATACAATATTGTTAACTATAAGCACAATGTCATACAGAAATTTTGATAACCAAAATTTAGACTTCTAGAAATTTTCATAACCAAAACTTTATACCCATTGAACAGCTAGAAGGAAAGGTAGGTAAATAGTGGGGGAGAACGAGGAATTAAGGGAGGTTTAAAGTTTTTTTTTTTTTAGTGTTGTTGGGACAATTAACAGAGTAGGCCAACAAGGAGCTATAAATAGTGAAGAAGATGAAGACACAAAAGAAAGAGATTGCAAAAAATAAAATAACTTTTTGGATGGCGGAGACTGGTTCTGGTATACAGATTAAAGATTAAAGTGTTGGTTTTTAAAAGAAAGATGAACACATCCTTCTATGAAAGATTAGGAATGTTTTAGAAGTTATAGGACCTAATCTAATCCATTTAAATGAACTTAAATGAAGTTTTAATTTCAGAATATTAATCTGAGAGTGTTTTGTATCACTGTAGTGATATTAAAAAACTGTTTCGGGGCTTTGCTACATCATCTGTGGGATTCATCCAGACCACCTCCCAGTGGAGAGGCACATCTTCCTTCTCAGTAGTCTCAGTCCCTTGACATCCTTGTACTGAGGGTCTGTTTGGGTTTTCCCTCCCTCCTTGAACAGACTCTCCATATTGGGTCTTCGTGTCTGTGTCCCACAGCCCCATGTAAGAAGGACTGCTTCTATTCCCTCCCCCATCCCTGATAGGACACACTGGCTAGATCTTCCTCTGGTCTTATGCTCTGCATTAAGGGAGTGTAGTAAGATAGAATTAATCTATGAAGGTAACTTTAAAAAGTGCATATTGGATGACTTCAATCTCCTCAGGGAAGCAAAAGGTGAAGTAATTTGCAAACAGCAAGGGAAGGGAGTGTGCTCAAGGGTTTGAGGAAAATTGAGGAAATTTGGAAGAGTCACTGTGGAGAATTTGATTGAGAGTCAAATGAATAAGAGGATTTCCAAGCAGTCCTGAGGGGCTAAACGAGATTAGATATCATCAAATTGCAGTGGAGCCAACTGGCAGCTTCTTGACTTTCTCCAGTAATACTTGGCAGTGGGATAACAAGAGCAAAGGAAACATGTGTTTGGATTTGCCCAACACTGGGATTGGCAGGACAGCTGCAGAGGAAGCTTGAGATGGGCTAAAGGATCTTGATTACTAGTGAGAGAGTGCCCAGGGTGTTCAGGCAAGGCAGAGAAACAAATGATCCAACTGAAGCCAGAAGCTGACCATGGAACAAAGGAGAGGAGTGAGGAGGGAAGGGTCTAGAGACAAACTTGAGTCTAGAGGACAATGAACAAATGTGAGGAGGTGTGAGAAAGAGCTGAAATGGTGGAGGGACTGGACATTACTTTTAGAGGGGTCTTCAGCATCTGTGAACCTGGTGACAAAAAAGAAAATGTTCAGGTGATGATAGGATGTAATATATGCTTCCTACAAGTGGCTTACAGAGTAGAATAAAGAAAAAGGTCATCCTAGTGGGAAAAGAGAAGTAATTGAAGGTCTAGGATGTTGAAAAAGCTCTCATCTGTAATGTTGAAACCAGCTAGGGGGGGATTGGACAATCTGTGAGGCAAGTGTGAAATTCCTCAAGGAAGATGAAAAATGAACATTGTGGAGGTTAGAAAGGCCTAGCATGAAAGTCTTACCAACCTGGGTTTTCATCCTCAAATCCCATTCAGCCATGCACTAGCTGTGTGGAAAGATGGAAGATGAGAGAATAAAAAGAAACAAATAGTTCCTTTAAATTTTATTGCACTGGAACAAAAACATTTAAAAAAAAACAAACAAAAATATCCTCTTAAGTGGAGATTTTTCTTAAGTGAGATATATGTACATATTTAAGGTACTTTTATTATATTTAATGCCATCAAAAAGCAGTCGTTAGTTCTCTTTTTCTGAATAATAAAATGTCAAAGAAAATATAAAGAAAGTTCTTTTTTGGATGTCTGCAGAAAAATTCTTGATCAGATTTATGTGTCAGGCCTCCAACTCTGTTATCGACTTATTATTTGTTTAGTTTTATTTCTGGACCATGGGCATTATTTTGTAAATTCTGAAAATTTAAAACTCCCTGTTTAATACAAGGCTTTTTAGCCACATGACCAACACATTTCATGAGTAATACTGTCTTCTCTCTCAGTTCTCTTCCCGAGATTACTTCACCCCATGGGAATAATTATCAGGCAGCAATTTTGCAACACTTAGAATAACTGAAAAAGATCACCTTGTTGTCATGGTGTTGGATGATGTTATCCATTTTCCCATCCAGTCAACAATCACCTCATCATGGCCACAGTGGTAGTAGGAGCTTTGCTGACTGCCAAATGTTAGGTTATCAAATCCATTCCCAATCAATAAAATATTATCTTCATTTACAGAGTCCTGAGTGTTTTATCCACCATACTTTTGAATAACTTAAGCAACATGACTTTAGCTACTTAGAATAGTCTAAGAATTCTGATAGTCTCTAAGAAAACACCTTAATATTTGGTTTAATTGTCTTTTGTTTCACTCAAGTCAGTAAAACCTTGATTTAAATGACTATATTTTACTAAAGACATGTAAGGATGAATTATCTTTCAATGTATTTTCAAGGTGGCACTCCAAATAGTGGATCATTTTTGGTTAATGTGAATATGACATTCACTAATTTGCAGTGAGTAGGAATTTCTTGTCATTGAAAAAATGTTCTCCATATGTCAGACTGATCTGGTCATCTCTCTGATACAATTTTGACCAAAATTTTATGTACTAAAAAAATCTTTAAAAATCTGGTTTATAGATGGTTTTCCCTAGTTGTCTTCACGTAACTCACTTCCAATTAAATTCTTGGAGTCACATTTTTGTCTCACTCTCATGCTTGAGAACTGGCTCTTCCTAAGCTGATCAATTGTTCAATGTCCATTTTTTAGCCTTTAAATTACTAGAAGTCCCTGATGCACTTGGTTTGCTGGTGTTCTTTTACACATCACTATTTCTCACTTATCCTATAATCTTTGTCTCAAGGGTCAACTCCTTCAATAAATCTTTATGTCACCCTCTCCCAACCTCCTGCGCTGGGCAAAGTGCCTCCCTTAGGTAATCTTATAATATCCAATATGTTACTGTATCCATGCACTGGTCATGTTGTACTTACCTTCAAAATTTTACCTTCAAAAATCCAGTAATAGAAATTGAGACATGAACAAGTAATTATATATATATATATGTATATATATATATAATTTCATATTTTATATATATATATCTCACTCATATCTCAATTTCTATTATTGGATTTTTGAAGGTAAAATTATATCTAATTCTTCTTTGTATTTTTAGTATTTAAGCATAGACTAGGCAATCAGAATATGCATGAATAAAATAATGTACAAAAACAGCAAAATATAGAATATTTTTTACTATGTAGTCAGTTAATTTGGATTCTTAATAACCTCAATATACAATGGTTAGTAAAGCAATAGACTTATTTTGATTAAGAAAAAATGAAGGCAAGATAAATGGGCTGTTGTATATTACTGTATATTTATGAAGATAGACTGGTTTCCTCTACTATCCCTGTAAATGCCAAAAAAAAAAGTTGGTGACAGTGTCTGTTGGGAGATAGAGAAATAGCTGTAGAATGCATACTTTTATTGTTGTCCACATTTTGATCTTCAAGCCCAATTCTACTTAGGGAATTGATTGTATCACCTGTGAGCCAAAATAACTTTTGTCCATTGAGGATCAAACATTGAGCTAGACAGCACATCCACATTTACTTGCAGCATTAGTCACAATAGCCAACAAGTAGAAACAACTTAAATGCCTATATATGGATGAATGGATAAAGAAAATGTAGTATGTGCATATAATGTGATATTATTCAGCCTCTAAAAAGGAGGAAATCCTGTCGCATGCTGCAATATGGATGAACCTTGAGAATATTATGCTAATTGAAATAACCCAGTCATTAAAAAAAAAACCAAATACTGAATGATTCCACTTACATGCGGTATCTAAAGTAGCCAAGCTCATAGAGTAGAGAGTAGAATGGTAGTTGCCAAGGGCTAGGGGAGAGGAAAAATGGAGAGTTGTTCAATGGGTATAGAGTTTCAGTTTTGTAAGATGAAAATATTCTAGAGATTTGTTACACAACAATGTGATATAGATAATGCTGCTGAAACGCACACTCGAAAATAGTAGAGATAAATTTCATGTTTTATGTTCTTTACCACAAATAAAAGTAAAATTAAGAATAATAATTACTCTGAAAAAAAAATAGGCTCAAAGCTAGCAAGGTGATGCCTTTGATCATCTTCCCAAGCCCAAATCCTGATATTGGTTCTCTGGTACCTCAAGCTCTAATGTTGACAAGAGAAATGGAAGAGTTAATCCAAAAGGAGAGAGTTTTTCCTGCTTCCACACCAACAATAGGCGAGGTCTAATATCACAGTTTATCAGTCTTTTACCATGAGCCTCTTACTGGTGCCCATGAGAAGATTCAAGAGGCCAGTACTCTCGCTCTAAAGTATGAGATACAAAAGAATTTCATCCATTGAACCAGCTGCAAGAGTAGCCAGGGATAAAGAACTCAGACAAGTGACATGTTAAGGAATGTACACTTTATTCTGTGAATAATTTCAGCTTCTCATAGCCTTTTAGCATTATAAGTGATCAAATATGTGAGTTAATGCAATTGATCTGGCAGAAGTATAGAAGAGAGATTGGAATGGTGTCAGAGAAGCTAAGGGAAAAGCCACTGCCTAAGATGGAAAGAGAGTTTAAATGTATCATTTCATCTTAGCTTCGATGATTGGATAGCCATTGGAACAACCAATTTAAATTTAATGTCATAGTGGAGGTAAAATGACAAGCTTATTGGCCTAAGAAGTAAATGAGAGTTAACAAATAAGAAAGAGCAAGTATACCTGGTCTCCTGGGAATGGAGGCAGGTAAAGTATTATTTAGGGGTGAGAAGATTGCATCCGACTTCTTTTGCTTAAGGAGGAAGGGACTTAAGCAGACTAGACTTAGGGTAAAGAGTTAATAGAGAGGGAGAATTAGAAGATACAAGAAGCAGAGGAGATGACTGACATACAGAGTTACCAAAGGGACCATGAATATCTAGAGTTAGGAAGAGGAATTAGCATTCAATAGGAGAGGGGCACATATATTTTCAGAAAAAGTAAGAGAAAGAAGGAGAGATGTGAGATACTGGGCTTCTGAGGTTGAACAAGGATGCCAATTTCCATTCTTGATTTGCAAACTGATAGCTTAGAGCCAACTTTTCGTAAGCATTATTTTGCTTAATCTTGATGAGATTGATTTAGATTGTTTTCTAGCCAAGATAAGTTTGACTAAAATATTGGGTGAAATCTTCAAAGTGATTATTAAGGGTGAGTTATAGATGTTTCTTATCATCACTGGAAAATAGGGCGAGACAGACATAGAGGTTTTCCAAAAATGTCCTTTATTGTGTTGAGCATAATGACCATTTACCAGGCAGTCTGGTCTCTTGGGGAAGTGCAGGCAAGGGCTCAATTCAGCCCAAGGGATGCCAGTGAAGGACATGTTCAGCAAAAAGGAAAATTTCTTAAATAATGCAGACTGTGGCTTGGGCTGAAATTCAAATCATTTTCTTATTAGGTGATTTCCCAGTGATCTCTCTATAGGAGATACTGGAAGGTTGGAAATCTTTTAGTAATGTTTTTGAAGTTATTTCATAATGATTCAGTTTCTATTTTTGTTCTGAGTACTAAGGTTATTTATAATCTTCTAACTGCTTTTTTCAGTTATTTTTATATCATTACAAAAGAACTCCTTCAAAATGGTAAATTGCTGACACCTCTTCATATTGGCTTGACTATTCCTCCTCATTTCATTAGTTTTGATTATGTAAAAAACTGTATCATAAAACTCCCAATACAAGCTCCTGTTGAGATGTGAAGGACAAACATTCTCAAGAAATACAATTTTATGAAAATGCATTACTTCATAGGGAACACTAACGCCCATTGTGAGCACAACAACATGCAGTCATAAGATGATTTAAATGTCCATGGTAATAAAATTCTGACCTTAAGTTAGTGACAGCAGATGGGTATCTTTTAAACATCAACCACTACCTGTTACTGTGGGAGGTAGGGGTAGAGAAGTAGAATGTCATGAAACTCTGATGCAGAGACTAGATAAATTCTCAAATATAGCTGAAATATAACTAATTGATGTCATTTTCCATTATACAATCTAACACATTCTCCAAAACATCTGGTTATTCACGTCTATTTTGACTATCTTCTTGCCTCATTGGAAGAATATTCAGCACGACTGTATGTGGGTTCTCAGGGCATTTGTTGTGCATTAGAAGTTACAATGCCTTGTTAATAAATGATACTTTGACATTAGTGTATTCCTCAAGACATTTTCTTTTTGATCAGGAAGACTAAAGTGTCTAAACTGAGATATATACATGCACACATATGTGTATATACATTGCAAAATGTTGATGGGTGTTTTTCGTAATCATTGTAATAGCTTGAAGGGATTCTGAGAAATATGAAAACAAAAATAATCATCTGAAATCCCCCAGTCTAGATGTTAATTAATTAATAACATTTTTGACCTAACAGATATCTATGTTTGGTGGACAAAACAGAGCAAAGTTAGCATGGTTCCTGCTATCACGAGAACAGCACTACATAATATTTGGGCTCATTCCCTTCTGGATATCTCCTTGTGAGGATGGTTATACATGAGTGTGTGCTCATATTTTAAACACACAAACATACACATATACTTTATAAAATTAAATAAACTACAAGTCATTATCTGTATCTTTCTTTTCCCAGGGAACAAGAGGTTGTAACATCTCAATTTGTCAATAATACAGAGCATCACTTTCCTTGGCTGCATAGTCCTTTATTGAATTACTGTCTTAAGTTGGGTTCCTTGGTAAATAGAGTCTGACGGGTGTTACAGAAAGATTATGGGAAAGTGATTGTGAGATCACCTTTGAGAGAGCAAGGGCTGTAGCACTGGTCACACAGAAGAGATGGACTGCAGCCAAATTCTTGTACAATGACAAAGGAAACTCAGGAGCTGGCGCGGCCCTTTAGGAATATCTCCAACTGAGGCTGCACCTGCCACCACTCAGAAGGAAGCACAACACCTAGCAGGTCTCTACAGGTTCTCAAGACAGCATATTTTATTATCAAAAATATTGCTCCAATCGATTTCCTGGGTACAAGAAAAACTACACATTTTGAGTGGGACCCAGAAAAGAAAAGGTTCTGCTACAGGCTCAGGCTGCATTTCAAGTGGCCCTGCCAATGGGGACCTTTAACCTGATATGAGAGATATCCTTGCCTAAGACAGAGACTATTGCAATAATGAAGGTAGTACTTGGTGGTAGTTTGGACCAAGATGGTAGAAGTAAAAGTGGTAAGAAGAAACTGAATATATTTTGAAGGTGGAGCTAACAGATTTTCTGACTAGTTGGATGTGGCTTATAAGAGGAAGAGATGAGTCCAGAAGGACAACAAAGTTACCTATCATAGACTATTAGGTTAAATAGTTGTTTAAGTATCACATCCAGGAACAAGACAGTAAATTTCTAGACAGCAGCAATCATGTCTTATTTATTTTAAGTTTTGTGGACCTTATTTAATGCCTGGTGCATAGCAGGGCCTCAAAGAAAGTGCTGAGGGCATTTTAACACACATATGTATCTGAAGTATTGCCACTGCAAATATTGTGATATATTTTATTCACTTAAATAAAGATTATTTAATTTAATACTTGCTAATTATTTATGGTTGCCAAACATTAATATTCTTAGCCTGATTATGATTTTTTTGGTACAGAAATATAGGAGATAAATGAACAAGACATGACCTGGAATAGTTCAATGTTATTTTTCCTGATTCCGAAAGTGCAATTATTGATTTTATTTTTATCATGGTTAGAATAATACTAACATTTGTCATCTCTGTCTTTTAGCACTCAGCTCATGTGGAACTATTAAAAATTGCCCTTATAGATTGTTCCATAAATAAAACAGGATTGCAGTATATGGTGCAACATACCCTTTTAGAAGGTTAGACAAATGCAGTCTGTATGCTATAATGTTAGTATGACTAGGACATTTGGTTAGCAATCAGTAAAGATAATGAGGAAGATACTTTATCAATGAATTATGTATCAATTGTTTTCTTGAAAAAGAAATATAGTGGAGATGAACTTTATTTATGACTGGATTTCTTTAAAAGGGTTAGGAAGGTTGCTGCTTTATTGTATGCTGTAGGTTCTCAAATCAATATTTACTTTGTCCTATGCTAATGCAATCCTATCTATTTGCTAAAATAAACATTAAAATGTGACCTAGTTACTGTGCTCTCAAGTCAACTTGCCTAAGGGTAGATATTGGAGAATTAGTACCATAGGACTTCCTTTTCCAATGGTATTTTAGAATATTTGATGAATACATTACTTAAGTATTGTCACTCTTACTTCTATATTCATTCTCTGGCTACTCATACTTGCAAGTGTCTTTATCTATCATGTAATGATTCTGGAATTAGTGTCTGGAGCCCTTGTGAAAAAGTATTTCTCTACCAAATTATAAGATTTATTAATAAGCTCTAGATGTCAACTCCACTTTGATCTGTGGATGCCTGGTCCCACCCCCATCCCTTTCTTATGAATGAAGAAGGTATTTTTGTCCACTTGCACACTTGTCTTTGGTGTTCTTTTTAAAACCAGGATGACAGATTGGCATGGCCAGGGTACACTTTGGATAACATTAATTTAGCTGGCTCAGATCTAAACAAACTACTAATCCCCCCACACCTTTTTATAACCTGAGCTCTCTGTTCAGTATGAGAAAAATGACTACTATATGCCTTTTCTAATTTGCACTCCGAGTAGCTACATGGTGTGGCAGCCTAGTGAGAAATTCATCAGTTGAATCCACCATTTGTCTCATTTGATTGGGAATTATCTTAAATCATTCTTGTTTAACAATTTAATTACAGGAAGTTCAGGTTTAATTCATGAGAACCCATTTACCAATAATGATTATAATTGCTTTTTTGTTTTACTTTTAGGTTGCTCTCTAAAAGGGATATGAATCATGCAGATTTTTGGTCAGAAGACAGGCAATAGATTTAGATGTTTCATATGTAAACACCACAATTTCTAAATCCCCCAGTAGGGGTTGTACAGTCAACCTTTGGCTTAGTAGGTCAATAATCACTATAAGGGACACCAAAATTCTACTTATGGCATAATATTCCATAGACATTTAGTATCATGGAAAATATTAATATGCTAAAATACAAGTCTAGATCAGAAATTTTCATCCTTTTTTAATTGTAACACTGTATGTTTTGATTTGAGATTCTCCCACTTCACTACTTTAAGAACTCTATTCTTATAGAATATGTTAATTAATAATGATTAAAAATATGCTAACAATAGAGGAAATTGGACAATTTAATAACTTTTAAAATGATGAAGGAACTGCTCATTGAAACCTCAAAAATGTTACAATTAAATAAACTTTGGTATTCAAGTCATTAAAGGTGAAGTAGAAAACTTTGAGCTTACAGTTATTGTAAAAACCTATCATTTAAAATTATTTTATAGTTTCTTATAAGCCTATAATATTTATATTTGGACATTTTAAACTTTATAAAGAGTAATTCTATAAATAGCTAAGTGACATAAGCATATTAATGATAAGATGTAATGAATCTACCCTTTATGACATATTTCTTTTGCAAAAAAGAAACTGTAGGGAAGAGATTAGATGATTTATCCACCCAGTAATCAGATGTAGTTTATTAAAAAACAAAAGTTGAAGGGCTGTTACACTGCAGCAAAAATAATTACAGGAGAGTAAACTATGCTTAAACTATATTTCACAGTGTCTCCTTCTGATGTGAAGCTGAGTACAATCAGACTTCAGGATGTTTCCTATATCCTATTAGAAAAACATGGAAGAATATAAGAGAAAGAACATTTTATTCAACCTTAAAATTGGCCACTTACTTACATTTTTAAACATTTTGGACAAAATATTGTAATTATGAAAGTTACTTTTCCTTAGATTTTTTTTCTTGTTACCTTTGATTTACATTAGGTTCTCACTGAGTTATCTAACAAGGGGAACACCAATTTTAAGAAATCATTTTTGCTGACAGCCTTTTAAAAATTTTCTATAGGGCCAGGCATGGTGGCTCATGCCCAGCACTTTGAGAGGCCAAGGCATGAGGATCACTTGAGCCCAAGAGTTCAAGGTCACAGTGAGCTATGATTGGATCACTGCACTCTAGTCTGAACAACAGAGAGAGAGATTCTGTCTCTTAAAAAATGTATTAAAGTTTTCTATCATAATGAGAAGTAGTAAGAAATCTTCAAGCAAATCCTCTCCAAATCCCCTGAAGTTAATGAACTTTGACAAAGTTCAATGTTGGTTATGAAATAGAAAACTAGACAAGTTTTGATATGACTTTCCACCAGGGGAAAATATTTATAGTGTTTTGGGAAAATAGAGACCAAGTAAATCAACATGATCATTACAGAAATAATAACAGCCAGAATTACAAAATACAGATTTCTTTTTTTCTGTATTATCTCAGTTGATCCTTGCAATAACCTATTGAGGTCCCTATTACTATATCTTAATATGAAAAATATTTTAAAAGGCTTTTTTATTATTCATTTTCAATCAGTTAATTCAATTTGGCATACCAACTGTGATAATATGAATGATGAAAATTACAGGCTTATTGCCTATAGAAGTAAGACTTTTTTTGTGTTGGATAATATCACATATATTACACCACTTTCATTTGGAGGATGTTTTACTTCACCACTTACTTTACCAATTGGTAGGAATTACAGGATATTTTGTATTCCCTATTTTATATGAGGAAACTAAGGCTAAGGAAGTTTCAATGATTTTAGTAAGGTAAAAACTGAGATGAGGTGTAGTAGGTACTCACTGTTGAGTGGTCTGGCCTTAATGTAAAGTGCTGGGTAGGGAAAGAACAGGCACTCGAGGAAGCTGACTAATTCAGGCAAAGGGGTCGTTAAGCAAATAATTACTGTGAGTAGTGGGAATATTAAGGAAATACTCATAAAGATATTTATAAATATTATCAAAACAAATCCAGCTAAATGCTGATTTTGTCAGTTCCGTAAGCTCAATGTACCTTGTAACTTCCTACCATTTTCATGAAGGAACATATATCAAGAAAATCACATCCATGTTAGGTCAACAATGCTTGCTCTTAATCTACATCATTTTGGTTTTGTATGGAATAAAACAATATATATAACAGAAATCCTCTGAACGTCACAGAAAAAAAGGCACTATATAATTGTTGGTATTAGTATTACCATTAACATTTATAAAGCTTGTCACCTCTCTACTTCAGAGATGCATTGTGGACATTTGAATGAGGTAATGTCTGTGAATTCTTATGCGTTTTCTAAATGAGAATTAAGATGTAAATACAAAATGTTTTTATCAATAAAGTATTAGGTGAATCTAGTCTAGACAGAAAGTAATAAAATTTGGGGAGTTAAATAGATGCTGACAGCTTTTTGCAAATAGTGCTGGTGATTCGGTACTACTAGTTTGGATTTCAAAGTATAAATTTTTGTTTTCCTAAGATCGTATTAGCATGAATTAAAATTTTAAATATGAATCTTTTAAACACTCTATCCAGAGTAAGTTTATGTTTAACAATCCCGTCTTAAAAACACAATTTTCATTATTATAATATATATGTATGTTATAAAAGAAAGTTTCTGTATAAAGAAAGGGCTATTGCCATTTAATGCATTGCATCTCTTAATTAATTTTTTTGTAGTTTTCCTTGATGGGACTTGCATATATCCCATAAAAAGACTCAACTGGGTTAAGCTTGCAGATAGAACAAATAGGGTGTGGTCACTTAATGAGATTATTTACTTCTCTATTCATCATTCTTGTGATCTTGCATCAATTTACAAGTAAGCTAAAATACATTTTCAGAATACATATACAGTAGTCATAATCTCCCTACTCAAGGAAGTTTGCAATACTCCTTTGAAAACAGCATTTAAAGTACCTCTAATAAAACCGCACAGATTATTTTAAGAAATCTTGCTTGAAAAGTAATTTGCTGTTGCTTTCACTAGTTCCTCTGCTGTTGATAGTTATCATTAGCAAAACGATCATCTCCTCACAGGGAATCCTGGAGTGACATTTAAGGAGTTTAACATTTACTGCTGTGATGTTATATTTGCTTTGTTCAAACTGACAATGGATTTCTAACCTAAATTAATTAATTAAATGATTGGTCCTCTGCCAGAAAGAAAAAAAATCAAGACTTTGATTGTAAGTTGGAGTCTTCATTACCATTTTAAAGATTTCTTCTTTTGGTTCTAGTCTTTACATATCAACTCATGTCTTCATACACAGAAGTTTTAAAATTAAACTCCGTGATCACACAATGACAAACGCACCATGGATGCTTCTGTTCTAGCCTGTCATTACAACATCACAAAGCCTAGCAAAACAGTGTGATAGAACTGAGGTGTCTTTATGCTGAAGCGGTAACTTCAGAGTCAGACTGAAGGAGGAAATCGGGATGTATTCATGGACAGCCTTTACCAACACACAAGCAATAAAAGGCATCATATTTGCTTGAGCCATTTAGATGACTTAAAAAATTATTTAAGGAGTGACTAAACTACAGAGAGACTACAGCCCCAATCTGTTTCACTGCAGTAGAGAAAAGGTAACTCTGATAGCAAGTCAAATTTTAAGGCCTTGATATCTAATGATCATTGGGAATAATAACGCAGGAAAGCCTGGACTTGAGTCGCTTTTTCTACTTCAGATATGCTTAATTATCTCCTGATTTCTTAAAATCTGAAAAGCCAGATGCTACATCAAGTCACCTGGACACTTTAAAAGTATATGGAGGTAACTTTTTAAATTAATAGTCCCAAAAAGTTCCCTGAATAGTTTCTTTGGCATCCATTTGATTAAGTATTTTTCCATGACTATTATCTAACTCATGCATTGAATGTGGACTTCCTTCCACCCCCTCCCCACTTTCCCCATTGGAGCAATAATTGCTGTTCTTTTCAAATCCCCTAGGATAGTCTTCGCTCTGCAAAGTTGAAACAAGATGTGACATCCAGTCCTACTTAATCAGTGTTCAGCCCAAACCCACAGTGGCAGTGAAGGGGGTGGTACTTACAATTTGTCCGTGACACTGACCAGGTTTTTAAGGAATGAGAGTGAGGGAAAATAGCATAAAATACTTAAATTTTTATGGAAAAGGTATAACTTGGTGAAAAAGCACCATCATAAATTCCCAAAAAGTGTATCTTAATGATACACTTAGAGTAAATCATTTGCCTTGAGAGACAGGAGGTCTCTGGTGACCCGCATTGCAGCCACAAGAGACTCCTAGACTAGCTACTTTCAGCTAAATGTACTCTCATATTAATATTTTAAAATGCCATAATGCCTCTCTGAAAACCTCAGAGGACAGATACATCAATTTGCGAGGTCTTCACTCCAGGAAATAGAAACAGGGATAATCTGCCATTAAAAGAAATAGTTCATTATGTCTGCTTCTTGGGAGCACATAAACTATGTCCCTCACATACTTAAGTTGCAAATCCTCACTTTAATGTGAAGGGAAACACCATGCCCCAGAGCTTTATTGTCCCACTGTTTATTAGTACAAAAAGGTTTGTTGTGGTATGAAATCTTAAGCTTGTTGCAGTAATCAATCAGCTTCAAAGACTCTTCACCCTGAGCCAGATTCATTACAAATAAATCAATTAAACATAAAGTTTCTATTTTCGGGAGGTTCACAATGCAGAATAGAAGCAAATGCATCACAGTTAGAGAAAGGAATTTTCCTGGAGCGATGTCACTTCACAAAGAGCCCTTTTGCCTTTATTATACCATGGAGCACATGCTCTTTTATTTTAGTTAATTGCAGACATTCTTCTTCTTAGTATATATTTTTCATTGGGGAAAAATCATATCCATATGAAAAAGATATGTGGTAAGCTAAAAATATTGCTGGAGGCAGGAAAAAATAAACAATTGGTTTGTGTCTTCTTGTGATTACCAGCCTGAACCTCTAGTGAAGCATTGGACAATTTTCACTCTCTAAGCTTTATTGTGTTTTTTTTTTCCACCCTCTGTGCTACAGCTGTTTATAGTACAGGCAGCTGGGTGGCAAAAACAAAAACAACAACAAAAAAACAAATCAAATCCAAAAACAAACGACAAGAAAAATCAAAACCAAAACCAAAAATAACAACAACAGAAAAAAAAACAATAAATATCTCAAATTTCAACATCTCAGTATGTCTTCTTCATTAGTGAAACAAATAAAGGACTAAACATTCTAAACCAGAAAGCCTCTTTGATTCATTTTGGGGGTTTAGTAATTGGGAAAAATAGGATTGCAGACAGATTTTTCATCTAAGTCAAACTTACTAAGTGAACACTATAAAAACACTCATCAGTGACGTCCTTATTTTTCAGATATCTTGTCTAATGTGTTTTTTCATAAAACTAGCTGTTTGCAGAGACATCTAAGAAGTGAAAGCGTTTGGCTGTGAGAGGGGCCAAAATCAAATGATTCCTTACAGAAAAATAGTCAAAGTCATTCATGTCACTGGGAGAAGGGGTGGGGTTGGGTAGGGAGATAGATTTGGGGTGTGGGCTGTAGGAGGGTGGGGAGGGTGGAGGAGCAGATCTTTCTTATTTATTACTCTGCTTATATAATAAAATGCTGGCCAGTCCAAACCCCAAAACAAAAAGATGAAAAAGCTTCAGCAATCTAAATAAGTCTCTTTCTCTGGCCAACCATTACTAATAGTTGTTTTGATGACATATGATATGCTCTACATATGGTAACATGTGCAGTGCCCTTCTGGAGCCATCCCAGAGACAAAGATGGAGACACAACCAAATATAACAGCAGGACCCTGTGAGCTCACACTCTCTGCTAGCCTCCATGAAGAGTATGGACTTAGTAGGAAGTATAAAGCCTTCGGTAAAGCATTTTGTCTTTGAGTACTAGATAGTCTTTTTGAGAGAGGTGGGGAAAAATCACCTTTTTCTAGGAATTTACAGTGTGACAGTGCTTATTTGTTTGTCCATGATGAGGTGCATCAAGACCCTCAGTGGTAATAAAACACATGCTCTAATAATAAAATATGCTGGAAAGATAAAGGAAAATCCCCATTGGCACTCTCACCCAATGTGCATCACAGACTTCTATGATGCACCGATTTTGGAGTGAGCATTCCTTCAATTTATCATCCCCAACAAGAAAAAAAACTTCTGAAAGTATGTGGCACTGCTAAAATACACTAATGACAGCATCAACTACTTCATATCTATGTTATTAGACTATGAATGCTCAAGGGAATAATGAATTGTGTTTTAATCAGACAAATCAGAGCTTACCATTGAAATTTTTAGTACTTACTAATGCGCAGCACGTATGTATTCTACAGATAAGTGCTTCAGCAATAAAAGCAATTTTTTTCTTCACATTTATTATATAAATGTCTAATACCAAATCAGATATTTATTTATTTTCAAGAAACTCTAAACTTCCTAGAACTGGTTTGGAACATATTTCATATACTACAGAGATCATTTATATGTCGATTTACTTATATATCTTGATTTAAAAGGTATTTGAGGTGAAATACAGAAAACACTTCTTGAAAAGTCAAGGTATTTAAATTAGAATCCATATCAGGAAACACTGGCTAAAATATAGAGTATAATAAAATAAGTAGGTTATTTTTATAAAGAAGGTTAATTCAGATTACCATCATTAAAGAAGCTCTTGCTACTTCCTCCTACATCCTTACTAGAATTATCTCATATGACAATTGAAGATGACTGTGTATTCTCCTATAAAAAATGAGAGCCACTTGAGGAGTATGGAACTGATTTTTATAAATATTTTTCTATTTTTATGGAATATTCTATTAGAAGATTGACTTTCATCTTTTATCATTAAGATAATTAAGAAATATGATTAAAATATCACAACAAATTTTTAAGATTACGTTATCTAAAATATGATATGTGCTTTTACAGTCCTGAAAACATGTCTGCTTTGGCCATTTTAACTAAATTGGTAATATACCAGTTTGGTAAATGGGTCAAACTGAAAGTGTAAACAAAACCAAAATAGCATCATGTTCTTGACAAATGTGCTGTCACATAAAAAAAAAAAGATGATGACAATGACAATAGTGATGATGAAAGAGGTAGAGATTAGAAAGATAAAGTTAGTGTAATTTTGGCACCTTTAATATTGAAAATTTCTTCCCCACTATAAATAACCCACAAGTGAACTGACTTTAAAAGGAGATTCTGAATTGTGGGAGATAGATCATAAGATATATCCTATCTCTCTATGCTATTATCAGTGCAGAAGAGAATATTGATCTTCATATTTGTTATGATAGGGAAGCTTGTGCTTAATTGTTCAAAAATATGTTACTAAGCTATTTACAGAAAAGTTCAACAGATATTCTGATTAGATAATTCAAGAGAATAATTTAACCTAATTTTGATAACCAATTTCTAGCTATTTTAATTACAATGTTTATATTATGACGAAAAAATTAGGAAAAACAATTCAATGGGAATGTTATCACTTCTTTGGCTAACACATAGATTTAAAAAGAGAAACAAAGAATGATGATGGAGAAATAAATATCCTTATTGTTATTACACATTTTCTGAGTAAGGAGTTTGAACGGTCAGTAGGTTATCTGTGCCTGAAGCCAGCCTGCTGCTCATGCAGGTGATTAGTCTGAGAGCCCAGACCTGTAGGTTAGTGGGAAGAAAGTGAGTAAAGCGCTTTGATGCTGAATCCAGGGAGCCCTTATGTATGTATGTATGTATGTATGTATGTATGTATGTATGTATGTATATAGTATGGCATATGAAAAATTCCCTTTTTATTAATTGGTCAGTTTATGTATAATTCCTATTTTCACAAATTATTCCTAGGGAGGCAATGCAAATATGATTGCTGGAATAGGTGTCTATCAAACAGTAGAGAATTTAAATAGTTCAGGAGCCAAAGGATTTTCTCTTGGCTGTCTTTTTAAATTCTTCTTTTTTAAATAGCACATGCCTCCCTGATTCCAATCAGGGATAATTTTTTATCTGTAAAATAATACAGAGATTGTCATATGGCTGTGGATTCAGGAGAAGTCAGTTACTAAGTCATCCAGGAACATTTGTGACTCTCTACATCCTCCATACTTTGTACCTGAAATTACTCCTTAGGAAATTATGGCCCCACATCTCAATTACTGTGGTGAATAATTTTGAATCCCAGGACATTCCACTGAAGTTTGCTACAATCTACGTAATAAAATACATTATTATATAAACATGCAATGCCTTTTCTGCCTACTCTGATTCTGCTTACTTTACTATGGTATTTCTGGCTTCTTGGCAGCTAATATCAAGAGAAGGGATGACCAGTCTGCTATCTCAACCCTACAAAAAGAGCATTCAGGGCATGTGTGGGCCTGCTCAGATCTGTTGAAGTGTCATTAGTGGGAAAGCTTAGTTGAAGCAGAGTGCTTTGAATTCTTTGCACTATAATAGAAGATTAATTATAGTATTAGAGAAAAAACTCGTTCCATCTCAGCCTAACTGAACCTCTGAGTTCACCATTCCAATTAAACGTTTAGAATTCCGAGTACCATCGTTAAGCTATAGAATAAATGTAATGAGAAAATTCTAGCATATTCGCTTTATGCAGAAATTTATTTACATAAAGGCTAATTATTAAATATCCAATATTGGCTTATATATCAAAGATATTATTTAGATTTCTTGGGCTAGCAAGTAGAGAAAGACTTCAGAGCCAAACTGAAAAAACTGGATAGGAGGTGGATGCAGTGGAGACAGCTATTTTTAAAGTCTATCAGTGAAAGGAGAGAGAAAAGTAAGATGGTAGAAAAGAGTAACTTCAGGATTGAGTAAAAGCAAAATGTTTTTCCAAAGAGTGGTACTGAGGGCAATGGGAAAAAGGTAGAAGTTCTCACGTTCATATTTTCCAGAGGCATTAGAGGGACCATTGTAAAGGGAAAGCTGGGTTCTTGCAGTGGGGCTAGGCCCTGAGTTTAGAGGAGAAGTTCACCGGGATGGTTTTGTTATTCTAAGGAAAGTAAATGATGGCTTTTTCTGTTCAGTGAGAAAGAGAGGAGGGTAGATTGGGGATTAGGAGTGCGTGCTAAGACAATTAGAATTGTTTTTTGGAGAATATGAGAGAAGATTCATGAGACCAAGGAAGAGTTAAAGAGATTTGGAAGAGCCACTGTGAGCCCAGTTCAAGTGAGAAAACTCTGATTTTGATTCTATCTTTAGGCTGCTTTGACCTACTTTGAAACCTCCCAAATGGTCACAACTTTTCTGCTTTGTCCCTGGACCACCATGGTAAGGTCTTACATGGCCTGCTTGTCTCATGAAAAAAAAAAAAACGTGTTCTAAATCTTTCTCACTTCCAAAACCAAAATTCATTTTTTTTTGCACCAACCATATCAAACTAATGTGGTAAATGTATAATGTAAAAAGGGATCATGATTACTTCACCTATCCCTACAAGATTTTTGTCATTCCCTCCCAAGTGACACTATTTTTCAATAGGGTAATTTAGAAAATAATTCTATACCCCAGAAGAAAAAGACAAAGTTGGAAAGTTTCAGGCAAGATGGGGGGATTTATAAGGCAACCTATGTAAGCAGTGGGTTTTGAAAGATTTCTTATATCACATCACATCATATAACTGGCCACAGCTAATATAAAATATATTTGTGTGTATATATGTATATACAATATCTATATGATGATTATATATGAATATTACCTGTGCATTAGGGCTATTCTTTCCTAAAAACCTGGAGAGAAAAGATTGTGCTGAGCTGTATAAATATTTCTCCCTGATTGCACAGTATATAAAAATAAAATGACACTTTCAAAATACTTTACCCTGAAAACTTTTCTATTACTTGGGGAAGCTCTTCTTAACTGCTTCCTTCGAGTTTCGTTTGTGATTTACTGGGACCATTTAGAGACAGCTCATATTTTCTAGACATACTGTAGGTATTTTAATGCCTTAATCAATTTTTGCCACTTTAGTTCCTCTGCTGGGCTAGATTAATCTTTCCCTAGGTTCCCAACTTTCAAAGAAGAACACTTATCAAAATCATCTTTACAGGAAAAAATGAGGCTGCAATTAAAAAAAAAGAAAAACGCTTATCTCTCCCAAGTCATATATCACAAATATTGTTAACTATGATATAAACAGCTTTTTGAATGAAGACTTAAAATGAATACATGGTCTTCAGTTCTAGAAACTGTGTAAAAGTAAATACTCTTTCCTTTTCAATTTAAGTCAATTTGATTTTCATTTTTGCTCCACTGATAAATTACAATATGTCACTCCCAAAGTAGTAGAGGCACCATACCCAAAACTTGTGGTATGGGTGAAAATGATATTGTAAAGCAGGGGAGAAGAAAGAAAGTAGGAGGGGGCATGGGAAACCCCCTATAAATGAATCTCCAATGTCTAATTGGGGGGATGGTTTATTAAGTAGGATCCTGTTTATCTTTCTAGGCTCATTTGGTTTCAGCATATATGTGATCTGTTCTTTTGACAAGCCTTCCCTGTCTTACTTTTCCAAAAGTCCTCGACTATCATACAAAGAATATCAGAAGAAAAGAAAAATCATTTTTTTGATGTTGTTCTTCTGTGATAAGGACAGAGACAATACATTGGATTGACCACATTTCTTTCCCCTTTCTTCAGGAGTAAAGGGGTGGCAGAAATAGTGAGTTTGACCCCAACTAACTTATAAATGTAACAGACTAAGGTATCTGTCTCTTACAATTTCCTTTGTGATGGCATTCCTCTTGGCTAACTATTAGTAACAAAAGAAACTACATTCTTAATTCAGACATAAGCTAAAGATCTAGGTCCTTTTGATGTCTATACCAGCAAGAGTATCTAAAGATACACAGTATTGACAGTCCAGCCTTGAAATCCCAGGACTGTTCTCAAATAAATATTTTGAAACATTAAAAATTTGACAAGAACATACATTTTCAAGAAATGAAATAAAGCTTGGATCACCTCTAAAATAAATTTAAAATTATTCCTCTCGAGATAAATTTTAACATGGGAAAATTTCTACCCATCTTCCCTCAAAAACAAGTTACAGCAATATTTGATGTCATTTCACAAATTTTACTGATAGGAAATATGGTTTTGGTCTGTAACTTTTATGAACATTATCTAGACATGCATTAATTCCTAAAAGCCCTTGTGGTCATCATTTGTTGCTTTTATCAGCCTAGGAATATATTAACTATGGACGAGAGGCAAGAGAGGAAGAAAACTTTGGGTTGAGAATCAAGAAAATTGGGAAAGATGAGCTCCTGGCTGGATTCCAATGTTGATTTTTTGAAGTCAGTCACACAGTCTCAATGGACCTCAGTTGTCCCCACCTGTAAAATGAGGAGTTAGAGCTAAAGTACTCTCTGGGGTCTCTCCCAGCATTAAGAGTTTTTGTTTGAAAGCCTTGTCAAAAGTAGCAGTCTCAACTATTCAAAAAGATTCTGCAACAAGGAAACTCTGATAAAACATTATAAACCTGGTAATTCGTTGATTTCTCAGTGTTTCTGATTTACCTTGAGGTATTAAAAAAAAAATACATGCAGATGCCACTAGGTGAAGTGCGTATTTTCTTTTCTTGCTTTTATATACTGTGGTCTCTGCCCAATAGAACTGTGAGAGTCCATAGCAATGCAATGAAGTGAGACAGGAAAGGCAGCTTAAGTCCATCACTTAGAAGGCAAAATCTGACTGATGGGAGACGTTCTGAGTGGGATGTTGGTGCTCTTTCCTGCTCATGTTTAATTGAGGATGCATATTTGAAAGTCTCTCGATAGGTTAAGTAGAAATCTGATTCTGTCCTTTGAAAGAAAACGGTTAATAATATGCGATGTGAACATGTTTTCCTGTTCTGCTTAGCAATTTGCATAGGCCAGCACTCCCTGTTTGTCTCTTGATAACCTCATCAATCTCATCCATGCCCTCCTGACCACAGTGCCTGATTGCAGTAATTCCATTTTAGTGGGGCTTTCAGGAGGACTTGGCTTCTGCGTTTAGCTAGTACTGCACATTGGAGTGATCCTGTCTTCCCCAGAGTGAGCAGCTGAGATCATATTATGCCTCCCTTGATTTCTTTGTAAAGGCTGCCTATAGAATTTCATATTGATTTTAAGCTGGTGCTGTTTCATTTTTAACTCCTTTGTAAGTCAGAAGTCCAGTTATATTAGTGTCTCCTCCCTGTCATTCTGACAGGCATTGGTTATCTGCTTTTTTTCTTGCAGTCCTTGCCCTTCATTCTGTGGCAGCTCTTTTGGTATCGAACTTGTTGCCTTTACTCTTTTGTTGTTCTTCATGTGTTTTAAAAATCTCAGGGCAGTATAGCACAAGGATGTAAGGCTGAGTACAATTTTAAAAGTCTAATATGTAAATGAGTAAACAAAGAGCTCAAAAAACCAGAAAGGTCAATAGAGGATGGGTATTCATGCTGAGGATGCACAGTAGCTTTGGCAGCCTTACATTATTGTAGAGAGGGTTTCGTAGATGCAAGGTTTGCCAAGTAATGAAGCAGAGCCCAGTTGTTAGTTGAATAGTGAGAAATGGCTACAGGTATGACTTGTTGGAAGCATATCTTAGTTTTAATGTTTATTAACTGGCTGCTCTTCAGAACCTTAATTTGGTGTCATTTGGCATAAAATCTGTCCTAAAGCAATGCAATATAAAGATTTATAAGTGACACTGCACTCCATAAACATGCACTGTGTAGTGCCTTAGAATTTACATAGCCTTTCAAATCAATTGTCTTATCTGATCTTCACATAGGCCCTGTGACACAGGCAGTATAGCTATTAATATGTCCATTTTAGAGGTAAGGAAGCAGATACCAAGAGAGCACACACATATAATAGAACTGAGGCTGGAATTTTAGTTTCCTAAAACCAAACTTGTTGCTCTTTAATTCTGTGGCAGTCTCAAGTAATGCAAGCAAAAATATAACTATTGCATATCTTTGCATCACCTTTAGATTTACAATTCCTTATTTATTTCCTTGTCTTTGTACTTTCTGAGTGTACTTTCAGATTTATCTCCAGCAGAGCAGAGTTACTTTTATCACAAAAGAGAATGACAGAAATCAAGGTCTCCACGTTAAGCAGATTATTCTTAACTGCTTAGGGAATTTTCCCACTGGATTGCCCTATTGTACTTAAAATTTTATTTTAGCTCCATTTTCTTGTCTGTAAAGTGAAGGGGTTAGGCTATGTTCCTCTCATTCTATGGTAGTGTGATTAGGAGAGTGGAAGGTGAAGAAAGAATCAGAGCTGCAAGTGAATATGATTATCATGGAATCGCAAGTACAGGGCATAATGCATGTTTTAAAACTGGAGATAGTATTTATTTTCTAAAGTGTTTCCTTATGAATTACCTTCATCCTTCAGTGTACTGTTTAGTCTTACTGCAAACATATTCCTTTTACAAATCCGAATCAATTTGTTTGCCTTCCATATAAGATACAATTTTCAAAATGTGTTTATGTCCAAAAACAACATGCTTAGTTTTAGATAATTCTTTCAGTTGATATAGGGTTTTTTGAGACTAAGTGTAAATATTCTCTAAAATAGTTACATTTTTCCCCTTAGTTGTCACTTTCTAGAACACTTAAGCATTAGCAATCATTTTTAATTTAGTGATTTCATCTTCTTTATTTAATGGCTCACTGCTATATTTGAAACTAAACCATGTATATTTCAACTTTCAAGAGCCAATAGGCTTTGAAAAAACTTGGGTTGGAGTCAATAATTTCCTTTTAAAAATATTTCATATTGTAAATCAGATAAATATCTATTTCATATTTTAACAATTTCCCTTGTTGCATACAGCAAAACTGATTTGTGTGTTATGCTAAATATCTCTTAGCTAATAGAACTAGAGTAATTTAAAATATTCAGAGATTTGGATAAAAATATGATTCATAAATATGCCTTACAAAGCCTTTGGATAAATACTGAGTTTTGCAAGACTCATGGGTTATACATCCCAGGCTCCAATATGGCACTTTGGAAACTAGCATCATGAGCATGAACAAGATAACAACCACATCACAAAGCCTAGAGAAATACATTTAAGTAGTAAAACTTTCTCTTTTTTCCTTCAAATGTAACTTTCATAATGTCATTAGACTATCCCTAGTAATAAGCTCATAATTCACCCTTTTATCTGTATTTTTTAATGTTCTTAAATAAATAGGAACTCAAATTGAGAGGAAACTTAGGGCTTAATTTCTGCTTGTAATTTCTAATATTTTATGTGCAGAAATACAAACCCAGGCTGCATGACTCTTTTTCAACTTTTGTGCATGATTTCCTCAGTGAATTTATTTGCTGCAAAGGCCACCAGACCATTTTTTCTTCTTAACACATAAACTGACTTTGTTACCAAGGTTTTTTTTTTTTTTTTTTTTTTTTTTTTTTTTTTTTTTGACATGATGGCTTTTTATTCCCTTAAGTTCAACCATAAGGTGGATATGATCAAAACTGGCAAACAGCAAACATATTCCCTTAATAAAATATATAGTTATAGTTTCATTTGTGTACAATCATGACAGCAAAACAAAAAGCCAGGCAAAACTCACCACTTTTTCTTAAAAAATAAAACAGTTCGATATGCAGCTCAGGCTCCTTAAATGGTTTGTGGACGTCTCAATGTCTTTCCATCAACCTGGGTCACCTCTTGCACACACTATGGATAATGTCTGGTTTTAGATGGAACCATTACTAAACTTCAGTATGCTGAGATTTGCTTCGAGTCTTAGAGCTTATTCGTATTGAAACTTGGGAGATATAAACTGAAATAAAAATCCCACATTCAAAGAGTTGCCTGAAAGTTGAAACCACCCAGCCTCAGGCAGCTGCAGCCACTGTGATCCTATGACCAAAGTTTCTGAGAGGCTTACCCTCAGTGAAGTCATTAACAGAGTAATCGTCCCAAATTTTTATAGGCACATCAACTGGCAATGATAGAACATGAGTTAATTTTTTTGGCCTTCTTGCTTATGATTCAAATTTATCTTTTGTGTGTCTTGTTTCAGTAACATCAAAAGAGAAGAAAAAAAAATCAGGGAGGTAGAGAGCACATTCTCAGAGAGCACATCTCTCAATTCCAGAAAGCACATTCTCACTCTGATGTTTCTGATATAGAATCTTAGAGTGGACTTAAGAGGAGCCAGCTGTGTGGGAGCACATATTGATGACTTCGTCGGCAGTACTTCCCCAATGAGTGCCAAGCTACAGATGCACTCCCAATCAATTCCCACACAGCTACAGTTTAGTGAACTATTCTGAATGAAAAGAACATGGCACTGGGGGCTGTGAGATCCAGAAACATCAGGGCAGAGTCCAAAGACAGCATATCTCCAAACAAAGCAGAGTGGCAGTAGACCTAAAGAGGCAAAGTGACAGGAAAATAAGGAAGGAGTAAACTAAGGCAAAGTGTGCGTGTATGTGTGAGTGTAAACTAGATATGAGAAAAATAGACGTTGCTTTCTTATAAATGTCGTAAAGTGAGTTTGTTAGTTGCAAGATAAAATACAGGTGATTGCCCTATGTAGTAGAGATCATATACCGCTTGTTGAATTAAATGAAATGGAATAAACAAATACAGTTCTTTAAAAAAAGAACAAATATGAAACCAACAAAAAGTGAAAATATTTACATACATAATATACAATCTTTTTTGGTGAAATTTTTAAAAAATAATGGAATATGATTTTATAGCAATTACAGCATGCAAGCTGACTTCATTTACATTTTATCTGTGAACATTGGATGTTGTGTTCTGCAATCTCTTTCTAGCATTCGGGTGGTCCTCTGAGGGTTGTCTGTGTTTATAAATGTATATATACCATTTATGATCTCCTAAATGGGAACTTTTGAAGAACGGAAAAAAGTCTTAAGATAACTTAAAAATATGAAATATTTTATATTTTTTTAAAGAAGTTAGAATTCACCTTTAAAATTCAAAAATAAAAATATTTAATTTTTATCTAGTTTAAATGCTTAAATTGATCAACAATGTATAAAAATTCACTCAAGATAATAACTTTAAATTCAATATCAAGTGATTTTTAAAATAATTTTCCAGTACAAAAATAGCAGAGCCTGTTTTTGTTTCAATGCCATTGATTTTTAACTCAATGATAAAAAACAGGCACTTTATTTTAAAATTCCTCAATGTTTTCTTGATGTTTATGGTCTATTGTTAAAGTGGGAAATAATTTCTACCTAAGACAACATAGGTAGAAATTCACAATGAACTAAAAACTAAATGTTACTATTTTTTTTTAAGTAAGCATCATGGAATAAATAAATCAGGATCAATGAACAAAAATGGTCTTATTTAACTAAGGCAAAAATGTACACATACATTTTTCATAGGTTTTATAGGACATGAAAGATAAGATAGGTATAGAAAAAAATTTCAGAGCTAAAGTTTCTAAGTGGAATATGAGTTGTTTGTAACATTGCAAAGTTTCTCCAGAAAGTGTCTGGGACAAGCCACTTTCTAAGGTAGCCCAGACACAATTAAGTAGGTAGAACAATTCAATTGCACATAAGATTATAATCAATGATACCTTTTGCCTTAGGCACTTTTATATTTTGCATTTGTATAAATATACATTTCTTTTTATGTAAATTTTTAATAATATTATTGAGCAATTACTCTAATAGTTACTTAATTCAAATAACCTCAATTTTCTTGTTGTTTCTTTCAATCATATTGTGAGGTTATTGTTCCATTTTGCAGACAAGAATCCTTTGTACATATGGTGAATGGGAATACTAAAACAAAAACCATTTATTTCAGTCACTATTTTCCTTGACTCACCTACTTACTGGAGTATAGTGCTGCATGTATATTATGCACTTAATATATACTTCATGATTGATTGATTGATCAAAAATTAATTAAGGTTCTTGTCCTGTGAGATATCTACAATAGCATCTAAGAAAACAGAATAAATACCTCCTATTTTTTGAAAGCTTCCTGTGCTTTTTCTATCTTTCCAGAAGTTGAGCCCAGCAATCATGATATCGGCAAACGTCCCTCAACATAAAAAATCTTTCTCTTCCTCTGAACTCCCCTTCTCTGTCCCGATGACACCCTGCTCAGTGAAGTGCAAACAATCGATGGGTTCTCTGTCAATCAATGAGTGTCTCTTCTAAGAGGCACAGAAATGTGGAAAACAGTCCTGGACTGTGAGGGGCTGGGGGAAGAATAGCTGGCAATTTTTTTTTTTTTTTTTTGAGACGGAGTCTCGCTCTGTCGCCCGGGCTGGACAGGCTGGAGTGCAGTGGCGCGATCTCTGCTCATTGCAAGCTCCGCCTCCCGGGTTCATGCCATTCTCCTGCCTCAGTCTCCCGAGTAGGTGGGATTATAGGCGCCTGCCACCAGGCCAGGCTAATTTTTTTTGTATTTTTAGTAGAGACGGGGTTTCACCGTGTTAGCCAGGATGGTCTCGATCTCCTGACCTCGTGATCCGTCCGCCTCAGCCTCCCAAAGTGCTGGGATTACAGGCGTGAGCCACTGCTCCCGGCCTAGCTGCCATTTCTTTACAACTTAACTGGCAGTATGTATTTGGTCATATCACTTCTCACCTGCTCTAGACCTCCGTTTGCTCATCTGCAAAATGATAGTATTTGAAAGGTTAATTCTAAGATTCCTTCTAGCTCTCCTGATCTCTGCTTCTATTTATAACATCTTTATTTCTTGAGGTGGGTGGGCATTCGAAGAAATAAATTCAGAAGGTAGAAATGTTCTGAAATACACAGTTTGTTAAACTCATTCCAAAGAAGCACACATTCTATTTTTCTCCTCAACTGCTTTCTTGTTTTAAGGTTTATATTTTCAAAATGATGCTTTCTGAATAAATATATGGGGGCAATAAAACCAGCCATAAAAGCAAACCAGTAAGGTGGCAATAAAATATGAATCATGGTTCCCAGTATCAGTAGAATTGTCAGAATGTACATATCACCGTGTATGACACTAACACTTGTGTTCTCTAGCGGGGAGGCATGTGCTAACCTAGGACTGAGCAGACATTGAAGTATAGAATGGGGAAAATAACATAAAAGAATCTCTCTATGTCTTACAGCCAGTATGGCTCAAAAATTTACCATTTGGAAGAGTTGTAGTTGGATCAAGGTATGATCCAGCAGATAAAATGGTGTCAAGAAATTGAGGGAAGTACTTTCTGTCTTTGATTCTGTACTTCACAGGATGAGTGATGTTGAAGAAGGTTATGAACCTTTATATATCAACTTCTCCACAGTGAACTAATGAAATAACACTCGACTTCCCTCAGTTGTATGTGTTTCTTCATAAGACTAATATTTATAAAAGGTTTCAGTCTCTTTATAAGGAAGAACTCTGTAATAATAATAATAGTAATAATAAGGACTGTAGTCATTTCCCACCACAAATGTTCAGGAAATAAAATGAATAGTGTCACAGAGCAATTTGCTAAACTATATTTTGTAAGTACAAATAGGAATTTTCTGCATCACATGCAATTCAGTCTATCGAATTTGTATGAACATAACCAAGGAGAATACAATACAGAAGCTGTAATTTAATGATCACACTAGACAGCAGCCTCCCACATAGCAAGAGGTTATCATAATTATTTACATTTGGGTGTAGAAAGAAGACAAAATGTGTCATCTTTTTGGTTACTGCTTACATTAAAAAAAGAAAACGCTCTTCTCGAACAGGTGCAGTAAGCAATATGAATTAATTAAAACTCACTAACTTTGATACTGGAAGCAGAAATTTATATCCAATAAATAATTTCTCTAATTTAAGACAAGAGGTTCTCTTGGGAAGAGAAAATCTTCAAAAGATTTAGAGAAAGGAAATCATGACTTTTGACGTATCACTGCAGCCACATATCCAACAGCTGGCTGATACAGTTTTGAGAATACACTGGAGAACTGCAGATTCTGAGGGGTCTACACCTTGCCTCCAGTTTCTTCCACTCAGAATTTTCACGGTTTATACTTGTATGTACACTGCTTGCTGGATATAGATAGGTGTTTACAGAACATGTATTATTAGAACCAGGGAGAGTAAACAGAATATCTGTCTGAATTAACTTTCCTGTCCAGCCACTTTGGGATAATCAGATTTTTATCTGAATAGAAATGAGATTTAGGTATAGAAGATGGTCATAGATAGAGGTGTTTTCCCCAATCTTGTAATGAAATCACCTTCCACTATTTTTACAACATTTTCTAAAATATTGAATTGAGCAAGAGATTAAGAAAAATCTTGCTTTGGTGTGTGTTCTCTGCCATGAATGTGGTTTTAAGGATAAAAATGTACTCCATGCTCATGAGTACATCCTCACCAGTTTATAAGGGGGAGTGAGGTCATGAAATTCAGCAAGCACATCTGAGCAAACCATGTAATCAGGATGATGGAGGCATTCTAGCTTTATTTAGGAGAAAAGACTCCAAAAGGCCAAGACCAGGACCAGTTAGGCAAAATGTGAAGCAGATTGGAGTGTTAAAATGTACTAAAAATAGAATATTTCCAAAGAATGTATATGGAGTTGCTTTTAGAAGTAAGAGAATTATGCAACTAGGAGGAAGTAGGAGGTTACTGGGAATATTTTATGTAAAAAAGAGCTTAAAGATCAATTTACCTATTTCACATCTCTTCTGAAATCATGCTCTGAAAACCCTATTTAGTAGCCAGACTTATTATTATTATTATTATTTAATTTACTTTAAGTTCTGGGATACATGTGCAGAAAAATATGGAACGCTTCACAAATTTGTGTGTCATCCTTGTGCAGGGGCCATGCTTATCTTCTCTATATCATTCCAATTTTAGTATATGTGCTGCCGAAGCAAGCACCAGACTTATTTTTATTGTGTATTCTCTGAATACCAGGTATATGATTAGATTTAGCAAACAAGTTACTTATCATGTTATATGATGCTTCCCAAACAACATTGTAAAGCTGCATTTCTTTGGAAGTCAACTATTGTACTCAAATTCATATGAGCTACATGAGACAAATAAAAAATACATCCACAAATTTAAACATATTTATTGAGTGACTACAATATGCCAGGTACCATTCTACGTGCTGAGTATACCTTGGAGAACAACTGCAAATAGCCCTGAACTTTTTCTACTGGGGAAGGAGATAGATGGTAAATATGGAACACATGTACTGTGTCAGAATATCATAAGTTTATGAAGGAAAGTAAAACAGGAAGGGAGCCTACAGAGCGCCAAGCCTGGTCAATGGGGCAGGGATGTGAAATGTTATCTAGAAAATTCTAAGATAGGTGCTCTGAGAAGGTGGCATTTAGGCCAAAACTTGAAGCTCAGATGAGCCCACTGTCAATGAAACATAAAGTTAAATTTAAATTGATTATTTTTACCTTTATCAATGTAGATTCACTCTTTATTCCATCTTGTCTTATGTTTTATCCAAGAAAGACACAAATCTAAGATCTTGAGGAATTTAACTTTCTTGAATCTTTACGCTTCTCTATGAAAGCACTTACCCCATAAGAAAAAATGTAATCTTTGTCCTGTGCTGTAATGCAATGCAGTGTGTGGCAGAAAGCATAAAAGTGAGAACTAAGAAAACTGGGTTCTAGTTGTATGATTTATACATTAATTAATAACCTCAGTTTGTTCATTTGGGGAATGAGGGCATTGGACTATTTCAATATTTCCAAAAGGAGCATAACATTCCATGGAGCACTTGTGCTGGAGACACTTGAAAATCAAGAGTGGACAATTAAATTTGGAAGCATCATATGTCAGATGGTCCCTAACTGAGGAGTACAAAGGCATTTCAGCAGGTTAAAGAAACTGAGGAGGTAGTGAATAAAAGGAAGCCATTTAACGATTAACTTTGTTTAACTCAAAATTTCCTAAACATATTAGAACAAACTTGGGAAACACTGAAATAGATCATCAATGCTAATGTTTTTACAGTTAAGAAATTCTATGAGTGTTCTTTTTCATTGTTAGTTCCATTCTACTGTATCCTTAAAGATGACCTAATTATGCAGAGACTGACAACGACATAAAAATCTCAGACACTTAAACAATAAAACTTATTCCTTACTTATGTGACATGTCCATTGAGGATTGGCTGCAGTCTTCGTTCCACAGTTTTCTCACTGCATTTTCCAGTAAGCAGAACAACCACAGTCTAAGCATTATCCATCAGTCTGGCATAAAAAAGGAGAGGCTACTGTGACCTAATTTGAAGTGCATTTGGAAGTATATGCTTAATTTGTGCTTGAAAAAGTACAGATATTGGTGAAAGCACTAATGACTCCATGTTTACCTCCTGAAATAACCTCATGGCTACATTAAATCTAATAAATGCTAGATTTTATAAGTTTTATGTTGTCAACTGCTGGATTTTGTGGTCTTCCAATAAGACTTTATTCCGGTAGGAAATAGGTTACTCGTGGATAAGCTTTATCTTTTTGAGACTTAATTTCAAGTGCTTTTTGGATAGGACTAGAGTATCGTTTTTTTCTAATGCTCATTTAGCCCTGTTTCTGAGGCATGACCCTCCTTTCACGGCCTCTATTGAATGGTTTGATGAGTCAAGAAGGTTTCTCTATTCTGGCTAGTGGAAATTTCAACAATTCTTGACCCTGTGTAAACTCTGAATATTATTCAGTACCCGCTGTCCAGCAATTGTCGTTTCTTCAGAAGTTGTTGCCTAGCCTCCTGGGGATTCACTTTATGCATGCAGAGGTTGATATTAAGCCAAAGATTCAAAGGACTGCTATGCATATTTTTGGAATTCTTACCCTGTATAGCTCCCTCCTGTAAATGGCCTGCAAATTCTACCCACCTCTTCACTCAGGGAGGCCAGGAGGATCTATTTGGATTTCCCATCCCTGCATTGCAGTGTAGAAATTTTCTCTAGGCAGAAAGCCTGGGCAGCAATAAGTCTCATTTCTTTGGTTCTTTTCTGTCAAGGATCCCAGTGCTGTACTGTCTGCTGCTCAAAGTATGAAAATAGTTATTTCCTACATTTTGTCCAGTTTTCTAGTTGTTTATGGCAGGAGAATAATTTCAAACCCTGTTATTCCCTCATGGCTGGAAACTCAAGTTTCCTAAATCTAAATTTAGCCCTTGTTTTATAAATACTTGGTTTTCCAGCATGGCAAAGCATCATGTCTTGAATGTCAACAAAATGGATTTCTTGTTTTTCCCTGGGATAACAGAAAGCTATAAACATGAGAAACTCCAAATACTATACTTCCAATTTCCTGAAAGGTAACTCCTGGAGCCAATGGAAAAAGTATATGCTGACCTAAGTAATTGTCAAGATATGTAAGCAAAGAGACCATTTCTAAGGCAAACAACTTATTTTTTTTTCCTGAAGCATCAATACATAGTAAAAATATTCGTTTCTATAAATATTTGTCTTGAAGTCAAATAGAGACTAAAATATATTATTAAGAAACTAGTACAAACCTAATCTAGAAAAACAGCAATAATTTTATTATACATGTTATTTCTTGGTAAGCCAATGATTTGAGTTCTTACATTGGAATATCGAGTATCTCCTGGTACTAAACATTAAATAACAACCTTAGAAATTGTATGAAAGGGCCAAAATAGAAACTGTAGTTTGTAGTGTTGCACTATCCTAGTGTCTAGAGCATATTAGGTTACCCAATAGATATTACTTGAATACTGGATGAATGAAAGAAAGATGACAAGAAAAGGTGAGGTGTTATGATGTAGTAAAAATTATTTCTTAGAAGGAAGGCGTTTCTCTTTACTTCCTTGAAGTACTGAGTTCTGAGAAAGTGTCTAAGGCCATTGGTTTTAGCATCAGACAGATGGATGGATATAATTCTCACAAGAATTCTGGAGACTGCAATAATAATAATAAATAATGATGCAATAATGATATAGTAATAATAAATAATGAATAATCATGATGGCAAATAATGATAATGAATTATTCTTGTGTGCTTTCTATGCGCCAAATGCTGTTCTATGCACTTTTAATGTTTACCTCATTGATCCTTTATCAGACTATGAAATGAATATTACTGCCACATTTCATAGTTATGGAGATTAAGGAATAGGGATAATGAGTAACTTGAGCATGGTGACAGAGCAAATAGTGGCAGATAAAGGTTGTATATCTACAATCTGGTCCTAGTGCCATCAGTTTTAACTACAGAGCTATACTGACTCTCTGTACACAGGGACCAAATATAGAGGAGCTCACCAATATGAAAAGTATAGAAAATCCTTCCAGAAGTTAAAATATAAAACTAATAATGAATTTTGAATTTTTGAAAAATTTTAGTAGAGACAAGGTCTCAATATGTTGCCCAGGCTGGCTTCCAACTCCTGAGCTCAAGCAATGCTCCTGTAATCCCAAAGTTCTGGGATTACAGGTATGAGCCACCCTGCCTGGCTATAGTTCCTTAGTGTCAGTTCAAGTGTTCCATTCAATATTGGAAGTCCAGTGGCAGTCTGCTTCCATTCTGTTTCTTTCTCTGTACATGTTGTGATGAATGATAAATTGTTTTCCTTTTATTTTATTTATTCCTGTGATTTAGCTTATGGAGAAGAATAAAAGGGTTAAAGCTCCCAGGCCCAAAACAGAATTTACCAGAAATGAAGATATGTGTAATAATTTCCAAATTGTATTTACGGATACCATTTTATTCTATCGATTGAAACTGTACTCAGCAAAGGCTATCATACAAAGGAGATACGAGAGAATAAGAAATTGAAACAAAGCATTGATGGAAGTTTCCTAACAGCAAAAAATGAGAAGGCTGTGCCATCCCAGGGGAAGTGGGGGTGGATCTGATGCCTGAAACAATGAGAGCTGTGATGGAATCAATGGCAGCGGATCCCGTAATTACTAAATTAGACTGTTCCATTTCTGGATAATGCATGCTGCATTTTGATCTTGATTTGAAATCCAATTAGTTCAGGATCATCATTCCTTTTAGTTCTAGCTTCTCTCTGGTGACTTTGAGACTAGAGCAATAGTGTAGTATTTTTGTGTTCTTTCATGTCTTTGAAGATACAGTTTTTTAAATATATGGCAACAGGTGTCCTCTGCTCCCACTCTTACATATTTTACTGATTACTCTCTCGGTTTATTCTCTCATGCTCTCAAGTCATAGCAACCAGTGAAATGCTACATTGATACACATTTGGCTTTTCCAATAAATAATGACAACCAACCATGAAACACTTGTCTTTGAAATCGCCGCTACCTTTTAATGTTTTTTAAAAATGTTTTATTTACTAGATAGTTTGCCTTTGTGGATTGGTGTTATTCTTAATTCTCTTGCTTTCCTTTACTGAAATTAAAGGGGCAAGTCTTATATTATGAAAGGAACCCTTAAATGAAAAGAACATATTTTAGGCCTGTCACGTATGAAAGATGAAGACTTCTTACAGCACAGCGTTTGTTTTGTCATTTTCTGGTGAGGGTGAGAAGGGAACTTCAGGCAGCCCATTGAAATAGCTTCAGTTCGCTCACATGACTATATTAGCAAGTAGCTGATTAAAGATAGTCTGAAATAGTTTCAGCAAAAGACCTTAGGATGTATACATTAGAAATATATACACCTGTGGTTCATGATTATGAAATTATTTTGAAGGTAGTTTTGCTTTTTCTTGTCGAATACATGAAGAGAAACCTCTGGAATTGTGGTATAATATAAATTATAAAAATATAATTTTCATACTGAAGCATGAATATTTATAGTCTACAATAATTTTATACCACAAGAAAGAAAACAGGCACTGTTTTCCTCCATGGGCTTGCTGAAGAAAATGTGAAACATTGATTGAGAGCTACTTGTTAATTCACACTAGGGAACCATGTAGATTACTTAATTTTGAAAATTACAATGTAAACAAAACCAATGCCATAAAGGAGTTTAAGGGCCCTACATCAAAATAATATTTTGTTCATTTACTTTGACAAGTGTGGTTCACATACTCAAGTGTTACTTATGAGTATATTGCATTTGAATTAACATAGTGCATTTCATCAAAATAATAAAATCTTAGTGACATAATAACTTATAAAGAGAGTTCATCATATTTTTCTGATGCAGATATTTTAAATAATCTATATACATTTATGAGTGCATTAACGTTACAACATTTCTCAGTCTCTGTCTCTTCTCTCTCTTCATCTCACTTTTTCTCACACACACAGGAACTAAAAGTAAATTTAACAATTTTACTGCCTTTTCTGAGACTCAGAGATTACTAACACTGATTGTGTGGTTGATAATTCATATATTGCTGTATTAGTCTGATTTTACATTGCTATAAAGATACTATCTGAGACTGGGTAATTTATAAACAAAGAGGTTTGATTGACTCACAGTTCCACATGGCTGGGGAGGCCTCAGGAAGCCTAGACTCATGCTGCAAAATGAAAGGAAAGCAGGCAGCTTCTTACATGGCAGCAGGAGATAGAGAAGTGCTTCGACGGGGGGAACTTCGAAACACTTTTAAAACCATCAGCTCTCCTGAGAAGTCCCTCACTATCACAAGAATGGCATGGGAGAAACCACACCCATGATCCAATCACCTCCCACCAGGTCCCTCCCTTGACACCTGGGGATTACAATTCGGATTACAATTCAGATTACAATTCAAGATGAGATTTGGGTGGGAAAACAGCCAAACCATATCAACTGCTATATTGTTAGTCTGCATTCTTCCTATTCAAAAGCAGTCTGTATGTTTACGGTTGCATAGCAAATATAATATTGTGACTGATTTTTAAACAAAATTAAATCTGTTAAAATTATGAGCCTAGTAAATTACATAGTCTAATATTATGGATGAACCAAGAAATGGGGAGATGGGAATATTATTAGGTTGGTGCAAAAATAATTGAGGTTTTACCATTAAAAGTAATGGCAAAAACCGCAACTACTTTTGCACCAACCTAATAGCCTATTGATATTGAGGAAGGCAGAGATGTAAGGGTTCATCATTTTTAAAATTCTATCTTTTTAAAGCTTACATTTCATAAAATTGATTAATTTTGCTGCTAGATCAGAGTTCAATTTTTTATATTAATTTTGTATATATTCAGAGAAAGAGCACAGAAATGTTATTTTTAAAACTATTATTGTGTAAACTTTATCCTAGTTATCAAAATGCTAGACTGGACAATAAAAATTAGATGGAAAATGAAAGCAATTATAAATTATGTTAAATATATCTATGTCTAAACAGAGAAAAATGCCAATTTATGCATATCTATGTTGTGACATATCATGGCAGTTATTTTAAAAAGAGATTTCTAAAATAAATTATATCAGTATTACTTCAGTTCTCTTTTGTGAATAGATTTAGTTTGTAATTATAAACGACATAAAGGATACCAAGATGCTTTTCTGCTGTTTTCTTCAAGTAATTTCACAATTTCAAGTCTTACATTTAAGTCTTTTAATACATTATGAGTTGATTTTTATATATGGTTTGAGAAATGAGTTCAATTTCATTCTTCTGTATGTAAATATCAAATTTTCTTATCACCATTTATTGAAGACACTATCCTACCCCGATTGAGCTTTCTTGGCACCTTTGTTGAAGATCAATTTATAGTAAATGTGAAGACTTATTTTTGGACTTTCTGTTCAGTTCTATTGCTCTATATGTGTGTATTTATGCTAGTACCATACTGTTTTGATTAGTGTAGCTTTGTAGCACATTTTGAAATCAGGTGGTGTGATGCCTCCAGCTTTCTTTTTGATCAAGATTGCATTGCTTATTTAGGGTCTTTTCTGTATGAAGTTTAGGATTATTTTTTCTATTATTGTGAAAAGTGCCATTGAAATTATAATAGGAATTGCATTGATTCAGTAGATTGCTTTGGGTACTGTAGACATTTTAACAATATTTATTCTTCTAATATATGCATATAAAATATTTCATTAATTTTATCTTCTTTAATTTCTTTTATCAATGTTTTATAGTTTGCAGTGTATAGGTCATTCACTTTCTTGGTTAGATTTATTCTTAGGTATTTTAGTGTTATTGTAAATAGAATTATTTTCTTAATTTATTTTTTGGATAGTTCATTGTTATTGTATTAAAATGCAACCAATTTTTGTATGTTAATTTTGATCTTGCAACTTTACTGAATTTGATTAGTTCTCACAGTTTTTTTGGTAGAGTCTTCAGGGTTTTCTATATATAAGATCATGTCATCTGCAGAGATAATTTTATTTCTTCTTTTTTGGCTTGGAGGCCCTCTTTTTTTTTTTTCTTGTCTAATTGTTCTGAATAGAACTTTCAGAACTATGTTGAATAGAATTGGTAAGAAATGGCTTCCTTGTCTTGTTTCTGATCTTAGAAGAAAAGTTTTCAGCTTTTCATTGTTGACTCTGCTAATAACTGTGGGTTGTCATAAATGACCTTTATGATTTTGAGATATATTTCATTTATACCAAATTTTTGAGAATTATTATCATGAAAAGAATTTTGTCAGGGGAATCCAGCCAGGAACTCAGGCATTGGGTGGTTACTTTTTAAAGCTCTCAGTGAACAAATACTCTTGCCACCCACCAATCTCTGGTAGCCACTGACCATGTGAAATGGTTTTTATAACCTTTACCCTTCAAGATCCCCCTGAATTTACCAGCATCATCTTGACTTGGTAGTTGGTTAAAATAGGATGATAGGAGGCAGGGCCAAGAGGGCCAACTAGAAGGAGTGGTGATCAGAGGCCCCCACTGCAAAGACCCAAAACAGTGTGTGAATCTGGCACTGGCAACTGAGGTATCCAGGTTCTGTCATTAGGACTGACTAGGCAGGTGGTATGACCAACAGAGAGGTAAGAAGAGCAGTGTGGTGTGGCGGCCCACCTGAGGGCCACAAGGGGCAAGGAGCCCCCACCTCCACCCAAGGGAATCAGCAAGTGAGAGCGTTACTCAACCTGGGAAATCATGCTTTTTCCATGGAACTGCGTAACCCATGGATTGGAAAATCCCACTTGGGAGCCCACACTGCCTGGGCCTTGGGCCCCAACCATGGAGCTGTGCAGATTCTCAAAACCCTCTTGGCTAGAATTGGCCAAAGCCTGCCTAGTTCCCTGTGGGAGAGGATGGGGGGGTGGAGGTTGGGGGTGCTGCCATCACCACTGCTGCGGCTGCCTGTGTTGTAAGCCACAGGTCTGAGCTCCTTGAGGGAGGTGTGGCAGCCAACACTGTGGCTGCAGGGCCTCCCTGTAGGAACTCCAACTCCAGCTAGGGGCTCGGGGACAGAACTCTGATCTCCCTGGGCCTGAGCCCGTAGCGGGAGGGGTGGCCATAGTCTCCAGAAATCAGCAGACTTAGTCTTTCCTGCTGCTAGCTCTGAGGAATCCAGGCAGCCCAGATGAATGGGTTTTCCCTGAGTGCATTGCATTCACTCCACCAAGGGACAGCCAAAGTGCCTCATTAAATGAGTCCAGCTTCCTGTGTCACCCAGCTAGGTGAGATCCCCCAACAGGGGTTATCAGACATCCTAAACAGGAGCATTCCTATTGGCATCAGGTTGGTGCCCCTTGAGGTCAGAGATCCCAGATGAAGGAGCAAACATCCATGTTTGTTGTTCTCCAGCCTCCTCGAGTGACATCTCCAGGTACAGGAGTGAACCAGATGAACAGGGCCAGAAGTGAACCCCCAGCAAACCGCAGCAGCCATACAGAAGAGGGACCTGACTATTGAAAGAAAAACAAACAAACTGAAAGCAACAACAACAGCATCAACAAAAAAGGTCCCCCTAAAAACCTCATCCAAGGGTCAGTAGGCTCAAAGATCAAAACTAAGCAAACTCATGAAAATAGGAAAGAATCTACAAAAAAATGCTGAAAACCCAAAAGGTCAGAGTGCCTCTTCCCTTCAAAATGATCACAACACATCTCCAGCAAGCGTGCAGAACTGGACAGAGGATAACATGGATGAATTGACAGAAGTAGATTTCAGAAGGTGGGTAATGACAAACTTAGCTGAGGTAAGAAAAGCATGTTCTAACCCAATGCAAAGAAGCTAAGAACGTTGATAAAAGGTTACTGGAGCTGCTAACTAGAATAACCAGTTTAGAGAGGAACATAAATGACCTGATGGAGCTGAAAATGCAGTACAAGAACTTTCTGAAGCATACACAAATATCAACAGTCAAATCAGTCAAGAGAAACAAACAGTATAAGAGCTGGAAGACTATCTTGGTGAAATACGACAGGCAGACAAGATTAGAGAAAAAAGAATGAAAAGGAATGAACAAAACCTCGAAGAAATATAGGACTATGTAGAAAGACCAAACCTACGACTGATTGGAGTACCTGAAAGAGATGAAGAGAATAGATCCAAGTTGGAAAAACAAGCTTCAGGATATTATCCAGAAGAACTTCCCCAACCTAGCAACACAGGCCAACTTGAAATTCAGGAAATACAGAGAACCCCACTAATATATTTCACAATAAGTTCAACCCCAACAGATTCTCCAAGGTTGAAACAAAGGAAAAAATGTTAAGGGCAATCAGAGAGAAAGGCCAGGTCACCTACAAAAAGAAGCCCATCAGACTAACAGTGGATCTCTCAGCAGAAACCCTGAAAGCCAGAAGAGAGTGGGGGCCAATATTCAACACTCTTAAGGAAAAGAATTTTCAACCCAGAATATCATATCCAGCCAAACTAAGCTTCATAAACACCGGCAAAATAAAATCCTTTTCAGACAAGCAAATGCTGAGGGAATTTGTCACAACCAGTCCTGCCTTGTAAGAGCTCCTGAAGGAAGCACTAAATATGGAAGGAAAGAACCATTGTAAGCCACTGCAAAACATATGAAAATATAAAGATCAATGATACAATGAAGAAATGACATCAACGAGTGTACAAAATAACCAGCTGACATCATAATAACAGGATCAAATTCACACATAACAATATTAACCTTAAATGTAAATGGGCTAACTGCCCCCAATGAAAAGACACACACTGACAAATTGGATAGTCAAGACCCATTGGTGTGCTGTATTCAGGAGACCCATCTCACATGGAAAGACACACATAGGCTCAAAACAAAGGGATGGAGGAAAATTTACCAAGCAAATGGAAAGGAGAAAAAAGCAGGGGTTGCAATCCTAGTCTCTGACAAAACAGACTTTAAGCCAATAAAGATAAGAAAAAAACAAAGAAAGACATTGCATAATGGTAAAGGGATCAATTCAATAAGAATAGCTAAGTATTCTAAATATATATGCACTCAATACAGGAGCACCCAGATTCATGAAACAAGTTCTTAGAGACCGACAAAGGGACTTAGACTCCCACAGAATAGTAGTGAGAGACTTTAACACCCCACTGTCAAGATTAGACAGATCAATGAGACAGAAAATTAACAAGGATATTCATAACTTGAACTCAGCTCTGGATCAAGTGGACCTAGTAGATATCTCCCTAACTCTCCACACCAAAACAACAGATTATACATTCTTCTCAGTGCCATGTGGCACTTACTTTAAAACTGATCACATAATTGGAAGTAAAACACTCCTCAGCAAATGCATAAGAATGGAAATCATAACAGTCTTTCAGACCACAGTGCAATCAAATTAGAACTCAGGATTAAGAAACTCACTCAAAACCACACAACTAGGTGGAACCTGAACAACCTGCTCCTGAATGACTCCTGAGTATATAATGAAATTAAGGCAGTAATCTAGAAGTTCTTTGAAACCAATGAGAGCAAAGATACAATGTACCAGAGTTTCTGGGATGCAGCTAAAGCAGTGTTAAGAGGGAAATTTATAGCACTAAATGCCCACATCAGAAAGCTAGAAAGATTCAAATCAGCACCCTACCATCACAATTAAAAGAACTAGAGAAGTGAGAGCAAACAAATCCAAAAGCTAGCAGAAGACAAGAAATCACTAAGATCAGAGTGGAACTGAAGGAGATAGAGACATGAAAAAGCCTTCAAAAAATCAATGAGTCCAGGAGTTGTTTTTTAAAAAAAATTAATAAAATAGACCACTAGCTAGACTAATAAAGAATAAAAGAAAGAAGAATCAAATAGATACCATAAAATGATAAAGGGGATATCACCATTGACCCCACAGAAATTCAAACAACCATCAGAGAACACTATAAACACCTCTACATAAATAAACTAGAAAATCTAGAAGAAATGGATAAATTCATGGACGTATACACCCTTCCAAGACCAAACCAGGAAGTAGTCAAATCCCTGAATAGACCAATAACAAGTTCTGAAATTGAGACAGTAATAAATATCCCACAAACCAAAAATGCCCAAGACCAGACAGATTCACAGCCAAATTCTACCAGAGCTACAAACAGGAACTGGTACCATCCCTTCAGAAACCTTTCCAATTCCCTCCCTAACTCATTTCATGAGGCCAGCATCATCCTGATACCAAATCCTGGAAGAGACACAACAAAAAAAGAAAACTTCAGGCCAATATCCCTGATGAACATCAATGGGAAAATCTTCAATAAAACACTGGAAAAACGAATCCAGCAGCATATCAAAAAGCTTATCCACCATGATCAAGTTGGCTTCATCCCTGGGATGCAAGGCTTGCTCAATATACACGAATCAATAAATGTAATCCATCACATATAGAGAACCAATTACAAAAACCACATGATGATCTCAATAGAGACAGAAAAGGCCTTCAGTAAAATTCAACCTCCCTTCATGATAAAAATTCAATAAACTTGGTATCGATGGAACTTATCTCAAAATAATAAGAGCTATTTATGGCAAACCCACAGCCAATATCATACTGAATGGGCAAAAGCTGGAAGCATTCCCTTTGAAAACCAGCACAAGACAAGGATGCCGTCTCTTACCACTCCTATTCAACTTAGTATTGAAAGTTCTGGCTAGGGTAATCAGGCAAGAGAAAGAAATAAAGACTTCAAATAGGAAGAGAGGAAGTCAAATTGTCTCTATTTGCAGATGACATGATCCTGTATTTAGAAAACCTCATCGTCTCAGCTCCAAAACTCACTAAGCTGATAAGCAACTTTTACAAAGTCTCAGGATACAAAATCAATGTGCAAAAATCACAAACATTCCTGTACACCAACAATAGACAAGCAGAGGGCCAAATCACGAATGAACCCCATTCACAAACAGAGCAAAATACCTAGGAATACAGCTAACAAGGGATGTGAAGGACCTCTTCAAAGAGAACTACAAACCACTGCTCAAGGAAATAATAGAGGACATAGACAAATGGAAAAACATTCCATCCTCTTTGATAGAAAGAATCAATATCATGAAAATGGCCATACTGCCCAAAGCAATTAATAGATTCAATGCTATTCCCATCAAACTACAATGTCATTCTTCACAGAATTAGAAAAAACTAGTTTAAATTTCATATGGAACCAAAAAAGAACCCACATAGCCAAGACAATCCTAAGGAAAAAAAAAAAAAGCTGGAGGTATCATGCTACCTGACTTCAAACTATACTACACGTCTACAGTAAACAAAACAGCATGGTACTGGTACCAAAACAGATATACAGAACAATAGAACAGAATAGAGACCTCAGAATTAAGTTCACACATCTACAACCATCTGATTTTCTACAAACCTGACAAAAACAAGCCACAAGGAAAAGATTTTCTATTTAATAAATGGTGCTAGGAAAACCAGCTAGCCATATGCAGAAAACTGCAAATGGACACCTTCCTTACGCCTTATACAAAAATTAACTCAAGATCAATTAAAGACTTAAATATAAAACCCCAAACCTTAAAAACCCTAGAAAAAAATCCTAGGCAATACCATTTAGGACATAGGCATGGGCAAAGATTTTTTGATTAAATCAGCAAAAGCAATTGCAACAAAAGCTAAAATTAACAAATGGGATCTAATTAAACTAAAAAGCTTCTGCGCAACAAAAGAAACTATCATCAGACCAAACACGTGACCTATAGAATGGGAGAAAATTTTTGCAGTCTACCCATCTGACAAAGGTCTAATATCTAGAATGTACAAGGAACTTAAGAAAATTTACAAGAAAAAAAAAACCATCAAAAAGTGGGCAAATAATATGAACAAACACTTCTCAAAACAAGAGGTTCATGTGGCCAAGAAACATATGAAAAAAAAGCTCAACATCACTTATCACTAGAGAAATGCAAATCAAAACCACAATGAGATACCATCTCATGCCAGTCAGAAAGGTGATTATTAAAAAGTCAAGAAACAACAGGTGCTAGTGAGGCTGTGGAGAAATAGGAAAGATTTTACATTGTTGATGAGAATGTAAATTAGTTCAACCGTTGTGGAAGACACTGTGGTGATTCCTCAATGATCCAGAACCAGAAATACCATTTGAACCAAAAATCCCATTACTGAGTATATACCCAAAGGAATATAAATAATTCTATTATAAAGCTACATGCACACACAAGTTTATTTCAGCACTATTCACAATAGCAAATACATGGAACCAACCCAAATGCCCATCAATGATAGACTGGATAAAGAAAATGTGGTACGTATACACCAAGAAATACTATGCAGTCACAAAAAGGAATGAGATCATGTCCTTTGCAGGGACATGGATGAAGCTGGAAACCATCATCTTAAGCAAACTAACACAAACACCACATGTTCTCATTCATAAGTGGGAGTGGAACAATGAGAACACATGGACACAGGGAGGGGAGCAACACACCAGCTCCTGTTGTTGGACGGCGGGGAGCTGAGGGGAGAGACAGCATCGGGACAAATAGCTAATGCATGCTGGACTTAAAACTTAGGTGACAGGTTGGTAGGTGCAGCAAACCACTATGGCACACATGTACCTATGTAACAAACCCACATGTTCTGCACATGTATCCCAGCACTTAAAGTAAAAAAAAAAAAGAATTTTGTCACATGCTTTTTCTTCATCTGTTGAGATGATCATATTGTTTTTACCCTTCATTTTTGTTAATATGGTGTATAACATTTATTGATTTATGTATGTTGAATTATTCTTGCATCCCAGGGGAAAATTCCATTTGATCATGATGTATGATCCTTTTAATGTGCTGTTGAATTCAGTTTATTAGTATCTTGTTGAAGATTTTCGCATGTGTGTTAATTAGGGATATTAGACTCAAATTTTTTTTCTTATATTGTCCTTATCTAAGTTTGATATCGTGTAAAATTAGTTTGTAAAACGAGTTTGGAAGTGTTTCCTCATTTTCAATCTTCTGGAAGAGTTTGAGAAGGATTGGAATTAATTCTTCTTTGAATATGTGTAGAATTTGCCAAAGATGCCACAAGATTAAGGGGTTTCCTTGATGGGAGGTTTTTGATTAATGATTAAATCTCTGAACAGGCCATTATTGGTCTGTTCAGATTTCCTATTTCTAATGATTAAGCCTTGATAGTTTGTATGTTTGCAGGAATTTGTCAAATTTTTGTATGTTTTCCAATTTGTTGGCATATAATTGCTTTTGCAGTCTTGTAATTCTTTGTATTTTTGTGATATTGTGTTCTTCTTTTATTTCTTATTTTATTTCTTTGAGTCTTCTCTCAACTCTTAGTTTCATTTATCTTTTCCAATCTTTTTCTAGTTTCCATTTCATTTTACTTCTGGGATGATCTTTATTATTTTCTTCTATCTGCTAACATTGGGCTTAGTTTGTTCTCATTTTTCAAGTTCTTTGAGTTGTAAAATCAGGCTGTTTACTAGAGAGCTTTCTTTTTTTAATTCACGTGTATATCTCTATAAATTTTCATCTTAGAAATAATTCTGCTGTATCCCATAAATTTTCATATGTAGTTTCTATTTTTATTTGCCTCAAGGCATTTGTTAGCTTCACTTGATTTCTTTGACTCATTTGTGGTTGTGTGTTGGTAAATTTCCATATATTTGCTAATTTTCTCATTTTTGTCCTTTTATTGATTTCTGGCTTTATCCTGAGAAAATATACTTTATATGATGTTTTATGATCTAACATATGATATATTTTGGAAAATACACCATGAGTGCTAGAGAAGAATGTGTATTCTGCTGTGATTGGAAAGAATGGCTTGTATATGTCTGTTGCTTCCATTTGGCCTACAGTTTTGTTCAAGTGCACTGTTTACTTACTGATTTTCTATCTGTGTGATCTATTTCTTGTTGAAAGTAGGGTATTAAAGCCCCCATACAATTTTCTTTTGCTGACCATTTCTTTCTTCATTTCTCTTAATATTTGATTTTTACATTCAGGTGTTTTCCAATAATGGCTGCATATTTATTTAAATATGTGATATCTTCTTGATGAATTTATCCTTTTATTATTATATAATGACCCTTTTTTGTCTCTTGTGGCAGTTTCTGACTTAAAGTTTATTTTATCTGATATAAATATAGCCACCCCTGCTCTCCTTTGGTTATCATTTGCACAGAATATTTCTTTCCATACATTTATTTTTAGCTATATGTATCTTTAAAGCTAAAGTGAATTTCTTGTAAGCAGCATATACCTGGATCTGTTTTTTTATTCCTGTTTATTCAGTCACTTTATGTCTTTTGATTTACATTTACAACAATTATTAATAGGTAAATATTTAGGTTGCTATTATATTAATTGTTTTCAAACTGTTTTGTTGTATCTCTGTTTCTCTCTTACTGTTGTACTTTGTGAAATGATATTTTGTTATTTTACGCTTTAATTTCTTTTGCTTTATCTCTTGTATCTCTAACAGAGCTTTTTCTTTGTTGATACTAGAGGCTTACATAAAACATCTTATAACTGCTTATTTTAAACTGATAACAATCTAACTTCAATTTTATACAAAACTGTAAACTTTAATTTCTCCTTCTCCTACATTTTATGTTATTGATGCTACAATTCACATTTTTTACATTGTACATCCATTAAGAAATTATTTTAGATATTTTTTATTTTAAAATATTTGATTGACAAATATTTTATATATTTAAGGTGTACAATGTGATAATTTGATATATGTATACATTGTGTACAGATTATCCCATTAAATTAATTAACACATTCATTATACCCATAGTTATTACCATTTGTGTGTGTGTGTGTGTGTTGAGGACAGTTTAAATCTACTTTCTTATCAAATTTTAGGTAAACAATACGGTATTATTAACTATAGAAACCATATTGAACATTAGATCCCCTAAAATTCATTTTATAACGGAAAGTTTGTACCCCTTTTCAATACTTTTCTATTTTAACTTTTATGCTAGAGTTAAACATAATTTGTACACCATGGTTACAGTTTTAGCCTATGCTGAATTTGACTGTAATTTTACCTTTACGGTGAGTCTTACAGAGTCCTTTTGTTTCAACTTAATGAACTCTCTTTAGCATTTCTTATAAGTCAAATCTAGTGGTGATGAACTCCTCAACTTATGTTTGTCTGGGAAGGTCTTTACTACTACTTTATTTCTGAAGGATCACATTGATGGATATAGTATTTTTGGTAGTCTTTTTTTCCTTGTTACTTTTAACATGTTATTCCACTATCTCCTGGCCTACAAAGTTTCTGCTGAGAAGTCCACTGATAGTGTCATAGAGCTTCCCTTGTTATATGATGAGTTACTTTTCTCTTGCTGCTTTCAAAATGTCTCTTTGTCTTAGACTTTTGAGAATTCAATTATATTGTGACTTGATGAAGATCTCTTTTATGTTTAATCTATTTGAGGTTCTTTGGGCTTCATGGATCTGGATATTCATTTCCATCTCAAAATTTGGGAAGTTTTTTGTCATTACTTCTTTAAATAAACGTTCTATCTATTTCTCCTCCTCTGCTACTTCTGGAATTTCCATAGTGTGCAAATTAGTTCACTTGATCGTGTCCCATAAGTAACATAGGCTTTCTTCACATTTTTTTAAATTACTGTATCTATTTATTCCCCTGACAGGGCAATTTCAAATGATTTGTCTTTGAGCTCACTGATTCTTTCTTCTGCTAAATTAAGTGTGCTATTGAAGCTCTGTATAGAATTTGTCAATTCAGTCATTGTGTTCTTCAGTTCCAAAATATCTATTTGGCTCTTTTTCACTTTCTGTCTTTTTTCTTAAATTCCCATTTTCTTCATGTATTGTTTTCCTGATTTTGTCTGGTTGTTCATCGGTATTCTCTTGTTCACTGTATTCCTTTAAGGTGACTACTTGGATTCTTTGTTTACAGATGTCCATTTCTTTAGGGTGAGTTAGTGGTGCTTTATTTTCTTTGGTGGTTCATGTTTCCCTGATTATTTGTGATTCTTGTGGCCTTACATTTGTGTATGTACTTTTGAAGAAGTAGTTACCCTTTTCTGTCTTTACAAACTAGTTTTGGCAGGAAAGCCCTCTAGCAGTAAGCCTGCTCAGAGATTCTGGGTGAGCCTTGAGCATAAGTCGTCAGGGACTGGCCTAGCACTGATGACGGCTTGGTACCTGAGTCCGTGGAGATGGTCCTGGTCCTGAGTCTGTGATGGTTGGCCTGACACCTGTTTTCACTGGGTAGGGCTGGTATCTGGGTTCATGAGAGCAAGCCTCGTGCCTTGCACCATGGAGTGGGCCTGGAGCCTTGGTCCACGGACCTGGCTTGTACTACAGTGGGCTGAAGCCTGAGTCTGTATGGGTTAGCCTGGGTCTCTGGAGGCTGGCCTGTGTCTTAAGGCCATGGGGACCAGCTTGGAGCCTTGGTTCATGTGTGCTGGTCTGGGGCTGGCAGTTTCAGGAATTGGCCTGGCATTAAGCAGACCTATAGCCTGTGTTTGTGGGTGTTGTCCTAAAGCCTAAAACAAGGGACAAGCTCAAAGCCTGAGGCTGCAAGGGCTGGTCTTGCAACAGAGTCCACTAGGGTGGGACTGGTTCTGGGGTCCATGGTAAAGTCTGGTGCTCACTTCCCTCTCTTTCCTTCACATGGAATGTATCTCTCCTCATGCTGAGCTTGGGAGGGGGATGATATAGGTAATGCGAAACTGTCCTTCTTATCCTATTCAATGCATCTTTTCTTGTTTTGGTTCTCTACCTAGGTGCTGTGAGCTCCCATCTGAATTATTTGACTCTTGTGAAGGTTTTTTGTGCATAGATGGTTGTTCAGATTGATGTTTCTGTGAGGAGACAAGCTCTGTGTATTAGTCCGTTTTCATGCTGCTGGTAAATTCATACCCAAGACTGGGCAATTTACAAAAGAAAGAGGTTTAATGGACTCATGGTTCCGTGTGGCTGGACAGGCCTCACAATCATGACAGAAGGTGAAAGGCATGTTTCACATGGCAGCAAACAAGAGAAGAGAGCTTGTGCAGGGAAACTCCCCTGTATAAAACCATCAGATCTCATGAGGCTTATTCACTATCAAGAGCACAGCATGGGAAAGGCTCACTCCCATGATTCAATTACCTTCCACCAGGTCCCTTCCATGACATGTGGGAATTGTGGGAGCTACAATTTAAGATGAGATTTGGGTGGGGACACAGCCAATCCATATCACTCTGGAAATTCCTATTCTAATATCTTGCTGATTTCACCCTCTAGATAATCTAAAATATTCTGTTTTCTTATTAAAATAAATAATGTAACACTGTCTCACAAATTAAAATTTAACATTCACTAAATTGTTACTTTCAATTAAGAATATTTAATAAACTTCTTCATGCAGTATGCTAATATTAAACATTTCAATGAATTTATTGTGCCTGTTGAATTCCCAATCCATTTGGAAGATTTTTCTTTAAAATTCTAAGACAGTAAAATTGACACTGACTTAATACATCTGTGTTCTTTATGATTTCTTAGTTTGCTCATAGATTTCCCTCCTCCAATATCATTATACATAGATTGGACAAAATATTTCCTAGTATCTGTCATATAACTGAATATAATTCTTTTACATAGAATTAATGTAATATTTATTATTTCATTATTTTTTATTACTTTCTATTTTCATGTAGAGACTATAAATGAGCACATATATTTACTTACTAAATTATTTTAACAGTTTTAAAAGAAAACACCCCTTATACGTCAAATAAAAAAGTGGAAAATATATTTTTCTCCTAAAATGTCTGACATAATTCTTTATCTCTAGTTTATAAGGGCTGGCCTCGAATACCTCTCAGGTCACTTACCAACATTCTACTTCCAAAGAAAGAGAAGCATATTTCATTCAGTACTAGTCCATCTCCACTTTATTAGAAAGCAAATGAGTAGACACTTCTGGGTTACTTTATTCATAACAAATGCACAGAGTACTGCTGGATCCTCCCAGAGGGTCACAAAGATAGGAGATGGCTCTGAAAAGAAAAGTGCTAGTCCTTGGGGATTAGAATTCTTGAACCTGTCAGGAAGTTAAATGTGTCTCAGCTGAAGGCAGCTGTTCACTTAGACTTTCAAAAATGAAAATATTTTTGATAGATTAAAAAAGACCATTATAGATGGACAGATACACATACCTACATACACACACACAAACACACACACGTAGATATATATTGCAAAAGGATGTGTGCAAATAAATCAGGGACACATGTATGGCTTGTTTTAGTAAAAATAGAGTCAAATTATAAAAAAAGAATTTTCTGCCACAATTGGCATGCTATTTCAGCTATAGCAGTCTTTCTAAACTCGATTCTCACATTCAGTTTTGGCCAGGACTTTTACTATTGCCATGGGAGATGTGAAGAATAAACAGGTACCAGCCCCTGTATAACTGGGATATGGTTGCACGGTTGTGGAGGACATTGATAATTTTTCTATATATTAGGGTGATGAGTGTGTAATATAATATATTTTAAAATTAGGCCACAATTTAAAGTTATCTAGGGTTAGTTTCTGCTCTATTACGAGCCACTTAATTCACTTCCATCAATTATGTAAATGTAGTTTGAATTTATGTATCCTTTGTCCTTTAGACAAGGTATGAAAACACATTTTATTTTTTTAGTTTCCTGTAGCTTAGCAATACTGTCTGCCACTTTAGTTTGCAGAATTGGAGGGTGGGAGTGGGGTTAGTTGAGGTTTCTGGGAAGCAAAGAATCTTAATGAGATCCTGGCCATCTCAAGATTAACAGTTACGACAGTGTGCTTGGTTAGCCAGGGTGGCCCTAGCTAAGGTCTGTTGGCAGGAAGGAGCACCAAGAATTTCAAGGTGTCCTCCACAAGAAAGCCGATGACTCAAGTTCAACACAGAGCCACATGCATTCATGGGTGACTGTGAATTTTGGCATGAGATATGCTTTGCATTTGTTGTGCTGTATGCACTAGAGAACAATGAATGTTGTGAAGAAAATTACAACATTTGAATTCATCACAACACATCTACAACTGTGGGCACCAGGTTGAGGTCAGTGAGTAGTACATCACTGCACTTGTGAGACTGCAGGCAAATCAACCCTTCAGTGGAACAATTTTTTTTTTAAAAAGAGGATTTGGTTCCTGTAGGGCAGAGGTGGAGATAATTGGTGAAGATATTAAGTTATTTGCACAATGTCTAGCACTTATTATGTGCTCTATAAATATTTGGTAAAAATAAGTATTGGTTATTATTGAGTATTATAGAGAGGCAGTATATTAGGATGAAATGTACACATTATTCAGGACCAAAAGGCTTTGGTACAAATTCAGCCTCTAAGTGAATTTAGGCAAAACTTTACAGATGCCTAGTATTTTGTAGTTCACAAAACATTTTAAAAAACAGCATGACAGCATGTCATTTAATTGCCCTCACCACCTCGACTTTCTCACCTGTGACACTGGAGAGACAGTAGCACCTGCCCTACCTCCTTTATGCACTCATGATTATGAAATATGATGACTTTGAAAGTACCATGTAAATGACAATAAGTTGTACACATGTTATTTATTATCCCTGTCATTATCAGGAGGTGGTACTGAGCTAGGATCCATGGGGCCAAATATATAGGCATGAGTGAAGGTTTAGCGGCTTTGCTTCAAACAATTTAAGTGGAAGTTCTGAAGACTCCAATATGCAAACAAGATATATGAAATTAAATGATAAAGAAGAAATGGTGATGTTTTTCAAATAGCTTTAGGTGATTGTATCTAAGTGAATTAATTTGTATTTATTAAACACTAAAATGAATCTATTAAGCACTTATGATAAATCTGACACAAGACAATAAGCTTTATGGAAGCAGAGGCTGGGTCTGTCTTTGCTACCATTTTATCCCAGCATCTAGCTTTGATTAAACCAACAACATTGTGTTTGGTATGTTGGGGGTACATCAAAGTGCAAGACATGGTCCCTATAGTATCTCTCTTCCTTCCTCAAACATTTATTGAGAAGGTATTATACAACAGGCACCCTGTTAGACTCAGGCAAACTAGAAACAGACCATTCCATTGACAAGCAAACAGTCCAGAGAGAGATTTACATGTAGAAAGATGAGACAAATATGATACAATGTGACAAGTAATATAACAAAGCATGAACAAGTGCTGTGGGAGGAGACTCATGGATAGAGCACTCTACCTTGTCTAAATCTGAGTAGTTACTTCTATGAAAAATATCTGTAGAGCCACACAAGTTTGTGAGTACTCAAGTGATAGATATTACAAGAATGTAGAGATTAAAAACCTATTTCCATTAAATATCTAAGAATGTACTATATAGTATCAGGAGATAATAGGAAAAATCATCTCATACCTGGTCTATGGAGCAATGAGAAAATAAATATAAAATATTTATTTAGAGGCATTTTTAGTTATGCACCTGATCCCAAATATGTTGCTCAATTGAATCCAAAATTTGACAGTGCTTGGAACAAAACTCTGATCATACTAACAGCTTTGAGCATTCACACAGTATTAATGCATTTGCAGTTTTAAATCTTAGGTAATGTGTTAATCCACTGTGTTTCTATAAAGGAATTCTGGAGCCTGGGAAATTTATGAAGAAAATAGTTTTATTTTGGCTCATGGCTCTGCAGACTGTATAGGAAGTATGATGCCAGAATCTGTTTCTGGCAAGGCCTCAGGAAGCTTACAAGCATGGCAGAAGGAGAATGGGGGCCAGCGTGTCATATGGCAAGAGAGAGAGTAAGAGAAAGAGGAGGAAGTTCTAGGCTCTTTTAAACAACCAGGTCTCATGTGAACTCATAGAGTGAGAACTCATTAATTGCCATGAGAATGGCATCAAGACATTCATGAGGGATCCACTCCCATAATCCTAACATTTCTCACCAGGGCCCACCTTCAACATTGGGGATTACATTTCAACATGAGATTTGGAGGGAACAAACATGCAAACAGTATCATGTAATGTTATTCCATGCCAAGAAATGGAAGAACAAGATCTTCATGCTCCTTAAACAACAAATTCAACTTTCTGTCCTATTGGTAACTAAGGAGGCCTTCAAACAGTATAGGAGATTTTGGCTTCTCTTCTCAAAGGTGAGAGAACTTTAGCTACTGACTCACAGCCTTCTTGTCCATCTTTATTACTATCTCCATTCTTCTTGACTTCAGTATCTCCTCTTCCTTGAAGTCCTCCTCTCTAATTTCCTGGTCTTCTTTTCCCTTTGAGTTGCCCACTCTTGCTCATACCTTAATTTATATAGTACCATCAAAATGTCAACACAACACAAATCTAGAGTTTGGACATTCCACTCTGAATCTCGGCATCACTCTTCCTTATTGCTACAGTTCAATGGTTCATCTGCCCATTTAATCCATCCACAAGTCCAACTGGTGCTATGTCAAAAATATATCTTGCACCCATTCATTATCTTTCTCTCCTTGTATTACCTTTGGCTAAACAACCATCAGTCATTTAGATTCTGTTAAACTTGTAACTACAGCTTAACAAACCAATAACAATTCTAATGAAAATACTAGCACAGTTAAGCAGACATGCTAAATTTCCTATTAAAGAAAGATTAGAGTAAATGTAAGATTTATTTACCTTAAAAAGGAGAGTGCAGCTTAAAAGGAAATGTAAATAAAGCTTAATGCGCCTTATTTACAGAGTTAAAGGCAATACATCTGCCTTATACTGACATCATTACCCTGTCTATCATCACATATGAGCTAATTTATGTTATAGAAATATATTTAGAGCAAATTAGACTTATCCATAAACTTTCCAAAAGCCAATGTTCTATAAAACTAAGTTTTAATTTTCTCAAGAAATTTTAAAATCTTTTGAATTCTTAATTAATATGAATGAATTCATATACCGTGAAAAAAGTCAGAAAATCTGGGATTTAGTATTTATAGTGCCACGAGAGAATCATGTGACTTTTAGTTAGTCACTCTAGCTAGTTAGTAACTTCTTTTTTTAAAAAAGCAAATATTATACCTGACTTGTCTTCATCACAGGATTGTTATGATTAAATGAATTATAATGAGTATAGAGAGGAACATATAATGAGAATAATGAGTCTAAAACTACTTTGAGCACTAAAAAACACTATGTAGATGTAAAGTGTTTAGATTATTATGAGGAAAACTTATTACTGGCAATTGCTAAATCTTACCTTTGTATATCAAAGAGATAATGGCAAAAAGTACACAGCCTCCAGGGTACTTACCTATGAAACTCTGCCTTTAAACAGAGCCACTACCCAAACTCCCAAGAGACGGAGACCCAACCTCCTCATAAGAATGTAAGCTGATCACAGGAGGACAAAAGGAAAAATCTTACAACTAAACAAACGTAAGCAGATTGTGAATCAGCCTGGAAAGCGAAGCATATTCCCGCTGCCATTAACAGGGACACACGGCATAGGGGTTCCCACGACCAATGAGAAAGACATATTTGGGGATAATTGTCCACAGTCATTTCCTCCTTTGCAAGAAATGGAGACAGCATTATAGGGAATCAAAATGCAAACCACTCCTTTAGACCAGAGTCCAAATGTAAGTATACTTATACCTATACCAATACCTAAACCTATATCATTTATATCTATATTTTTAATAGTTAAAGGGCAAAGCAGAAGGTAAGGCTGAGCTGCAATATGTAAAGGGAGGATTTGGAAACTTTGCTAAGATTTGTTTCAGTGAATGGGCAGTTCAAAACTGAATCTAGAGCCACAGAGAAAATTCCATAGATTGTGTAAATCTCAGAGCCAAGCACTGAAAAAAAAAGTGACTGGATGTGATAGATGTAAAAATGGACTCAATTACTCAGGGATTTGATGGCTTTAAAATAAAAATTAGAGGGATGGATGAAAGAATACAGTCATTGAAGGAATCCACTTTGGTATTTAAACAGGGCTTGAAAACCTCAGAGCAGCAGATTGCTGTTATAATTAGAGATAATGTTTCACTTCGTTTTAAAAATGAATCATTGGTAAGACAGTGGGAAAAAAAAGTCTACAGATGCTTTGTCCTCTCATCAGTGCAGGCATTAGAATTCTAAAGGAAAGGATAGGAATATTTTAACATGTCTTTTTGGCTTCATTCATTTATTTTTCAATCATTCATGCAATATACAAATAATTAGTGAGTACCTTCTAGGTGTTAAGGCATAATGGTAGGTGTGCAGCTACAATATAGCACAAATGAAAGCTAAAATCTGACAACTGTGGTTCATAAACAAATATGTAGATGGTCCATGTAAATAGAATACCTTCATAGACCTATTTTACCAATATATTTATTTTAATATAATAGATTTTATTAAAATAATGAATGTATATACTTAAAAATATTTAATAGTACAAGCAAACAATGCTCAATCTGCATGTATTTACATCTTTATTTTGTCTGGTTTTTCTATTCGATAAATTCCTGAGATGGAAAGTCTGGGTCAAAATTATATGCGTTTCACATTTAAACTGATTGATAGTGCAAAATTTGCATTATGTGTGCCTGTTCACATTCCCTAATCACTCTCAGAGCATTCTTGACAACACTGGTATTATAAAAGTATGCAATCTTGTTGAATGGATAAGTGACAAACCATACCATATTTAGTGTGTGTTTCTTTAAATATGGAAAAGAATATACTTTTTTTACATGTTTATTGACCTTTTATATTTATTACTCTGGGAGTTGCCCCATTCCTTAGATTGTTTTGTCTTGTCGATTTGAAATAAATCTCAACTCATCTAGATCTGGAAGGGCAGCAAGCAAGGGATATCTGGCCCACCATCTTGTAGTATGTTCATATGCTTTGATCATATGCTTTTAACCTTTGACATATAGCATTTCTATGGTCAAACCATCTTTACATTCCTGGGATGAACTCAACTTGATCACATTTTACTATTTTTCTCTGTCCAATATGAAATTTAGGATTTTAGCATCCATATTCATGAATACTATATGTAATATGATAGTTTTTTAAAACTATATATTCATTCATACTATTAAAAATTATGCCAGAGATATGATTTAAAACTAAGTAGCTGAAAAAACATTACATAAATTTTTGTGTCAATATGGATAGGCTTCAAATATATATTGTTTAACGAAACAAAAGCCAAGTTGCAAAAAAAGTATGAATAGTGAAATCTTTGTATTTTTTTAAGTACGTTATATAGATATGGGAGTTGTTAGTAATTATTAACCTCTAAGGAATAGGTTTTAAGCCTTGGGTTTGGGCAAGAATTGTGTGTGTGTGTGTGTGTGTGTGTGTGTGTGTGTGTGTGTGTATGTGTGCACATGTGCATGTTTTACTATTAAATATTTTATATTTATTCTTATAAATATTTATAAATATTCTTGTACTCTCTTTGTTACATTTGACACTGGCCTTGGAAGACTAAGAAATTTTCTCTTCTATATATGACCTAAAATTGTTAAAATAACCTACATGTTCTTTATAGGTTTGAAAGAATTGATAAACTGATTTGTGAAACTGTCTGAGGCAAATGTTTTTGCTGATGCGAGTGACTTGTGATTTTCTTAGTTTCTTCTATAGCAATGGGTTTGTTAATTTGTTATTACTTTCTCATTTATATTTTAATAGAAAATCATTCATTTTAAAGAGTAAGATTTATAATTTCAGTATATTTTTATTTTACTCTGTGCAAAATAATTTTCTTACTTTTAATTTAATTGTTTTTGTGTCTGCACTTACAATTGTATCTCATTTTTAATTTGCTACTTTCCCAATGATACTTCTAACTTCATATATGATGATTTCTCATCATTTACTTAAATTAAGTGGTTATTAACTTTTCTATTACATCGGATTTCCCTATAAACAAGTAACTGTTGGATTGCTTTCTTTTCACATTTTATTGAATTTGCTTTTAACTGTAAGTCAGTTCTTCTCATATATTTTATCTTTTCTTGCTATTGAATACTTACATTTTATTTTTATTTCTTCTTGCAAGGAATTTTAAGACTATAGATTTTCTCTAAAAATAGTGTTGGCCAAACCCCATGGGTTCTAATTTGTGTGTGTTTTTTTCCCATTATTATTTTGTAAGTACTCTGCATTTGTTTTGCTTTGTTGACCAAAGTGTTGACAAAGATGGTTTTTAGTTTTGTTCTATTACTAGGTTCTTCCAAATCTCTTCCTTTTAGGTATTCTTTGTGCCTTTTCTGGTATAAGCAACTAGTAAACAGATTTTTTTTTTTACAAAGTACAATTTTAAACCTAATTTTGTGACCCTAAAATGTACATTCCTGTATACTAAAGCAATAAAAGTAATATGTACATATCTTTTTAAAATTTTATGGTCTATTTATTTGCCAGTGGCTTTATTTTAAAGACAATGGCTAAATGAACTTACATATATAATACATATAAAATATAATATATTTCATATATTAACATTCTTTAAAATATTGCAAGCTCTCTGAAATTGAGGGCTAGTTTAATTGCAGATTTTTTTTAGTGATGAGTAATTATATACTTTTCTATTAATGACATCTTAGTTTCAATGAAACATGGTATTATCAGAAACAGACATATTCTGAGATATAATTTTATATTAAAATTTAGTTCACTGCTTTAGTAAAAATCATGTATTATTCATGATCTGTTTGCACCTAACATTGGGACTGTTTTACAATATGCAATTATATCTTGATGGTGTAATTTAATCAAACTATTTCTGAATTCTTGAATTAACTTAAAAAATAGTATGTCACTCTAGAAAGAATACTGTACCAAGAGTCAGGATACACATCATTCTCTCCACTTTATTACTCTCACATCTGCTCTCAGCCCTTGCTGTATCCTGCCCTCAGCTCTCACCAGTGCTAACTCCATTCATCCTCTGCTGTCCTCACAGGCTCTTCTCTCACCTGAAACTCTGTGGGCAGCCTCTTCCCAGGGTTATCACACCACTCCAGTTACCTTGCCTCTTTTTAACCCTATTATGTTCAAATTATCAAAACACACTTTGGGAAACTCCTATGGGTGCCTTATCTCGATCCAGATACTGGGCTAATCAGAGTTGGAAGGATCATCTGATCTGATCCATACTAAAAATAAAGAAATTGAAATTAGATAAGTTAATGACCTTATCTCTGTCTCTCACCTTGAGCACCTTGAAGTAATCTATCATCAACTATCTCAATTTTTTTACTTCTGTACTTCACAGCCATTCTTTTGTTCTATCCAGTCTTCTCATCCCCTCTTCTTATCTCAGAAAAAGGAATGTACTTCCTCTCTGAAGCTAGTCCATCTATTTCTACATCAAAAGGTTAATGTTAATTTTCCTCATGCCATTTCTTTTTCCACTCTTTTTATCTTAGGCCTCTTTTAACTCATAGAAGTGTTTATTTCTCCCTCTTATTTTTGGCCAGCATATTTATATCTTTGTTACTATACTTAAAATCCAATGGCTTTTATAAAAGCATGAAAAATGTTCAACTTCCCACATAATTGTATAAGTGTAAGTTAAAATGACACAAATTTATGTATATCAGACAATCAAAAATTTAAAAGTTGTCAATACATAAATTAGCCAAGAGTTTGGATCAATAGGTAGCGTCTTAATGGGAATGGAAATCAGTACAACCTCTATGAATATAAATTTGGCAATATCTATCCAAGTTTAAAATGCAATTTCAAATCTAGAAAATACTCATACAATTGGACAGATTTCATTGTCACTATTTTTAATAATAAAAAAGTCACCAAAAGGTAAATGTACAGAAATAAAGCTTTAATTAAATATGTCATTGTATATAAATATAAGAAACTATGGTGAAGCTGCTCAGAAAAATTAAGTGATGAAATTGTACACACTCAAACATTTTTTGTTATTTTAATATCAAGATACAGAAATATATACACACATACATCACTTATATATGCACAGATGTCTGAAAACTACCTAAAAATTATTGCTGCCTCTTAGTATTATGGTTTAAAGTTTTTGCCGTGTTACTTTCATATTTAAAAAATAGCGGCCAGGCGCAGTGGTTCATGCCTGTAATCCCAGCACTTTGGGAGGCCAAGGCGGGCAGATCATGAGATCAGGAGATCCAAACCATCCTGGCCAACGTGGTGAAACTCTGTCTCTACTAAAAATACAAAAATTAGTCGGGCGTGGTGGTGTGCACCTGTAGTCCCAGCTACTTGGGAGGCTGAGGCAGGAGAATCGCTTGAACCCGGGAGGCGGAGGTTGCAGTGAGCCGAAATCACGCCACTGCACTCCAGTCTGGGTGACAGAGTGAGATTCTGTCTCAAAAAAAAAAAAAAAAAAAAAAAAAAAGCTTATTTTTATAGCCAATAGGGTGTAGTTTGGACTAACAGTAAAATCTCATCATTAAGTTCAGGCTGTTGTTTTTATTCTTGATACTGTTTACAATTCTGTTCATTGCATAAAATAAAATAGCGTCAAAATTAGAAAGATGCCCTCTTTCCCCCTAGTGTGTCTAGATCTCATTACCTAGAAGCAATCTTCATTAATATTTTGGTATCTTTTCTTTGCGAATATTGTCTATCCTTATTGCTCTTGCCTGGGCTTTCTCTAGACTGAGGACGCATGGTGGGAAGAGCTCTGGCACCATCCACTGTGGATCCACACCTTCCTGTCTGTGTGACCCCAGGCAAGTTACTTAACCTTAGGGTGCTTCTGTTTTCTCTTATGTTAGAAATGGGACCTATTGGGCCAGACGCAGTGGCTCACACTTGTAATCCCGGCACTTTGGGAGACCGAAGCAGGTGGACCACTGGAAGTCAGGAGTTTGAGACCAGCCTGGCCAACATGGCAAAACCCCATCTCTACTAAAAATACAAAAATTAGCCGGGTGTGATGGCACATGCCTGTAGTCCCAGCAACTCAGGAGGCTGAGGCAGGAGAATCGTTTCGACTGGAGAGGGGGAGGTTGCAGTGAGCTGAGATCGCACCACTGCACTCCAGCCTGGTTGACAGACTCCAGATCAAAAAAAAAAAAAAAAAAAAAAAGATGAGGGAGGACCTATTAAAATTATGTGGGAAAGAGAAAATCCATGTAAAACATAATAATATCTAGGACATAGTAAGTGCTCAGTGGAAGCTCTTATTATTTCCTTGTTTAGGCTATCCTTTCCTAATTTTACTCTCCCCTGTTAACAATTCTCTGAACTCTCCATCACTAAAATGCTTTTCCCATTGACTTTGCCACACACAATTTATTATTCTCTCATTTTTCCTCTGCTACCACATTTCTTGAGTTGTAAGTTGCTTTCTACACTGCTACTTCCTTTAACAACTAGGTTGCCCTTTTTCTTTTGCCATCTGAGTCTTTTTTTCTGCATTACTCTACTAAAAGTTCTACATATCACTCTCTAAAGGCCTAAAGTAGTCACCAAATAAAATGACAGTTCCTCAGTACTATGCAACCTTTTTACAGCATTTTGAACCTTTGTGTTGATCCTCTTTGAAATTTTCTTTTCTCTTGGTTTTCTTCACAATTTTCTCTTTCTTTTATTATTTTTATAGATTTAGGGGATACAAGGGCAGATTTCTCACATGCATGTATTGTATAGTGATGGAGTCAGGGCTTTTATTGTACCCATCACCTGAATGGTTAACATTTGTACCTGATAGATAATTTTCAACCCTCCCTCACCTCTCACTCTCCCACCTTTTGTAGCCTTTAATGTCTGTTATTCAACTCTAAATGTCCATGTACACCTGTAATAGTCAGGGTTCTCTAGAGAAACAGAACTAATAGGATGTATATATATATATATATATATCTCCTATTAGTGCCTATATATACATATATATATGTGTTCATTAATATATATATGAGTTTATTAAATATTAACTTTCCTGACCACAAGGTCCCACAATAAGCTGTCTGCAAGCTTGAGGAGCAAGGAGAGCCAGTTTGAGTCTCAAAACTGAAGAATTTGTAGTCCTATGTTTGAGGGCAGGAAGCATCCGGCACAGGAGAAAGATGTAGGCTGGGAACCTAGGCCAGTCTCGCTTTTTCACATTTTTCTGCCTGCTCTGTATTCACTGGCAGCTGATTAGATGGTGCCCACCAGATCAAGGGTGTGTCTGCCATCCCCAGCCGACTGACTCAAATGTTAATATCCTTTGGCAACACCCTCACAGACACACCCAGGATCAATACTTTACATCCTTCGATCCAATCAAGTTGACACTCAGTATTAACCATCACAGTACCCTTTGTTTAGCTCCTACTTATAAATGAGAACATTCAGTATTTGACTTTGTTTCTGAGTTATTTCACTTAGGATAATGACCACTAATTCTATCCATGTTGCTACAGGAGACAAAATTTCATTGTTTTCTCTGTGGCTGAGTAGTATACCGTGGTGTGTGTGTGTATATATATATATATAGTATATATATGCAATATTGTGTCTGTATACAACATACAATATATATGCAATATACATATATGTGTGTATATATATACACACATATATTGCATTCTCTTTCTCCAATTATCCATTGATGGACACTTAGGCTGATTCCTTGATTTTGCTGTTGTGAATAGCACTGCAATAAACCTACAAATGCAGGTATCATTTTGATATATAGATATAGATATAGATATAATGATTTATTTCCCTTTGGAAAGGGAATTTGTATTTTTATTTCTTTGAGAAGTCTCCATACTGTTTTCCATAAAGGCTATACTAATTTACATTTCCACTAACAGTGTCTAAGTGTTCCTTTTTTTCCACATACTCACTAACATCTGTTGTTTTTTGACTTTTTAGTAATAGCCATTCTGACTGGTATAAGACGGTATCTCATTTGCCTTTTCATTTGCTTTTCTCTGATGATTAACAGTGTTGACCGTATTTTCATGTTTGTTGGTTGCTTGTTTGTCTTCTTTTGAAAAATGTCTGTTCACATCCTTTGCCCACTCTTGAAGTTATTTATTTTTTTCATATTGAGTTTTTTGAGTTTCTTACATTGTTTGAGTTCTGGATATTAGCCCTTTTAGATGCATAGTTTGCAAATATTTTTTCCCATCCTGCAGGTTTTCTACTTACTCTGTTGACTGTTTCGTTTACTGTGCAGAAAGAAAGCTCTTTAGTTTAATTAAGTTCCATTTGTCTATTTTTTAAAATTCTATTTGCTTTTGAGGACTTGATCTTAAGTTCTTTGCTTAGCCAAATGTCTAGAAAAATTTTTCCTAGGTTTTCTTCTAGGATATTTACAGTTTCATATCTTACATTTAAGTCTTTAATCCATCTAGAGTTAATTTTTCTATATAATTAAAATATGAGTTCAGTTTCATTCTTCTGCATATGACTATCCAATTTTCCCAGAACAATTTGCTGAATAGGGTGCCCTTTCCCCAGTGTATATTTTTGTTGAATTTGTCAAGGATTAGTTGCTCATAGGTATGCGGCTTGATTTCCAGGTTCTTTCTTCTGTTCCATTGATCTATGTGTCTATTTTTATACCAGTAGCATGCTGTTTTGGTTAATATAGTCTTACAATGTAATCTGAAGCGAAGTAATGTGTTGCCTCCAGCTTGTTCTTTCTGCTTAGGATTGTTTCGGCTATTTGGGTTTTTTTTTTTTAATTTCGTATGAATTTTAGGTTTGATTTTTCTAATTCAGTGAAAAATGACATTGGTAATTTGATAGGGATTGTGTTGAATCTGTAGATTGCTTTGAGCAATATGGTCATTTTAACCATAATGATTCTTTCAGTCAATGAGCATGGTATGTTTTTCCATTTGTGTGTGACATATATAATTTCTTTCATCAGTGTTGTGTAGTTCTCCTTGTGGAGATCTCTCACCTTCTTGGTTAAATGTATTCCTAGGTATTTTATTTTATTTTTTATTTTTGTAGCTATTTTAAATTGGACTGAGTTCTTCACAATTTCTTTGCACCCTTCAAATGATCCTTCTTGTCTGTCATCTGCACTCCACATGCTCTTTGACCATTTTGTTTTCTCTTTTATGTTTTATCAGTTGGCAAGAACATTGAACCTCAAGGTTTTGAGGAATACTCCCAAATCTTTGTATTCAGCCATGCAATTTCTGCAGTTCATATTTTACATTTCCAGCTAGCTATGTCATATCTCTCAGGGGGAGATGTTAAATGTTGATCAAGCACTGATCTTCTGAGGTGTGTACCTCTATCGGGGATCTCTATTTTTGTCAAGAAAAACATCGTCTTTTGTCACTTTGATTAAATTCAGAGTTATTGTTGACTCTATCTTTTTCCTTGTCCCCGTATCCAACTGGTTCCTAACAATCATCGATCTTACTCTTTAAGTTTGCTAAGGTATTTAAGACTCCCAGATCACTTTAAAAGCCTTTGAAATAGTTTCTATGCCTTTAGTCTCTTTCTCTCTTTAAACTTTCCTAAACACTACTTTTGAATAAATTTTGTACACTCTAGTTTATGTCAATGTTACTCAACTATTCAGAAACCTTTGATAGCTTCTCCACCACTTATCATCTACTTCATTGAAGCAGTTTTAGCATCATTATTAATGGCATGGTCTTTAAAGCCAATCCTCCTGGGTTTGAATTCTAACTTCACCACTTATCATCTACTTCATTGAAGCAGTTTTAGCATCATTATTAATGGCATGGTCTTTAAAGCCAATCCTCCTGGGTTTGAATTCTACCTTCACCACTTATTAGCTGAGTGAACTTGGGCAAATTACTTAACCTTCCTGTGCTCTAGGCTCCACAGTGATAAAATGGAGATATCAACGCTATTTTATAGTGTTGACAGGATGAAATGAGACAATATCTGCTTACTACAACATAGGTATTCAACCAATATTGACTTAACATTTTAGGTCAATATTCCAAACACTTGGCTTAACATGATACTGTAATTTCCTAACATGCCCCTACAGTCATTGGTTTTTGGTTCCTGTCACAGTGCTTGATATTTTATAAGCATTCAATAACCATCTATGTGTTTTTCAACTTTGTGTTTTTTGTTCATGCTGTTGCTTTTGCCTGGAATTCCCTTCTCTTTTACATTCTCCCATTTGAAATCTCAGCCAGAATTCCCCTCCTCCATGGCATCTTTTCTCATCCTCTATCTAGAGATAACAAATATTTTTTCAACTCACAGGGATCACTAAGTTCATTTTTAAATTTGTATTAGTATTACCGTTATCATTATTATTTTGGCTCCTTTGCCAAATAGGTTGTAAATTTTGTATAGACAGAGACAGCATCCAATTCCTTTTTTTCCAGACAACTTCTAGAGTGTCTAATATAGCACTTCTCTTGTGATAAGGGTCCCATAAATATTTTAATATAAGTGAATGAATAAATAACCCCATAAATGAAAGAAATCTAGAATACAAAATTAAATAGATTCAAAAATGAGTTGTGAACTCCTTCTAAGATAAGATGAATGAATTGAAACTTTAAATATGAATTTGAGAGGTCAAAATACCTTCCCATAATCATTAAATAATTAAATTTGACTAGTAATAAATATGGAGAACCTCTGGAGTCAAATATTTTGTGAAGTTTGAAAAACTGAGAAGGGTATATTTCTTATACCTTAAAGTACCCTTTAAGATAAACCTACTATATTAGAAATAATTTATTCTTAGGTTACTTCATGAACATTCACCATGGTTATTTCTGTTACACAAAAGTATCAATTAGCATTCAGTTGCAAAGTAAAACTAAACAAATAAAAATAGTCCATTGCTTTAAAATGTTTACCTTTGAGTGGTACTATAAGAGAGCAGAAGAAACTATAGGTGAACATTAATTTACAAGCAAAAGAAGATTCACACAAATAAGATTACTAGACTTCATTAATAAAAGCACTTTTTAAAATAACATTAATGTATTCACAAAACAAACTGGAAAATAATACAACATATATGACAGTCAATATTTTATGTAAAATAGTTATTATTAATTTTTAAAAGATGTGTAACTAAATTAAAATGTGGGCTAATGGCATGAATAGTTCCAATAAAAGCAGAAAGACTGATGTCCAAAATTAGTCATTTAGACAACCATAAATGTTTGCTTTCCACAAAGAAATAAATATAAACATCCCCTAGCAAATTAGATATATTAACAACCCAATGTTGTTGAAAGTGCGGTAAAAAACAGTTACTGTATATATTACTGGAGGGTATATTAACTGGTGGAGGGCATATTAACTGGTAGAGGGTGTGGTAAAAAATAATCATTCCATACGTTATTGGAGATATATTAATTGGTAGAATTTACTTGAAGTAATTTTTTAACATGGATTTTAAAAGTGTACCTTTTGAGAGATTAATGATCAGTGGTTTCTAAGAATTAGGAAAGGAAGAGGAATGAATTGGTGCAGCATAAAGGATTTTTAGAGCAGTGAAAATCATCTACTTCAGTGAAGCAATTTTAGCATCTGTATGATACTATAATGATACTATATCATTAGTATCATTAGTATCAACTCTGTATGATACTATAATGGTGGATACATTCATTATACATTTGTCGAGATCCTCAGAATGTACAACACCAAGAGTGAACACTAATATAAACTATGGGCTCTGGGCGATAATTATGTGTCAGTGTAGGTTTATCAACTGTAACCAATGCACCACCCTAGTGGGGATGTTGAAAATGGGGGAGCCTATGCCTGTGTAGGGGATGGGATATATGGGAGCTCTCTTTACCCTCCACTTAACTTTACTGTGAACCTAATACTGCTGTAAAAATGAAGTCTATTTTTTAAAAAGTGTATCTTTTCTGTATTTATTCAAAAACATATCGATTATCAGCCAATGTTTGTAGCTGCCTGGAATACAGAACAAACAAAGTCTACAAAATACCAAGTAGATATAATGTCAAGGAGTACAAAGGCTTGAAGAAAAGTAAAACAAAATAGGGAAATAGATAATACCTTGGGATGCTCTCTGACTTGTGGTGGTTGGGGAACATCCTATGGGGTAGATACTATTTGAGGGTAGACTCAACGAAGGGAAAAAGTGAGACTTGGGGTTCTCTGGAAGAGTACTGCAGGCAGAGGGAGTGGTGAGAACAATGACCGTGGGTGCACTTGGGAGCAGGCAGCCTGTCTGTGTAATGTGCAATGCACGGTGGTAGATGAGATCAGGCAGGGGCCAGAGCCCAGGTGCGGTAGAACCTTGTCCTAGGCTGTGGTAGCACATGGAATTTTTCTTTGAGTATAATGAGAAGCCATTAGGATGTTTCTGTTTAGGTATGACATAATGTAATTTCCTTTTTAAAGGTTGCTGCCTGGAGACTAGACTATGAAGGGATCAGGGCAAGGGTGGATATAGGGTTAGGGAGACCCAATAATATTTTAGGAATCAGAATCCCTTGGAATCTAAGTTTTCCTCTGTTCTGATATTTTTATTTTAATTAAAAACAGGCAAATCTGTTGTCCCTTTGGCTTCTTCGTACCACATCTGGAATTGTGCTTTAGAGTCCTCTGAGTGGTTTACAAATGTTTTTTAGGAATCAAATTGCAAGGAAAGTCTTAAACCTAATTCCTGCAATAAGTAATAACATTTCTTATCAGAATTTTGCAGATAAGATAGACAAGGCCCGAAGAGATTGAGTCTTCTCAAACATCTCAGCTCTATTAGATGGATGAATGAAGATCACAACTAAGCTTATCTCTTTCCTCTAGCAATTGGAAATCTTTCCTCAAAGGCAACACAGAATACTGAAGAAGATGGAGCATTTTGGTTTCTCGATTTTAAAGTGGAGGGGTCTGGTGTAGACAGTGGGTGTTTGATGCTGGCTGGTGTTACTTAAAGCATCTGTCTGCCCATCACAACTACAGAAACCTATCATAAAAGAGGTAGTAGTCAAATTCCTTAGGCAAAACCAAATTTCTCACTTCTAGCAAAAAGAACATCCAAAAGGTTTCTTGGATATGAAATCACTTTGGAAAATAATATTTTGATGACTTAAGTGTGAACAAATCAGAAACACATGTTTTCAGTTTTCTAGGGAATAATGATTGCTTTAAAATTAACCTAAAGGTGCCAGGTGGAGTTTAGATTTTATTAAGTCTCAAACATTTGGCAAATAGTTCAAGATGTAGGACCCAATGTGCATCTGGATTCATCTAGTCCTGATATAAATTAGATATCACAAACATGTGTTGAGTTGTGTGGCTTTGATCTCCTTTCAGAAGGGATTGGATTCTCAGGACCTAACCTGCTCTCACAAATGGAAGTTTAGTGTGTGCCTGGATTTTCCTTCTCTTCACGAATATTTTCTGTTAACTCATGGGAATACGGATGAACATTTGAAAAGTCAGCTTTGGAGTGTGGTGTGATGAAAAAACTTTCATACTTTAATAAATAAGATTTTCAATGATAATCAAACCTGCTCAGGGAATCTTTAAAACTGGAGGCTAACTCTTAGAAGATATTCTTGTTTGAGCAATTATGTATTAGATTTTTGTGAACATTTCATCATAGTTATGATTCATGGTCATATGAAGTGATGAAGGTTATACATGTATAAGAAAACTCTTCCAATCTCATTCACTGTGATCAAAAAGAAAAGGAAAAAACCTCCACCTCTTAAATAAAATACCTCTTTAGACTTCAGCTCACATTGAAATACTGGTTATAAATGGCACAAAACTAACATGATTCTGATTACTGTTATTCAGTCTAAATTAATAATAATTTGTAGGCATTGAGTGAGATATATTTAATTTAGTATAATTTATTATCTTATTTTTTCTACAATTTTAATTTTTCTCAAGTAACCATTATATGTGTGTGTATATGTGTGTCTTTCTAACTTTCTCTCTCTCTATATATATGTGTATATATATACGTATGTATATACATACATACATACACACACACACATTTATAAATTTTTTATAGACTCCAATAGCCATAATTCTTCTAATTTGGTGGAGGGAAGCTATGCTATAGAAGGAAGTAGTCACAGTGTCACAGCTGGAAGGGCCAGGCTTACTCCACTTTGATTGAGTTGGATTTCTTCTGTATAGCATCAGGGCATTATGGAGCATATTTTCCTTTACTGATCATATAATCAGCCATTTCTCCCTTGTATACCAGCTGGACCTAGTTTGATTATCTTAATGGCATCCAACTTCCATTTTTGTCAGGGAAATTTCAAAGCTATTTAGCCTATTTAATAATTCTTAAAGTGAGAAAGTAAAATTATTTAAGTGAATTGATTAGAAGGATGTTGATATGGTTTCATATGATTGATTCTTTTTTTCTTTTTAGTATGTTTTCCTTGGTGGACACCTGAAGAATGAATAGGAACAGAAAGTGTAACATAAATCTTTGGATTAACCTTATTTCTCTTGCAATTTCATTCTGTAAGTATTACTTAATAATCTATTTTGTGTGTGGCCCTGTGCTATATACGGTCCTAAAATATGAGACACACTCATCACAAACCATTTACCAGTTTTATAAACTTAAGCTTATTATTTAATTTCCCTGTGCTCTAGCTCTCTCATTTATAAGGTGGAGATAATAATATAATTATCAATAAGGTGAGTTCACATATGAAAAGCACTTACCACTATCCCTAGCATAATGCTTTATTATTATTATTTAAATGATCTACATTTGAGACTGAGTTGTATAAAATAACCTGAGAACAATGCAGACAATATGTTATTGTAGTGAAATGCTATATTGAGTATATCAAACTAGGCTCTACACTGATGGAAACCTAGGCATAAAAGCTCACTAAAGAGGCCTAACAGCTTGGCAGCAACACAAAGATATTAGATCCAAATGCTTTTTAAATGTTTTGAATAAAATAATTAAGGAACGGATTGTAAAGGGACAAGAGTCAATACTGGAAGACCAGTTAGGAGGCTATTGTAGTTGAGACCTAATATGGCAATTAGGGTAGAAGTAGTGGATTTAGAGAAAAATGGACATATTGAAGATATGTATTGGAAGTAGAACCTTCAGCACTTGATGGATTACCTATGTCCTGTGAAGATGAGGGAATATACAGAATCAAGCATGATTCTTCCCCCCATGCCCAACCTTAAAATAAATTTTTGGCTTTAACAGTGAAAGATTTGGTGACACATTTACTGAGATGGAGACAATTGAGGAAGAAATAAGTTCTGGACCCATGAGGTTAATGGTACCTATGACATGTCAAGCAAGGGACCTGGACCAGAGACATAGAACTGCATGTAATGAGTTGTAAAGGACATGTAAAGCCATGACAGTAAAGTCAGTCAGAGAGAGAGAATGTTTAGTAAGAGAGGTGAAAGGAACCCAGGACCTCCAACTTTGCAAGATTAGGAGAAAGGGGAAAAAGCCCTAGCAGGGAAGGCTGAGAATTAGTGTCTTGTGGAAAACAAAGATGAGGCGAATTAAGAGGAAAACAAACAAATAAAAACAATAAAAAGAGCTAACCTCTGAAGAGCACATTAGGTCTTGTATTATTGAATATTAACTAGCAAATACCTCTTTACCCTAGTCACAACCAGGAGCTTCATTAACATGAAGCTTTAAAGCAAGGAAGTATGTATTTCAGATCATAGCTCCCAATTAAACACAGCCCCTCAGTTGTAAAAGTTAAGATACGATAAGATCCAGAGGTCTTCTGATTTATGGTTCCTTGGTTCTCATGTTTTGGATGAAAGACAAGTCACTGCTCCCAGTAGAACTTAGAGTAGAACCTCTACCATAAACTGAGCTAGAACTGTCTTTGAAAACAATGCAGCCTGGAACTTTTTAAGTTCACCCTTTGTTCCTACTTCCTGATGGCTTATTAAAGGCAGAGCCAATCAACAAACTCCCGAAAACTATCTGGTGACATACCAGCCCTTCTGATATTTTCCATCTACCTTGAGATAGAGAATCAGCAAGATTACAAATAGAAATATGCTCCCATACGATTGCTTTGCCTTAAAGACAGAGAACTTATCTTATTCATTTCTGCAGTTTCAGCACATAACCAGTACCAGGTAGAGAGTGGAAACTTAAATCAGCATTTCGCAAGAGAGAATAAATAAATACCCAATACAGAGTGCTACAGAACTAGAAATAAAATGATACAAAAAATCTCAGCTGCTATTATGAAAAATTCTTACATCATTTTTATCTGTGTTCTATATACAGTATTGATATGTTTACTATACTATCAAAATTCCAAAGTCTCTACCTAGGCATCAATATTCTTACAAATCTATGAATTTTCTATCACACATTTTTTTTTCCACTAAAGGACACTATTTTGCTAATGCAAGAAAGCCAGTAAATAGAACTGAGCCCAAACTCTCTAATACCAAGGGCTATGGTGAGGCTGATCCAGGACTTGGTAAGTAGTATATCTTATTTTATTTAAAAAAATCGATATTTAATAGTCTGTTAGCTGAGCCAAAAACACACAGGCTGCAGAAGAAACACTTGTAGATTGCAAAGTGATATTTAAAGAAAAATGCAGACTTGATAAGCATTTCCATGTTTCGTATATTTGGTTTTCAAGAAAAGATGTTGAATAGGCCATTTGATATGTTAGCTGAATGCAGCTGTTTAGATATTTGTTTGGTCTACTATTGAATTTTTCATTAAAAATATGTGGTTAACAGCAGCCAACCTGATTTGCATGTGTGTGTTCCTGATTTGTTCACCGCAATGCCTCCCGTCTCCTACATCTTAATCACACCCAGGCGCCCGCCCCATTACATTACCAGAAGGGAAGTGATGGACATCCTTTGACTCTCTTCATGACCCCCTGATAATCCTGTTTCACACATAGGCTCCCTGCTGTAGGAAACACAAAAGCTGCCACTGTAGTTTTTTACTTCCAGTCGATATTCTGACAGACTTGATCTAGCAAATTAGTATGCTGTGGTAGGGGCACGACAAAAGACCCTTTTGACACACTCTGAATCAATACCAAGGCCGACAGAGAGCCATTTCACCGTAGTTCTGTTATTTTTCCCCTTTTGATGACCCTTTGCTTTTTTTCCCCAGCTTATATGACCTTGTCAGATTTAAAAATATAATGTTAGAAAAGTCATCCTTGCACACACATGTGCACACAAAGACCATGTAGGATATACTAAAATTCCTAATAACAATGTAAAAGAGAAAGGCAGCTGGTGACGAAATTCAAGTACCTTTAAAAAAATGTTTCTTCTTTCTACCAAAAAGAAAGGGAAAAATAGAAAATAATCAGACATCTTGAATAGCTGTGTATATTAGAGAATATAGTCTAATTAGGCCAGGTTAGTTTTCATTTTATGTTATACTTAGTTACTGGTTGCCTTCAAATTCTAAAACTTGTTAAAATGAAACATAATGTAATCTCATGGATGTTTTATATTTTAAGCTGTTCATTAGTTATATTAATCAAGGCTCCTGAGTTTAAAATAGAGAGCATTTTGTTAAATATTTGAAGTTAAAATCATTAGAAAGTAAACTTCAAATAACTATGGAGAACAAAATAAAGTATTAACAAAAATATAAGGTCTTTCCTTATTAACCTTTGCCAAAATAAAATTTTACTTTTTAATATCATGCATTTTTGGTACAGAAATTCTAATTTTCCACATTTATAGTGTAAGGCATATCAGTGTTATATCCTACTTCCAACATATATGATATAACCTCTCCAAATGTTTTTTATTTTTTACTTAATCCCCAATGTGATAGCACAAATGTTTGTTCATCAAACAAAAACACTTACATATTTAGTATAAATGGTGGTCCTCTATTAAGTTTAATATATAAGTGCGTCTGGTAAAACAGATATTGGGATTTCATCCTATTTTTATCTTCAAGGTATACTTATGTACATTATAAATATGAGTTCACTAAAATAATATATCTTTATTCACTCTTTATATAGCAAGTGAGAAACTCATGCTGTAAAAATGAACTCTGTTGAAATATCTGCTGTCTCTTTTTTTATTGTCATCAAAGAACACAGGGAAGTATTTGAAAATGTTTCTCAGCGCTTAAAATGTGAATGTTCCAAAGATCAGACAAAGAAAAATAATAAAAAATAGAGACATTCTCAGGTTTAAAAAATGCTTTACCTCTACAAAGAAACTCTCTCCTAAAACAAGTGCACAGTTGATTTCTAGTGTTTGCCAGGGAGTAGGTACACCACCTATGTGGCACTTCACCACCTTCAAGGACGGAAACGTTGTTATCTCAAATAAAACAACTCTTACAGACTCAATTCAGATATAAGACTACTTAAGTTAATCCTTTCTGGAGACACAGTGGCAAAATTACCCAAGCTAATTCCAAATCCTTGTTCATTTTTCTTCAATGAAATATTGCTAGGACCTCAAATAGTCTCCAAATCATGCCAGCTTTAGGATAGTATATGTTCTTTTGATTTATCAGTACTAATATCAGGACATACTGATTCATGAGCTTTCTATATAAGGCACACAGTCATATCACAATAGATATATCCCAATTATAATGGCATTAATTATATAAATCTTTTTGTGAAGTCTACATTTGCAGGACAATACAAATCTGGAAATGTATGGTATTCACACTTAAATAAATTACTGTTTAATAAAATTTCTTTTATATAATCCAAGCTACACAGACTTTTGGAGAATAAGTGTCTGGTATAAATAATATCTTTATTATTATTCTGGTTTAGGTTATTAGTTAAGAAACCAAGTAATAGATAAAGAAAAACAATTTTCCAAAAATGCCGTGCCTGCAAGATGCAGGTATTTTTAATTTTCTGCATTTTTTGTTTGAAGAATATTAATAATTCTTAAAAATAAATGAAGTAGAAAAAATACTGAGTTCTTTTGGATGTTTGTGGCTTCATGTCGAAACAAATAACACTTCCAATAGCCTTTTTGGATTTTGACTTCCCCAATCCAATGTGCACACACACAAACACCACACACACTGTGACCCACCGGACTACAGAGACTGTAACTGTGCTGCTGTTAACGGTGGAATGTATCTGAGTAACATGGCAACAAAGTATGTTAGCAGCAGCAAATCCCTATGGGTCTGCAGCAACCTCAATTCTTGCCTCCTCAGAAGAAAGAATTCCACTGAGGGGCATAAGGCAGAAGGAGAGACTGAGGCGAGTTTTGGGACAGGAGTGAGTTTATTAAAAAGCTTTAGAGTAGGAATGAAAGGAAATTAAGTACACTTGGAAGAGGTCCAAGCAGGCAACTTGAGAAATCAAGTGCCCTGTTTGACCTTTGACCTAGGGTTTTATGTTGCCATACTTACAGGTCTTGCATTCGTTCTCCCGATTGTTCTCTAGGGGTGGGCTGTCTGCATGTTGCAGTGTCCTGCTACTGCTTGGGAGGGGAGAATGTACTGGAATTGTACACATGCTCACTTGAGGCATTCTTCCCTTACCAGTCGAATGGCCCTAGAACGTATCAGTTAATCTCCACCATTTTGCCTCTTAATGTGCATGCTTGAGCCCACTCGCACAACTCCTGAGATCTTACCAGGAAGCTGCTGATCACCGGTTTCAGTTCTTTTCTATTAGGAGACTGCCTTTCCCTGACACTGGCTGCCACCAATTATTATTTTCGAGAAACAGTTAACAACCGTCTGACCATCACCTGATGGTCACCTGACATTCTTGGTGGGGGATAGAGGGAGCTGTCTCCTGCTCTGCTCATACCTGACTAGCTACCTACTGTAACACTGCCATTAGAAGAAATGATGAAATTCCACTGCAGGTAGGGAAAACTTTAACTTTAGATGTTGGAATCCAATTGCTAGAGAGAGGACTGCTAGACAACACAGAGAGATATAAAGAAATGGGAAGGATATATATTTAATTGTGATCCAAAGAGCAAATCTCTATCATGATAAACAAATATCCCTACAGTTTTGCTATTGCTTTCTTCTTTGCGGTAGATTATTTTTATGTTTCCTAGTGCTAACTGATTTTTTTCTCTGGATTAGCTTTTTTTTCTGTTGCATTGTTACTGCCTTTAAACTACTTATTTAAAGTCTTAGGCCTTGGTGGATAGTTATGAAAACTTCCAGTCCAGTCTAACTTTTGTGTTGTAAAGTTTTTTCTTTAGAAAATTATCTGTTGCAAATTCATCTATTTTTGTTTCTAAAGTTTTCCTCATGTAACTTCACACATCACTCACGTACTTCAAGTAACTGATTTTACATTAACATTGAGCTCACAGGAAAGGAGTCATTTACCTGGGCAGGCAGATCTTCTGTCTTTCAGTGTCTTAATTCATCCTGTACAACTTTTTGGCTAAACAACTCCTCATGTTGCAACAAAACCCAGTGACCTCCTTGAGGTGGCTTGAGGTCAGAGGAGATATTATCTCTATTTTATAAAATAGCCTTTTCAGTTACTGTTATGTCTCTTTTCCATCTATACAAATCATTTTTTGTACATGATTTTGTCAGAGGTGTTTGAACCACAGCGACTCCATCTTGAATAGGGGCTGAGTAAAGTAAGTCTGAGACCTACTGGGCTATATTCCCAGGAGGTTAGGCATTCTTAGCCACAGGATGAGATAGGAGTTTGACACAAGATACAGGTCACAAAGACCTTGCTGATAAGACAGGATATGGTAAAGAAGCCAGAAGGTGGCCAAAACCCGCCAAAACAAAGATGGTGACGAAAGTGACCTCTGGTCTCCTTATTACTCATTACACATTAATTCTAATGCATTCGCATGCTGAAAGACATTCCCTCTAGCACCAGGACAGCTTACAAATGCCATGGCAATGTCCAGAAGTTACCCTATATGGTCTAAAAAGGGAAGGAACCCTCAGTTCCAGGAAATACCCTCCCCTTTCCTGGAAAACTCATTAATAATTCACCCCCTGTTTAGCATACAATTAAGAAATAACTATAAGTATACTCAGTCGAGCAGCCCATGCTGCTGTTCTGCCTATGGAGTATTTTGTATTCTTTTACTTTCTTAATAAACGTGCTTTCACTTTATTCTATGGACTCGCCCTGAATTCTTTCTTGCCCAAGGTCCAAGAACCCTCTTTTGGGGTCTGGATTAAGACTCCTTTCTGGTAGCAATTTTAGAGGCACTTCTCCTTGTTTAAATAAGAGAAAAGTTCAAACATAAAATTCTTGAATCAGATGTAGTCTTTGCTGAAGAAAATATCTATCTAAAACTGAAGAGCATGATAAGATACAAACATTATTTTCCTAAAAATAAATCATTATAATCTGGCACGAGATTTGAAAGAATAAATGTTAAATATTGGAACTATTTCTTTATACACAACATTAATGTACATACCAAAGTTCTTACACAACGAATTCCTGATAATTTAGCAACATTTTATCCATTTGTTTTTTAGCTAAGCCCCCCTTTTATTTTTTGGAATACTGCCTGCCTCCTCACAACTTCATTTCCTCCGAGGTTTTTAGACCAATGCTAGACAAGTGAAAGTAGAGAAAAAAGTAACTCAAGGCAGTTATCTATGCAGCGAATTTTTCATGATCATCTTTTATTCTACAGTTTTCAGTATAATTAAAACATTGAAATATTAAGGTAGATGACTACATAATTTATAAAAAGACTGAATGAACCTAATATGACACAAATAAGACTCGTCAGAGATTTTCAAGTAATTACTATGAGATACCATAATTTTCAGGATTGAAAAACAATCCATAAGGAACAATAAATTACCATTGGTGGAAAAAGAAGCTAAACAAAAGAGATAGAATAAAGGTGATATCAAGGTGTATACTGACACAGATTATAACCTACTTGCTAATGATTTCTACATGGTGGTTTTATTTTTATCCTATTTGACCTGATATCTGTTAGGGTCACCCCGACCAGACCATTCCCTTCCCCTCCCACAGGCCTTACAATACAGTCTCTTGCACTCTCCACACAGGTACCTCAGGGCAAAAGACAACCCTCCCCTTCACTGACCCCTCCAGTAACTGTTTGTCCAGGCAGTTACAGGATGCAGTTAACATGTCTGTTCACTTCGCATAACAAAACTGGCAAAAAACATCTCCAGGATGCGGTCAAGACACCTGCACCCCCGACTCAGCTCCCCCACCCCGACTCAGCCCTCCTGCACACCCAACTCAGCTCCACCACCCTGACCCAGTTCCTCGCACTATAAAGCCCTGCTGTAGTCTGTAAGCTTTTGTCAGGAGGTAGCCCGGCAGGACTGACAATAAATCAGCTTACCTGAACTTGGGTCTACTGGCCTCATTCCTTTCTCAGCTGTCCTTCCAATTATCCCTTACAATATCTTGGACCTTTTCTCCTGCAAATATCTTTAACTTGTACAGTGATTACAAATTTGGGGGAAATGCCACGAAAATGCCATTAGTATCTTCATGGCTTTGAGCCAATTGGGGTAATATGGCAAGAGTATAAGTTCAACGTTTAATGCTACCCTCAAATTTATTATTCCTGACTATAGCTTCAGTGAATCCTTCAGAAATATGGAAGGCAAAAACGTGCATGCAGAGCTATTATATCATGTAAATTAGGCAAGTCTGATTTGTCTGGAGCACCATTAGCTGGTGCAAAATCCCACTGATGCCTCCCCAAAAAGTTAGGAAACACCCTGTGAACTGTGTGAGTAAAAGCGTATACAGGGATGTAAGTCTCCTCACCACCACAAGCAGTGGTGGAGACATAGGGGGAACTGGTCCAGCCAGCGTTGTGATTAGAAATGGCTGTGGGCTGTCAGGTGGTCAGGTAAGCCACAGTACTTGGTGGTCCTTGAAAGAACCATAGTGTTGTGTCTTGTGCTGATACAATGCAGACAACAGGAAGAGTTGAAGTCGGCCGGGCGCGGTGGCTCACGCCTGTAATCCCAGCACTTTGGGAGGCCGAGGCGGGTGGATCATGAGGTCAGGAGATCGAGATCATCCTGGCTAACAAGGTGAAACCCCGTCTCTACTAAAAATACAAAAAATTAGCCGGGCGCGGTGGCGGGCGCCTGTAGTCCCAGCTACTCGGGAGGCTGAGGCAGGAGAATGGCGTGAACCCAAGAAGTGGAGCTTGCAGTGAGCCAAGATTGCGCCACTGCAGTCCGCAGTCCGACCTGGGCGACAGAGCGAGACTCCGTCTCAAAAAAAAAAAAAAAAAAAGAGTTGAAGTCTTGGAAACAAAGGAGGAGGGATTCCCCCGGTGAGAGGTGCCCTAAGAGTAAGAGGGTTTATTTTCCTGCTGGTTCCTAGTACCACTGCGAGGGAATTCTCCAGGGTCTTTGAAGATGCTAGAGAAAATTTCTGGATGAAGTGAAGTACCCTGAGCCCCACTCAAATTTCTCCTCAGGAAAATGTCAGGCAACTCTAATTCATGTGTTTCTACTTTGAAAGAAGGAGCTTAATCAGGGGCATTTTGCAGTCAATCTCTTCATTTCACTCAGAAGGACACAAGCGTGGAGTACATTGTTCTGGGTGTCAGACAAACAGACTAAGTAACAGTGCTCTCTTGACTCCCAGACTCAGGTACCTGCATGAGTCTTTGCTTCCTTGCATTTGAGAGATGGAGAGGGCAAGATGGAAAGAAGAGGTCAAATGCGTTGATTGAAATTAGAAGTTTGAATTATTTGTGTGTGCTTATCTAAGGTCCATATACCTATTAAATACCATGGAAATAGTATTTATTATGGCTCCGAGAAGAAGTACTAAGTCAGATTTTCCCAACAAACATTCTCCATCCTTAAGCAGCACAGAAGTAAATATATGAGTAAATTAAGACTAATTTCTATTTTAGAATCTGTAATCCATCCTTTTTTCTCCTTGGATAAAGACCCTTACTCCTTGCAACTACACCCTTTAAAATCACAATCCTATAGTGTTCAAGGTTTGTTTGCTTTTTTAAAATAACATCAAATTATAGAGCACTATTACAGTATAAAATGTACTCATTTAGATTAATTGATGTATAACTGTGAAGTCATCTAATTTTTTACAGTGCCATGGAAGAACTTGAAAATATACAATTTAACTGACTAACATTTCATATTTTTAAGATTGAAGATGAGAAAGGTGAGTGCAGGAAATCCCATAAAAACTGCGGATTTCACAATGTGGCTTTCACTATTACAGGCCCCTATTTGCTCTTCTTAATCCTTATGGTTTAGTTCCTGTTCTTTTTCTTCTCTCTTGTTTTCCCCTTCGGATTCTAAACACTTAACAACTCTAAAGATTATCTCAATGCAAATGTTTTGAACATCTATATTCTAAGAATCTAGACCCAAATGTCTAAGCACATGCCGCATAATTCAATACATCCCAAACTGAATCAACCACCTTAAGCCAGAAACAATGCATTCCCTTTTGCTCAGGCTCCAAATATCAGGGTCATCATCAGCTCTTCTCTCTTCCTTATGCTCCTATCAGTTGAGTCAAAAAATTCTACTTATATTACCTCTTTTGTATCTTTTACTTCTGTTTATCCACCCCAATTTCTACCAACGCAGTTTTTGTTCGTGTTCTCCTTACCAGCAACTCTGAGTATTTCAACAGTCTCCTCATGGTTGGTCCTCTCTGTCTTCCACACTGACATCAAAATTATGTTCTTTTCTGATTGTATTATTGTCCTGCTTTAAAACCTTCAATAACTGCTCACGGGACAAAGAACCAAGTTCAAGTTTGCACAGCTCTTTGTCATCTAATCTCATCCTACTTTATTACCTGTAATGTTTTTATGTGAATGTCCTCCCCTCTCTCTAATGCCTGAATGCATAGCCACAATAGGATGCTTGCTACTTCTGCAATACTTGCTTCCAATGCTCTAGTGCTCTTACTCAACAGTGCTTTATATTCACATAGTCAACTGTCAAAGACTTACCTATTCTCAAAGTTCAGTTCATACATTATCTCCTCCTCAAAGTGTTTAAAGTTTCCACATTTAAAAATATTCTAACCTTTTTTTATAAAACATTCTGCCTTGTGTTAACACTAAGTATATGTTTCTCCTTAAGTCATTCTTGGTCTTGCATCACATAGCATAGGCATCAACAGGGTTTGCTCATTTGAATTGTTCTCTTAGAGGCATTAAGCCTGAGAAAGAGGAAAAACTTGAATGAAGCATATCTGTAAAAACAGTCTGAATTCTATATTTCTTATAATTCCTTCTCTCCCTAAGTCTTTTGCAGAACTCAGCCTCTTTTGCTGTTTCTGCTGAGTGCAGTTGTACTCTTCCAATTAATGTGTCCTCCGTTTTCTTTTTGTCAACCAAGCTAAATTTTGACTAAATTTTTGGGCCATATTTCCCAAGGATCTACTGAATCCTTCCCTGTGAACTTCTCTGGCTTTTGGTTTTTCTTCAGTTTCTAAGAAAACATTCACTAGAACAAAGTACACCCATACCAGTATTTTTTATTTCTCTATTTAAGTTCCTACCTATTATCTCCACAAAGTCTTAATCTTTCTTGGATTCTACTTACAGGGTAAGTCAAGGTGTGGTAGAATATTCAGTGGTAATTTGATGACAGGCACCAGGAGCCAGAGCTTTAGTTTTTAGGAAACTTTACTCCTGACCAAATAGGATTAAGACTGTTTAAAAATGTAATTCATTTGGATTTCCTTTTTCTTTCAGACACCTGCCTATAGTGCTTATTTTGTCTAGGTGAAAAACACATGACTTGCTGCAGGAAAAAAAATTAACTTAGTTTATGTCTGGTGTAATTTTTTAGTTTAAAAGGTTAGAATTTCTCAATGACAAACTGTTTTCAGAAACTAAAACATAAGGGACAACCTGATTGCAGAACCGTAACACCTTACTCTTCAGTCAGTGAAACTGAAACCTTATCCAAAAGCTTATAGAAATGTGCTACTTTGTCTACTGCCATGAATCTTAGCTAAATAAAACCCCACAGCCTTTTACAGGACATTCCACAGCTGAGAGTAAAGTTCAAGTGAAAAGACAGCAGTGGCTACATGTTAAGCCTGACTCAGCAGGAAGAATTGGCCACGTGCTTATTTGATTCCTCATTTTTCTTCTCTGATTTGAGCCACTTTTCTAGTCTAGATAAATGTTCATACCACTCCTCAACAATCTTCATCCCCATGCTATTTTATTTTGCTATTATTATTATTTTTTTTTTTCGAGACGGAGTCTCGCTCTGTAGTCCAGGCTGGAGTGCAATGGCACCATCTCGGCTCCCTGCAACCTCCGCCTCTCAGGTTCAAGCGATTCTCCTGCCTCAGCCTCCTGAGTAGTTGGGATTACAGGCCCATGCCACCATGCCTGGCTAATGTTGTATTTTTCGTAGAGACGACGTTTCACCATGTCAGGCTGGTCTCGAACTCCTGACCTTGTGATCTGCCCGCCTCAGCCTCCCAAAGTATTAGGATTACAGGTGTGAGCCACTGCACCCGGCCCCCATGCTATTTTAAAAGCTTTGCTTCTCACTATTGAAAAATGCTTTACCCAAGATTTTTTTCCAGGTACTTATTTCATTTTGAGATATAATTACTGTTTGTTGATAAAAAATAAGATTATTATAAAAGTATGTAGAAAATACTTGGTTGTCTACAGACTACCCTCTACTTTCTTTTTTTCCTAAAGAGAATTTTGATTTTTTTGAAGCACTTATTCTTCTCCAAAACCATGTGTCTCAGGGAAATCTGACTCTACCCCCAGTGCTGAGGCAGGTCTAATGAGTTTTAGGATTATCTTATTGTTTGCTAACAGTGGCTGAGAAACGAGAATGTGAACACATTTTGGTTGATGAGACAGAGAGAGATACTGCAGAGGAGTGTGTGGGAAGTTTCCTCGATTTAGGAAAAGAGAAGCACAAGATGCCTTTCTTCTTCCTCAGGACATCACCACTGTATGAGATTCCTGCCACTGCTCTTGCTGTCTCCCTCAGGATAAAGACAAAACCAAGATGTCAGAGATGGGGAATGGAAGCATTCTGCTCCTGAATGACAGATTGAAGTAGCTGGCTCAGTCATCACCCAACCTCTGGGTTACTGTTCACATGGCAGAGTGCATTTTCTTCTTGTTACAACTGTTCTAGTTAGCGTAGGCTTTGCAGATGAAAATATCCTAACTGATGCAAAGGTGCATAGAATTCATGTCCTAAAGATATACATAGAATATTTATGCTAATCTCACTCACTACCCTTATCTTCAGTACCCATCTCAATGCCCAATTTCTACCAAGAGAGGAAAATCTCCTGAAAACTTTATGGTTTAAATTACCTCTTTATAGAGTGCAAATCTGCGCTGCTACCACTGCTCCCAATATCTGGTAAACTGGAACTATGAAGAATTGACATTCTAACAGGGAAAAAAGAGCAAAGGCTTTCAACTCTAAGATATAAAAGAGCATCTGGGAGAGAGGGGCAGAATTGCAAGAGCAGCATTACCTGTTTCAGTTTTACCGGCAGGCAAACTTGAAAACCAACATAGGTTTACATGTTTATTAATGTACAACTACAAAGGGAGTCTTTTAAATTCCAAGGAACAAGCACTGTCCTCTCTTTGATAACACACTTATTCAACATATCTTAGCTGAAGGCACAAGATATTACTATAGCCATGGCATATGTCAGACATACCTTTGCAAGCAGAGTTTACAAGTGCAGTGTAAGAAGACAGAGACCTACAATTAATATGGGAAGATCGTGGAGGTGGTGTGGACAACAATGCCTCTTCTTTAAAGCCAACCCCACAATTCTAGGGATGGATGGGAAAACTGCTAATGGTAACAGCCATTCTGCTACATACTATGAAGTCAATAATAATAATAAACACATTTATTGAGTGTTTGCTATACTGTAGGCACAGAACTAATTTGTTACTATGTCATTTGACTTTCACAATTGCTCTCTGTGGTAGATACTATTATTTTACCCATATTATAGATGGTAAAACTGAGGCACAGTAAAATTAAATAATATTCCCATGACTTCACAGCCTCTTCCTGGTCCTACTGGCACACAGGCAAACAAAAGTTGGTAGGTAAACTCAATTCCATACCCAAGGGAGAATTTTACTGCTGTACAATTTCTCAGAAATTGGATTGACAGGGATGGGAGGGCAAGGTGGCACTGGCAAATTTAAAAATCTGTATAACTTGTAAACCTGCCCTTAAAGAATTCTCAATCTAATGAGAGAGTCAAAGTATTCAAACAGGAAAGATTTAATAACAATACCAAATGATGTGTTATATAGCTAAATGCATTATCATACCAAGTGATTTACAGTAGGATATCTATATGTGAAAGGTGCCCATACTTCATCTTTGAATGAATGGGCCCACGATCAGGGATTCAGACACATTAACCAAAGTGACTCCTTTCTTCAATATCAGAATAAGCAATGTCTAAGAGATGTGATAAATAGTGCTTGAAACAGATTGGCACCAGAAGGCCCTGGACATCTCAAGATTCATTTTCTAAGGATGAATTTCCCACATTTCTCAAAAGTGACAGAGATAAATAACAGAAAATAGTTGCATAGGATAGAAGCACAAAATCCAATACATGTCCTCTCCTCTGTAGTTCCATGCCTCTGCTTCACTCTCCACAGTACTGAGATGCCGTCTCCCCTCTCCTCTACCTGTGAAAATTCATCCCATCTAGCCCAAAGAACAGGTCTTCTAAAAAGTCTACCTAGATCCTGGTTTTGACATGAACTCTTTCTCCTCTGGATTTCTTCCATTCTTTGTGCTTCCCTAATGCCCTTATCTTTTCTATCTTAGGTCAGAGCTATTTGCTCACATCCCACTATATAAGCTAAAAGTTTCCTTCCTCATTATTCCAGCTTCTTTGGCAACTACGGTTCAGGCATGTGATGTGGACCCAGACGATAAGATGCCCCAGCCCAAGATTTTGAGTCAAGGATTCATGACGTGAAGAAGCAGGAATAGTAGAGAATTCATTCTGGAGAGAGTGACAACAGTGACTGCTGTGGAAGCCTCTCTAGGAGTGGTGGTCACTGTCTGGAGCCAGTGATGGTGGCAGGGAACACTGTGCATTCTGTGACCAGCAGCAATGACAGTTGTGTCTTTATGGTACAAGTTTTTTTGTTTGTTTGTTTGTTTTGAGAATGAGTCTCCCTCTGTCGCCCAGGCTGGAGTGCAGTGGCGCAATCTCGGCTCACTGCAACCTCCACCTCCTGGGTTCAAGCGATTCTTCTGCCTCAGCCTCCCGAGTAGCTGGGACTACAGGGGTGCACCACCATGCCCGGCTACTTTTTGTATTCTTAGTAGAGACGGGGTTTCACCATACTGGCCAGGCTGGTCACAAACTCCTGACCTTGTGATCCACCCGCCTCGGCTTCCCAAAGTGCTGGGATTACAGGCATACGCCACCAAGCCCTGCCTATAGTACAAGTTTTGTAGCACGGTTTGTCTCTTCATCTGGCTGACCATAGCTTCCTTGTCCCTTCCAATTTCTAGTCCTCTATTTTTCCTACTACCACACCCTCCCTAGTAACCCAGTACTTTTTCAAGACATTCCCGTACTGTTTAAATCATCCAGAGATAGTTTCTATTACTTTATCCCAAGAACTCTGGCAGATATATTCACTTAAATTATTGTTTACTCGTTCTGCTCTTGGTGAAGAAGGAGATTTTAACTACCATCCTATGTATGATACACTTCATAACCGCAAGGACTAGTGCTATGCCAGTTTCCTGTCACCAATGGGAACCTACGCAGGTTGTGTAGATGAGAAATGGATATTTGTTGTAATCAATAAGATTCATAAATCTGTGTTATAATTAGCCTTTTCCATGTTTTCATGTCCTTGACCCTTTACCATCTAAAAGATGGAGAAAATAATCAAATGCTATGCTAGCTACAACATTCTCTAGATACTGGAGAAGAAAGTGTCTCATTCTTTACTCTTAACCACTCAAAGTTTGATAATATGTGCAATTTTTTTCTCCTTAGGAGGATTATTCTGAGTATCTTGACTACTAAGTTTTTGTATTAAGGCATGAGATGTACAAATAGTTTGTTAAAAGGGCAAATGGGCATACCTCAGTGCGGTGTTTATACTGATAGCTTTTTTATTTGCTACATTTGTGATGGTACTGCCTAACATATTATGATTATTCTTTCTTTAAGTATTCTTTACATAAATTATCTTACTACATCTTTAAACCAAGTCCAAGTAGTAGTAATTTGTAAGGCAAAAGTCCAGAAGACACTGTATTCTATCTTTGTGAAAAAGTGTTAGTTTTCTAGGTTAAGTGGTTAGCCTCAGGCCACCCAAACTAGTTAGTGAAAAGCCAGAACTAGGCTGTGGTCTTTTGACCCTGAGAAAGTTGTTCCCTCAGACTTAAAGGATTGAAATAAGCTCATCAGTCAATCAATGTGTCAGACAAGTATTTTTTTAAGCCTCTGTAGGCTCCTTAACATTGTCCTAACCCCTACCACTTGAGATATAGAAAAAAACCTTTAACACGGTCACTGCCTACAAATATCTTACTCTTCAAATTATCTCTATGTAGAGAGCCCAAGCAGACTCTAAAGTGGGGGATAAGGACAGAGAAGAAAGAGAGGGCAGAAATCTTCAAATATCTCATTTCTGCAGAAAAATAATAGAGATGACTATTAGCAGGCTCCTTCTACTTTTTTGGGCATGTAAATACACAAAGTCTTAAATGTGGCAATAGAAAGAGCCCAGTGTAAGCAAAATTGTGCATTTGGAGGAATCTCTCTTCACCACCCTTTTATGGTTGTTTTCTCTCTTTGGCAATCTCCTTGACTTCCTCTTCCTTCTTCTTCATGCTTAACTCTCACTGCATTCCGTTAGATCCTGGGAAATTCTTTTCTAAGCTTTTTTTTTAATAGTAAGTTGTTAAAAATTGATAATGATTTAATATGTTACCTGTCCCAGCAGAGCTTTCAAAGCCTTAATGAAGAAGACAAATTACACAGGACCAAAGACATCTTGTTAGTGAATGCTTCTGATTTGAATATGCATTTACTCTTCTCCACCCAACAGCATGTCTATGTCTACTAAAGATGCTCACATGGATCTGCACCTTGAGCAGTCAGTTCTCTTTCTGATTCTCATTGGCACAGTTCCCTTTATTCCTGTTCAGCTTCTGTGTCCTTGAGCAATCTGTCTCATATCAGCAGTCACACTTGGCAGCCGCTTTACAAGGTTGTCAGAAATTGAAATACAGGTCATGCTTCCAGCAAGAGCATCAGGGCCCGTGACTTGTCCTTTGAATGGATCCAGGGCTAGCTTTGTACTTGCTTGCAGTGTTGAATGTACCATGGGGTTGTTGGATTGCCTTAAGGGATCTAGTCAGAAGGTTATGGACTGATTTGACTCTGACACTATTGTCTTTTGTTACTGATTTAGTGACCGGCTGTTTTGCTGAGATAGCAATAAATTCTTGGCCCCCCTGAAAGCTTTACTTGCCATATTATTTCCCAAGTTAGAAAGGAAGAAAGGAAATATAGTTTTGTAATGAAAGACTTGTTAAAAATCTATGCATATGAACAATTAGTTTTGACTCTAAAACTAAGTGTTTATTAAAGCCTATGTCCATTTATCTTAATCTGGAGAGAGAACCATATCTGGCAATGTGACTGCTAAGAAGTATTGTGGGCAAAGATTTTAACAAACAAAAATATGAAAATCACAACAAGCTATACACATTTCTTGGTAGTCACAAAGGAAAAAGCAAGATTTGTGCTGTATTTTATCTGGAGAATTTCTGTTTCCAAGCTTGTGTCTATAGATTGTTTAATTACCACCTATATCAGTGCCCCATACTCAAAAATTAAAGATCAACATCTATATCTTTATATATTAATATAGATGTATTATATATACATCCATATTATATATAACACACCTATGTATGCACATATACATACATCTTCATATACAAATAAGTATGTATGAAATACTTGCCCTTTAAATATTACTCCTGCTTTTAAAATTGAAGAATTAATGTATTCAGATATTTCCCCTTTTCACCCCCTCCCCATTAGAATGCAATATACATGCCCAAAAGTCTTCGTACACCTGCTGAATTCTGGCCTTTCTGGCTTGAATTCTATCCAACCAACAATAGTCATTAAACAAAACCAGCAACACTGCTTAAACACGCCACAGTTCAAAATGCCCTTGTTCTTAATTTTTGTTTTGGTCTCGTTTTATCGTATTTTTATCCATATACCCAATTCATTCTCTGAAAACCTCATGTATTTAGAAACCTCTCTGATTTCTCTGTCTTAAAATTCCCTTTCTTTCTTTCTTTCTTTCCTTCCTTCCTTCCTTCCTTCCTTCCTTCCTTCCTTCCTTCCTTCCTTCCTTCCTTCTTTCTTTCTTTCTTTCTTTCTTTCTTTCTTTCTTTCTTTCTTTCTTTCTTTCTTTCTTTCTTTCTTTCTTTCTTTCTTTCTTTCTTTCTTTCTTTCTTTCTTTCTTCTCCTTCCTTTTTCATAAAGAGACCATAGCTTTGTTGTTCCGGCACATTTAGCTCTTTGCTCATGTGTCCATTCTCAACCATATCTTCACGCCTGCAGTGCAGGCTCTTCTGACTTAAAACTTTAGTTGGTTTCAACTAGAAGTTTGTTAAATAGGAAAATGGTGTCCTAATTCTATTTTCTATTGCCAATTGATTTTTTTTTTTTTTTTTTTTTTTTTTTTTTTTACTATTTTCTTTCATTGGCTGTCAAGCTTTGGCCTCTGTTTTATCTTCTTCACCATACCTTTCCATTTTATTTCTATTTTTCATTGTCTTTTAATTTTCAGAAATCTTTTCTTTTCAAATAGAATTTTTTTTCACTAGTCTTCAAAATGTGTGGAAGCCATACATCATCGTTAAGGAAAAAACTAGCACAAAATCTGCTTGACCAATCTTGCTTTGTCCTCTAATATTGACTTACAAATTTCCCACAGGTTTGCCTTTGATTCTACTTTGCTTATTTTTCATTCCTGGATTATTGCTACATTGTCTTCCTTTCTAAATATTTGCCATTTCTCACTGGGTCATCCATCTCTTCTCTATCATCAATAGTATCTCACATTTATACATTTTTATTTTTTGTTTTGTCCAATTAATGCCTTGGTTCTTCTAATAATACCTGCCATATTTTCCAAATTTAGAGTTCTTCCTTATCAAGTATGTCATCCACAGAAACTGTGCCTAAACTTAGCCCACAAATCATTAGCCTTTGATGATAATTATTCTTTCCCCCCAAAAATATTAAGTGACTTATTTTAAGGTTGTCATGTCTGTTGAACACACATATAAGAAAAATCTGCATAAAGAGCCAATGTGCCTTTCTCCTTCTTGCATATAAATTTCCTTTCTCAACCCCTCATTGAGTAAAAAGATACTGGTCATATTAGTACATGATCTTTATATATTTCAGTGATCTCATGGGGAAAAATCTTGGCTGGCCAATCAAAATCCTTTCTTTATTGATATATAATTGACATCCCTGCACCTCTAGTCTTGAACATAGTCTACCAAACAGCATTTATTTTCCACTTGTTTTACCATTCTAGTCTATTATACCTATTGATATTCTTTTAAATCTTTCAATAAGAGCCATTCCCAATGCTTTTTAGAGTTTAACATTAGCAGTCCTAAGTTTTAGTCATCTTTCCTCTTTCTTTTAACACATATGTTTTTATTAACCTTTTTTGTTTCATTTTGCTTTCCCTTCTACTCATAATTTTATTCAATTACCTTCAACCACGTACTGCTTAGAGATACTATGCTAATGACAGAAAGGAATGTAAAAATAAATTAGACGCAGATTTTGTCTTTTAAGAGCTTATAATCTTGTAGGCATTTTTAAGCACAAATATTAGAAAGGAATCATCTATTCATAACTCTAAAACAAGGTACAGGGTGACAAGTATCATAAACATTTCGAGATCAATGGCTGGGAGGATTGTACAACTACCGTTGGTTTGTTCAAGTTGTGCTCAAAACACATGCAGCAGTCGTCTCTGAGGTCAGCAGACCAGGGAACACTTCCCAGCTGGAGTTGCTTCATGCTGCTCATTTCATTTCTTGAGCAGTGATGCCCACTGCTAAGTAATTTGTTTCATAATACTTTGGTTGATGGATGCTCGGAATTAGCCCATGTCATTTCTCAATTCTTCAATTCTCCATTCGCTTCATCCTTATCCACCTTGTGGTGTTTTTGCTTTAAGTTCTGCATGGTCAACAGCAACTTCACTCTATCTTGCTTCACTCTCAAGGGTAGACTACTCTCTTGCCTAAATGTATGATTCACTTATAGATGAAGCTGACTTGATATGCAGAATACTGTTGTCTAAATAAGGCAGGTATTTTTATGCCAGTTTAATAATAGCTAAGATACTTAAGACAGAGTGTATGTTACATCCTTAAGATTATATAGTTGCTTAGTGAAACAAATGAGATTCATTCTATCATTAAAGACGTGTTTGCTTTTGCACCGTGCATCAAAATTCAAATATCTTACTAGGAAGAAGTGGTAGAAAACCTAAAACCTTGAACATGAGTAGGACTAAAAGAAAGAGAAATCTTATTTCCTAACAATTGGTTTTATAACAGGTATATGTTATAACAATGGAGAGATAGATAGAGATATCATTTAATTCTCACAGCAACACTGTGAGGTATTAATGTCTCCATTTTTACAGATGAAAAAAATGAGACCTAGACAAATTTTATTCATAACTAGCATTTATTAAGCAGGCCCTGTAATTGATATTATCTACATTATTACATTCAACACTCAACAATAAAACTGTATGAAAAGGAATGTTATTCTCATTTTACAGAGAACAAAACTAAGGTTCAGAGGGTCTATGAAATTTGCTTGATGCAAAATCTTTCATTACTTTCATAATTGTTACCCTTTCATTTTCTTTACTTTTCCCTGAAATTCTTATTAGCTTAATATTTTTTATATGAATGTACTCAACTTCTCTGTTATATTTTTTTCTCATTTTCTTCACCTGTTTAGCTGTTAAGTTCTAAAAAATTTCCTCAACGTTTTCTTTCAGACTCTTTATTGACCTTCTTATATTGTCAATCTTGTTTTTATTTCCCAAGATCTTATATTGTTTTGGATAGTGTTTTGTTTAATAACATTCTCTTCTTGTTTTGTGGTTGTAATATATTCTAGGATCTCTCTGTGGATATTAGTTAGAATTTTCAAATGTCTTTCCTGAATTATTTGTAACCTTTGGAGTTAGTGGCCTTATTTATTCATTTTGGATTTTCTTTTTCATAATGTTAAATGTCATCAAATTTCATTCATCTTAGTTCTCTTACGTGTTATGAATATTTGTCTAGTGATTACTGACTATCTGTGATTATATAGAATAAAGACATAGACTAATTAGTAAAGGTATCTAGTACAAGTTCCCTTTTCTAATACATAAGCATCTCTATGATCCTACAAGTTCTCTCCATTGAAGGGGTTGGTTGCCTGGGGGTTCTGTGTATGTGAATAGAAAATGTCACTTAATAAACTTACCTTTAGTTAGTGTGGATATGGAGAAAGCCCTTCTTTTGCTAAAATAAAGAGGTTTTCTCTCTGGGGCTCCAGTACCCTCACCAGCAGTCCTAGCTTTTCTGAGACAGATGGTTCATTTTCTGTAGAGAACAGTTGTCCATGTCCTGCCTCAGGGTAAACAGAAGACAGCCAGTTGGTTTGGGTAAAGAGGGTGAGAGAAAGGATAGAGAGATGACCAGAGCAGCTGCTCTGGAAACAGTCCTTCAGTGAATCACTCTGCTTTCCGCTCCTCCACTCATTCCTGATCTCCCTATTTGCCAAGAGAAACTGTAGGTCTTCTCAGGGATTCTGTTGGAAAGATATATTCCCACACATGTGGCAAGACTTATCTTCTGTGTATTCTGGACTTCAGATTTCTCCAACTTCTTTTATTCAGCAAGTCATTCTCATTCATTTGATTCTTCCAGAAGAAAATTACCTATGCCTCTCCTCTCTAATAAGGACTCCTACCCCCATTTCATCTATTTTTTTTCTGAATATGCTTTCTTTTGAATTCGCTGCTACCATTTTGATGAAGTGTTAGAAAAGAAAGGAGGCCATACCTTGAGCTCATCTTCATCTTTATTTTGAACTAAAATAACTTTAAGGGGTAATAAAAAGTGAAACTTAAAAATCAATGAAAAAATACTTACGTTTTGCCTACACTGAAGTTTTCATTAAGACTTTGAAAAGGGGAGTAAGAGAGCCAATACAGTAGCAAAACAGTTCAGTTCAGGGTGTTGTTTTTAAATGACTATAGCCCAGATGACAAACTTAGATAAAATCACTCTTAATTAATAAGGTATATTAATGCTGTAAGGGCATATATCCTAAGGTATTTGGTTGTCAAGTCTATATTATTTCAGAGTAGAAGCAATGCCTTTCAAACTAAATTTCTATATGTGACATAAATTTTATTCTTTTGAAGCTTGCCATTCTGCAAATATTTATGCAAAGTCCCAGTTGCACTCTAAAATGCCAAATACAAGACAAGCAGCTCACAATCCAGGAATCCCAAATGAGGCAGGGCTATGTGTGCCAAATAGAAGCCACAGTTGTGCCACCATTTTCTCCCTATCAGTGGTTTAAATTACTCAGTTCAAAACTTGTTTTCATTTTGGAAATAAACCAATTGTTGGACATTCTCGATACATCATTCCATTTTAATAATTATGAAGACTTTAAAATGTAACATTTTCAGGGTCTATTCAATCAACTTGATAATTTTTAGGTAAATATTGGTATAACTTTTAGTAACATACTAATACAACTTGCTTCCTCAGTTCTACTCTTAAATGCATCTGTTTTACTCAAATTCTGGAAAAGATGGATTCACACAATCTTTCGGCCTTGTCCTTTAAGAATCATGTGAGAGTAGATTAAAGCATTCGTCATGCATCACAGTTCTCAAGTTAAATTGTGAGATAACACATTGAGAGGAAAAAATTTAAACAATAATTAAAATGTTTTTAAATTTTTATTTGCTATTTTATTAATAACTTTCTTTCATGTAATTTTATTTGTACATGGAGTTAGCAAGTTGATACTCATCAATCAAATGTTCTTAGAATCCTGAAGGTCAGAAAGATCCCTTGAGCAGCCTGACCTTGGCAGTTGACCCTGGCATATAGCATCATGTAGTTCCCAATGAAGATAAGAATCAGAATACTTTCTTTTTCATTGAGCCATATTCATAAAAAGCAGCAACAACAACAGCAAAAAAATGATAAATGAGTGAATGAAGAAATGAATGACTTATTTGTGGAGGAGAAACTACACTGTCAGTAGAAATGATTACAGGTTCTCTCAAAATTATTTCTTGGTAATTGTCCCTGTGTGTTTAAAATTAAAAACAGGAAAATAATTACTACCTTTTTTGAGGTAAGACATTTAAATCCCAATCAAATATTATCATATGATAGTAACATTTCAATTCAATTCACCTTATCAGATTAGAAAATTATTCACCAAACACAGCTTACAAAATATCGATTTACCATCTTTCTTCCTGACTGTGTTTTATTTTTTATAATCTCTCAGTTGGAGGCATCGTTGTCCACTCAGGAGACCTTCAGGTTAGAAACCTAGATGTCATCCCTGTCATGTCTAGTTCTTACCTCTCACATAAATCATTCATTGGACCTACAAGTATTTATTGAGTGCTGTTCGTGTCAGGTGCTGTTCAGGTGGTGGATTTGGGATAGTGATCAAAATAGGCAATGTCTTTATTTCTCATAGAGTTTGCCTTCCAGTCAGAGCAGTTAAAATAAACAAATAGATATGCCAGATGCTAGGTAGAGAAAGATACTAGGAAGAAAAATGAACAAGATATAGACCAGGTTATGGAATTTCTACATCTCATTCTTTCTACCCCTTGATTCAGAGTTTCTCATCATCTCTAAGACTATTGCAACGGTCTTCTACTTCATCATATCTGACCCCATTAGTGTTTAAAGAATCTATCTAATATCATTGTCAGATCTTTTCAATTCTCTCCTTAAATTCTTCAAAGCTTCCCCTCACCTTAAAGAAAAGCCTTAGCTTCCGGGAGGCCGAGGCGGGCGGATCACGAGGTCAGGAAATCGAGACCATCCTGGCTAACACGGTGAAACCCCGTCTCTACTAAAGATACAAAAAAAATTAGCCGGGCATGATGGCAGGCGCCTATAGTCCCAGCTGATCGGGAGGCTGAGGCAGGAGAATGGCGTGAAGCCGGGAAGCGGAGCTTGCAGTGAGCCGAGATCGCGCCACTGAACTCCAGCCTGTCCAGCCCGGGCGACAGAGCGAGACTCCGTCTCAAAAAAAAAAAAAAAAAAAAGCCTTAGCTTCTGAACAATGCATACCAGCCCTCCATGATCTTGCCTCTGTCTCTACCTCCAGCCTCATAACGTCATCTCTTGTTTTTCTGTCACTGGTGAAAATACCACGTCAAGCTAATAGTTTAATATTCACCACTTACTGCTGTGTCCATTGTGAAGGATGTTGACCCTACCCCTTCACCTGCCTGATAATCTGATCTCCCCATCTTCCCTGTGCTATTAAATGTGTGACAATTTTATAGCTCTCATAATGCCCACTGTTTATCTCTGTCAATCTGTTTACATATTATATCGTAGTATTTAATATGTATTTAAAATATTTTACTCCTACTGTGAACTGCTTGAGAGCGAGGACCGTATTTCTTTGCTCTGTCTACTCAGTGCTTACCACATTGCTTGGCCCATATTGTATGGTATGCAAGGCATATTTGTTAAATGAATGAATGAAATTCTAAGGGTCTATATCTGGGCATCAAGAAAATTCTGAAATATGGGGCTATTGTGCAAGGGGGGCAGAACAAGAAGGAAAGCATTTAAAAATCCTAAAACCCAGAGACAAAATAACTTAGTGCATACTAAAGTCATGCAGCAAATACAAGAGAAATAAAAGCTATGGTGCCAAGCCATTGATAACCCCCTCATTTATTCAAAAATTAAAAAGAAAGTGTTTTACAAATAAGATAATAAATATCAAAGGGATTACTTGAAAGGTAGAATCATTTAGAGAACAGCATTGTATACAAGGCAATACCTTTAACAAAATGCAAAAGGTATTTATGGCTAGCCAGTTAACCCAGCATCATTTATTGAATACGGAGTGCTTTCCCCATTGCTGTTTTTTGTTGGTCTTATCAAAGATCAGATGACTGTAGCTGTGTGGCTTTATTTCTGAGTTTTCTATTCTGTCCCACTGGTCTATGTGTCTGTTTTTGTACCAATACCACGCTATTTTGGTTAAAATTAGCTCAAAATGGATTAAAGCTTTAAATGTAAGACCTCAAACTATAAAAATCCTAGAAGACAACCCAGGAAATACTCTTCTTGACACTGGCCTTGGCAACAAATTTTTGGCTAAGTCCCCAAAAGCAACTGCAACAAAAACAAAAATAGACAGGTGGGACCTAATTAAACTAAAGAGCTTCTGCACAGCAAAGAAACTATCAACAGAGTAAACAGACAACCTACAGAATGGGAGAAGAAATTTGCATACTATGTATCCAACATAGGCCTAATATCCGCAATCTGCAGGGAACTTAAACAAATCAACAAGGGAAAACAAGGGAAAATCAAACAACCCCATTAAAAATAGGCAAAGTTCATGAACAGAATCTTCTCAAAACAAGATATACAAGTGGCCAACAAACATATGAAAAAAAATGTTCGGTATCATTAATCATCAGAGAAATGCAAATCAAAACCACATTGAGGTGGACACCATCTCATACTAGTCAGAATGATTTTTATTAAAAAGTTAAAAAACAACAGATGCTGGTGAGCCTGAAGAGAAAAGGGAACAAGGGAACACTTATACACTGTTGGTGAGAATCTAAATTAGTTCAGCCACTGTGGAAAGCAGTCTGGAGATTCCTCAAAGAACTTAAAACAGAGTTACCATTCGACCCAGTAATCCCATTACTGGGTATCTGCCAAAGGAAAATGAATCATTCTACCAAAAAGATACCTGCCCTTGTATCTTCATCACTGCGCTAACACAATAGCAAAGACATGAAATAAACCCAGGTGCTCATCAATGGTAGATTGAATAAAGAAAATGTGGTACATATACACCATGGAATACTATGCAGCCACAAAGAAGAATGAAATCACGTTCTTTGCAGCAACATGGATGCAATTGAATGCCATAATCCTAAGCAAATTAATGCAGGAACAGAAAATGAAATACTGCATGTTCTTACTTAGTAGTGGAAGCTAAACACTGAGCAGACATGGACATAAATATGAGAATAATAAACACTGTAGACTGCTAGAGGCAGGGAGGGAGAGGTGCATGGGTTGAAAAACTGCCTGTTGGGTACTATGCTCACTACCTGGGTTATGGGATCCATACCCCAAGCCTCAGCATCACACAATATTCCCATGTAACAAACCTGTACATGTACCCCCTGTATCTAAAATGAAAGTTGATTTTTTTTTTTTTTTATTTGAGACAGAGTCTTGCTCTGTCGCCAGTCTGGAGTGCAGTGGTGTGATCTCAGCTCACTGCAACCTCTGACTCCCTGGTTCAAGCGATACTCTTGCCTCAGCCTCCCGAGTACCTGGGATTACAGGCACATGCCACCACACCTAGCTCTTTTTTGTAGTTTTGGTAGAGACAGGCTTTCAACATGTGGGCCAGTATGGGCTCAATCTGCTGACCTTGTGATCCGCCCGCCTTGGCCTCCCAAAGTGCTGGGATTACAGGCATGAGCCTCTGCGCCCGGCCTGAAAGTTGAAATTTTTTTAAAAATATTTAGCTTGTGTAGGAGAGAGATTCAAAACAGGGCTGGAAAGGGAGATGGAGACTGATTCAGATTTAATGATGAACTGACCACAAGGAGGATTGTTCAGGCAAGAGGATCAACACTAGCAAGGGCTTAAAGGAGGAGAAAGCAGGAGCAGTAGAAGGGGAAGATTAAATATTGAAACAAAACCCTTAATGGGAGTGGGCACAAATAATCATTTCCATAGTAATATTGTTTCTAGGAACAATATATAAGCATAAAGAGAACAACTGATTTTTCCAAGAGAATCTATTGGGCAATACTTCTGTAGACTCACAGACAGCATATTCAAATTGGAGAAACGCTATGTGCACATATAACATGTGCTGGAGGTATCAATCCTGAGTTCTTCAAAATACCTTTATAGTAAGAAATTAGTATCTCAGTTTGTATTGCAAAGTCTGTTAGGCTTTAGAATTCAGAAGTTAATTAGGCTTTGGATAAAAATTATGTCTAAATCTCTAATGCTGAAATAGTATAATTTGATATTTATACAATTATTTTAAATAATTTTAACTCCTAATACAGCTCAGGGAATATACGCATGAAATTGCTGTGTGTAGCAAAAACTAGATGCAACTCGGAGTCCATCAACCGTAGATTGGATAATTTATGATGGGTTGAAAAAATGATTGAGGGGTCGAACCATGGAATGCTATATAGCAATGGAAATAAGCTACAACTGCTTGTAATAATCTGGATGAATCCTCAAAACATTTAACTGAATTAATTTTTTAATGATTAAGTAATAAACTCAGCATAATTCTAGTTATTTAAACATCCAAAATAAGACAACTAAGTAATATGTTATTTACAGATGAATAAATCAAAGAAAAGGGTGGAAATTATTTTTTTTATTATGCTACAAATTTAAAATTAGGTTACCTCTTGGAGGAGGAAGGGAGATTCAATAATGGAAAGGTGTCTAGGGAATTTAACGGTCCTAGTCACATTCTGTTAAGCTTGTGGTGGGTAAATGGGTATTTCTTTTAGCTTTCTTTAACTGTACATTATACACGCATATTGTAAATAATATATACAACATATACACATCATCATACATATATGATAGAGTGTATAATTTCATTTATGATGTAACACTTTCCCTCTAAGAAACAATTCTGTGTTAGTTGACACTTTTATGAATCAGGAGTTTCAAAATGCATGTTAAATAGGTCTCTGCTGGCACGTGATAGACTAAGTGAATTGTTAGAAAGCCAAGAGCATTATTTCAGTCAGCTGGCAATTGATACCAATCATCACAGCTGACTTTTCCACCTAGCAATCTGTGCCAATTGTTAACACGGGTGAAGTGAGCCAATTGCTTGAGAACAGGTTTCCTTAATTTATATTAAAATTTAGCCTTAAACAGACATGTTGAGGAATTAAGAAAATAAAAAGGACAAACCAAAAATGCCAAAAAAAAGTAGAATATTTTGAAGCCAGTGCTTTCATTTCACATATAAACCTTCATTCAGAGTGATTGGAAATCAAAAGTCTATTGAATGTACATCATTTCTGGCAATTGTATAATTCATAAATAGACAAATGGCTTAAGAAACATGATGAAAAAAATGTACTCCCAAGGAGGTATCATCTATGCCAAGTTTACTGCTGAGATCATGAACCAGTGACAATAGGGGTTAATAATGGAAATGTTGGTAGTCCTCTACTTATAATAGAATGAACAGTGCTGCTATAATTACAATTTTCTTTTTTTTTCTGTTACACAGAAATGAATCAATATCCTAGTAGAGAGAGGATAAAAATGTCTTTAATAATTTGCTTTGCTCTTCAAAAGAATTGGCTTCCTAGGTCTGCAAGTCAATTGTATCATTCAAAATTATCACAAGGCTATTTATCAAATAGCGTAAATTAAAATTTGTTTTGACCTACTGAAGGCTATTTTATGTGATTTTCAGTAGAGACTGAATAATCATGAACAATTTCCTTTTCTTTACCAAGTTACTTTAAAAAAAGAATCAATATGTTATTTCAGCAGATATTTAGAAGATTCAACTCTTCATGTGATCTTTTGCTAAGTTATGCCAACACCAAGACTGTTACATATGGATTCTTGTTGCCTTAACTTGTTTTTAATTAGGACCAGAGAAACATTTGATTAGTGACTGTAGCAGTAACTGATATATCTTACTTGGACTGTTATTATTTCCAAGAAAACTAATAGCCAATCTGATTTGCCAATAGAGCAATATTATAGGATAAGTAAGTAAAATTGGGAATATACGCAATGAAAAAATGTATGCTTTCCACATACAACCAACTTTAAATTTGTTTGAGTTGTGTAAATAATTTGGCATGTAGTCTAAGTTAAATCAATAATAGTAGTCTCAAATTATCCTTGATACTTTGTTTCTTTTATTTTCTTTATTAACTTGAGAATCCGTATTTGCAGGAGGAGCCTGGAATAAAAGATTGCTGAAATTTTGCAATAAATAAATCTTTTTAGAGGTGAGTAATATTAAGCCTCCTTTAAACCTACATAATGAATTCAATTTAATAAAATTTAGAGACAAAAATAAAATTCGAAGAAGGAAGATAACTCTGGGTTTTTTCATATCTCTGATTTTTCTATTAATGGGTATTTCATTACCATCTTCAAGTACAGCAATACCATTTTAAAGAATATTGTTGATTGATGTTCTTTCTGTTTAGTCTTTTACCTGATTAGCTAATTTTCTCTTTCACTTATTAATCTGCTAGGTCTCTGCCCTGTGATTCTGTGCTCACTTTCCTCTAACTTCCTTTAGCTCTTCTTCAAGTTGTATTCACTATAGGGCGACAAATTGTGCTCACAAGAGCTCCAGCACCTCACTTAAGAGCTCTGTGATTGTAAGGTAGGACTTAATCTCCCTGGTACTCATTCACTCATTCCTAAGAGCCTCAAATAAGGAAGTGTTTCTGAAACAAGTGTGAAAACTCTCAAAGGGCCTCTAAAATTCCGTTTGACTTGCAAACAATGTCATACCTACACAATTAATAATACAAAGGAAAAAACAGACAATGCTGTTGGGTACCAGGTACTCTCTCCTAAGTGTTTTTTCTATTTTAACTCCTTTGATTTTTCATAGATATAAAAACTGAGTCCTCAAGAGGTAAAGTATTTTACCCAGTGCTTATAGTTTCCAGGTCCCTCCCAGTAACCACTATTTAGCCTCTCCAAATTTCTGTTCATTAATTGATGAAAACATCCAATAAAACAAAGGAAAGGCCAATACACTTTTAAAACTTCAGAACAACTGACTTCTTTTCTTCCTGATCTACTTGTCCATATTGAACAATGAATAGACATGGCTTGTATCTCTGTGATCTCTCATTTTCCAGCTTTAGGTTCCATTTCTCTGCAGATGGCACTTAATTTCAACAAGTTAACCTTGGTATCTTTCTAAATAACACATTCTATTTAGAGTCTCTGGCAAATTTACTATCTTGCCGAATTCTCAAGTTTGACTCTGGAAAATGTCAACTTTTTGACATTCTCCTCCAGCTTCACTTTTGAAGAATTTTCTCATAAATCTGAATGAAGTAAAGACGCCATCATCTTTCATGTGTACTTCTCTGATCCCTACCACCAAGCTAAGAGTGTGGGCTCCTTTGGCTCATTGTTTCCTATACCAAAATGCTGCTATTTATTCTTTCTTGAAATTGGTCGTATTTCTTTATCCCTCCTTTCAGAAACAAATCTACGTTGGTTTATTTATAAACTCCTATTCTTTCTACATGTTAATATAGATCTTTGTTTTGTTCTCGGACTTAAGTAATTACAAGATTCTTATGCTATTAATATAACCTGTTGACAGGCTTAATGCCTTGGAATTCATTTGTATATGAGACTGTTATCATACTCTTTACATTTTAGTGTTCTATAGGCATGTATTATGTCTTTCAAATTTTTATGTGTTCATACTAACTAGCATAGTGATCAATGCTGTAAAATTTAGATAATAAAGACTGAAGAAGCATTATAGAGCCTTCAATTCAATCTCTTCATTTTACACAAACAGAAGCTGAGTTGTTGGTTGTGAACTGGAAATTAATAGCATTATTTTTCCATTACATATTTATCCAGTGTTTACATTATTGAAAGCCTATAATGTCCACATATCTTAAGACATTAAGTTTCATAGCTCTCAGTGGGATGGTCATTTACCACTCTTTACTAGGAATTGGCTGAAAGGAATTCAGAGGTGCATTTTAAAATATGTTTCTTTACTAAGTGGCCTGAGAGAACATGGCATGATTGGGGAAATGGAAGCATTCTGGGATATTGGTGTGTAGGGCCACTGAGAGGGGAATTTGAGAGATGAGGCTGAACAGGTATTAAGGAGTCAGTCATGAAAGGCCTCGTGTTTCATGTTAAAGGATTCATGTCTTCCCACGGATAATGAGATGCCTAAGAGACCAGATTCACCTACATACCTTTTCTAGGACAATTCATCATCTCAGTGTCAAGGGCACATGTCATGTTGCTCTTTCTTGCTGCTTACCAAGAAAGGTAGGTGGAATTCCTAAATGGTCCCTAAGATTTTCTACCCTAATCCTTGGGAATGCGAACACAAGGAATTGTTTCTCCTGTAATCGGGTTACGTTGTAGGGCACAGTTAACTATGAGAAAGAGAAGTTATCTGAATGGAGCTAACCTACTTAAATAAACCCTTTAAAACCAGAGAAATTGCTCTGGTTGCTAGCAGAAGAGCAAATCAGAGACTCTAAGCATGAGAAAGATTTCATACCCTATTTCTAGCTTGAAGGTGGATGGAGCCAAGTGCCCGGGAATGCAGGAGAAAATTACCATAACAAGCTGACTGATTTCACTTTAAAATTCAAAGATTAAATAGACACTCAATAATGCCCTGAAATCTTATGTTCCTATAGCAGGCTTACTTTTCCTACTACTAAAAAGACTATTTTAGATATTCTTCCCTTTCCTCAAACAGTCCTCATCTCTACTCCACTATTAGTATCAGGGGATGGCCTTACCTCAAATTTTATTGAGGAAATAGAAGCCGTATGATAGGAAATATTTTACATTTTCTATGCCAAATCTAAAATCCTACCTATACTGAAATCTATCTTTTTTTTCCCTCTTATTTCAACTGAGGATAATTCACCTCTACCAGCATCGAACGCAAATTCCTATACTCCTTCTTTATCTCATTCTTCTCCGATACTCAAAGTTCCTGGGGCTCTACCTCTTTTAGTTATCTTCTCTCTCCCCTTCTACTGTACCATTCTCATCAGCACATAAACATAGTCTGTAATCTGCCATCATAAATAAGAATTCATCCCTTTTCCTCAGCTACAATCTCATTTATCTGTGTCCCTTCAAAGTTAAACTTCTAAAAGAGTTGTCTACATTAGTTATTTGTGTGTCTTCACCTTCCACAACTCAACCCACAACAGAGTGATTTTCACCCCATAATTCCACTGGAAGTGCCCTTATCAAAATACAAGGATGTCCAAGAACCTATTTCCAAAGAGCACTCTGAATTATTACTTAAACTTTGAATACTCTTCAGAAGTCAACCACTCCTTTCTTGAAATACTGTCCTCTCTTAACATTCACAGCAGCACTCTCCTGGTTTGCCTCAACTCAGCGGCTGCTTCTTTTCTTCCTCTCTGGTTTCTTCATTTTTATTATTTTTGCTTCCAAATGCCTAGATTCCTTCATGCTCATTCTTGAGTCCTCTAATTAATTTTATACACATTTACCTTGGAGATAGTTACTCATTTGCAGGAATTTAAATGTATCTTCATGTTAATAATGTTTATAATTTATCCTTGGTCCAGATTTCTCCTCTAAAGAAGACTCCAATAAAGGAAATGAATTAAATTTTGTTTTCCCAGTATAGGGAACAGAAAGAAACATGAGAGTACATGTGGACTTTAAGTGTTTCACATGGCACCCCAATAGGTCGTCGTTTATGATAGAAGTAGGGCTAGCTCTGTTTTCCAGCTCTGTTATATAACTGTCTTATTGGACTAGATTCTAAGATTATTCTAATACCTTCTAGGCCTATGACCTTGGACAAGTTATTTAACCTCAACAAACCTTAATATGTGCATTTATAAAATGAATTTATCATTACCATGTTATGATTTACATTGAAGAAACTAAATAAAATATAAATTTGCTTAGTACAATGCCTGAGATACTCCAGATTTTCAGAAAACACTATTTTTTATATTTATGATAAAGCTTTTTACATTTTTCCGAATTACAGCTGCTTATATTTTATAGCATCTTACAATACCTATAATCTAAGTAGAAATGATAATACAGTTGTATAAAAATATTCTGTTGATGCCTTCTGGTAAGATCAAGTATCAAAGGGTCTTAGGTTTGATGAACTAAAAGCCCTCAAACTCTGTCTTACTAGAACAAAGCTTTGTCGATAATAGAAGTAGAGAAATTGAAGATACGTTATAAACCTTCAGAAAATTTAAAATTTAATTGGTGCAAAAAAAAAGTTAAAATTGGAGAAATGAATGGAGTATTTTGTTTATGGGCAGCAAGTATGTAAAGGTGTAGCCCAAACTATGAAATAATGAGAAAATTTAGCGTGATCCAAGATGTCATGGCAATACTTAGGAGAAGAGGAGTTTGCATTGAAATTTACGAAGAGCAATCAATGAAGGGGAGGCAAGGGGAAGAAACTATGGAAGAACTACATGATCAGTTTTGGAGAGATGGGAATAAGTATGCCTTGTTGAAAAATGTAGGAAACTGGCTAAACCAACTCTCACAGAGTTTTATAAGAGAAGGTCGCATAACCTGTCTTGAGATTGATGAACAAAATCTGTATATTCCAAGTTGAGTTTATAATTGGGGTAAGAAAAAGAGGAAAGAAGAGTGGCTCAGAGTCCGTAGTTGCTGTTCAAGTGTACAAAAACTTATTCTTGAATTAGAATGGCAGCTGAAGAAATGGTAAATCAGTTGAATCTTAGAAAGACTAAGAAGCAAGATTTAGAAAGAGCTGATCACTCTAAAGGCAAAGAAACGCTGTAATCAAGCCTCATTCTAGATGGTCCTGGAAGACTGTGAGTTTGGAGGCTATGTAATCAGAAAGCCAAAATAAGAAAGAAGAAATGGTTTGTAGGTTTAGATAGATGAAGATTTTAATCAAATGGAATGAGTTCAATAATTATGAAGACACACGTGAGGAAATTTGTGAACTGGAGAAATAAAACAGGAGCAAGATTATCAAGACCCGTCTACATTTGTTATTTTTTTTTCTCACTTTTAGTGCAGTATTCTTAGTTCAGTGTAATGTGCTAAATTAATGATTACACTAAGCTGATATAATTAGATGATCGATTTCTTTGCCAAACAAAGAGAAGATAGACGAAACACTGGAAACTTTAGTGGTCAGTGTGAACTATTACAAATCTAGAGTAGAAAATCTGACATTTAGATCTATGCTTTGAACTGTATGTTTCTGGGATGATATGGTTTGTCTGTGTCCTCACCCAAATCTCATGTTGAATTGTAGTTCCCATAATCCATACATGTTGTGGGAGGGACCCAGTGGGAAGTGATTCGATCATGGGAGCAATTTCCCCCATACTGTTCTCATGATATGAGTGAGTTCTCATGAGATCTGCTGGTTTTATAAGTGTCGCATTTCCTCTGCAGGCACATCTCTCTCCCGCCACCTTATAAAAAAGATGCCTTCTTTCCCCTTTGCCTTCTGCCATGATTGTAAATTTCTTGAGGCCTTCCCAGCCATGTGGGACTATGAGTCAGTCAAACCTCTTTCCTTTATAAATTACCCAGTCTCGGTATTTTCTTAGAGCAATATGAGAACAGACTAATACAGCAAATTGACACCAAGGGTGGGGTGCTGCTATAAGAATACCCCAAAATGGCCAGGTGAGGTGGCTCACAACTGTAATCCCAGCACTTTGGGAGGCCAAGGTGGACAGATCATAAGGTCCGGAGATTGAGACCATCCTGGCCAACATAGTGAAACTCCATCTCTGCTAAAATACAAAAAAATAGTCTGGCATGGTGGCATGTGCCTGTAGTCCCAGCTATTCAGGAGGCTGAGGCAGGGGAATCACTTGAACCTGGGAGGCGGAAGTTGCAGTGAGCTGAGATCGTGCCGCTGCACTCCAGCCTGGTGACAGAGCAAGACTCCATCTCAAAAAAAAAAAAAAGAATACTCCATAATGTGAAAGTAGTGACTTTGGAACTGAGTAACAGGAAAAGGTTGGAACAGTTTAGAGGGCTCAGAAGAAGACAGGAAGACATGGGAAAGTTTGGAACTTCCTAGAGACTTGTTGAATGGCTTTGACCAAAATGCTGTTCGTGATATGGACAACGAAGTCCAGGCTGAGGATGTCTCAAATGGAGATGAGGAACTTTTTGGGAACTGGAATAAAGGTGACTCTTGCTACGCTTTGCTTTAGTGAAGAGACTGGTGGCATTTTGCCCTGCCCTAGAGATCGGAGGAAATTTGAACTTGAGATAGATGATTTAGGATAACTGGTGGAAGAAATTTCTGAGAACCAAATTGCTCAAGAGGTGACAGAACATAAAAGTTTGGAAAATTTGCAGCCTGAGGTTGTGGTAAAAAAGAAAAATCCTTTTGTGGGGAGAAATTCAAGCCAGCAGCAGAAGTTTGCATAAGTAACAAGGAGCTGAATGTTAATCACCAAGACAATGGGGAAAATGTCTCCAGGACATGTCAGAGACCTTCACAGCAGCACCCCCCATCACAGGCCCAAAAGCCTAGGAGGGAAAAATGGTTTCGTGGACCCGGCCCAGGCCCCCCCTGCTCTGTGCAGCCTCGAGACATGGTACCCTGTGTCCCATCTGCTTCAGCTCCAGCCATGACTAAAAGGGCCAAGGTACAGCTTGGTTCATTGCTTCAGAGGGTGCAAGCCCCAAGTCTTGCAGCTTCCATGTGGTGTTGAGCCTGTGGGTGCACAGAAGACAAGAATTGAGGTTTGAAAACCTCTGTCTGAATTTCAGAGAATGTATGGAAATGCCTGGATGTCCAGGCAGAAGCTTTGGCTGCAGAAGCAGAGCTCTTATGGAGAACCTCTGCTTGGGCAGTACGAAGGGAAATGTGGAGTCAGAGCCCTCACACAAAGTCCCCACTGGGGCACTGCCTACTGGAGCTATGAGAAGAAGGCCACCATCCTTCAGACCCCAGAATGGTAGACCCACTGACAGCTTGCACTGTGTGCCTGGAAAAGCTGCAGACACTCAATGCCAGCCAGTGAAAGCAGCCAGGAGGGGGGCTGTACCCTGCAAAGCTACAGGGGTGGAGCTGCCCAAGGCCATGGGATCCCACATGTTGCATCAGCGTGACCTGAATGTGAGACTGAGTCAAAGGAGAATATTTTGTAATTTTAAGATTTAATGACTGCCCTATTAGATTTTGAACTCACATGAGGCCTGTAACCTCTTTGTTTTGGCCAGTTTCTCTCATTTGTGTATATTTACCCAATGCCTGTATCCCCATTGTATCTAGGAAGTAACTAACTGGCTTTTGATTTTACAGGCTCATAGGCAGAAGGGACTTGCCTTGTCTCAGATGACACTTTGGACTTAGACTTTTGGGTTAATGCTGGAATGAGTTAAAACTTTGGTGGACTGTTGGAAAGGCATGATTGTGTCTTGAAATGTGAGAAGGACATGAAATTTGGAAAGGACCAGGGGTGGAATGATATGGTTTGGCTGTGTCCCCACCCAAATCTCATTTTGAATTGTAGTTCCCATAATCCCCATGTCTTGTGGGAGGGACTCGTGGGAAGTGATTGGATCATGGGGGCAGTTTCCCCCATGCTGTTCTTGTGATAGAGAGTGAGTTCTCATGAGATCTCACAGTTTTTCAAGTGTCTGGCACTTGCTCTGCTGGTGCTTCTCCCTCCTGCTGCCTTGTGAAGAAGGTGCCTTGCTTCCCCTTCGCTTTCTGCCATGACTGTAAGTTTCCTGAAGCCTTCCCAGCCATGTGGAACTGTGAGTCAATTAAACCCCTTTTGTTTATGAATTACCCAGTCTCGGGTATTTCTTTATAGCAATTTGAGAATGGACTAATACATGGAGAAAAGATAAGAATTTCAGGAAACAGGGAATATGAGTTAATTTACATTTCCTGATTTTTGCCCTTTATTTGAAGTAGAGATAAATCATATTTCCTTATTTTTGTTGCAATAATTTCTTTAAAATAATAAACTTTTACCAAGACAAAATTAGATTATTTTAGGCCTAAAGAATTAAAGCTGGCAGTAATGAAAAAATAAATTAACAAATGAAAACATATTGTATTTATAATTGCCAGATATTTTCCCCCTTACGTAAGCATCCTCTTATGATACAGCAGTAGCAGATTTCTTCACATTGTCTATACAACGTAATTCAATTCAATATATACTTCCTAAAAATGTTATTCACTAATTGCAGATAACCGAATAGAGAAATATGAAAACAATTTAAAATAAAATCAGAAGTGTATTATGAGAATCTGAGCACTGATTTTTATTTGCAAATATACTATTTTTTTTTAAAAAAAGACGTCCATAAATGATTCCCTTAAAGAGTTCAATGAAGGAAAATTAAAACCATGTTTTTAGTGTATTACATTTTCCTCTCTTAACAGCAAAAGGTTTGAGTCTTTTGGTATATGGTCATCAACTGTTACTAACCACTGGATGCTTCAGTCTCTTCCCTTAAAGAATCAACCCACCTTCCACCTTTTTTTACATCTGGAAAATAAACTTAAAGTCAGGCATCAGAGGAGAGTTGTTTCATTAATTTAGAAGACAATTTTAAAAGCAATACTCTTTCCTGAACATTCATACTATGATGTGAATATCATTTTATTAGTCAAAACATAGTTTATTTGTGATATTATTATGCTATCATTTTCAGTTACATGCAAATCAAGGGAACACTTTGACCTAATGAGGTACTTACCTGAAAAACAGCTCAGTCATTTATTGCTCTATTTTTTGTTTTTGTTTGTTTAGGTATGGGTTGAGTAGATTTGGTCCCTTCTTTCAAACCTAGTAATTATTCCTTGGGAATCAATCCATAAAATAGCACAATTAGTGTACATACATAAGAGGAGAAGACAATTGATAAACTCAAGAAATTTGTGTGGTAGAATAACCAAATATTGAGGTGAATGAGGTAGACTGTAAAATACTACAGGTAATAATGACTGCAAAATGAACATAAACATGGCTTTCCAAACCTTTAAAAAATGTATATTATTAGCTTTAGGACTTAACAAACCAAATGAAAATTAAGGCCATTCTGAATGCAAAACAAAATCTTCAAAACAGAGCGCATATTTTTGGCGGGTCAAGAGTGGCAAGACCACCAGTGTATGTGAGAGAAAGGAAGTATATTTACGACAAGTACTGTGAGCAATTGCAATATCCACAGGTTTGGCTCATTGGCGGGAGTGCCATCAATAACAGTGATGATGTAATCATATTGGTAAGACATTCAAGGTAAGTCACCCCCTTACATATTCCATTTCTAAATGAAAGTAAAGAAATACGATTTGGTGCTCAGAGAAAATGTTTATATTTAAGAAAGATTTTCACTACTATGGCAGGGTTCAAGGAGGAAAAATTAAAAGAGGAGGTAAAAGATTAGAAATAAAAGTTTTATACCATCAAATCAGTGATTTTTCATATGACAAAATGTTAATTTAAATTTAAATATTGACTAGAAATATATTTAATTGAAAATTTAGTCACATATTTTGTAGCTGAAGTCCAGAACAGATTTTTGACCATCTATGTCTAAGGGAAAGACATGAGTAATGTATCTGTCATCATTTCTTTGGTGTTTGTTTAGTCACATTCATTAAAGGGCAAAAGCTTCTCTATTTATTTTTTCCAAAGTCATTTTTCTATGAAAATATCTTTATATTAAAAGATAACAAAAATTGAAACAGACACAGTAAGTATTTAATAATTTTGGAAAATATTATTTATCTTTTCCTGACTTCCTTAAAAATGAATTCTACTATACAAAAGAGAATAGAAACACAACAAAAACATTATTCATAACCATATTTTGCAGAGTGATATATCACTTTATTTTCAGAAACAAATTTAATCTTCTCTTTTCCAAAATTAAAATTAATCTTTTTCATTTTTATGACCCTGTATATCGATTTTAAAGTATTTTAAAATAGTATGCCATATTAGTGAAAGTTTTAATTTTTTATATTTGATATTATGTCTTCGATTACAAGGTACAGTATTATTTATTAAAGTATGTAGTTTTATAAGTGTGGATACTACCATTTTGGAACATTAATTTTGAAGCCATAGTTTTTAGCTGCTCTAAAGTAAGAACATTTTTCATAGAACATCTTCTCGTGAATGTTTTGTACTGTACTGTGATATGTTAATAAATTCATGTGGCAAATCCACAAACTCAACATTTTCTAAATATATAATTTTAGAGTGAATTATCTTTTTTTTTTTCTTTTGAGACAAGGTCTCACTCTGTAGCCCAGGCTGTAGCGCAAAGTGGTACAATCTCAGCTCACTGCAACCTCTGCCTCCCAGGTTTAAGCAATCCTCCTGCCTCAGCCTCCCAAGTAGCTAGGATTACAAGCATGAGCCACCATGCCTGGATATTATTATTATTGTTATTATTATTATTATTGTACGTTTAGTAGAGACGGGGTTTCACCATGTTGGCCAGGCTGGTCTTGAACTCCCAACCTCAAGTGATCCGCCTGCCTTGGCCTCCCAAAGTTCTGGGATTATAGGCATGAGCCACTGCACCCAGTCTAAAGTGAATTATCTAATCAAATGTTCTTCTTATCTAGAAAAATGTCTGCAAGGGAAGTGTGTATAGAGAAAAGAAGAATAGATTTATACCTCTTTATGCAAGTCTCAGCTCTTATCAACAGTGTATATGCAGGCACATTAGCCAGTATAACAGGAGATTAACCCATAAACCCAAACTGCCAACCTCTTAATTTATAGATGAGCCGATTCGTCTCATCTGCAGAGAGTGAGCATTTCTCCTCATGCTGCAGTGCATGCCACAATCCAAATTATAATTTCCAGGCATGATAGTGAATCCGGAATCAGGGCAAAGAAAGTTGGGTCATCTCAGTGTCTATTTTTTGTTTGTTTATTTTTTGTTTTGAGACGGAGTTTCACTCTTGTCACCCAGGCTGGAGTGCAATGGCATCATCTCAGCTCACTGCAACCTCCGCCTACTGGGTTCAAGCAATTCTCCTGCCTCAACCTCCTGAGTAGCTGAGATTACAGGCACGTGCAACCACGCCCAGCTAATTTTTGTATTTTTAGTAGAGATGGGGTTTCACTATGTTGGCCAGGCTGATCTTGAACTCCTGACCTCAGGCGATCTGCCCGCCTCGGCCTCCCAAAGTGCTGGGATTACAGGCCCCACCCTCAGTCTCTATTTTTATGAAGTCATGATAATCTGGCATCCTTTTCTTTTTTACTCTGGAAATTTTATTATGTAAATGAATCTAATGGTCTGAGATCCAAGCTCACTTTTTGCAAGTATTATTTGTATTCTCCAACACTTGCATTTCTGGATTCTTTGTCCTTTTAATTTTCATTCATTGCTTTGCCTACATCTTTTCCTCATGGCACAGTGCAATTTCCAGGATTAGAAATTATTTTATATTTACTATATTCTATAGAGATGGCTTATTGATGTTACTCAAGGAAATTTTTCCATTTTATGAGTAATCTTTGTTCAAATCACAAAGTAGGGTGCTAGAGCTAATCCCTTCTGATGTGTGGATGCAAATGTTGATCAGATATTGTGGAGCAAATGACAAGTAAAGTCTAAGCTGAGTAATGAGGCAGTAAGGGGACATCCACATTTAGAATTATTGTTAATTCTCAGATGAATTGCAATCATCTTCCTTAAATTCTATCTGAAAAGAAAACCAAAAGCCTTACATTCCAGAGTGATATAAAATAACCTATAAATGTAATATCAGAGTCACTATGTATAATCTCTAATATTTTCAGAAACAGAAGAGTGAAATAGGTGTCCCAAGATGAACAAAAAATCACTATTTTTTAAAAAATTACACAAGATTATATAGTAGAATTGTAGACACAACGATAATGCTAATGTTAGTTAACACATTTATTCACAATCTATTATTAAATTAACTAAGCATCGCATTCATCTCTCCCATTTTTGTCATTGCCTTCCCCCTGACAGCACCTTCATGATACCTTCCCACTTCCCCAAACCCCTTGGTTATACCACCTCATGTCTCCTTTCCTTAGTCTTATGCTTTTTGGAATTTTATCTTTTCTCAAGGATGAAGCTGTTGCTCCTATAATAGGATTGCCTTCTCTCACCAGAATGCATTCAAGCTGAGGGGCTGGTACCCTGAATCAAAATGCAAGGTTACAATTTAAGTGAGAGGCAAGGCTACTCATAAAGAATTGTGATACAGCAACTAGAAAGATTATAATTGAAGCAATGATTCATAACTATTTGCTAATATAAAAAGATAACAGATGTGAGCCTACATATAAGAACTGGGGTTTAGGTGATATCTACATTTCTGGGTACATTGATAATTTCTCTGAAAAAGTCCTGAAGGAACTTCTGATAAGCAAAGAAGAAAAAGTTCATTTTCTAGCTAAGGAAGAAAAAACGTTTCAAGGGAATTTATTCTAGTAGTGCAACAAGCATTGGGGAAAATATTCAACTACAGTAGTAGTCAAAGAAGACTAATAACATTATATAATATAATGACTTACATATTAAGTTAGCATATTTTAAATAAGCCTTTCTAATGTTGATATAAGACTAGGAAAATCTGTTAGAAAGAATCAATGGAGATTGTATTTTTTACAAGATTGTTAATATCTGTGAAGAGTTTGATCTACTCAAACTTTTAGAAAAGAGTTATCAATAAAGTTATTTACAGCAGTTTTATTTAAAATAGCCCAAACTGAATACACTCTAAAATTCCAACAATTGGGAGCAACAACAACAAAAAATGGAGGGGTATAATGGTATATGACATAGTATAAAACTATATTAACAATAATGAGATGAAAATTATTTTAAAATAATTTTTATTATTATAGAAAAACACATGAACACAGAGATTGGAAATGCTATAAACACAACATGTTCAATCTTCCTGGGTCTTCAATGTAGCCTGGAAATACTTCTATTTCTCCTCTTAGCTCTCTTTCCTTTTATCCTCAGCAACTATTTACAAAGTTCTTAAGTCTTCTCACAGCTCTGACCCTACAACCTCACAGATCCCTCTTGGAGAATTTGTTTACCTTCTCTTCCACAAAGCAAATGGATGCTGTCAGATTTCTTCAACTTCTTTTCACAAAACCTTCACAATTTTCCAGCAGCTGTCCTGGTTCCTTTCTTCCTCCTCTCTAGCTGGTGTAGAAAAGGAGCAGTCTGCCTAGCCTAAAGCTGATCCTTCTGCACTCTGAATCCCACCACCTCTGTTTCTTTAACATTCTTACTTCTCTTTTTCTCTCCCCTTCCTTCAATATCTTCCTTAATCACCCAAATCCGCCATTTAAAAAAATTGCTCATTTCTCCAACTTTAAAACAACAATAATAAACACTTAAAGATTTTCTTTTTCCATAATAATCTTCAAAGAATTTATCATTCCTTCAAGTCCCAATCCACTGCAATCTGACATCTAGTCTTTACCTTACATCTCAGCAGCATTTACCAAGATGCCATTCCTTTCTTGAGTTACTCTCTTTCCTTAGTTTTTGTGACACCGCTCAATTCTGCCTGCCCTCCTCTCTTTCTGACCATCCCCATTAAACCTCTCTGTTGGCTCCTCCTCCACTGATTGTCTCATAACATTGGTTTTCTTTCATAGCTCTGTCCAAGACCCCTTCATGCTTTACTTGGTGCACGCTCACTAGGTGACCTCTGCTACTGCCATAGGCTTCAAGTAGAATTATAAGAGGATGAGGCTCAGATCGTTACATCTAGTCCTGACCACTCTCTCTTACCTTTTAGAGATGTGTATCCAGTTGGCTGGTGGACACTTCCAAGTGGATGTTCCATGAAACCTTAGATTCAATATGCCAAAATTTCTGTGTCTAGATCCTCTACTCTCACCTAAATGGACTTCTCCTCTCATGTATTTGCTACCTTAGTGATGGATAAACCCAGTTATCCAAGTCAGAAATTTGGCAGTAATTTTTTTTAATTTCATTATTATTATACTTTAAGTTTTAGGATACATGTGCACAACGTGCAGGTTTGTTACATATGTATACATGTGCCATGTTGCTGTGCTGCACCCATTAACTCATCATTTAGCATTAGGTATATCTCCTAATGCTATCCCTCCCCCCTCCCCCCACCCCACAACAGTCCCCAGTGTGTGATGTTCCCCTTACTGTGTCCATGTGCTCTCATTGTTCAATTCCCACCTATGAGTGAGAACATGCGGTGTTTGGTTTTTTTGTCCTTGCGATAGTTTGCTGAGAATGATGGTTTCCAGCTTCATCCATGTCCCTACAAAGGACATGAACTCATCATTTTTTATGGCTGCATAGTATTCCATGGTGTATATGTGCCACATTTTCTTAATCCAGTCTATCATTGTTGGACATTTACTCCCCTAACCCAATAGTCAATTGATTACCAAATTCTGTATTTCTCCAACTTAAATATTTCATAAATCTCTTCTCTGGGTTTTTACTATCAGAGCCAACTGGTTTCTCTATATCTGTCTTGCTTATATCCTCTATTGGTAGTGTGTAAATGTTTAACAACTGTTTCTCTGAATAAAAGGAAAGCTTCAATTTGTAGTATTTTCCAGTTTTTGTGTGATAAATACAGCATGACTAATTTTGAGCTGCCCAATGTGATTTCAGTCACTGACATTGGGCTGGGAAGTGATGATAACATTTGGCTTTTTTGAGCTTATGAGCTGGTTTCAGCACACTACTGTTTTTAATAGAGTGTTTTTCCATCCTAGTTGTATGCTGGAATAACCCAGAGAGCTACATATATGTATGTATTTATGTATACACACACATATGCATGCACATGGACCTTATTTGCAAAGTTTTACTGGTCTGGGATGGGTCTCAGAACTGATATATTATGAAACTTCCACAAGTCTTTCTAATGCGCAATTGAAGTTCATATCAATTTTATGGTGTTTATGTACTCTTTCTAAAATCAATCTGACTGTGATCTTTAACCATCCTCACCCCTACATCCGATTAAATTATTTAATTGCCTTTGAAGTCCCAGCCAAGTTACTGATAAAACTTTTAAGACCCATATGAACTGGTCTTGTTTTATTTTTCTATTCCTAGAGTATTTCTTGCTTCCTTTCAGCTAACTAACTGCCCCCAAGTTATCAAGTTTACATTTAGATAGGACTTCTTCCAGGAAGCCTTCCTGCATGAATCGAGTCTAGATTTCATTCTCTTCTTGGTTGTATCATAGCACTTTGTACTCCCCACATCAAACACTTTGTGTCTTTAACAGCTCCTTGCAAACAATGATCAAGTGAGTCTTATTCTTCATTGTATCCCCAGAGCCTAGAACCTAGTTTTCAAGTAAAATTTCAATAATATATTTTGACTAAAAGAATAAGTTTTGTTTTCTCACTCCATTATTTGTGTATTTGTCAGAATATAATACAATAATAAGAAATCAGAAAATATACAAAATCTGAAAGAAGGCCACTCATAGACCTATCTCCTCCAAAGCTGTTCACTTGTGAAAATATATGTTGGCATATAATTTTTCCAACTTTTTCTGGGCATAGATAACTTAGGCTGTAATACATTATATAATATGTTATCAAGGATTTTCATCAATACTTAGAGCTAGTCTGCTTAGGTTAACATCTGCCTTTATAAAAATAAAACCATCAGGGCTGGGCAAAGTGGCTCACGCCTGTAATCCCAGCACTTTGGGAGGCCAAGACAGGTGGATCATCTGAGGTAAGGAGTTCGAGACCAACCTGGGCAACGTGGTTAAACCCCATCTCTACTAAAAATGCAAAATTTATCTGGGCATGGTGGTGCATGCAATCCCAGCTACTCAGGATGCTGAGGCAGGGGAGCTACTTGAACCCTCGAGGTGGAAGTTGCAGTAGCTGAGACCGCACCACTGCACTGCAGCCTCTGTTCAAAAAATACACAAATAAACAAATAAAATGATCAGAACATAGTAAACATACTAAATCTCCCCCATTCTCACCCTGTGCTTCTTTGCTTTTGAAAATTAATATGATCTAGTAGAAAGAAATTAATATGAATCTGCCTCCACCTCTTCTGGGCTGTTATTTAATGCTCCTGAACTTCAATTTTCCCAACTGTAAAATGGGATTAATAATACCTACTTAAAAGGTTTTTGTGTGGATAATAAGAAATGACAACTGTATAGCATAGGTTTGTAGTTCAATAATATTGAATGCTAGAAAGTCCCTGGGAGAATTGGAAAGAACAAATACCACCTGTTTTAGCAGAAAAAAAGATCAATCACAGCATCCCTTCTAGAGTGCAGTTTCATAAGTGTGTGAGAGTCAAAGCCAGACGGAAAGAACTGAAAAGAAATTGTAGATCAACTGTAGATCATAAAAGCTGACCACTCCTCAGAATAATTTCACAAAGAAAGAAGAGAAATTTATGGTATCTAGAGGGGGCAGCAAAGTCAAGTGAAAGTTCTTCAAGTTAAGTGATGGCAAAAAAAGTCAGTGGCAAGGAAGAGCGAACATGTGAGAAAAACATGTCACATGGGAGGCAAGTGCTCAGAAGTAGGGAACATCTAAGTGCAGGTATAGGCATTACACTTAGTAGCTGGACTTTATCATTAGAAGGATGCCTTTTCCTTGAGGGACTTGAGGAAGCTCAGATTAAAATGAATACAATTTGATATTTTTAAGACCTATATTTCATTTCTTCTCAGGGAGATAGATAATTCTATAAAAATGTACTATGAAATTAAGATGAGGCAGCATTAATTATTGAAAGGAATTTGAAGGAATATATGCCAATGTTTCAGGTTACTGGCAATTAGCCACTATATTATCTTTACATATTTTATCATTGGTTAAGTTCCAGAAATACTTGGCAACCAGATTTGAAGTAATTGATTGTATCCACCTCAAAATCATTGTTAATTTTGTCAGAAGTTCAAGAGAAATCAAGGACTAATTTATTTCAAGAAATTTGGTGCAATAGAAACCTGGAAAATGTCATACTTCAAACAAGACACCAAGTGTTTTGGTGCCTTTTTTTTCTTCACTCAACTTGTATTTTGTGCCAGGCATTGTTTTAAGTTCTCAAAGTTTATTGTTGAGCAAGATGGACAAAGTTTCTGCTTTCATGGAGTTTATTCTTTAAACAAGGAAACCTGAAAGGACAGAAGTAAATAAGTACAACATCATCTCATGAAAAGTACCCTGAAAAGCAAAGCTGGCAAATGTGGGTACAGAGGGCATGTGGGGTGGGTGGCAATGCCTTTGTCAGCCTGGTCTGGGAAGTCCTCTTTGACTAGTGGACATTTGAGCTGACGCCTGACTGGCACAAATCAGAGTCATGGGGAATTCAGAAAGTACTGTCTTCTAATTCTTCACCGAATTCCCAGGCTTGACGTAGAAAGATAAAGGCCATGAAAAGCCAAGCTACATGAAAGGAAGGCCAGTGTAGTTGAGGCAAAAGAAAGCAAGAGTATGAAGCAAGGTGAGTCTAGGAATTAGTCAGCACGGCTTGCAGAATAGGGTAATGAGTCGGGATTGATTGCTAGTGCAACGAGATGTCATTGCAGGGTTCATCAAAAGTATGATCTGACTTGTATTTTACAAAAATTATTCTGGATAGTGTGTGCAGAATACGTAATGTAATTGATCATGATACTAGTTATTACTACTGGCTGTAAGACTATAAAATGCAATTCAATGGTATCCTATTTGGAGAAGATCTCAACAAGATTTTGATGAAAGAGGACTTGAGTGATCTCTAGTTTCTTCAAGCCTTTATTTTACAGATGAGGAAGTTAAGGAAGTTAAGGTCTATAGATGAAATAATACACAAAATCATCCAATATATAAGATACAAGGGGATTTTATGTATTGGATGATCTTGTGTATATGTTGTTGATCTTGAAATAATATGCAAGATCATCCAATCAGTTATTGGCTGAGCCAGGATTAGAATATATTCCTTATCCATTTTGTTCTTTTCATGATACCTTATCTTTTCATTTGGCTTTGGCACACACACACACACACACACACACACACACACACACATATACACAGAGGGGGAGAGAGAGAAAGAGAAGACACTAGCTGTGAATCATTTTAGTGCCTATCCCAGAAAGCCTAGAAACTGTTGCTTGAAGTGTGTTCCACAGACCATTTACACCAGAATCACTCAGGTTATTTGTTTAGATGTAGTACTGACACAGAATCACAGAATCTCTGGGAATTGCACTTTGAAGAAGGAAAAACTGGAAACGTTCACGAGCTGTCCAGTTTTCAAGATGAAACACCTGTTATTACCAATCTTCAGCAACTTTGATTGAGCTTTCTCTACTGGACACTTTTCCAACATGCAAAAAAAGAGTCTACTCATTTCATTTCTATTTCCTATGCACTCTTAATACAGCTTAGACTGATTGTCTTAAAAAAAAAAAAGAAAAGAAAAAAAAAGAAGTCATTTTGTGAATGAAAATTGCCCTCAACAATAATTAATAGCCTACCAACCAAAAAAAGTCCAGGACCAGATGGATTCACAGCCGAATTCTACCAGAGGTACAAAGAGGAGCTGGTACCATCCCTTCTGAAACTATTCCAATCAATAGAAAAAGAGGGAATCCTCCTTAACTCATTTTTTGAGGCCAACATCATCCTGATACCAAAGCCGGGCAGAGACACAACCAAAAAAGAGAATTTTAGACCAATATCCCTGATGAACATCGATGCAAAAATCCTCAATAAAATACTGGCAAACCGAATCCAGCAGCACATCAAAAAGCTTCTCCACCACAATCAAGTTGGCTTCATCCCTGGGATGCAAGGCTGGTTCAATATATGCAAACCAATAAAAGTAATCCATCATATAAACAGAACAAAAGACAAAAACCACATGATTATCTCAATAGATGCAGAAAAGGCCTTCAACAAAATTCAGTAGCCCTTCATGCTAAAAACTCTCAATAAACTAGGTATTGATGGGATGTATCTCAAAATAATAAGAGCTATTTATGACAAACCCACAACCAATATCATACTGAATGGGCGAAAACTGGAAGTATTCCCTTTGAAAACTGGCATAAGACAGGGATGCCGTCTCTCACCACTCGTATTCAACATAGTGTTGTTGGAAGTTCTGGCCAGGGCAATCAGGCAAGAGAAAGAAATAAAGGGTATTCAATTAGGAAAAGAGGAAGTCAAATTGTCCCTGTTTGCAGATGACATGATTGTATATTTAGGAAAACCCATCGTCTCAGCTCAAAATCTCCTTAAGCTGATAAGCAACTTTAGCAGTCTCAGGATACAAAATCAGTGTGCAAAAATCACAAGCATTCTTATACACCAATAACAGACAGAGAGCCAAATCATGAGTGAACTCCCATTCACAATTGCTTCAAAGAGAATAAAATACCTAAGAATCCAACTTACATGGGATATGAAGGACCTCTTCAAGGAGAACTACAAAACACTGCTCAATGAAATAAAAGAGGATACAAACAAATGGAAGAACATTCCATGCTTATGGATGGGAAGAATCAATATTGTGAAAATGGCCATACTGCCCAAGGTAATTCATAGATTCAATGCCATCCCCATCAAGCTACCAATGACTTTCTTCACAGAACTGGAAAAAACTACTTTAAAGTTCATATGGAACCAAAAAAGAGCCCACATTGCCAAGGTAATCCTAAGCCAAAAGAACAAAGCTGGAGGCATCATGCTACCTGACTTCAAACTATACTAGAAGGCTACAGTAACCAAAACAGCATGCTACTGGTACCAAAACAGAGATATAGACCAATGGAACAGAATAGAGCTCTCAGAAATAATACCACATGTCTACAACTATCTGATCTTTGACAAACCTGACAAAAACAAGCAATGGGGAAAGGATTCCCTATTTAATAAATGGTGCTGGGAAAACTGGCTAGCCATATGTAGAAAGCTGAAACTGGATCCCTTCCTTACACCTTATACAAAAATTAATTCAAGATGGATTAAAGGATTAATTGTTAGACCTAAAACCATAAAAACTCTAGAAGAAAACCTAAGCAGTACCATTCAGGCCACAGGCATGGGCAAGGACTTCACAACTAAAACACCAAAAGCAATGGCAACAAAAGGCAAAATTGACAAATGGGATCTAATTAAACTAAAGAGCTTCTGCACAGCAAAAGAAACTACCATCAGAGTGAACAGGCAACCTACAAAATGGGAGAAAATTTTCGCAACCTACTCATCTGACAAAGGGCTAATATCCAGAATCTACAATGAACTCAAACAAATTTACAAGAAAAAAACAAACAACCCCATCAAAAAGTGGGCGAAGGACATGAACAGACACTTCTCAAAAGAAGACATTTATGCAGCCAAAAGACACATGAAAAAATGCTCATCATCACTGGCCATCAGAGAAATGCAAATCAAAACCACTATGAGATACTATCTCACACCAGTTAGAATGGCAATCATTAAAAAGTCAGGAAACAACAGGTGCTGGAGAGGATGTGGAGAAATAGGAACACTTTTACACTGTTGGTGGGACTGTAAACTAGTTCAACCATTGTGGAAGACAGTGTGGCGATTCCTCAAGGATCTAGAACTAGAAATACCATTTGACCCAGCCATCCCATTACTGGGTATATACCCAAAGGATTATAAATCATGCTGCCATAAAGACACATGCACACATAGGTTTACTGCGGCACTATTCACAATAGCAAAGATTTGGAACCAACCCAAATGTCCATCAATGATAGACTGGATTAAGAAAATGTGGCACATATACACCATGGAATATTATCCAGTCATAAAAAAAGATGAGTTCATGTCCTTTGTAGCGACATGGATGAAGCTAGAAACCATCATTCTCAGCAAACTATTGCAAGGGCAGAAAACCAAATACTGCATGTTCTCACTCATAGATGGGAATCGAACAGTGAAAACACTTGGACACAGGGTGGGGAACTTCACACACTGGGGCCTGTTGTGGGGTGGAAGGATGGGGGAGGGACAGCATTAGGAGATATACCTAATATAAATTACAAGTTAACAGGTGCAGCACACCAACATGGCACATGTATACATATGTAACAAACCTGCACATTGTGTACATGTACCTTAGAACTTAAAGCATTAAAAAAAAAAACAAACTTAAATCCCCAATGCAACAGTATTAAGAGGTGGGGCCTTTAGGAGGTGATTAAGTCATGAGGGCAGAGCCCTCATGAATGGGATAAGCAACTTTATAAAAGGGCTGGAGGGAATTAGCTAGGCTCGTTTGTCCTTCTGCCTTCCACCATGTAAAGACAATGCATCCCTTCCAGAGAAAGCAGTACTCAAGGCACCATCTTGAAAGCAGAGACCAGGCCCTTAGCAGACACTGAACCTGTCAACATCTTGATGATTTTGGACTTCTTACACTCTAGACCAATAAGAAAATAAATTTCTCTTCTTTATAAACTAAAAAAAAAAAAAAAAAAAGAAAATTGCCCTCAAACCCTCAAATCCTGTATTGTCCTATGGGTAAACCCATAAATTTAAGATAGTGGCTGATCTAATTACTGATAACCTGTCATCCAGGTAACAAGAAATTAGAAATGCTGATTAGGAAGGAGGGGGAAATGCAATATAATTTAGAACAGTTTTCATCAAAAAATGATTATTTAAGCAGTAAGATTTGGTATATGCAAAATTCATTTATATAAAACATCACATTTGCCTGAGGATAGTGTATAAGTAAAGGGTTATCGCTAAGGCTTGTCTGTTATCATTGGAGAAACATGCCTATTTGAAATTGTATTTGCTGTTTACTTGCTATAATTTCCATGTTTGTAAATAAGGAATCTTGTTATGTACATTGTAACATTTGTTTTATTCTTGTTTCCCAAACCAGTAGCCAGTGGTTAGATGACTCTAAGGATGGAGCAGCAAACTTTGGGGGAATAGTTTTTGAAAGACATTAATGCAGTAACAGCAAACATTATTACTTATTGAACATTTACTTTATGCTAGATGCATAATATCAACTTTATATGCATTATCTAATTTAATCTTCTCAACCTACCATTTTTCAAGCAAAAAAAAAAATCCACTACCATTTTATTCAGCATTCTCTCATATTAGAAAGTTAATCTCAGTCCCCTGAGCAGTAGAGAAATTTATTCAGGTTTCTGGGTGAGGATGTGATCTATGAGAATTTTGAAGAGCATGAAAATCTCTGGCACAGAGGTTACAACTAAAAGCATCACAGCCTAAACAACTCTAAAAATATTGTCTCAGAAATAGCAAAATCATAAAGAACATGGAGCTCTATTTTATCACCTTAGCCTGGCTTTTTTATCTAACTCTAGTGATTTGACATCGTTGCTGTAGTGAAACGTAATACTAATTTCAGGGATATGATGTAGGAAAGACTAAAATACAGAAAATTTGGTATCGTGTTTTATATTAGTTTAAAGTATTATGAATTGCTTATGTAAGCAATTACAAATTTAAAAATTACCTTTTTAAATTTGGTATAATGATCATAGTAAGTGTGTTTTCTATGTATGTGTAAAACTACATATTACACTTTGGGAGGCCGAGGCGGGCGGATCACGAGGTCAGGAGATCGAGACCATCCCGGCTAAAACAGTGAAACCCCGTCTCTACTAAAAATACAAAAAATTAGCCGGGCGTAGTGGCGGGCGCCTGTAGTCCCAGCTACTTGGGAGGCTGAGGCAGGAGAATGGCGTGAACCCGGGAGGCGGAGCTTGCAGTGAGCCGAGATCCCGCCACTGCACTCCAGCCTGGGCAACAGAGCGAGACTCCGTCTCAAAAAAAAAAAAAAAAAAAACTACATATTAACATAATTAATTAATAACTTAGCCTATACTTTTCCATTTATTTTTAATTTATTCTAATGTAATTTAAAAATGTACAATTTGGCCCAGATGAGGATTAGATAGATCCCAGCACCAAGGTGAACTTCTCTCTTGCTTCCCAGGTTGTACTCAGGAAACTTACCAGGTCTGATAATTTTATGAATCCAACCCCTTGAACAGTACAGATATGGTTAAAAACAAAAACAAAACAAGTCTAGGGTGATAGGTCTGAAGTAACCCTTTCTTCTCCTTCCACCATTAGTCTGTAATCTCCAAGTACCCAGAGACAGCATTCTTAGGTTTCTAGCACTCTCTAAAGAGGCTTGGGTAAGGCATGAAAAAGAGCAACGACTAATAGAGGTGAGGAGGGCACCCAATGGGGACCCAATACCAAATCAGTCCAGAAAACATAAATGCCATACAATGCCAGCAGAGATGAACGAAGACAATTCAGTCAATGACAGCCAATTTAAATGAGAATGACTAAGGTTTGAATGTCTCCTCCCTGTCAGGACTGAACAAGGAATGAGAAAAAAACAAAAAGTCACTTTCCAGTGTCCAGTTTCCTAATGAAACTCTTTAAAGTGGATTCAGATGTCACTTCCATTTGTTGAAGAATGCAGGTTCTCACTGTGTAGTCCAGGCTGGAGTGCAGTGGTGCAGTCATAACTTATCACAGTCTCAAAATCCTAGGCTCAAGTTACCTTTGCCCTTCCCAAGTAGCTAGGACTACAAAAGCAGCATCTACAGCTTTCAGAAAGGCACAGCAAGAACAAAAGATCTCTTTCTAGAACATGGTTAAAGAAAATATAAAATACTTACCTGACTAGAGATGAAGGCCCTCAAACCAGCAGGTGAAGAGATATTCTCCAACACCACTTCCATGCCAATCTTCACCTTCTCCAGGGTAGGGAGAATACCCTTTGGTGGAAACCCAGAACACTCACAGCCACAGACACAGAAAAAGAAGATGGCTTATTTCACATATAACCCCTAGAGGGAATCTATGGTCTACCTATCTGGAAAAATCGAAAGGAAGTTTGGAGTTGATGATGTTTGAACCAAACTTTTTGACAGCTGAGTAAAGGACAGTTAGATACACATGTCTTACAGAATTCCAATTATTACTGAAGATCTGATCCTTTTCCAGCCAAACTGAAGTATATATACTTAGTTATACATGGTTATCTATTTTATGATTACAATGCATTCAATAAAAACTGTTGACAGTGCATGGTTTCAAAGTCTTTCACATGTCAAAAATGTTTTAAAAAATTACAATTTACCTAATTAACTTACAAAATATGTAATTCTAGATAAAATATAAAACAACAATAAAACAAAACACACAAATAAAATCATTTTTCAACTTGGAAAAGAAAAGAAAATCTTCAGGTGCCAGATTAAGAGGGAACTCATAGAGCAAAGTGTTAGAGTTGTAGCTTGAGAGATTATAGAGGAATCAGATCAAAGTTTTCTTCTAGGGTTCTTATGGTTTTGGGCTTTACATTGAAGTCTCTAATCCATCATGAGTTGAATTTTGTATATGGTGGAAGGAGGGGGTCCAGTTTCAATTTTCTGCATATGACTAGCCAGTTCTCCCAGCACCATTTATTAAGTAGGGAATCCTTTCCCCATTGCTTGTTTTTGTCAGGTTTGTCGAAGATCAGATGTTTGTAGGTGTATGATCTTATGTCTGGGTTCTCTTTTATGTTCCATTGGCCTATGTGTCTGGCATGGGCAAAGATTTCATGACAAAGATGCCAAAAGCAATTGCAATAAAAGCAAAATTTTGCAAATAAGACCTAATTAAACTAAAGAGCTTCTGCACAGCAAAATAAACTATCAACAGAGCAAACAGACAACCCACAGAATGGGAGAAAACTTTTGCAATCTATTCATCTGACAAAGGTCTCATATTCAGCATCTGTAACAAACAAATTTACAAGAAAAAAATAACAACCCCATTAAAAAATGGGCAAAGGACATGGACAGACACTTCTCAAAGGAAGACATACATGCAGCCAACAAACATTTAAAAAAGCTCACTGTCACTGATCATTAGAGAAATGCAAATTAAAACCACAATGAGATAACATCTCATACAGTCAGAATGGCCGTTATTGAAAAGTCAAAAAATAACACATGCTGGTGCGGTTGTGAAGAAAAAGGAATGCTTACACATTGTTGGTGGGAGTGTAAATTAGTTCAACCCTGTGGAAAGCAGTTTGGCAATTCCTCAAAGATCCAGATATAGAACTACCATTCAACCTTGGAATCCCATTACTGAGTATGTACCCAAAGAAATATAAATTGTTCCATCATAAAGACACATGCAAGTATATGTTCTTTGCATCACTATTCACAATAGTGAAGATAAGAAATCAAACAAGTGTCCATCAGTATAGACTGAATAAAGAAAATGTGTTACATATATCCCAGGGAATGCTATGCAGATATTAAAAGGAACAAGATCCGTGGGGCATGGTGGCTCACACTTGTAATCCCAGCACTTTGGGAAGCCAAAGTGGGCAGATCACAAGGTCAAGAGGTATTTTTAACATTCTTAAAGAAAAAAAAATTCAAGTGAGAATTTTATATCCTGTCAAACCAAGCTTCATAAGCAAAGCTGAAATAAAATTGTTTCCATACAAGCAAGCACTAAGGGCATTTATTACCACTGGACCAGTCTTACAAGAAATCCTTAAGGGAGTTCTAAATATGGAAACAAAAGAATGACACCTGCTACCAGAAAACCACTTAATTACATAGCCCATGGGACCTATCAAATAACCACACAATAGAAAGTACAAAGCAACAACTAATAACTTCACAATAAGATCAAAACCTCACATATCAAGATTAACCTTGAATGTAAACAGTCTACACCCCCTACTTAAAAGATACAGAGTAATAAGTTGGATTTAAAAAAAATACCTACCTTTTGCTGCCTTCAAAAGACCCATCTCACACAGGATGACACCCGCAGACTTAAAGTAAGGGGTTGGAGAAAGATCTATCACAAAAACAGAAAACAAAAAAGAGGAAGAGTCCCTATTCTTACATCAGATAAAACAGACTGTAAGCCAGCAACAGTAAAAAATGACAAAGAAAGGCACTAAATAATGATTAAAGCATTCAATTCAACAAGACTTAACTATCCTAAATATGTACACACACAAAATGGAGCACCCAGATTAATAAAACAAGTAGTTCTAGACCTACAAAAAGACTCAGACGATTGTAGTGGGGGACTTCAACACCCACTGACAGCATTTGACACATCTTGGAGATAGGAAACTAACAAAAGGGTTCTGGACTTAAATTTGATCCTTGACCAATTGGATCTAATAGACATCTACAGAATACTCCACTCATTAACCACAGAATATACTTTCTTCTCATCTGCATACATAACATACTCAATCACCTGCTTGGTTATAAAGCAAGTCTCAGTCAACTCAAAAAACTTGAAATCATATCAACCATACTCTCAGACTACAGTCATATAAAAATAGAAATAAATACCAAGAACTTACCTCAGTATCACACAATAACATAGAAATTAAACAACTTACTCCTGAATGATTTTTGAGGAAACAATAAAATTAAGTAACAAATCAATAAATCCTTTGAAATAAATGAAAACAGAGATACGACATACAAGAATCTCTGGGATATAGCAAAAACAGTGTTAAGAGGAAAGTTTATAGCACTAAACACCTACCTCGAAAAGTTAGAAAGCTCTCAAATTAACAATCTCACATCAAAACTAGAGGAACTAGAAAAACAGGAACCAACTAACCCCAAAGCTAGCAGAAGAAAAGAAATAACTAAACTCAGAGCAGAACTGAATGAAATTGAAAGGAAAAGTCCACACAAAGAATCAATGAAACCGAAGTTTGTTCTTTGGCAGAATAAACAAGATCAATAGGCCATTTGCTAGATTAGCAGAAAAAAAAGAGAAGATTCAAATAAGCTCAACCTGAAATGACAAGGGTAACATTACAACCCATCTCACAGAAATATGAAAGATCTTCACAGATTATTATGAACCCCTCTATGCACACAAACGGAAAAATCTAGAAGAAATGGATGAATTCTGGAAACACACAATCTCCCAAGCTTCAACCAAGAAGAAATTGAAATCCTAAACAGTCCAATATCAAGTTGCAAAATTGAATCAGTAATTTAAAAAACCCTACCAGAAAAAAAAAAAAACCCTAGGCCAAATAGAGTCAGAGCCAAATTCTACCAAACATACAAAAAGAGCTGGTACAAATTCTACTGGAACTATTCCAAAAAGTTGAGGATAAGAGACTCCTGCCTAACTCATTTTATGTGGCAAACATCATGCTGATACCAAAACCCGGCAAAGATCACAAAAAAAGAGAAAACTACAGGTCAATATTCCTTATAAACAGAGACACAAAAATCCTCAACAAAATACTAGCAAACCAAATCAAACAGCACATCAAACAGTTAATTCACCATGATCAACTTGGTTTCATTCCTGGGATGCAAAGTTGATTCAACATATGTATATCAATAAATATGACTTACCATTTAAACAGAATTAAAAACAAAAACCATATGATCATCTCAGTAGATGCAGCAAGAGCTTTTGATAAAATTCAAGATCCTTTCATGATAAAAACCCTCAAGAGACTAGGCATAGAAGGAACATGTCGCAAAATAATAAGAGCCATCTATGACAAACTCATAGCCAACATCATACTGAATGGGAAAAAGCTGGAAGCATGCCCCTTGAGAACTAGAACAAAACAAGGATCCCTACTCTTCCACTCCTGTGCAACATAGTACTGGAAATCTAAGCTAGAGCAATCAGGCATGAGAAAGAAATAAAAGGCATCTAAATAGGAAAAGAAGAAATGAATGCATTTTTTCTTCACTGACAATGCGATTCTGTACCTAGGAAGCCCTAAAGACTCCACCAAAATGCTACTGGAACTGGTAAACAATTTTGGCAAAGTTTCAGGATACAAAATCAATGTACAAAGTCAGTAGCATTTCTATACACCAACAGCATCCAAAAATGCAATTCTATTAAAATATACAATTCCATTTAAAGTAACCACAGAAAATAAAACAAAATACCTAAGAATACATCTAACCAAAGTGGTGAAAGATCTCCACAAAGAGAACTGAAAAACACTGCTGAAATAAATCGTACACAACACAAACAAATAGAAAAATATTCTATGCTCATGAATTGGAAGAATCAAGATTGCTAAAATGGCCATACTGCTCAAAGCAATCAACAGATTCAATGCCATTTCTATCAAATTCCAAGGTCATTTTTCACAGAACTAGGAAAAAAAAAAGTTCTACAATTCATATGGAACCAAAAAAAGAGCTTCAAAAGCCAAAATAATGATAAGCAAAAAGAACAAATCTGGAGGCATCACATTACCTGACTTCAAACTATACTATCAGGCCACAGTAACAAAAACAGCATGATACTGGTACAAAAACACCCATAGACCAATGGAACAGAATAGAAAGCCACAGAAATAAAGCTGCAAACACACAGCCATCTAATTTTGACAAAACAGACAAAAATAAGCTATGGGGAAATAACTTCCTGTTCAATAAATGGTTCTGGGATAGATGGCTAGCCATATGCAGAAGAAACCAGACCCCAACATTTCATCATATAGTAAAGTTATCTCAAGACAGATTAAAGATTTAAATGTAAGACCTCAGACTTCAAAATTCTGGTAGAAAACCTAAGAAACATTATTGTGGACATATGCCTTGGGGAAGAATTTATTACTAGGTCCTCAAAAGTAATTGCAACAAAAACCAAAATTGGCAAGTGGGACCCAAATAAACTAAAGAGCTTCTGCACAGTAAAAGAAACTATCAATGGAGTAAACAGCTTACAGAATGGGAGAAAATACTTACAAGCTATACATCTGTCAAAGGCCTAATATTCAGAATATATAAGGAACTTAAACAATTCAACAAGCAAAAAACAAATAACCCCATTGAAGAGTGGAAGAGGACATAAACAGACACTTCTTAAAAAAAAACATACAAGCAACCACCAAAGATATGAAAAATGATTAACATCACTAATCATCAGAGAAATGCAAATCAAAACCACAATGAGATACCATCTCACACCAGTCTGAATGGCTACTATTAAAAAGTCAAAAAACAACAGATGCTGGTGAAGCTGCAGAGAAAAGGGAATGCTTATATATTATTGGTGGGAATATAAATTAGTTCAAGCACTGTAGAAAGCCGTTGGGAAGCTTCTCAAAGAACTTAACACAAAAGTACATTCAACCCAGCAATCCTATTACTGGATGTATATCCAAAGGAAAATAAATGACTCTACCAAAAAGACGCATGCATGTGTATGTTAATTACAGCACTGTTCACAGTAGCAAAGATATAGAATCAATCTAGGACCATCAGTGGTGAACTGGACAAAGAAAATGTGGTACATATACATCAGGGAATCGATGCAGCTATAAAAAAGAATGGAATCATGTCCTTCGCAACAATATGGGTGCAGCTGGAGGACTTATCCTCAGTGAATTAACATAGGAACAGAAAACCAAATACCACATGTTCTCAGTTATAAGTGAGAGCTAAATATTGGGTACACATTGACATAAAGATAACAACAGCAGACACTGGGGACTACTAGAGGAGGGAGGAAGGGGGACAAGAGTTAAACTATTGGGTAGCGTGTCCACTATCTGGGTGTTGGGAGTAATCATACCCCAAACCTCAGTATCATGCAATATACCCATGTAACAAATCTGCACATGTATCCCCTGGATCTAAAATAAAAGTTGAAATTATAGGAACAGCAACAACAACAAAAATACCAAAAATTAGTAGAAGGAAATAAATAACAAAGATCAGAGCAGAACTAAACAAAATAGAGACTAAAAAAAAATTCTAAAGAATAAGTAAAACCAAGCAAAACCGAAAGTTGTTTTTTTTTTTTTTTTTTTTTTTTGGACAGACAAACAAATTTGACAAACCATTAGCTTCCTAGAAAAAAAGAGAGAAAACCCAAATAAACTGAATCAGAAAGAAAAAAAGGAGACATTAACAACTGATTCCAAATAAGTAAAAAATATCATCGGAGATTATTATGGATAACTATTTACTAACAAACTTGAAAATCTAGAGGAAAGAAATACATTACTGGACACATACAACTTCCCAAGATTGAATCTGTAGGAAATAAGAAAGGACGTAGAGGAAATAAATACATTGCTGGACACATACAACTTAACAAGATTGAACCTGTAAGAAATAAGAAACCTGGGCAGGCCAATCCTGAGTAATGAATTTGAATCAGTAATAAAAGGTCTCCTAACAAAGAAAAGCCCAGGATTGGATGGCTTCACTGTCGAATTTTAACAAACTTACAAAGAACTAACACCAAGTTCTCCTCCAACTATTCTAAAAAAATTGAAGAGAAAGAAATTCTCCCTAACTCATCCCACAAGGTCTGTATTACACTGACACCAAAACCAGACATGGATGCAACAAGAAAAGAAAACTATCAGCCAATATCCCTGATGGACATAGATGCATAAATCCACAATAAAATACTAGAAAATTGAATTTAACAGCATATCCAGAAGATAATACACCATGATCTGGTGAGATTTATCTCAGGGCTTCAAGGATGGTTCAACATATGCAAATCAATAATTATAATACATCACAACAAAATGAAGGACAAAACCAATAGATGGAGAAAAGCATTTGATAAAATTCAGCATTCCTTCTTGGAAAAAAAACTCTCAACAAATTAGGCATAGAAAGACTATATCTCCTCAACATAATAAAGCTCAGATATGACAAACCCACAGCTAACATCATACTAAATGGGCAAATTTGAAAGCTTTTCTATATGAACTTGAATAAGACAAGGATGCTTATTTTCACCACTCTTTTCAACACTGTACTGGAAGTCCTAACCAGAGCAACCAGGCAAGAGAAATAAATAAAAGGCATTCAAATTATAAAAAGGAAGTCAAATTATCCTTCTTTCCAGGTGGCATGATCTTATACCTAGAAAAACCTAAAGACTCCATCAATAAACTCTTAGATGTTATAAATGAAGTCAGTAAAGTTGCAGGATACAAAATCAACATACAAAAATAAGTAGCATTTCTTTACGCTAATAACAATCTCACTGAGAAATAAATCAATAAGGAAATTGTTTTTACAATATCTATGAGAAAATAAAATACCTAGGAATAAATTTAACCATGAGGGTAAAAGGCCTCTACAAGGAAAACTACAAAACACCAAAGAAAGAAATTGAGGGGGACACAAATAGAAAGACATTCCATGCTTATGGATCAGAAGAATTAATATTGTAAAAATGGCAATATTGCCTAAAGCAATCTAGAGATTCAATACAATCTCTATCAAAACACCAATGTCATTGTTCACAGAAATTGGGAAAACATTCCTACAATTCAGATGGAACCAAAAAAGAGCCCAAATAGTCAAAGTGATCCTGAGCAAGAAGAACAAAGCTGGAGACATCATGCTACCTGACTTTAAAATATATTACTAGGCTGTAACAACCAAAATGACATGGTATGGTTACATAAAAATAGACACATAGACCAATGGAATGGAATAGAAAACCCAGAAATAAAGTCACTTATTTACAGCCAGCTGATTTTTGACAAAAGCTCCAAGAACATATATTAGGGAAGGGATATCCTCTTCAATAAAATGGTGCTGGGAAATTTGAATATTCATATGCAGAAAGTGAAACTGCAACCCTATCTTTCACAATATACAAACATCATCGCAAGATAAAGATTTAAATGTAAGACTCAGAACTATAAAACCACTAGAAGAAAACACATGAGAAATTCAGCATAATTTTGTAGGCAAAGATTTTATGGCTAAGGCCTCAAAAGCAAGGCAAATAAACCAAAAATAGACAAAGGAAACTATATTAAACTAGAAAGCTTCTGCACAGCAAAGGAAATAATCAACAGAGTTAAGAGGCAATCTGACGAATAGGAGAAAATGTTTGAAAACTCTTCTCCTGACAAGAAAGTAGTATCCAGAATGTAGAAGGAATTTGAACAATAGTTTTTTTTTTTAATATCCCATTAAAAAGTGGGCAAATGACATAAGTAGACATTTCTCAAAAGAAGACATACAAATGGCCAACGGGCATATGAAAAATAAGTTAAATATCACTAATCATCAGGAGAATGTAAATCAAAGCCATAATAAGATAACATCTTACCCCAGTTAGAATGGCATTATTAAAAAGACAAAAAAACAGTGGATACTTGTGAGGATGCAGAGAGAAGGGAGCTGTTATACACTGTTTGTAGGATTGTAAATTAGTATAGCTATTATGAAAGACAGATGGAGAATTTTCAAAAAATGAAAAATAGGACTCCCGTTGAGTTTAGTAATCCCACTATTGGATATTTATCCAAATAAAAAGAAGTCAGTTTATGTAAGAGATTCATGCATCTCCATGTTTATTACAGCACTATTTACAATAGCAAAGAAACTGAATCAACCTAAGTGTTCATCAATAGATGAATGGATAAAGAAAATGTGTTATATATACACAATAGAATACCACGCAGCCATAAAAAACAATGAAACAATGTCATTTGAAGCCACATGGATGGAACGGGAGGTCAGTATGTTAAGTCAAATAAGTCAGGCACAGAAAGACAAATATCACATGCTCTCCCTCATATGTGGGAGTGAAATGCTGATTTCTTGGAAGCAGATAGTTGAATGATGGTTACCAGAGGCTGGAAAGAGTGTGTGTGGGGAGAGGGTGATAAACGGAAGTTGGTTAATGGGCAGAAACACACAGATGGACTGAGTAGGTTTTAATGTTCAATAGCGGAGTGGGATGACTATAGCTTAATAATAATGTATGGTATATTTGAAAATAGCTGGAAGAGAGGAGTTTAAAGTTCCTAACACATAGAAGTGATAAAGTCTCAAGATGATGGATATCCTAAATACCCTGACTTGATTATTACACATCCTATGCATGTAATAAAATAACACATGTACTCTATAAATGTGTAGAAGTATTACATATAAATAAATACATATATAAAATGAATATTTAGAAGAACATATTGGCTTGGACTGATGGCTTATGCGTGTAATCCCAGCAAGTTGCAGGACTGAGGCAGGCGGATGGCTTGAGCCCAGGAGTTCAAGACCAGCCTGGGCAATATAGTGAGACCCCATCTCTGTTGAAAAAAAAAAAAAAGAAAAGAACTTCGTAAACATGGGTTAAGAAAGGATTCTTTCAGAAATGCACAATAGGATGACCCGGAAGAAAATAAATAGATTAGGCCAGGCACAGTGGCTCATGCCTGTAATCCCAGCACTTTGGGAGACCAAGGCAGGTGGATAACCTGAGGTCAGGAGTTCGAGACCAGCCTGGCCAACTTGGTGAAACCCCGTCTCTACTAAATATACAAAAATCAGCTGGGCATGGTGGTGTATGCCTGTAGTCCCAGCTACTTGGGAGGCTGAAGCAGGAGAATCGCTTGAACCTGGGAGGTGGAGGTTGCAGTGAGCCAAGATTGTGCCATTGCACTCCAGCCTGGGTGACAGAGCGAGACTCTGTATCACAAGAAAAAGAAAAGAAATAGATTAGTATATTTGCTTACCTCAAAATTTAAACTTCTCTATGGCCAGTGGTACTATGAGCCCAAAATTTTAAAAGTCACACACTGAGAGAATTTTAATTTTTTTTTGAGACAGAGTTTCGCTCTTGTCTCCCAGGTTGGAGTGCAATGGCATGATCTCAGCTGGGATTACAGGTGCCCACCACCATGCCCAGCTAATTTTTGTATGTTTAGTAGAGACGGGGTTTCACCATGTTGGCCAGACTGGTCTCAAACTCCTGACCTCAGGTTATCCACCAGCCTTGGCCTCCCAAAGTGCTGGGAATACAGGTGTGAAGAGCCACTATGCCCGGCTGAGAATTTTTAATAAAGGCTATAATCTTTGATAATCAAAAAATAAAAATAAAAAAAGGAAAAGAAAGAGACAAGAAAAAATATCAGGGAGGGAGAAGGAGAGAAAGAAAAGAAGAAATAAAGCAGCCCAAGATAAAAAAAGTCAAATGTCAGAAACAGTAATTTAGGAAAGAAAAATCTGAATGGTCAACAAGAAAATGAAAGATGCTGAAACTTATTAACAACAAGCAAGGAGCTGCAAATTAAAACTACACTGAGATAACATTTTGTACCTATCATATTGCCAAAAAAAATGTAAGCCTTACAAAATGAAGCATTGGGAAAGGTGTGCAACAATGGAAACATGTATACTCTGCCTCTGATCCTGTGAAATGTACATTGGTACAACCACTTTAGAAAATATCTTGGTAATATCTATTGAAGCTGAATATGTGCATACCTTATGATCCAGCAAGTACACTCTCTCAAGTATGTGTACAAGAATGTTCCTTTTAATATTATTTGTAATGAAAAACAATGACAAAAAAACTGAGCATCAATAGGAAAAGGGGTGAATAAACTGTGGTATGAACAGCAGTTGTAACCTAACACACAAACACACATAGACACACATACACACACATACAAACATATACATAAAGGATGGTACAAAAAATGCATTGTCAGGTAATATGCTGAATGACACAATAGCATTTATATAAACTTTTATAAACACAAAAAGCAATCCAATATATTGTCAGTTGAGATACACACACATATGTATGTGAAAACATTAGAACACAGATTGACTGGAAGGAATCAAAACAATATCTTGGCATTGATTACAGGAGGGAAAGAGTGGGTAATGTATTTGAGGAATGAAGACCTTCATTTACTCTGTATTTTTCTACATGAAATAGAGTATGTGTATATTTGTGTAAATGTGTATGCATCTGTGTGTATTTGTCTTCTACATATATAAAATATATAATATATTAAATATATATGTTAAAATTATAAAAAGTTATCATTTGTAATTTTGGGAGAGTGTTTTTACACAAATTTTGCATTTTTCTACTTTTTAGCATTAAAAAAATAAAAACCTAAGTGTGAATCAGATGCTGAGTTATGACAATTTGAGGCCAAGACTAACCGAGGCATTAGAATTCTAAGAAGGAGGCCTGAAAAACACTGTGCATCAAAAATGGTAATTTACCTGCCCGCCTAAAAGGAAGTCAAATCGCAGTGTCAGATTCCAGCTGTGCCGCTAGTTAACACTGCAGCTCAGAGAATGGATTGTTTTCGTGGAGGAAGTGTTTTGAGGATGCTGAGGCAGAGCCGCAGCCAGGGACTTTGGGGAAATAAGGTTCCGTAGAAAGTAGGCTGCAGAAGAGAATTTTCACTAGGCCAGGGGAGGTCAGCAAGGCAAAGCAAACAAAACCTGAAGAGCTGAATACAGAGAAAATACGTCTATTTGGAGACCACTGCACATTTTTCTTTAGGCCAGTCCCTCTCCCGCTTCCATTCTCCTCCTCATTTCATCCTTTCCTCTTTTTCTTTTAAGGGAACAGAAAGAACATGGAAGTTAAGGTGTGAGAGGAGGTGACACAGAAATTTGTCTTTTATGTTTTGATTTTTGTGCTTTCTAAAATAACATATTTGCTCTTATTATCTCTTCTTGCCTAAAGCAGATGAAAATATCTTGAGTGCCTCCTAAAACTATGAAACTTTAAGGCAAAATAAACTTGGTTTTATGCCTTAGGAAATACCATTTCATGATCTATGCAAAGTCTGTCTGTGAAATTTGAGAAAAAATTGTTAAAAGTAAAAATTGGAGGCATTGCCCTAACTTTAAATATCGTATACTGTACTAAGTTTAACATTTGCCTTTTCTGAAATGTACAATGGCATACATTTTTTTTTCTGTATCTATCCCTAAGGTGTTGAAAATTTACTTTAAAAATCACTAGCAATATATGGTCAAAAGTGACAGAATATATTTTCACTTAGAAGCTTTTGTTACGTTTATTTATGAAGATACTTTAAAAAAAATTTCCTTTTTAATATAGCTATTGAGGAAAAAAATTATATGTAATTAGAGCAAATTAAATTTAAATCATTTGTAATCCTTCCAATGTTCGAGAAGTTAAGTCTAAACAAATTTATTTTATTTTATGCTATGGCTTCTAACCAAAGGAAGAGCTGAGTTAACACCGAATTTTAATTCACTGTGACCTTCATGCTATTAAAGGTTGTTTCTGGCTTGTGAAGACCTTTCTGGGCCTACCTCATTGTCTTCCTGGTTCTGAGAAGAACCTAGAATTTCAAAAGAAGATGTCAAGGGAACTGTTACTCTTATGAAAGTCAAGTTTTCCAACTAAAATGGAGTAAGAGAATTCTTGGAGCCTGAGCTCTTCTTTCAACAGGAGGCTAATGAGGACCTTCTGGGATTTCACTTTGCTGTGCTGATTCTTCTTGTCCTACATTTCTTTCTAGGATCTTCTGTGCTAATGATTCTTTTATTGCTACAGTGGTACCTACAGCACTTTCTACCTACTATATCTCACTGGAAGTGATTGTTCTACTGTCATAATTCCTTTGTTCTTTGAAGCACATGGTTGCAATTTTCAGAATGAGAGAAAAGCCACCACAGTTTGCAAGTTCTAGAATAAAAAGATGTTTGGGAGACACCTGCCAATAAGTATAAAACTATATTTTCTTCTTAATGAAAACACTTAAAAGCAAGATATATATTTATACATCTGCCACTAGAGTCAACTAAATACACACACACACATACACACACACAGAGCCAACACTTTAATTGCATGACTTAGAATAAAAATATTTGATTCATTAATACACTAAGCTGAGAGAATGTATTTAATTACCTTCATCATATTTATTAAAAATATGAAAGAAAAGACAAGCCCCTTACAATTTATTTTGAATTTTGTGAAATAGCTTATTGGTAATAATCTGTATATATCCTTCAATTCATTTAGAATATAAACCTGTGTTAACTGCCTGTGAAAGATTAGTGAATGAAGACTCAATATCATAAATAGATACTTAGTGGAGTTTAAAATTTCACCTAAAGCAAGGAGGTTGATTTTTGCAAATTCATTAAATAGGTTGTTTTGATAATAATTCACATGCAAAGTCCTATCAGTAACATTTTGACCAATTCTCTACGATTCACGTTCTAGGAACATCACATGGTGCGACTAAAACCTGAACCTTGGATTTGTTTGACTTTAACACCTATGTTCTTTCAATTACCTTGATGGTAGAAGAAGAAGAGATTCCTCAAGTAAAGAGAGTGGTGCCAGCAACATCTTGGAGACTAGAAACAGCGTAGTGTGTGCAAGAAACCACAAGTATTTAAGGCATTGCTGGAGGTTTACTCCTCAGGCATAGGTAGAACAGCAGCCAGAAATCACACATGCCATGCTAAAGAGAAGAAAATGAATCTTGTGAGCAGTACAGAGCCACTAAAGTGTTTTAAGCAAATAAGATACATGGTAATATTTGCAATTTAAATATCAGTAGATTGACAGCAGCAGGAGCCCATCTAGAGCAGCTGCTGCCAAGACACGGGCTGCAGCAGGGAGGCGCTGATGGGGCTATAATGTTCCACAGAGAAGGCAGGAGCCACCCTCCCTACTCCATGGAGCAGACAGGAACCTGCCCTCCCCAGGTGCCCTGCAGCAGCCCTGCCACGGCTCCGGACCCTCTGGTCCCCAGCGTCTCTGTGCTCTTGGGGGCCTGGGAAAACTCCCCAACTCTCTCACAGGCTTCCTGGGTGCAGCTGCAGCTGCCCTCCCAGGTGCAGGACCTGAGTGCAGTCTGCACCCTTGGGAGCCAGGAAGACCCCCTGTCCCCAGAGGCTCAGGGGTGTATGTTCCCACTGCCTGGCCTCTCCCCGTTCCTGGCACTGGGTTTGATCTCAGAGTGGGGTTGGGGCCAAGCCCAGGCACTGTCACAGCCAGGCTGGGTGTGTGCACACTTGGGGCTGCTATGACACGCCAGCCCTGTGCTGCCTTGGCCCCCTTTGGACTTTGGGCACTGAGGAGCATGGGAGAGGAAGCCCAGGCAGGGGCTAAGGGTGGCTGGGTGCTGGCCTGGAGGTGTACTTTGGTGCTGGCAGCCTTGGCACCATGGACCTCAGCAGAAGGCAGACAGGCTCCTGGGTGGAAGGGGGTGGATCCCTGGTGAAGCCTCAACTTCAGGCCAGGCTGCCAGTCCTACAGACTAGAGGGGGAACCCATGGTACTTTTTCCTGGGCTTGACCGTGGCTGCTCATGGGCCAGTCAGCAGGCACTTTCCCTGCTCTGAAGACCATGAAAATCCCAGAGTCAGCCAAAGCAGGGCAGACATTGGGAAGACAAGCTGCAGAGAGAAGATACCCTCTGCAGGGCCTCCATGCTGAGAGCTGCAGACAACAGGAGGACCAGCTAGAGAGAGGAGCTACCCTCTCTGCTGAGAGCAAACACTTGTCAGAATGACCTGCCTGCAGAGAGGATCCACCCACTCCAGGCCTCCTCTCTGCTGAGAGTTGAACACTCAACTGGACAACCTGCCTACAGAGAGGAGTTCCCCACTGCTGGTCTCCTCTAAGCTGTTCTAACACTCAATAAAGCTTCTCTTTGTCTTGCTCACCCTCCACTTGTCTGTGTACTTCATGCTTCTGGAGGCAGGACAAGACCTCAGGCAAAGGCATCACTGGCCATAGAGGTTTCTGGCCAGAAAAATGACACCCCAACGATCCTGTGACAGTAATATTTACAATTTAAATATCAGTAGTCAAAAAAGGATGGATTTTTGGAGATTGTTGGAATAATCCTGGTTTTCACCTAAGATCCTTCAGGAGATAATTCATGGTAGAATGATTTACAAGAGAAGGTTTGAGAAATGTTTCAGAGGTAAGATGAGGTGTTGTTACAGACAGACTGGTTACTAGGAAGAACAGTATGCTTGGATACATAATGAGAGAATCAGTCCCAGGTGTCTGAGTTAGAGTACACAGTCCAGGAGTTGTGAGCTGAGTCTTGGCCCCCTAAAATCTTCCAGAAATGAAGCCAGTCAGTTGAACTCAACTTAAATCACAATCAAACCCTCAAGTTCATCAAGTAGGATAAAAGAAAAAAAAAACTTATCCAAACGACAGTAACTTCAAAGATTGAAGAAACATCAGCCCACAAAGATGAAAAGGAACAAGTGCAAGAGCTCTGACAACCCAAAAAGCCAGTGTACCTTCTTTCCAACAAATGACTGCACTAGGCCTCCAGGAAGGAATCTGAACAGGGCTGAAATAGCTTCAATGACAGAAATAGATATCAAAATATGGATAGGAACAAAGATCATGGAGATGGAGGAGTACATTGAAACTCAATCCAAGGAAGCTAATAATCACAATAAAATAAAACAGAAGATGACAGACAAAATACCCATTATAGAAAAGCTTTAAACTGACCAGATGGAGCTGAAAAACACACTATAAGAATTTTATAATGCAATCATTCATATTAATAGGAGAATAGGTCAGCTGAGAAAGGAGTCTCAGAGCTTGAAGACTTGCTTTCTGAAATAAGAGACAGGCAAGAATAGAGAAAAAATAATGAAAAGCAATGAATAAAACCTCTGAGAAATACAGGATTGTGTAAAGAGACCAAATCTATGACTCAATAGTGTCACTCAAGAGAGATGGGGAGAATAGAAGCAACTTGGAAAACATATTACAGCATATCATCCACAGAACTTCTCCAATCTAGCTAGAGAGGCCAATATTCAAATTCAGGAAATGCAGATAACCCCAGGAAGATACTCCACAAGAAGATCATCACCAAGACACATAATCATCATATTCTCCAAGGTCAAAATGAAAGAAAACATTTTAAAGGCAGCTAGTAAGAAAGGTCAGGTCACCTACAAAGGGAAACCCATCAGACTAACAGTGGATCTCTCAGCAGAAATCCTATAAGCCAGAAGGACTGGGGGCTGGTATTCAATATTCTTAAAGAAAATAAATTCTTAAAGAAAAGAAATTTTTAAAGAAAAGAAAAATATTCTTTTTTTTGAGACAGAGTCTTGCACTGTTGCCTGGGCTGGTGTGCAGTGGCATGATCTCAGCTCACTGCCAAATCTGTCTTCCAGGTTCAAGTGATTCTCTTGCCTCAGCCCCCTAAGTAGCTAGGTTTACAGGCGCCACCACCACGCCCATCTAATTTTTTGTATTTTTAATAGAGACAGTTTCACTATGTTGGAAAGGCTGATCTCAAATTCCTGACCTCGTGACCTGCCCAACTCTGCCTCCCAAAATGTTGAGATTACAGGCATGAGCCGCCACATGTGGCCAAGAAAAGAAATTCTAACTAAGAATTTCATATCTTACAAAACTAAGCTTCATAAGTGAAGGATAAATAGGATTATTTTCAGACAAGCAAGTGGTGAAGGAATTCATTACCACCAGACCTACCTTATGAGAGCTCCTGAAGGAAGAACTAAATATGGGTAAAAAGACCCTTACCAGCCTCTACAAAAACACTTAAGTACACAGACCAGTGACACTGTAAAGCAATTACACAAAAAGTCTGCAAAATATTCAGCTAACATCATGATAACAGGATCAAATCCATACACATCAGCACTAACCCTGAAATGGGCTAAATGCCCCAATTAAAAGGCATAGTGTGACAAGCTGGATAAAGAACCAAGACCCAATGGTATGCTGTCTTCAAGAGACCCATCCACAGACAATGACACCCATTGGCTCAAAATAAAGGGATGGAGAAAAATTTACCAAGCTAATGGAAAACACAAAAAAGCAGTGGTTGCAACCCTAATTTCAGACAAAACAGGCTTTAAACCAACAAAAATCAAAAAAGACAAAGAAGGAAATTATATAATAGTAAAGAGTTCTATTCAACAAGAAGACCTAACTATCCTAAGTATATATGCATCCAACACAGGATCACCCAGATTCATAAAGTAAGTTCTTAGAGACCTTTGGACAGACTTAGACTCCCACCTAATAACAGTGGGAGACCTCAACACCACTCTGACAGTTTATCAAGACAGAAAATTCATGAAGATATTCAAGACTTTAACTCAGCATTGAATCAAATGGACCTGCTAGTCATCTACAGAGCTCTCCACCCTAAAAGGACGGAATATACATTCTTCTCATTGCCACATGGCACATACTCTAAAATTGACCACACAATGAGACATAAAATAATCCTTAGCAAATACAAAAGAACTAAAATCATACCAACCACTCTCCCTGACCCTGACACAATAAAATTAATAATCAAGTCTAAGAAAATTGCTCAAAACCATACAGTTACATGGAAATTAAATAACCTGCTCCTGAATGACATTTGGGTAAATAATGAAATTAAGGCAGCAATCAAAAAGTTATTTGAAACTAATAAGAACAAAGATACAACATACCAGAATCTCTGGGACACAGCTAAGGCAGTGTTAAGATGGAAATTTATAGCACTAAACACCCACATCAAAAAGGTAGAACGATCTCAATTTAACAACTTAACATCACAACTAAGAGAACTAGCAAACCAAGAGCAAACTAACTCCACAATCAGCAGAAGACAAGAAATCACCAAAACCAGAACTGAACTAAAGGAGACTGAAACACAAAAAAACCATTAAAAAGATCAACAAATCTATTAGTTGTCTTTTTAAAAAATTAATAAAATAGATAGAACACTAGCTAGACAAAGAAGAGAAAAGATCCAGATAAACACAATTAGAATGACAAAGAGGATGTTACCACTGACCCCACAGAAGTAGAAATAACCATCAGAGAATACTGTGAACACCTCTATGCATACAAACTAGAAAATTTAGAAGAAATGATAAATTCCTGGACATATATACCCTGCAAAGACTAAACCAGGAAGAAATTGAATCCCTGAATAGACAAATAACAAGCTCCAAAATGGAATCAGTAATAAATAGCCTACTAACCAAAAAAATCCCAGGACCAGATAGATTCACAGCTGAATTCTACCAGATGTACAAAAAGGAGCTGGTACCATTTCTACTAAAACTATTCCAAAAAAATTGAGAAGGAGGGACTCCTTTCTAACTCGTTCTATAGGCCAGCATCATCCTGATACCAAAACCTGGCAGAGACACAACAAAAAAAGAAAACTCAAACCAATATTCTTGATGGACACTGATACAAAAAATCCTCAACAAACACTGACCAACCAAATCCAGCAGCATGTCAAGAAGCCTTCCATCACAGACAAGTAGGCTTTATTCCTGGGATGCATGGTTGCTTCAACATATGCAAATCAATAAAGGTGATTCATCACATGAACAGAACTAAAGACAAAAACCATATGATTATTTCAGTAGATTCAGAAAAAGCTCTCAATAAAATTCAACACCCCTTTATATTAAAAACTCTCAATAAACTAAGTATTGAAGGAACATACCTCAAAGTAATAAGAGCCATCTGTGACAAACCGACAGCCAACATCATATAACTGGGCAAAAGCTGGAAGCATTCCCCTTGAAAACCAGCATGAAACAAGGATGCTCTCTTTCATCACACCTATTCAACATAGTATTGGAAATCTTGAGCACAGCAATCAGGTAAGAGAAAGAAATAAAGGCCAATGAAATAGGAGGAGAGGAAGTCAAACTATCCCTGTTTTCAGATGACATAATTCTATGTGTAGAAAACTTCACAGTCTGTCCAAAACTCCTTCAGCTGATAAACAACTTGAGCAGAATCTCAGGATACAAAATCAACATACAAAAATCACTAGCATTCCTATACATTAATAATAGTCAAAGTGAGAGACAAATCAGGAATACATTCTCATTCACAATTGCCACAAAAAGAATAAAATACCTAGGAATACAGCTAAACAGGTAGGTAAAAGATCTCTACAAAGAGAACTACAAAACACTGGTCAAATAAATCAGAGAAGACACAAACAAATGGAAAACCATTTCATACTCATGGATAGGAAGAATCAATATTGTCAACATGGCCATACTACCCAAAGCAATTTATAGATTCAACACTATTCCTATCAAACTACCAATGATATTCTTCACAGAACTAGAAAAAACTAGTTTAAAATTCATATGAAACCGAGAAGGAGTCAGAAAAGCCAAGGCATTCCTAAGCAAAAAGAACAAAGCTGGAAGCATCATACTACGCAACTTCAAACTATACTACTGGGCTACAGTAACCAAAACATAATGGTACTGGTACAAAAACAGACACATAGACCAATGGAAAAAAATAGAAGGCCCAGTAAAAAGGCTGCACACTTACAACCACCTGACCTTCAACAAAGCTGACAAAAGCAAGCAATGGGGAAATGACTCCCTGTTCAATAAATAGTGCTGGGATAACTGGCTAGCCATATGCAGAAGATTGAAACTGGACTCCTTCATCACACCATACACAAAAATCAACTTGAGATGGATTGAAGACTTAAATGTAAAACCCAAAACTATAAAAAGCCTTGGAAGACAACCTAGGCTTCTGCACAGCAAAAGAAACTGTCAACAGAGTAAATAGACAACTACGGAATAAGAGAAAGTTTTTGCAAACTATGCATTAACAAAAGTCTAATATCTAGCATCTATATGGAGCTTCAACAATTACAAGAAAAAAACATTAAAAAGTAGGCAAAGAACATGAACAGACACTTCTCAAAAAAAGATATGCATGTGGCCAACAAGAATGTGAAAAAAAGCTCAATATCACTGATCATTAGAAAAAAGCAAATCAAAACCACAATGAGATATTGTCTCACACCAGTCAGGATGGCTATTACTGAAAAGTCAAAAAATAACACATGCTGGCCAAGTTGTGAAGAGAAAGGAACGCTTACGCATTGTTGGTGGGTGTAAACTAGTTCAACCCCTGTGGAAAGCAGTGTGGCAATTCCTCAAAGAGCCAGAAACAAAACTACAATTCGACCCAGCAATCCCATTACTGAGTATGTACGAAAGGAATATAAATTGTTCTATAATAAAGACACATGCAAGGCCAGGCGCGGTGGCTCACGCCTCTAATCCCAGCACTTTGGGGGGCCGAGGCGGGCGGATCACAGGGTCAGGAGATCGAGACCATCCCGGCTAACACAGTGAAACCCCCTCTCTGCTAAAAAAAAAAAAAAAAAAGACACATGCAAGTATATGTTCATTGCAGCACTATTCACAATAGCAAAGACATTAAATCAACCTAAATGCCCATCAATGGTAGACTGGATAAAGAAAAAGTGGTACATATAATACCATGGAATACCATGCAGTAACAAAAGAGCCATAAAACAGATCATATCCTTTGCAGGAACATGAATGGAGCTGGAGGCCATTAGCCTTAGCAAACTAGAGCAGGAACAGAAAACTAAATACTGCATGTTGTCACTTAAAAGTAGGAGCTAAATGATGAGAACCATGGACACATAGAGGGGAACAGCAGACACTAGGGCTACTGGAGGATGGATGGTGGGAGGAGGAAGAGGAGCAGGAAACATAACTAATGGGTACTAGGCCTAATACCTGGATGATAAAATAATCTGTACAATAAACCTCCATGACAGGAGTTTACCTATATTACAAACCTGCAGATGTACCCCTGATCCTAAAATAAAAGTTTTTTTAAAAGTGCTTATTGTCCAATGTGAATGGCACATATGTAAATACAAATTAATGGTGATAAAAGTAATGATACAAATATATGCAATATCCAGTAAGAGCATAGAGGAAAGAATGAATTTATTAGTTTATGTTTATTCAAGAATGTATTTAAAGTGGCTCACAACATGAAATAAAAGGAAAAAATGAATACTGGAGTACTAAATCCAGAGGAAAAAAATAACTTTGCGTAGATAATTTGAACTCAACAATATATAGGTGTACAGAATACATAGTTACGGTCTAGAAAAATGCCAGAATAAGCATTTGGCCTCTAAGCTTTTTGGAAGGTAAGAAAAATCAGAACATAATCAATTACACCATTTATATTATCTCCAAAGAAAAAGAAAATAAACTTATTCCTAGTGCTGATATGAAAATTTTTCCTGTAGGTGATCAAAAAATGAACAACGTGCCATCCTCAACAACATCCATATATTAAATCGACTTCATAGGGCTATTTCTTATAGTGGCTGCTAGCATGGACCAATGATGACATAATGCCAAATTATATACAATAAAAGCAGTTTTACAAGAGGGCAGACCATATGGTCCAGGTGTGTAAATTTCTGCTTGTGAAGCTTATTCTTAGGATTTTTTTTTTTTTTGTATCTATAGGAACACATGGACTATATATCACTCAGGCAATCCTTTGCAAATTTATGTTGCCCAACCAAGCATTTGATGAGTGTCAAGCAACAGTGAGTTCAAGGTTATAGTCCTTAACAATCACTTAGGGTGCAGCTATTTCAGTCTACTGATTAAATAATGGAAGTGCTTAACTCCCTCTGAGGTTGGGTTCAGAGGAAAGGGACCACGGAACTTGGACTGTTTTTAAAAATTGTGGTAAAATACGCACACCATGAAATTTATCTTGACCATTTTTGAATGTACTGTTCAGTGGCATTAAATACATTCACATTGTTTTGCTACTAATCCACCCCCACAGAACTCTTTTTATCTTACAAATCTGAATCTCTGTGCCTATTATACAATAACTCCCCATTCCTCCCTCCCTCAGCCCTTGCCAGCCACCATTTTAATATTTATCTCAAGAATTTGACTACTCTAGGTACCCTCATAAAAGTGGAAACATATGGAATAAAAATATAGAATACTTCATGAATTTGCACGTCATTCTTGCTCAGGGGCCATGCTAATTGTCTCTCTTTTGTTCTAATTTTAGTAAATGTACTGCCCAAGCAATCACTTTGGCTGGTTTTGGACAGAAGAACAGGAGTTCATCAAACTTAAAATGGGGAAAGCTCCTGCATGAAGGCAGGATGGTATAGTAATAATATTTTCCTTCCACCTGAAGACTGGGACAAGAAGGGACACTGAATGAGATGAGGTTAAAGAGACAGGAAGAAGCCAAACTCTAAAAGGCTTTGTAAACCATGTTTAATTAAGAGCTTGGACTTATAGACAATAAGAATGGAACAGGGAATTAAAATTTGTATTTAAGAAAAATAATTCCAGGAAAAAAAGGAGGCCTGGAAGAGGATAAAATCTAAAAAAGACCAATTCGAAGGCAATGGCAAATATCTAAACAAGGTTTTCCTTCTTCCTTTTTTTTCCCCCAGCTCACCAGTATTGTTAGAGCAGGAATTACAGAATTGTACAAAACATGGGGAAATTTGTGTCGGTGCTTCTCATGTCCTTACTTTCAATCTTCTGTTCCAAGCTTAGAAGGAAACTTTAAAAAATCTTATATGTCATTAACAAGCAAAAAAAAACAAAACAAGACAAAACAAAACCACTAAAAAGTGGGCAAAGGACATGAATAGACACTTCTTTAAAGAAAACACATAAGTGGCCAACAAGTATATGAAAAAATGCTCAACATGATCTAATCATTTGAGAAATGCAACTTAAAACCACAATGAGATACCTTCTCACACTAGTCAGAATGGCTTTTATTAAAAATTCAAAAAACAACAGTTGCTAGTGAGGTTATGGAGAAAAGGAATTGCTTATACACTGCTGGTGGGAATGTAAATTAGTTCAGCTATTGTGGAAATCAGTGTGGCATTAAGTATGTTAGGAAAGAAAGCATAGGCATTTCTTATGCTTTTGTACAAAGAACTTAAAACAGAAACACCACTGGACCCAGCAATTCCATTATTGGATATATACCCAAAGGAATAGAAATTGTTCTGCCATAAAGAAACATGCATGCATATGTTCATTGTGGTACTATTCACAATAGCAAAGACATGGAATCAACCCAAGTGCCCATCAACAGGATAAACTGGATAAACAAAATGTGATACATATACACCATGGAATACTATGCAGCCATTAAAAAGAACAAGATTATGCCCTTTGCAGCAACATGAATAGAGCTGGAGGCCATAATCCTAAGAAAACTAACACTGGAACAGAAAACCAAATACCACATGTTCTCACTTATAAGTGCAAGCTAAACACTGAGTACAAAGGGACACAAAGGTGGTGACAACAGGCACCAGGGCCTACTTGAGGGTGGAGGGTGGAGGAAGAAAATAGAAAAACTACCTATCAGGTACTATGCTTAGTAACTGGATGAGAAAATAATTTGTATACTGAATTCCCATGATATAAAATTTACTTACATAACAAACCTGCACATATACCCCTGAACCTAAAATAAAAGTTAAAAAAAAAAAAAAGAAAATCTTATATTTCAGCAAAGAATCCAGAGAAGTCAAAGTCTAAAATGCACATTTTAATCCAGGAGAGCACTTCTGAAGTGGCATTTCTCCCAACTGACCTGCCTCATTCCCCACCTCACATCATTTGTGTAGCAAGTGATATGTACTAAATCATCAATTTATAGCTTTTCTGGAATCCTATGTGAATCATTGTTATTACAATTCAATTATCCTTAAGAAAATGGAAACTAAATGTGGAAGGAAATGTGTTTTCCCTTCATAACAAGCTTTCTGACTTTATACACCCTAAAGATGCAGTAATAATTAGGATGAGGGCAGAGGTTCTAGGATTTGACTATACGAGTGTTGGGCTTAAATGCTGCTGCTTTATCTCATCCATTGGTCCTTAAGGAACACCTTTTCCTCTACTTCTTCATGGCACACAGCTGTCACGGAGCACTCTCACTCAAAACATTTTAATGGCCAATGCCTAAGGAATCATGTATGAAGTCACTGTTACCTCCAATGAGAGATCTTTTCCTGACAATGTATCTACCTGGGATGCTTTCCCTCACCCTGTTTTCATATGTGAAATCATAACCTTCTGTAAGAACGATGCAAAGAAGAAAATTGTAAAGCTTTCCCCCCAGAATATACTGGGCATAATATCTTCATGCTCTGAAGTCTAGTTGGATTTTGTTTCAATCTTTTCCATGGCACCATCTTAGTCCTCAAAGTTTTGTTTTAAAATTATTTGAGAATGGAGATAATTTCATAATTTTACCTGAATTCTTTATTTGCATATAGGAAATAATAAACGTTGAATAATAAGTGCTTATGTATTCAATAAATAGCTGTTTCAGGCCTATTAGATTCTAACTACTTGGTTAGGTATTAGAAATACACCAATGAATAAGAAATAATCTCTGAATTTCAGGCCTATTAGATTCCAACTACTTGGTTAGGCATTAGAAATACACCAATGAATAAGAAATAATCTCTGGACTCAAAAAATCTCAGTGCAGGTGGAAGATTCCTCAGAAATGTTTTGGAGCATGAAGAGGACATCCTGGGGAAAAATTAAGAAGGCACATCTAGAGTCTTAAGAATTCTGGAAAGGGCTAGAATTAAAAAATACATTGTGATATCTAAATTTGGCTATCAATAGTGTTTCTTCAGGTGGCAAAAAAGAATTGCTCTTAAAATAACAGGAAACTAAATTACAAAAAGGCACATTTCAACTTAAAGTAAGAACTGTTTTTTAGTAATCATAGCATCTCCACATTAAAATTAGTTGCTTTATAAAGATAAAGAGCTTTGTATTATATTAAAAATCTAGACAACCAGCTGTATAAATGTATAAGTTTAATGTAGAAGAAATCATTGTAAGGGGTGAAAAATTTGAGTTGACAATTTTAAAGACTCTAATTTCAAGATCTATTAATTTCATATAAGAATAATAAGAACATCTCATTATATACATGTAAGGATAATATGGATTATTATGTCTGAAGCTGAATGTATTATTGAAAATAGATGCTTTTGAAACTCTAACAGAATTATTCACAAAAATTATTCTTCACTTTCCAAATATCATGAACTATGACTTTCATTTGCTAAGACGTATAAGTCTATTAAACGTGTGTGTGTGTGTGTGTGTGTAGAATATCCTAGTGATACTCCAGGTAAATTGGCATTACTCAATAAATGGAGGATCTTAAATCAATCATAACCTGTGTCAAGTTGCTGCAGAGTAAGGCCCAAAACCATTATTTTGCACAAGAAATTGTCCAAAGGTTAAGCCAGATTATCCAGAAACCTGAGCATTAAGTATGTTAGGAAAGAAAGCATAGGCATTTCTTATGCTTTTGTGCTAATCTTCTCAAATTCCCTTTTCCAAGTGATTAAGTATCAAGGAACCAGGTTCCATGGAAATGCTTGGCTCAATGAAGAGAATGAAATAGAGAAAGAAGGGAAAAAAACTGCAACAGAAATCTCTTACATTAAAAAACATATCCTAATACAATATTTATAAAAGTGCTTCAAAAGTCTTCCAGAATGCTTCAAAAGTGAAAAAAAAAATGGATGGAATACTTAAAATTTCTCACTTCTATTTCTTCCCATTGTTAAAACTCTTCTTCTGCTCTCTGCTCCATTCCATCCGACCTGTTATTATTTAAGTCCTAATCATGAATACTTGGACTACTGTAGTCTTACACTCTTTCTTGTATCTTTCACAATAACGCCAAACACATGTATCTTTAAAAACACAAATCTGATCTTGAAATCAAGCTCCTTTACAATCATTTTGCAAGAGGAAACTGAAGTTTAATGAAGTTTAAATGGATGACCAAGATCAGGGGGGCTCATGAGCAGCCATGGTCAAGCCCAGGATGCCAAAGTCCAGTTCCTCCTTCAAAATTATTTTACTTCTGTCATTGTCTTCCTAGATATTGTGTGTATATTATGGATTCTAATAGAATGATTTTACCTCAAAAATACAGTAAAATTTGGATAGAATGTTGGGACTGCATTTATAGACAGAAAGACTGTCAGCTCAAAGTTTTATTCACAAAGTACATAAAACCTGTTCAAAAAGTTGTGTTGCAGAACAATTGCTCCTAACACATAACTTGCCAGTATTTAAAACCATTCCCCCTATTTGTCTATATATTTAAATCTCTCTTATATATGCATCAAGAAGCATTTTGATTTTGTTTTTATCCAACACACAGTTTAACACATTGCTTAAATATATTAAAGAAAAATATTCGTATTAAGATTAACCCTGTGTATGTTTTCTTTATGCCGTATAAAAACTTATAACTTAAGGGGGAAAATAAAAGGAGTATAAAAATTTCCATATTCTGCTCTTCCTTTTAATTCCCGTTTTATTTTCATATTAAAATTGTCCAAATTCTACATTGAAAATTTAATAAAGTAATGAATTTGAGTAACTTTGTAAAATGTTAATATAGCCAAAATTATAATAAGAAAAATGTGGAATGTAGGAATATTTAGTTTTTAATTTGGCAAGATCTGATAGAAATTCTGTTATGCAATTCTCACATAAGAATTATTAGATGTATTGCAAATGTCATACAATAAACTGAATATAAACAAAACATAAAATTATGATGTTTATCTTTATTTTCAGATTACTGATGCTTCTAAAATGTATTAATAACATTAAAATTAAAAGTTAAATATCCTGATAGTTAATATAAGTGCAATTTTGTAAAATTCCACTTTTGTGCAACACACAGCTAACTTTTAATATTCATTTCTCATTTTCTTATTTTTCTATATTAATATCATTGCTAAAGTACAACACAAATGCTCAAATTTGTTTTTAAAATTAGCTGATGAGCTATATTTTACAGTAAATAATGTGTGATTAAATTTTAAGTTATATAAGAATCCACTCACTAATATCAAAATGTGTTTATGGCCTGGATACTATAATTTACTTTACTTCTTGTTAATTCGAATAATAAAATACTCGAAACATGGTCTTGAAAGTTTTAGGTAGATACTAATGTAAAACTACCTAACCGTCAGGAATAAAAACCTGCCATCGATGCTATTTCCATTATTTAAAATATTGAATTAAACCCAGCACATACTGTAAATTGTTTTTGCTTCTTCCTTTTAGGATAGTTGTGAAAAGTGAAATAACCAGGCAGCCTTATCTTAGGTGAGACCGTTTCGGCTTGGAAACAAACAAAGCTCTCTCTCGATGAACTGGGTTCATTTCATATTTGTGTAATACCCTGGAAGAAATTAGGTTTCAATAAAGTCCATTTTTGTCACTGCATGTAGCAATGAATATCACACCCAGCAGGGCACAGTGGCACCTGGCTGTCCAGACCCCAGTGTAGCACAAACCATCTGGGGGTAATTACAACAAGGTATTCTTTAAGGACCAGATGGGAGCAAGGAACAGAAGCCCCTACCCCTCCCAGTCATTTACAACATAATTCCTTTCAATGATATACTTAATCCTCCCACCAGCTATGCCTTTCAGCTTGCTGTTGTCACTGTTCCTTTATGTAAATTCAGACGCAAGACCGGGAAAAAGAGGGGGTGAGACAGAAAGTACAAGAAAAAAAGGGAAAGGGTGAGAGAGAGCGCCACTGGTGCCTCTAGGGACCAAAAGAAATTATTCATCCCTAAATTGTTTTCACCACAGCGAGTACAGTAACAAATTTTTTTAAAAAAAAGAGGACTGAAATTATCCTAAAGAAGGTCAATGCGACAGCCCTGTGTGGCACCAGCTGAGGTTTACTCAGCCACCTGTTAGCTAGAAAGCTCTCTGCACACGCTTATGATGCATTTAACCAGTTTAAAGGGTCTTTATTGACAGGCCAGCCACCTCCATTCAGCAGGCTGGAGCCATAGGCCTGCTTTGTGGTCATATGTGGCACACAAGCCTTAATTCAATTACGCTGTAAGCCTATCCAATCTGCATCACTGCCCTTTCACTTTTGTGCCATTTGTCTTGCATATTGTAAAGAATTTTATTTTGAAGAGGGAAAGGCACCCTACAACCCAGTTGTCTTTATTTTTCATGTAAGGTTGTGCCGCAGGTGCGCCGCCACCTTTCAACTCCCGAAATGCATTCATCTTTAAGCGATATTTTAGAGGGAAGCAGTATTTATTGTTTGGTGACACTGCTTTGTGGGTGTTGCTGATTTTTATTTTTTTTTTAATTAGGTATATGTTCAAACTCTCCAACACACCAGCAAAGAGTCTCCAAACTTGATTGTTAAAAATTCAAAAGAAGAAACAAAAAGAAAAACACACATGATAAATGAAAATGACAATTATTAGCTTTGTTCTACAATTTTTTTATTTAGAAAGAAAAGTATTTCTTAGAGTGATCATATATTAAATTTTAAATTTTGGATTTTCCTCAAGTGTCTGACACAAAATATGAATGTCTGTATATATGAGTGAGGCTCAGTGCTGCTATGTTGCTTGAAAATTTCTAATATAAGTTCCATAGAAGGTAATTAAATATATCAAGTCTGCTTATATTGTTTTGTATTTTGGTACTTTCAATTTTCCATAACATTGGACCAATGCATGTTATTGTTTGATGCTTGGTATTTTCATAGTAATGTATAGACAATGAAAAAATAAAGATAGATTTCCCAAAGTCAAGGGCTCTATTATTTTTGTAACATATTTTTCTTAAACTAAAAGTCTGCCTCGTTTAAGCATGCTTAAAATAGCATGCAACAGTGCAATAATATAGAAATGTGATAGCCAACCAAACCTACCCCCTAGAGGTCCTGTGTTTGTATTAAGAGTATGGATGATACCAAATCAGTGTTCCCCCAAATCATTAAATGACTTACCATGAGAATTGAAGGGACTTCAAAGAAGGGAGAGAAGAATCTTCTTTGTTAGGTAATGTCTATTTTCCACTCAAGTAGGAAAGGACAGTAGTGCTAGGTTACTTATCAAGGTTATTAATTGAGTAAGTGTCAGTTTTCATCATGGCAACTTCAATGTGTCTTTGGTATGGAAGTTCCCATCTCTTTTAAATTACTGAATCAAAACCACAAATATGAAGCATTCGAAAGAGACCAAGACATTTTAATTGGCAAGAAAAAATAAAAATATTTGTATCTGATCCTCAAAATAAAAGGTGTTTTAAAAACTACTTTTATATGCATGTAAATTTAATGTATGTGTATCTCTCAACAATTCTATGCCCATTTCCTTTGTGTTCTCCTATGGGATTGCAGTTTAAAAATGAGAAAACTAAGAATTAATAGAGGCTAAATGGCTTGCCTAAGAACTCAAAATTCTTGATTTCTAAGGGTTCTTTCCATTACACCATGAAGATCTCATATGACTATTTTATAAACTTTATGATTTTTACCCATCTATGCATGTATGTGTATTTAATGTATGTGTATTTCTCAGCAATTCTATGCCCATTTCCTGTTTTCCTATAGGATTGCGTTTTATCAATGAGGAAAACTAAGGGTAAATAGAGCCTAAATTCTTTTGATTTCTAATTGAAATCGAAATTCCTTTGACTTCTAATTGAAATCGAAATTCCTTTGATTTCTAATTGAAATTGAAATTCCTTTGATTTCTAATTGAGAGTTAAGAGCTCAAAATTCTTGTGATTTCTAACTGAGGGTTCTTTCCATTACATCATGAAGACTTCATATTACTATTTTATGAACTTTATGATTTTTACGCATCTGTGCAATTTTCTGTATATATTAGAGATATGCACTGTAACATATATATACAGGAAATTGCACAGATGCATAAGCTTATCAATATATAAGCTTATCAATATATGTACATATATATGGTAGAGTACGCTCTATGAACGCTCTATGTACTCTAACATATATATATAACGTATATATACATATGTACATACATTGATAAGCTTATCAATATTCTGTGAAGCAGGAATAATGACTGAACTTGTAAAAGTCTAGAATCACATCAAAAGAATGAGAAAAATGACCTGAATTTGTTACACTAAAAAATCATTGCTAAGATATAGACATATTTCTTTAGCCACTTTTAACCCCTTAGATAGAATTTTGAAGTAAAAAATAGCCAATAATATGTGTCTAGTTTTAAAATATTCTATGTGAATCACATAACCTGTTTGCACTTTGTATCTCTCTACATAACAATACAAAAAAATTTGAGAGTTCATTTTTTAAGGACTTTGGCATCCTGGAATTCAGATTAAAATATCTAAATATTCTTGATATAAATGTAAGAACACAGGTTTTGAAACATTTTAGAAGAAAAGTAGTACAGGAAGTTAGTTTCGTTATAGAAATCTATATTTTTATTAGCATTTTACAACGTAAATTATTTTTCCAAATTTCAAACATATCATATTGCTTTTGAAATAATGTCATCTGTAATAACCCCATGAAATGACTGCATTATTATATGCCAAATAAGTGTCTATTAAAATTTAACTACCCATTATATTTTTATGAGATCACACAATAAAATGGAATTATATAATGTTTATGTTAAATTCTCACTTTCCAATAAAAATCGTGCAAATATTCCTCTCTGAAAACACTTTATTCAAGGAAATGTTGAAGAAAAAAATTCAGAAAAACTAAAATAGTAATTAGCTAATAACCATAACCATAACTATATATGTATGTGTATATATATTTGAGAATCCAAACTTAATATAGCTGAGTAAACCAGAGGACTAAATAATTTTGGAAATCTGTTACCGAATGGCTAATATTCACCAAAGATGTTCAAAGCTGAAATTTGAAGAGATAATAAACAATAACAAATTTACTATATTTTAGATATTTTACTCATCATGTATAAAAACTCTCTTGCCTAAGGATTTACAAAGAAAAAACTCAGGTAGCAAGAAACTGGTTATTTTCACACGTGGTGAAACATAATTTTAGCTTCACATACAATTCCTGTCCAACACAGTGGTGCCTCCTGAGAATAAAATGTGCTTTGGAGAAAATTATCACTGTATACCAAGGAACTTCTCATGCAAAACTCCCTTTCTTGTCAATGAAATTTTCAAGCACACTTGATGGCCACAGAATGAGGATATATGTGTATGTTTCTAAGCCAATAATGCAGTTTGAATTAAAATAAACTATCTCTTCACTAAATTTTCTGACCCTAAATATGCATCTTGCCCATTTTGTTTGCAAAGTTTGTTTAGAAAATACAAAAGACATTTTTTGTGTGTTCATTTTGCCATAGTCAATTCTAGCATCAAGAAATGTCAACATGATGTCATTCGGTTTAGCGGAAAAGTAAAAAATTGAGTCAACTAGTTTGTTCGGTGTGCAGAATGTCAAAGAGTGGTTTCTGTAATCTTTATTCTTGAGTTCACCATTTAAACATCATTTGGCAAAGTTGTGTTAACATTTATGTTGTGATGATCAACATGGTTTGGTTTGGCCTTGTACCCAAAAGCAGTAAGTAATATATGGCTATCTAAACTAAAGAATAAAGACAAGCTACTTCTCATTAACCCAAAGACAGATAAAAATTGCAGTATGAAATCTAGAAGACTGATGAACTAATCTCACAGCTATCGTTTATTCTTATTTCTCTACCACCCTAGATACGCTGATGACCTTAGCTAGTTGAAAGAGAAAAGTGACGGGTAAGTAACAAATTTTAATTTTCAGAAGAAACCCCCTGGGCATTTTCCTGTTTGTTCCTAAAATGAATTGTAGATTTCTATTAGTTCAACCTTCCACTCCGGAAAAATTTTCTTAAATAACATTAGATTTTGAGATTAGCACCAGAAGGCAACCACTATTGAATATGCTAATGTTTCTTTGTATTAAGAATAAAGGAAAAGAATAAAACATAAATGTCTTATTAGAGTGAGATGTTATAAATTCACATGAATGAGACAGTGGAATGTATAGACTTGTGGGATTGTGCATTTATTGGCTTTGGCACTCTGGAGAGTGTTTGCAGATGTTTTGTGTACACACGTATGTCAGAAACGTACATGTATCCACATGATGCAGAAGAAGAAATTAGCACCAATAGATTAACTCCAGATTTCAATTACATATTTATTAATTATGCTACAGTGTACATTGATAACCATTTAAACAAATTTATTTAATCATTAATACTCCTGCAGTTTCATTGTACAAAGAAATAAACTGAACTTAGAGAACTAAGTAATTTACCCAAGCTCACATTGCTAACAAGGGTGAAAATGGGTTTGAATTGAAAGATGTCTGGATTCTGAGATGGTGCTGTTAACGTCCGTATTACACATTTATACCAAAAACACAAATGCCAAGAGTTAAACATATGCTACGTAATAACTGTATGACATGTTTACTGTACTCATATATTTGAAAATTCTTCTTCTCTTTCAGTAATTATAATCATTGTTAGAAGTAGTCATGAAATCTGGAAATCATTACTGAGGTCACACCTGGATACAAGAGGAGTAGATGATTATCCGTAGTTTTAGTAGCTTCCCAATGTATCTGCCCCACACTGTCTGAAATGCTACCTAACATAAATTAATCAGCTACCTTTCTTGAAATATGAGTTATTATTTCTATTAGAGTAAGGGTCTCAATTTTATTTAAGTATTTCTATTCCTGCAACAAATATAAACTCTCCATAGTGTTTGAATGAATGTGTAGTGACTTAAGGAACAAAATATTTAATTTAATTACATTTTTCTTTACCACTTCTGAGTGAATAAGCCAGAATGGAGTTTCTTTTGGATTTTATAGAACCAGGAACATGGGGAAAGGCAGGCCAAGTAAAGTATCACGTAGGTAGTTCAGCATAGTGTGAAGGAGCATGTCAACACACAATAAGGGAGGAAAGAAGCTACAATTTAAAAGACAACAGGGGAATGCCAGTGATTTTTTTTTTTTTTTTTTTTTTTTTTTGCGACTGTTTTCTAGCCTTAGTGGAACCTTCTGGCAATCTCATTATAAATTCCAGGGAGCACTTTAACTTCTGGTACTAACTGTGGACTTGTCTAACGGAGCTGTCCAGGCTCGACTTTATTTTTCTATCCTCATTGTCATCCCTTCTTAAGTTAAGAAACATTCTGCCCTTTGTCTGAAGGCTTTTTCTTACAATTGCCAAATTTTAGTGGATTTCTTCCATATTGTTGCCATATACGTGCGCAGCATGAGACAGAAGGTATCATATTATAATATCAGCATTACCAACACAATTGACATACGTTACATGCTCACTCTGTGCCAAGCACTCTGCTAAGTACCTCACATTGAATTTTCCAAGAAACCTAGAAGAGATTTTATTATTATCTCCGTCTTACCAATAAAAAAGCTGAGGTTGACACAATTGACCTAAGGTCACTTATCTAGAAAGTAGCACAACCAGAATTTGAATCCAACTAGTCTGACTCCAGAACTACAGTATTGTGCAAGCCTGTCTGCCCATATGCTCACTAGTTGACTAGTCAAATTGACTCATCAAAACCATTAAACACTTAGTATGTTTTCGGAATTGTGCTAAATCCTAGAGAATACAAAAGGAAATGAAACAATAACTTTGATAGCATAGAGAAAGACACCTATTTCTACCTCTGCTGGCCTGGATGTCTTTGTGGAGAATGTACTTACAGGAATCTAGAGGAAAGAATAAGAAAGCAACAAACAAAATGTAGAGTTGGTGGACAAACATCTAGGCAGGTGTAAGATTGTACAAAGGAAACAAAACAAAGAGTGGCTACCCTGGTCTACCTCAGGCCTTTCCTCCTGCAATGCAACCTTTCTTTCTGCAGATAGGCCCTTTCCTTTATTTCTGCTGGTTGAAAATATTCATCTCCCAAGACTCATTCAAAATCCTCTCTCTCCTGAGAAGGTCTTTGAGATTCTCACTGCTGAGATGATTCTGGATTCTCACCCTCCTAGAATCCTCTCTGGCTCTTATTTTAATTCAGTTGACAGTGTGATTACTTCTGGATCTGTTTTATTCCCTGTCTCAAGCAGATTGAAGCATTAGACAGCCTCTTCCTCATGGCCCTTCCTCTCACTACAGGCCCTAGTCCCCTCAGTTGGCCTTACACCTAAATATTCCCTCTGCCTGATACACTTCTTTCCCCAACCTCGGCTTTTTTTTCCCCCCTTCAAGTTCTCCTTTAATAACTTCTTCCAGTAAGCCTTCTTTTTTTTTTTTTTTTTTTTTTTTTTTTTTTTAAGGACAGAGTCTCACTCTGTCGCCCAAGCTGGAGTGCAATGGCACTATCTCAGCTAACTATAACCTCCGCCACCTGAGCTCAAGTGATTCTCCCGCCTCAGCCTGCTGAGTAGCTGGGATTACAGGCACCTGCCACCATGCCCTGCTAATTTTTTGATATTTTAGTAGAGACAGGGTTTCACCATGTTGGCCAGAGTGGGTTCGAACTCCTGAGCTCAGGCAATCCGCCCACCTGGGCCTCCCAAAGTGTTGGGATTACAGGCATGAGCCACCATGCCGGCCCCCAGTAAGCCTTTTTTAATTACCCGCGACTCTGTCAGATAGCTCTTTTATGTGCTTCCATAGCACCCACTACAATCCCCTCTATCGCAGGTAACGCCCTATACCATCATGGCCGGATTACTCTTCTATATTCCCCACCAAGACTGTTCGCTCAGACCTCAGGGTAAGAAGAGTTTCTGTCATGCTCAGGTAGCATGAGAGTTACAGGTACTAGTTGAATGAACACATGAATGAATGCTTTGTTGAAGTTGACTTCTCTCTTTTTCAGGTAGGGAGGCCCAGATTGAAAGTTGTGAGTGGGAGAACCATGTGAGGGTGATAGGCTGGAGACGAGAAGATGAGGTGCTGAAAAAGATATTATTCAGTTAACAAATTCTACATTAATATCAATGTATCCTCAATTTGTGACCATTTTAACCCTGACATTAAAGGAGGCCAGCCAGGACCCTAACAAACAGAGTATTTCCCAGATACCCTTTAGAAACTGTCAGCATCCTCAGACTGCTTTTCCCATCTTAGAGTCTTAGTTCTGTCCTCTCCTTTTGCTAAAGAAGTGCCCACATGACATCCTACAATCACTGGGAAGCAGAGTCACCCCAGCTTAGTGCTCTAATGACTGGTTCCAAATCTCCCTGTTGTGAGACTCCTGTAAAATGAGGAAAGATCTTTGAACCTCAAAGCTTGTAACCCAACTGGTACATAAAAATGTCCTCATTCTCCACAGCTTGCTTTTAACATCTCTGCAATACTGAGGACATCTGTTATTTTTGCCTACCCAATTTTTTCCAGTACCATCATCTTGGAGGACTACTGTCCATCTCTTGGCTAAAGTCAGGGACATCACCCAAATTAGACTTCCTGAATCTTAATCTTGACGAAAGTGTCACAAAAATGAAAATCTTTCAGAATTCAGTGGAGCCCGAAAGATAGTGGTGAGATTTGGGGCAAGTTACTTAACTTCTCTATGTCTCAATTTCCTTATGGTAATAATACTAATAATACCTATCATATTGCATTGTGGTGTGGATTACGGATGCTAATACATGTAACACTTAGAACAGGGCCAGGTACAGAAAAAGTGCTAAATAAGTGTTATCAATAAGTAATATAGCTATTCGAGTTTTGAAGCTGCCATATTCTTGTCCATTATGTGGCCTGACTGTACAGTTTTTCCTTCAGCTTTCTGGGTTACTCCCATTCCCTTCCAATGAACATTGTTTTTAGCTGAAATTGGCCTGCGTTGGTTTGTGTTGCTTGCTACCAGAAAACCCTAATGGCTGTTTCTCTCACACACCATAGGCCTTTTCTCCCCAAAGTGTTTATTAGACCCTAGAGAGCAATAACCATATATTATTAATGTCTGCGTCATCTAGAACACCAAGAGTGGTGCTTTGTATGTAGAAATATTCATTTCAGTGACTGGAAGACCAAAGACATGAATAATACCACTGACCTCTTTTTTTAGGGCTTTACCACAATTTTTTTTAGCAATAAAAATCTGAACTAAGAACATCATGATCTCCTTCAGAGGCCTAACAGCTGCCATCACCAAATATTTAACTTTCCAGGGAGGCAACTAGTGCAAGGGAAAGAGAGCTCTGGAGTCCCACGGGCCTGTGCTCCCTTTCTCACCCTGCCACTTACTCCCCAAGTGACCTTAGGTAAATAACCTAAACTCTCTGAGTTTCAGTTTCCTTATCTGTAAAATGGAGATAATAAAATGTATCCCACAGGGACTTGGAAACCCACAGAACAGATTATATAAGCCATGCTGGATCCTCTATTCAGCTAATACTCTTATTTTTTGGAAGTGTTCTGAAAGTGCACAGGAAGAAACAGAAAATTAAACTTTTAATGAAAATAAGTTATTTATAGGAGTATACGACTTGACCTGCAACTGAAATGTAAACAAATCCTGCTTGGTTAAAGGAACAACAAAAAGTGAAGGGAACAGGAAATTAAGTTTTTGGGTTGGGGCTTTCAAATGGTGCCATTTTACCATGAATGCAGAACTAAATGCAGCTTTTTTGTTTGTTTTTGTTTTTTACAATTATTACTTATCCAGCACCCAACAGATTTCATTTTCATGTATATTTTGTATCGTACTCACTTAAAAAGAAGCTCATCTAAAATTTACTAAAGGATAAATCTTAGTTGTTGAGAACTCGACTCCTCTCTGATTAGTTTTATGAACACATTTTGATAGCAGAAACATTTTGTTTTAAGCTTCCTTTTATTATCCTTGTTTGTTTGCATCTTTATTCTTCCAAATTGTTTATATTATTTTTGAATGATAGAAATACTATAACTATGTAAAACTATTTGGAAATTTAAAAATAGAAACTATTGCTAATAATGTCACTATTCTAAGTTGTTTCCTTTTAGTAGATTTTTTCTTTTCTCTTTATTTAATTGAAATGTATTCTAGCCTAATTTTTAAATTTAAGGCATGATAAGCATTTTCTATCTCTATAGTTTTCTAACAGTAAATTTTTCTAGCTACAAATCTTAAAACTGAATAGATATTTGGACTATCTACCTTAAAAATCTTTTTGCTCTTGTTTTAATTATTTTTATAAATCTGCTTGTATTTTGACTTCAATATAAGTCTGATTTTGAAAGTTTAATGATATTTAAAAGCTGGTAATACACATTAAGGCACATACCTTGTTGATACTCAAAGATATTCATCTGCAGACATAGAAGCACTTCATGAAAAAATTTCATTTATATTTGCGTTATGGAAAATCTTGGAGACAAGAACAGTAAGTGCCTCTTTGATTATCAGAACCACTGCCAACTTTGAGATACGAGTGATTACAATATGTAGATTTTCTATTTCCCCTAGTGTTTCTCCTAGCTCCTAATTTTTCTGTTGGTAAAGGTGGAGCTGGTGAGGGAGTCTGGGAAAGGGTATGCTTTAGTGATCTATCTCATAATTATATCATAACTAGAATCTAGCTTTTATTTTTAATGTTATTTAGCATGATTTTGGAAAGCAGTTAATAGAGATTTTGGCTGTTTAAAAGACCTTGCCTCATGCCTGTAATCCCAGCACTTTGGGAGGCCAAGGCAGGCGGATTACTTGAGGTCAGGAATTTGAGACCAGCCTGGCCAACATGGTGAAACCCCGTCTCTACTTAAAATACAAAAATTAGCCATGCATGGTGGCGCACGCCTGTAGTCCCAGCTACTCTGGAGGCTGAGGCAGGAGAATTGCTTGAACCCGGGAAACGAAGGTTGCAGTGAGCCGGGATCGCGCCACTGTACTCCAGCCTGGGCGTTGTAGCCAGACTCCATCTCAAAAAACAAAAAAAAAGCCCTTGCCCTTCCAAATCATGCCTTACTGCTGACTAGACAGGTGCATTCTCTGATAAATGCAGTCGCATACAGACACAGAGTGGAAGAATATAATAGGGCTCCCAATCCACACACTGGGGGCAGGGAAGGAGAAAGTGCATCTTCATCAGAGATTTACATTTGGTAGAAATCAGGGTGGGGACAGGAAGATGGAGACTGAGCACAGAGGGAAGTTTCCACAGAAAGAGAACAGCAACTTCAAGGACCTGGAGGTAGAAGATAGCAGGGCAAGTGCCTTCTGGAAATTATAGTGTGGAGTGAGGGCAGGGATATCCAAGAGTAGGGAGGCAAAAACGAGAGACCACAAGGACTTCATACTTCTTTTATAGTTAGTTTCAGGATGGCTCAGTGCTGAGTACACAGCATGTTTACTCTCATTATTTATTCAGAAAATATTTATTGGTCACTCAGCAATATGCCAGGGACACAAAAATAAACAAGACTTCTGTTCTTGTAGAAATTGCAACTTTAAAAGAAGACATATATTAATTAATCATATAACCACACAAAGAAACATGAAATTAAATGTGGTACTCTGTGTTGAAAAGGAAGACTTGATTATTCTGAGAACTCAGGAAAGCTTTCTTATGAAAGGATAAGTAAGAATGGACTAAACCATGAGGAAGAGAAGAGCATTCCAAATGGAGAAAACCATATGTGCATGGGTCCTGGGGTAAGCACACCAAATGATACAAACTGAAAAAGAGATCCGTTAAATGCAGGTGACTGAGTGGGATATGGGGCAGGGAAATGCAGTGGAACCATATTAAGAAATTGTCAGTATTCTAAAAGCAACAGACATTGAAGAGTTCTAAACTGAGTGGTGACATGACTAGATATGTGTTTTGTAAAAGTTACTCCAGCTACATTGTAGAAAATAAGTTTAAAGTCTGAAAGAATATACTTCATGATAACCCAGAATAGAAGTTTAACATCTTGGATTTGGGAGGTAGAGTTTATTATCAAGCAATTTGGAATATAGGGAGAAATATTTAGAAGATAAATAGCCACAGGGGCTAATGGATTAGACATGGGGGTCAGGGAGAAGAAGTAGTAAATGTTTTATCATTTGATTTCCATCTGGTTTCTTTATCATAAGATTTTTAATGTCTATTTTCTTACCTCTTGCTTCTTTGAAAAACATGTAAGTTCAAATGTTCATGCTTTCAGTAGTTAGTATCAAGCTCTTGCTAGGTCTCTGCACCATGCTAGTTAGTAAATAACATATAAAGATGAATAAGTGAGTAAGACACTATCCTGCCACTTTAAGTGTAGGAGAGGTGCAGCCCAAGATCCCATTCTGTTTGACAGCAAGCTTCGTTGCAAGGTGGTCATAAAGTCATATTTTGTAAAATTGGCAGTTTGGAATTCATAGTGATAAAGTCATATTTCTCTAAATGTGGACACATATGAAGAAGTTTAATCATTAAGCCATGTTTCTATAGATTGGGTAAATATATGCAAAATAACACTGAGTTATTTGCTTGCTGTGAAAACCCACTAATTGTCTCTTTGAGTGGTCTGACTGCACCTTTCACACAAGGAGGTTTTGACAATCATAATTCTTCAAACTATGCCAATACCATAATCAAAGTGTTTACTCCATTTATATTTTAATCTGTTTATATTTGCCATTTTTGTATATTCACACTATTTCCTTTGTTTCTGTCTTTAGATAATATATAGGTCATTCTTTCACTTTTGTACTCTAAGGATGCCAGATTGAGGCCACACATGGAGAGCGACTACCAGCTCCTCCTTTTTGCTTTCCTTTCTTAAGATGTTCAATTTGCCAGTTGATTAAGATTTTGCTTTCTAGACAACTCTCCATAAACAGTTGGTAGAAAACAGTGGATGCTGCTTTGTTCATACTCTGGAAAAACTCTTGTATATTCACAAGTGCTCATGGTAGAACTACAGAAGTTTCCCTTGCTTACATCAAGAGCTTTTAACAATTGTAGCATACTTTCTTTAGTTTGCCCACACGTGTGACATTTAGGAGGAAATCGAAACATGGTAGAACCTGTTAAAATAAACAAACACCATATTAGAACAGAATTGGTAAAACACTGAGCGAATCACCCAAAATAAAAATCTCATGGATCAATTTTATTTTCATACGTAAATATTTAAAACTCCACAGAAAGAAAATATTCATATGTATCTTTTAGTAATGCTTGTTAGCTGTCCTTATTAATACCTGCTTCACAAGCCTTGAGGGCATCCGTTCTAAAATAGGAAAAACATAATCTGTATGCGAGGAAAACTACAAAGAAGCAATAAATTATTGCTGTAATGACATGCTAATTAAAATTTTGCTTGTAACTCATGTAAGTGTTTGAAGCCCAGCAAATTTCTCTTTTCATTTGTGAAGTGTGAAGGTAAATTGCCCAGTGACAGTGGGACATCGCTAACAAGTACAAATTGAATAACATGCTATCTTGCTCTATTAGCCCTGACTAGCATGTCTGAATTAGATATTCAGCGCACTCCCCATTGTAGGCCTGATTGATAAATGCTAAGGAGAATTTGTCAAAACAACAGGGGCTACACCCAGTGGGACATCAATATGCTCCATTTAGTCACCCCCACAGCACTTCCTACATAGGATTGTCACATAAAATTAAGACTAGCCGCTAACCAGCCATCAAGCTTGTAGCAGACGTCAGGCAGCCTGTGTTCTGTATGCATATTAGTCACATGCTTAACAATTTGGGCTGTCAGGACAGAAGCATGCAGTGACCTCTGGAGCAGAGGTTGAATTTTGCAGCTATACCAAAACATCATGCTCAGCTGTTCAAGATTTTAGACCATTTCCTGCCAGATCTGTGCACAGATGCAGTGCCCTAAGCTATAATCTGTAGCAGCGTCCAAATGGCAAATGGCACCAGGAAGATTATTGCATTATATATTAAGTACCACAAGTCTGTAAATTATAAGTAAACTACTGTTCAGACTGTCTCCTCCAGCTTTCAGGATACTTTCCCTTTTCATTCTTTTTAAAATAAACCTAATAAATATTGGGTGAACTGGAGATCAAAGCCCAGAGTTTGAATTAGCCATCTCCATTGCTAATTAGCTGCTTGAATATCAAACAGTTTTGGACCAGCTGTAATTTAATAAGCCATGATTGAGGTTGGCCTGATTTTGTTTCCCATTGAAAATTCTTCTCAGGTGCAAGTTTGTATGATTTTAGAATTCATGGTGATAAGTTGTTTTTGGTATTTCCCTTGTAAACATAATTAACCATAAATACAGAAAAACACTAATAAAAGTCACTGGGATCTAACAGAATCTTTATTTGACCTGTTTTCTTATTTCTGTTGCATTATATTTAGGCTCCTTACAAAGGAGGTTATCTGCTAATCAAATAAAGAATTAACTAAAATATAATAAAGTCATATGTTTGAAATAAAAGGTATTCTCTGCAAAATATGTTTTAATATTTTTTAACTCAGTATATATTGTGTAAATGAGAAGCTTGTCATTCTCTAATTTGTCATTAAGCACTGGAGCTAGGATGTCTTTTGAAAATAAATTGCTTAAGCTTCCATTTATAAATAGCATAATAAACCATATTTTCTGAGGTATTAAAAAGAATATATCAAATAGCTCTTATTTTACAGACTATACATCTGTTGGAACTCAAGAGAATTTTTTCTGAGTTGAACGTTTAAACATCAAATACTGAACATTTTTCTCTATATATTCTGGGATCCTTGCTTTTATTCTGAGAACCAAAGCAAAATTATCCAAGTAGCATTAGAAGTATATTTCTTGTGGCACTTCTATGGAATTTAGTTATAAGAAATATATGAAATATGATGAAAAATCTATTGTTAGACTTGCGCAGTATTTCTTCTTTCTGGGACATAAAGGCAAGACATTTAACCTGCTACTACTATTCTGTCTTTTTCATTTCAGAGACAGCACATGAGTAAAATCTTGCCTTTTGACACCTTCTAGATTTTATACATTCTAGAGTTCAAAAAATTTTGACTTTTTGATAGTTTCAGTTTTATTGCTATTATAACCATACGATAAATTGACTCGTAGGATTCCTCCCAGAAAAATGCTAATTTTTCATGAAAATCAATGACATTAAATTCCTTAGCATATATAAATTTTAATTTTCAAAAAAACTCATTTAACTTTTAAAAAAATCATTTAATTAAAAAAATTGGTGAGCTGCAGTCTGTTTATGGTTTTATGTTAAACTATATAGTAAGCCTAAGTAGGAGGGCTATATAGAGAACCTGAAACAAAGTTTGTTCAATGCCATTCAAGTGACAACCACAAAGCTAATGATAGTTTAAACAATGGCTACACACCACCATATTGCTGGAGATTATTACAAGGCTTATTAAGAAAAGGAAGACATAGGTGAACACTTAGTAGTTAAGCTGAGCAGGTAGAAACCTTTTTTCTTTAAAGGTTTTTTTCTTCAAATTTTTTTAAGTTGAGAACTATCTCAGTGCTGTAGGATATCTCACATTTATTAAAGCTGGAGGGAACAACCAACTCTATTTCTAAGAAATGGCCACTTTAAATTATTCAACAACATTTAGCTCAAAAAATTTCAGTTATGATGAATTTTATACATTCCGCTTTCACTCCCCCACGTCTCCCCAATCTTCTAGTTTGAACAGAAAAACAAAGGACAGCAGGGTCCCTTTCGCCTCAGGCAACAGTCTGTTGATGGATATTGTAGCAGCTGAATTGCTCCCCATTCACATTCTAAACCCTTTCTCCTAATTGTCGTCTGTATCATCAATGTCACTAACTGAGACCACTGCCACAATTCTACAGCCCTTTGGAGCAATATTGCCTTGGCTTTTTCTCCTGGGGCTTGCTTCTTGCTTGGTGCAATCTGTGAAGCCACTTAGCACAGGATCTTGTTGACTTATAACAGGTACCAGATGATGCATCCAGACCTCTAGCCTAGTTTTATGCTCTCATGGCTTGTGTGCCTGCCACTAGTGTGTGTGTGTGTGTGTGCGCACAGATGTCAGAGGATAGATGATGCTTCTGCTGCCATTTTCATGCAAGAGCTTCAGGTTGGTGGGAAGAAATTCAATAGTACATGAGAAAATCTGATGTCTAAGAGAAATCGTGTTCTTGTGTTTGATGGCTTTGTGTACTCTTTTTTAAACCCAGCCCAGAATTCTCACGAAGCATATTTATACTGCTATATCACTGTGATGCTTTAGGAAATAAAATGTAATTGCCTCCCTCTTTCCACTGATTTCCTTGATCTTTAAATACTCTACCTTGTCCTCACAGTTCATAAAAATAAGTTTAAGGAAAAATTATTCACATGAATAAGTTATATATAAGGATTTGGAAAGAAAGTACTCCCAAGTGGCTATTTTTTATAATAACAATTTTTATTAATAGCAATAGTGTTATCTTGGTGAGAAAATAAAATTTATTTTCCCATAAATTTATACAGAAGATTTCTTCTTAAAGTTCAAACTTGTATTAAACTAAAGTTCATCTACAAACATACATAATGTAATTTGAGAAAAATTATATTAAATGTTTATACAATTGTTATATCTCCTAATAAATAAAATTTATATATATATAAAATAAAATTAACTTATGCAATATACATGTAACTCAAAAAATACATCAGCAATTAAACCAACTGTATTTGTTTTAAAAATACAGGTAATGATGTATACAGGTCATTATGCATCTGTGTTTTCTATAGCTGAACTTCCATTATTTCAGTTATAAATTTTGTTTTCTTTATTGAGATTATTTTAGTAATTACCGTCTTCCCCCATATGATTGTAAATTCTATGAAAGAATCATGTCTTCTTTTTACTCACCTTTGTTATCCACAGTGCCTTACAAAAAATGTCTAGTTCATTGTAAGTTTCACAAGTATTGGTAGACTTAATATACGAATGAATGAATCAATCAATGAATCAATGAATGAATTAGTGAATGAAGGAATATATAAAATAACTGGAATTCCTGGAAAATTTTTAGCACTTGAAATGGAAGCCTTTTACAGGAACCTCAACAAGAATGTGGATAATCCTAAATGTTGCTGTGGGCTCATAGTGCTGTCTCTGTTTGGAATATCATACAGCCTTCAATCTCCTTTGAAACTTTTAACATAGTTCCAAGCTTTGAATCCCATCAACTTCAGAGGAAACTCTCACTTTAGGTGATCTCTTTGAACAACAAAGCACAATAAGATAATTCCTAGGATGACTTTACTCTTCAGGAGGGATTCTGATATCTTACTCTCTTTCACTGTATCTACAGAATGCCACTTCAGTTGGAATATTTTTTAAGTATGGGCCTTTATAAAACATTTATCCTCTCAAAATATGCAAGAAAACATGGCATTTTTTAATAAGGTGAATAGAGTGAAATAGAGTTATACGCTAGTTTCTGTATTTTCAAACAATGTTACTCATAATGGATTTGATTTTTTTCCCCACATCTTGATCCAAAATGGAGAATTTCATCATTTCTCTCTTTTCCCACTTCTGTGATGATTTTCTATACAGATTAGATTACAGTAATATCCTTTTGCCTAGGGTGTCCCCTGAGGGCCACCCAAGAGCTTTCCTTCCTACAAATGGTAACAGCCTATGGTTCTAGTGTGTTTTTGCCTAAAGCATATAGTGCTTATGAAATATAAGGGTTCTCTGTCCTGTAGTTCATTTCATATGGTTATGAAATTGTTTCAAAAGCTTTCTGAATATGGTCAGTATGATGTTTCTAACTTTTAATCAACAGTGTTTGATGCCAATAAATCTACGTGTCTGTGTCTGTGTATGCCTGTGTGTGTTTGTGTGTTGAAGTATTCCACTCTAAAATATTTATTTATGCATTAGTGGCCTATCATGGTCATCTTCCTGTAAAAAGCAATACAACTGGTAAATGCCAATTTGTCTTACTCTGCATGTGAGAAGGAGCCTTTCTAGGGTTATGATTCTAAATTTGCTATTGTGATAATACATATTATCTACTAGTCTTTTCTTGTAAGTTTGAATTTAAAATGATTTCAGCCTTGAGCTAATAAATGTTCTGCAAAGTTGAAAACAATGTGCTATATCATCAGAAGTGATGTTTTATGATATTTACTACATACTATGATTATTTTCAGTCATAATTATTAAAAATTAAAACATTTATGACTATTAAACTTTTACTTTGAATGCAAATACTTTTAAAATATTTAAATATTTTCAATACTTTTTATTGAGAATAAAAGTAAGTTTTACTTTCTATACATACACACACACACATTGATTCTATATGGGAAAGAATGGTTGATTAATAACCGATAATCATAGTTTCTTCTATAGCAACAAATTAAATAATTCAATTCCAAAAGTATAATGAAAACTGGAATCCATATTAGATTTCCACATTGCTCAAAATAATGAAATAGTTATCACAAATTCACCTTATGTGTTTTATCAGTATAACTATGATGAAAAATTATTCTCCAATACTACTCTTAAGCCATCATGTCTAAAATAAAGACTTAAAGACTGTGGTTTCTTTTTTTAAAAAAATGTTCTCTTCTGACTTTCTTATTTTGTCCAATATTGTTACTGTCAGAATTTCAATCATCCTAAGAACCTAGAGTTAATTTGGGGCCCTCCCTCCTTTCTAACTGCTGTAGGACTTGGTAACAGTCCATTAGTTAGAAGCATGAAAGATAATTCCTCAGGCCCTTCCCTTCTCGGCAGTTCCCACTGTCACTACTGTATTCCAGGTCCTTATCATTTATCACTCTCATCTAGATTTCTCCTTCAGCATCCTCCTAAACATCCTTTTTGGTTCCTATCACCCAAAGGCAGATCTTCCTGCACAAATACTAGATTAATTATAATCTCATCGGAAGTATCCAGAGCTGCCCATGGCTAATGGGGTAACTATGAACTGTTTTGCTAGAATTTAGGGCTTTTGATATCTTGCTTCAACCTTTCTTTTCATCATTATTTCCCACTTGTCACTCAAGCTGTATTGCTCTACTTGTAATGGTCTGATTATTTCTACTTCATTATCTCTGCCTATACTATCATTACTTCTCACACTTAAAAAGACCTTCTCACTTTTAAACACCTTGGAACCCTGCCTCCAAAGTCAGCCTTCTTAATTTCCCTAGCACTCAATGTTCTTTCTCACCCCTTCTATCTTTCTTTTTAGCAGTCACTTAGCCCTTGTGCTATATTTCATTGTATTATTTTTGTGTTACAGATGCTTTACCAGTTCATCTTCATGCCTTTAAAAAGGGGGTCTTTATTTCCTCTTTCCCTGCATTGCTCATCATTGAGGTAGGTTCCCCAGAACATTTACTGGTGGAAAAAGTAAGAAATTCCACACAAAGTTTAAACTATTTTAAGTGGAAAACAATTTATTTGATGAAACCAAACATTTTTTAGCCTATTAGTAAGGTAAAATGATCATCTTAAACATATATCGAAGTTTACTTATATTTTCTTTGATACTATAGATATGAAACTTTAGTAAAAATTAGGACAACTGAAGTTGAACCCTAATCAAAATTGATCTTTTTTTTAAAAACAAAGAAAGCCCAAATTTATGTCTTTCATAAATAATAATGTTATTTAACAGCAGAAAGATAAAAAGTTATATTTGAATATACATGAGAATTGTTAGGAAATGAGACTAGGTGAATTTTATATATTTGATTCAGAGACTTGTGTAATGTCCTACATATAATATAGGTTCAAAATAATATATATCTGGAAACAAAAATATAAATGACCAAGATCCCACAAATTTACAGTCAGAAGCTTGTCAAAAGTTCAGGATGGATGGGTAATTCAACACTCCTCAATATAACAGCATTTTAAAAGTCATTACCAGCATAATAATTATAATAAATATAAACATTTAAATATTACACCTACTTTTGTGTGTAACACTCCACAAAAAACTTCATCTTCAAAAGTTCTTTCTACTGAAAACTCTGCAGCCATAGTAAAGTGTGTTTATTTTTGGGTATTTGCCTTGACATTTTTAACAATTCTTAAAAGTCTAAAATATGTTTCTCATTTTGCAGCTTTGTTCTTATATTTATATTTAAGTTTTATATATAAAACATATTTGCAGGAAAAGGGATACTCTAAGATAGTGCCTTCTCTTTCATTACCTTAGCAAATGCGTTTTATGGAGTTTAGTGTTTTGGTCATTGGGGAGTTGTGATACTATTGGGTAAATATTTTTCAGTTACTCCTCAATTTCTAAAATCTCGTTGCAAAGTCCATTAGACCAGTTAATTAATGTATGACCAAAATGAGAAGCTCACCCCCAAATTCATCACAGAGACTTACTCTGTTGCATAATCACAAATAAACTTGTCATCTCATTTAACTTGCAAATGTGTACTTCCAATTATAATGGGAGGGAAGATAGTTTGTAAGTGTATCCTGACCACTGGAAAAGAAAAAGTAGATCAATTCGTTGATGATGAGGAGTGCTGGCACCATCTTTGATTGTAAGAACAAGTTTTTTTTAAAAAGTAAATTTGATCGATTTAGAAAAGAAATTACAAAATTATATTCTGATCTTTATCCGACATGCCTTAAATGAAAATATCCAATAGTTATTATTACATATAATACTATATATAACTATATATAATATGTTCTATGTATAATATAATGTAAAATATATAAACTATGTATATTTGTTTTTGTGTAAATTTATGTTATACAAATGTATATACATGATGTATATGAATGTATATCTATGTAGCTAATCTACTTACCTACCTGTTTATCTGATAATTCTCCATTATTTGGCTGAAAGTAAGAGCACATGTAATCCAAGTATGAGGACTTAGACCAATACATTTTTATTATCAGACTTAACTTTAGCTTTCTGGCAAATGTACTATACAATTTTTTCATAAGTAAAATTTTAATATAAATAAATTTCTAGTTCTGAAGTTCCCCTTGTCAATTTTATACTATTCAGCATTGTCTAGTTAGTTCATGCACTTAGTCACTATATTTACTTCTGGAGGACATTTGACTATTATTTACAAGAAAATTCATTCTTAACAATTAAGATTAACCATTATGGTAAACAGTCAAGAGATAAATTATTTAACAACCAATAGCATCATTATTGGAATAAGTGTTTCTCCTCCAAGACTGTCACATATCTATATGCATGTGTGTGTCTATGAACTCATAGCAGAAATCCAAAACTACTTTTTTTTTTTTACAAGATTGATAATACTGCCTATATGCTATTATTTTGCATGTTTTTTTTTTTTTTTTTTGGTGGGGAAAAGTTCTAGTTTTATAGCATTATCTAGCAATTAGCTGTCATAAACAATACTGGATTTTGATATAAAGTAATGGTGGATTCCTCAAGCTACATGTAAAAATCTATTTATCTTATACTTTTTTTTTTTTGAGACAGAGTTTTGCTCTTGTTGACCAGGCTGGAGTGCAGTGGTGTGATCTTGGCTCACGGCAACCTCCGCCTCCCGGATTCAACTGATTCTCCTGCCTCAGCCTCCTGAGTAGTTGGAATTACAGGCATGCGCCACCATGCCTGGCTAACGTTGTATTTTTAGTAGAGACAGGGTTTCTCCATGTTGGTCAGGCTGGTCTTGAACTCCTGACCTCAGGTGATCTGCCTGCCTTGGCCTCCCAAAGTGCTGGGATTACAGGTGTGAGCCACCACGCCCCGCCAATTTATTTTATACTCTATCCCTCATACGTTCATGAAAATCTAAATGATAAGAAACGTGATCTAGACTGACTTCAACCTTGTATTAGCTATATCTCCTTGGCCATTTTTGAGGTATTTCACTCATTTGGGAAATGGGTTATATCTACTTACATGATTTTTAAACTATAAAATAATTGCTATACTAGGGAATACTCGTGTGAAGGAAGAGAACTACAAGAAAATATATCATCCCAAAAGAGTGAGGTTTAAGAGCAAAACAAAAGATACAGAAATAAATTTTCGTTAATGGTGAGAATAAACTAAAATCCAAAAGTTCTTCCCATTTTTGGTATGCTATTCCTACCAGTTATTTAAGAAAATATTTCAAGGCATATTTTTGTCTTGACCATACTATTCACTCAAACGTTAATACTGAAATATGTATTTTATCTGTACAAAAGGAGATCTGTGGTGAATGGGGAAATTACTGAAAGTAATGTGGGGGTCATATCCTTAAAAATATGAAAAATATGATTGAATCACACTGGTTGACTTTTTTCTGCAAAAGCGTTAAAATTTACACCACCGTTGGAGATCTGTGTAAGAGCATGTGGGTTAAACACACTGAATCTCCATCCCAAACACAGTAAGGCAGCTACAAGTCAAACATAATGACAGTGCTGATTAATTAGATACTCCTACCCCCCAGCACTTCAGAGTGATTTATGGAGACACATCTCTAGTCTGATCCATTGTGCTGACTGGATTAATGGAGTGAGCTAGAAAAATTCACTGGCAACAGTATCTGGCAGCCCAGCAAAACATTAACCCTTGGAGTTTTCTTATCTAGCCTATTGACAGAATATTAATTATGACAAAACATACACATTTCACCTAATTATCTTTTGATAGCTTTGTTTATATTTGATATATAAATATAGCTGTATGTGTTGTGTTGAATATTTAGATATATTGAAATTCCTTGCATTAGAAAGAAATTGCACATAAACATTTAAGAACAGAGTTAAACAGTGTATCCATTATGGAAAGGAAGCTTAGTGAGCATGTAGTTTTCCTCTTTACTATATGCGTAGAGACATAGATTTCTTACAGAATGAAGAGAAGATAAGAATTGTTTTGCAAACAAAAACTATTCCCATTGCATTAAGAAATTATTAATGTGTAGGCTGCCTAGTGGAAGTGAATTCTGAAATAAAGAGTGATTCTGCTTGGGGGAGAAACACCATTTGATATATAAGCAATTAAATTAGAAATATTCTGGTGTGCCTAATCAGAAGTGAGGATATTAGCACATAAATTGCTTCTGGTGTATATAAATGAAGTATCATATATTATCTGAATCTCAAAATTAAAAAGCTTCATAGAGCTATTTCAGTACAGTATTTAAAGCTATGTAAAATTAAAATTGAGCCTTTCCTAAAGTATCGAGAACAATTATAAGATATATCATATAACTTCAGCTTTAATTATTTTTGTGGTATTTGATCCATCCCAGTCACATTTTCTAGATGTGTTATGTTAAACACATGGAAACACAGCTTGTAAGTAGACATGGTTTAAAGGGCTCTGGGAAAAATATGTCTTTCAATTAGGAGCAAAAGATAGAACCAAGTAATAAACTCTTTTTTATTCTTTTTCAACTTTTATTTTAGTTTCATTGGGTACATGTGCTAGAGTGTTACATGGGTAAATTGCGTGTCGCTGGGGTTGGGTGTACCAATGATTTTGCCACCCAGGTAGTGAGCATAGTACTTGATAAGTAGATTTTCGACCCTCATCCTCCAACTACCAGGTGATAAATTCTTAATCAAGTAACTCTACCATACATTGAGACCAAATTTTAAAAAGATTGAAATATTTGTAAAAACTATTTTTAATAGCATAGTAAGTTTTAAGTAGTATAAAAACTTACTATACAGTAACAGTGTAGAAAGGATAATTCCTTTCTATAAGGACAGTTGCAAACATTTGGATAATCTAAAGAAGACTCTTTACCTCTCTGATGACTCAAGGTTCACATTGAGAGGGATTAAATTGTTTGTTGTGGATTTTATTCATTCTAATGATGGTGCAAAAGAAAGGAAATGTAAAACTAACCAAGTCTAAGTTCATAAATTTGTATTTCTCAATCCCACAGCAAATGGAAATTTGATATCAGGCTTTAATGTCCATAGATATACCATGCCTCATGAAACCAATATGTCAGATCAAAGCTGCTGTTTTACATTTGCCAGGTTGGAGCATCTGATGGTTCTGCAAGGGAAGCCCTATGTCAGTGGTTCTCAACTGGGATAATTTTTGTTTCACAAGGGCACATTTTTCAATGTTCATTGACATAGTTATTTGTCCAAAGGAGGAATGTACTACTGGTTGCTAGTGAGTAGAGGCCAGGGATGTTGATAAACATCCTACAATCTATAAGGCAGCACTCCCACAACGGAATTAATTATGCAGCCTAAAATGTCAATAATGCAGGTGGAGAAGCCCTGTCCTAGGTAGAATACACTTAAATCATTTTATCTAAATTTTTCAAAAAAACTTGTTAATGTTGAAAATCATCTCTAAAAATAAAAATTAAGACTTGCTGATGAGTTGTCACAAAAAGCAGTAGTGCCTACTTAGGAATTCAAGAGTACCCTGAAAACTAGAAAAGCGAGCATACATCGTCACTAACACAGCCTCAAGATACTAAGAGACACTGAAAATGAATAGAGAATCATCAAATAAATTTATTAATTAATATGCAGAACTTTTGAATTTGAGTATTTAGACTTCTAAGACCATGTATTAGTCCATTTTTACGCTGCTGATAAAGACATACCCGAGACTGGGAGGAAAAAAATTTAATTGGACTTACAGTTCCACATGGCTGAGGAGGCCTCAGAATAATGACAGGAGATGAAAGGCACTTCTTACGTGGCGGCAACAAGAGAAAATGAGGAAGATGCAAAAGTGGAAACCCCTGATAAAACCATCAGATCTTGTGAGACTTATTCACGACCACGACAACAGTATGGGCGAAACCACCCCCCTGATTCAAATTGTCTCCCACTAGGTCCCTCCCACAACACATGAGAATTATGAGAGTACAATTTAAGATGAGATTTTGGTGGGGAAACAGAGAAAAACCATATCAGATCATATATGCGTGTGTGTGTATATATGTGTGTGTGTGTGTGTAAATATATATATATATATATATATAGACCATATTAAGTACCAGAAAAAATTTATGTCATTCAATAATGCTGAGACTATGAATGGTACTTGAAAAAGAAATTCATAAGCCTTTTCATGCAAAGGATTATAAAAAGTCACATGTTAAAGGGGGTAAATATCTTTATTGAATACATGACTAAAGTCAAAATCGTGTGCATGAGGCAAAAAGTTTCCATCATATTTTCTAATTAGCTAACATACTTTCAAGCCCAATTTCTTATCTCTTATATAATTCATAGCCTCTATTTAGCAGAAAATAAACTCCAAAGAGAATGGCTTCTCCTTCTAATCATTACAGACAACCAAATTGAGAAGTTTATATGGCTTCTAACTTCAAGTCTTTCCATTTCAACATTTAAGTTTTATTATTGTAGCGTTTGCAAATGGCTCCTCAGTTGAGAAGACTGTTTCATGTTTCAAATCTTTCAAAATTTTTTTGAGTTCAAATCTAGTCCCAATCTAGTCAAATCAAATTAAGTTAAATCTAGCCTTTCTCAGCAATTCCAGCTCACAAACATCTTTTCTACTCAGAACTCAGAGAATTTAAAATTTTCACTATTCATTCTGGCACTTAATAGTATACTGCCTCACTTTTTTTTCTTGACTAATTCAAATTTATTTAATTTTGTATCTTCCTAGTTAGATTACAAACCTCAGGAGGAAGAGACCATATCATAAATATCTGTTCTAAGGATAAATGCTTAGTAAATGTTGGAAGAATAAAGGAAAAGAGATAAGGACAAAAAAAGGGAGCAAGAGAGACAAGAAGAACAAAAGGAAGAAAAGAGGTCGAGGAAAGGAAGGAGGGATGAAAGGAGGGAGATAGAGATGGAGAAAAAGTCCTTTATGTCTTCCTTCTCATGTTTTTCAGAAGTAAAATGTTTTCCTAATGATTATTTAAATGAAAAGTGTTTCAATTGGCTCTAATCCTTCTCAGAGATTCTGAAATTCACCAAACTTTGACCTTGATTCCCTATGTTTAGATGTTTAGATATTATAACGTTTGGGGATTCTTTGAGTTTTCACATTAAAGATCAATAATATTCAGCTCCAAATTAAGAGTGTAAACCCAGCTTCTAGGGAAGAAGGTTGAAATGTAGGAGAGGTTAATTTGAAAAACATAAGAAATTGTTAACATCATTGCATATTTAGAAAAAAACTTCATAAAATACAATAAAGTGAAGCATCCACAATTACAGTATGCTTCTTAAATCAGATGTGAGCAAATTATTTCACATTCTAGACCCTTAAATGTCTTCCTATTTCCTGGAAAATGAATTCCAATTCTTAAATTGCACAAGCGATCCTTTCTTCCTCTTTTTAGTCCCTAATTTAAATGCTGGCTTGAACCAAGCCAAACTTGCTTCACTTTTCAAATGCTTCAAACTGTCTCTTTCTTGTTTTTGCACATGCCCTTTAATCTCAACCCATTTCCTAAGCCTCTTGGCCTCCAACAAGCATATAAAGCATGCACACAAATACACATGCATTTGTTATCTGTTTCCTACTTCACATTCAAACTCAGGTGTCACTTCCTGCAAGAACTTTTCCAAGGAGCATCCAGGCATCCAAGTGAGGGTCACCTCTCTTTTTTCCTCTCCATACCTGTACTTCTTCCTCTCTGCTGATGGCACACTGAAATGAGATGTGTGCATCCCTGGAACAGAAGCTCTGTTAAGATCTTTTTGCTCTCTGTTTTCCTCATATTCCTAGTAGCTAATACTGAGTCAGGCATATGATGTTTTCAATAAATATTTGTTCAACTGAATTAAAATGAACTGAATTGAATCAGATTAAATAAACTTAAATACACGATTGGAGCTATAGAGATTTTTATTTTGATAAAAAGGAGAGTTGGCGTTTTTTTCTGGTGAAGAGGGGGTGTGGTTTCTAAAGGTTGATAAATACCTGAGCTCAAATCTTTCTAACTTCTCAATACCTTTCCTCTGTAAAGGAATTCATTTTCTGGTTTTGCCTTGATCTTTCTACTTATAAGAGTTAGCTTAAGACAGATGGCCAAACAGCCTATGGTCACTCAGGGTTTTTACGCCTGCTGTTTCATAACTGACCTTCTTTGAATCTTAAGGATATTTTCTGCTTTTAAATGGCAATCTTTCTATAGAAAGATAATCTATAATTTGTTCCGTACCTTACAGGACATTTTCCTATTCACAACATCCTTTTCTCAGAATGTTTCTCTTCATTTATGAAGAGAAGTTTTTCTTTTCCTTTCTAAACACTGAATTAATAAACATTGGTAGAAACTTTGAAAGATAAAGAAATGTAATTAAATAATGATTACACATAATTCCAATATCCAGAGATGACCACTGATAACATTTTGTTTCAATTTGCTTTCTATTTATTTTCTATGCATATATTTTTACACAGTTAAGGTCATACTGGGCAAATAAATTATATTCTGCATCTAAAAAATAATTTTCTGTCATAAGCATTGCTCCATGCCACTATGCCATTATCTTTGTACACATAATTTTAAATGACTACATAATGTTATTATATGAGTATATCACAATTTACTTCCTAGTTTCCTTATTAGTGGCCATTTAGATTTCTCTGTGCTTTTACAGTTGCTTCTGCTTTCAGGAAACAGAGGCTGCAGAACCCCATATGCCATTGTGCTAGGATGGGTTTCTTTCTTCCTTCCTTGTTCATATGACTTGTGATACAGCAGTTGCTTCAATTCAATGACACTATTTAGGGAACCATCCTAGAAGTGCATGAATAACATAATTGGGAATTTGGGGGAAGAACTATGTCTTCTTCTGCCTTATACATTGCTGATAAATACAATTATGATTCAGGAAATGATACTGAGTCACTTAATTGTTTAAAGGGCTTCTCAGATTCAGTGAAATAGTAAGCCTAAAATTGCAGGCAGGCGAAGATGTTGTTGTAGCTCATTATTTTTAAGGGAGTAGGAGGCTTTCTGCACTGCTTGCCTGAGAATCGATCATTCCAGAAGCATAAAAGATAAAAAGACTGCATAGCAGTAACTTGGTATGGCAGTAATACCAATAACAATATTAAACTGAATAGGTCTCAGTATTCCAAAGGTGTGCAGACATTGAGCCAGGTTTTCCCACAACCTGGTGAATTATAGGAAAATCCATTAAAGTGTATATGCAATGAACTTTTTTAAATGGACATATTCTTGGCAAAAATGTCAGTAACATGTCTGTTAAGAAAAGTCATTTATGCCAACAATGTGCTTCTAGTATTGATGAGAAAGAAGACGCCAAATAACTGGATTAAATGGCTTTTGCAGTTTGTCCTTTCAGGATGGGGTGAAAAGAAACCCAAATGCTCAAAATGTTCAATTATAGTGTTTTGATGATGAAACACCCTTCCTCAGTCCTGGGTACTATATTCCCATTAAAAGATGAGGTGCATAATTTCCATATTAAGGACACTTTAATCATGATTTTCTGTTTTTGAGATATTGCATTTTCTCATCTACAGAAAAAAAAATCCACAAAAGGTTACAAAAAGCTCCAACTTCATTCATATAGTTAGGCTAGAGTTCAAGAACTCTATCGTTTTATTAAAGGAGTCAATGGAAGTAATAGGAAGAACCATGGTCTTAGATTAGAGTCTGGGGATTTTACTCTCCTGTGGCATGGACAGAAGGTCTCTGAGTAGAGTTAGGATACAATGGAGGAGGAGAAAAAAATGACATCTAATTAGGCATGCAGGACAGAAGGAAGCAGCATCCAGGAGGAGTATGAACACCAGCTCTGGTCCAGATAATAGGTGCCCCAGAGAACACTGTGAGGTGCCAGAGCTGGGGATTGTTGCAGATCGAGTGTGTGTTGACTGCAGTTTCCGCAGCAGATGGCCAAACAGGCAGGTGGGTTTCTGAGAGGACGCTCCTGGGCCTTTACCCACATTCTCCATGTACCTGGAATCGCAGATGGCAGTACCAGCTGGCAAATGAAAAGATGCAGTTTATGTGTTTCATTTACTCTCGTAAATTATAGAGAGCAAAGTCCATCCTATATATAAAAAATTCGTTCTCAGCACATGTATACTACTTACTTCTGATGTTTTACTGAACTATGGCAGAGATTATATTTTTGTTCAACTTTTTTTAGAAATTATAATTTTTCATTTTTTTAGATTATAGATGTTTTTGAATTACATAATATTTCAACTTGAGCATCTAAGAGAATTCAAACAAAATTTCCAAGGAAAAAAAGAAACAAAATCTCATTTTGTGCTTAAATTATCTATATTCACAAAAGAAAGAGTTTGAACTGAAAATCTAAACATTTTTAGAAATTCAGAAAGGAATTATTTTCTAACTGCTAATAATTCTCAAAGAAACGGTTATTATTAAAGTATTATTATATAAAATACCTTTCCATGTATTCAAACATAGTTTTAAAGATTTAATATTCTTGAACATTTTAGTTGTAGACATGCAACATATAGATACAAATAGGAATGCTATTATAAAATAGTTTAATTTTGTTTTAACCAAATAATATTTATTGATATTTGCTGAAGCATGCTTTTAGAAAATGTCTATCTAAGCATAAATGCTTCCTAAGGGCTTGCAGTTTGGTTGAGAAGACAGAACACATATAAAAGACCCAACCAAAAGCGCATTCTGAAGAGGCAGGACAGGAGAAAACTAATATAGAGTAAAATACATTTTGTTTAAAATGATGAGGAAGTAGTGGGAGTATCCCAGTTAGCTGATTTTTTATTAATAACAGATTTCCAAGAACAGCAAAAACGGAATGTCTTTCCTTTCCTTAAAATAGAAATCCAGTTTATCATGGCAAACTGCATAGAATCAATAATTAATTGCATTTTGAAATCCAAATAAGAACATTTAAATGTGGTTCTTCCTTGTCCACATAAACAATGCCACATATGTACTTTAAAAATTCCTTTTATAAACAGAAGTGTATCATGCACTTGAGTCCAAAAAGACAAGGTGATTTTGCTCCCCCAGGGAACAATTGATAATGTCTGGACATGTTTTTACTTGTCACAACTGGGAGGAAGGATGTGTAGAGGCTGAGGATGCTGCTACATTCTGATAATGCACGAGACAGAACCCCACAACAAAGAATTATGCAATTCAAAATATCAGTAGTGCCAAGATTGAGAAACCCAGTTTTGTCCTCATAAACAGCTGCCAAACACTCAAGGGAAAGATTGGCCAAAAAATTTACGGGCGTGTGGAATATGAGAGATCAGGCTGTTCTGCAAACACCTGTATATTTTAGATAAAGTTAAATTACTTTTTAAAAAGTTTTCAAATTCCTCTTCAATGCAACCCCACTTTTTGAATAGTTTTCAAAAACTCCCTGAAAATATACCTTCACTCTTGTCCACTGAGTCTCTTTAGCATCTTACAAATACAGTATGGTTGTATTTCAAACCATGGCATTATTTCTATTTTTTACCCTCCAACAATTTATCTTTTCCTGTACCTTTCTTTTCTATTTGAATATTTCATATCTTCTGGAAATTGGGTAAAATAATTAAAAATAAAACTGGACTTTTGTGCATGTATTATCTCTGCCATGTAATTTTCATTAATCATTGACCATTGTCTTCTGTTGTTTCATGTCTTGCTTTTTATTAATAACTGGGCATCATTGGTAATCAGTATGCTTCTTTCAGTACCTTACACAGACTGGCATATACAGTAAGTAATACATTTGGCTCTGTGTCCCCACCCAAATCTCATGTCAAATTGTAATCCCCACATGTCAAGGAAGGGACTTGGTTGGAGGTGATTGGATTATGGGGGCAGTTTCCCCAATGCTGTTCTCGTGACAGTGAGTGAGTTATCACGAGATCTGGTGGTTTAAAAGTGTGGCGCTTCCCCTTCACATTCTCTATCTCTCTCTCACCTGCTGCCATGTAAGACGTGCTTGCTTCTCCTTTACCTTCAGCCATGATTCTAAGTTTCCTGAGGCCTCCTCAGCCATGTGGGACCATGAATCAATTAAACCTCTTTCCTTTATAAATTACCCAGTCTCAGGTAGTTATTTGTAGCAGTGTGAAAATGAACTAATACAGTAAGCATTTATTAAATTCTCATGATTTTATTCACTTATTCCTTTACAGTGATAGGAAAACAAAAAGGGAGGAAAGATAAGGAGGAAAGTAAAGAACAGGTCCTGTACCAAGTTTAATACTTTTTTTCTCAGTGATCTTTGCTCATGTGAGTTTCAGCTCTCTTATAATTTAATTTAATTAACTTTTGTTTAGCTCTATCTCAACCTTTATCTATGGATATTAAATTAAGTTACTATTTCTTAAGAAATACCAATCAACTAAGAAACTATTATTTCTATATACTCTATATACCCAGGGTTTGACTTTGAGTCACCTGCTTATTGACTGTATGACTTTGGGGAAGTTTTCTGACTCAAAAGGTTTCATCTGGCATATGGGAGTATCAGCAGTGGCTAGTTCAGATGGTCGTGATGATGACTAAATGAGATAATCAGTGTGAAAGGCTTAGAATAGTGCCAGGTAAAGAATGAGAGCTCAGTAAATGTTGGGTAGCCTCAGTACTAAAAACATAACTTAATCCTGTGATCCCTCAAGATCTTATCTGTTAACATGACCTTAGATCTAAGATCTTCAAATCATCTTAGAATTTCAAACATATGTTTTACTGTCCTTTAAATCAAATTATTTTATTTCTCAATTATTCATGAAGTAACATTTTACAGTTCACTGTGCTTTGTGTTGGGAAGATTCACACCATTTTCAAATGCATTTTATATTTTTTATTCTATCTAACCTCAAAATCTGAAATAAAGAATAAAAATGTTCTTAATCTCACATACTATAAATCTGCTTTTGTGTGTTCATAAACACTGGGCTCATGGTGAAATAAATTAGCATTGTAAAGTACACATATGTCAACAATTACTAAGTGCAGTAATTTAAGGCCTGATTCACTAAACTTTCCTTTGGCCAATAGGCACCCCTGCCCAAGAAATGTAATTTAGGGGGAGAAAAGGGCTGAAGTATAAAGGTTGCACTGACTCCATCTTTCATATTCCAAAGTGCTACACCTTTCAGAGTATTATTTCCTATACTGTGATGTACCCAATTAGCCCCCTCCCACCCATATTTATTAATGTCATCTTTTTCTTGGATTATTTCTGATTTATAAATAAGCATCCTTGTTGAAAGCAAAGTAAAAGTATGATTTAAACCAAGGTAAGAAAAATGTGTAGGTTTTAGTTTATCAAAACTTGCAATTGGCTTTGGTGAAAAAAAAATTCACCTACACAATAAATGGCAAGGTGTTTCAGCTTTACCTCTTGATTTAGAAGGGCAATTAATTCAGAATCCATTCTTCTGTTTTTAAACGTAAAACCTTAACTGACAAATACTGACTTCCAGTGGTGTAACGTAAGACTTCTCAACATGGTGGGAATATGCTACTTTCTAATATTTCACCTGGGTTAGTTTGTTTTTAATTTTTGCAAACTATTTTAAAAGTATGACTCTAAGAGAAAGAGAATGTATTTATACATTAAAGGCAAATAGCACATGTGCACTTCTGCACTTTACAAAAGGGAGGAGAGGACATCACTATATTCTAGACTAAAAACCACTTGAAACAAGCAACAGGTCTTAGGCAGCAACTTAGATAATTGATTCTTTATAGGCACCCTTCTCTCCATATCACAAAATAAACCAGCAAATAAACACACAACAGCAACAGCAACAAAAACCCAGAAAACAAAATGGTCAAAAGCATGTGAAATTTGTTGTAGTTCTTTACTGCAAGGGAAGTGAAGAGACTAGTTTAGTACTCAAAGCAGACCAGCAAATACATATTAATGCATGTCTGCTTTTAATAAATATAAATGATTGCAGTGTCCTCTTTAGTTTGAGTCTTTCCCTAACTCTAGTTTATGCAATGTATTTTCCCTGGAACTGCCGGTTTAATTTCATTCTCTCTTCTACTTCTAAGCATTCGATTTTGTCATGGCTTATTACCTGTGCAATCGAACAAGTTACCTTCCCTGATTTTCAGTTTTCTCATCAATGAAATCTCTTGTAAGCGTTTAATGAGATAATGTATGTGAACATAATGGGAGTTAAGTAAATGTGAGCTTAATATGAATCTGAAATATTTCTGTTTTAAGAAGCATGTTATCCTGGCTCATCAGAAATTCAATTAGGCAGAAATCCAGTAGAATTTGAAGAATATGTATTGAATTGTATTCTAATGGCTTCTTACTAATCTTCTCCTCACTTTATGCAATCTTGATACTATTTCCAGATTAATTTTCTTGAACAGGTTTTCTAAGTTTGTCACTTAGAAGTGTCACTCCTCTTATGAAAACCTCACATGGCTTTCAATTGCTTAGGAATTAAAGGCGAACACTTATCAATTGTATTCAAGGCCCTCTGTGATCCAGCCCAGGCTCCCTGCTCCCTGATTTCTACGGCATTCAATATTTGGAGCCAAATTGGACCATGGGCTGCTCTCAAGTATTCTGAGTATTTTCCTACCTTTGAGTATGTTTTACTCTCTCTGCCATATGGACTTGTTGAAATTCTACTGAAGTAATTTCTCAATAACTATTAATATTTGAGAATTGAATGAAATCAACAAATTCACTATAAATTATTCTCCAAGTCTAAAAGATGAACTGTTGTAGTCCCTAAAAATGTATAATCAGATGACTCTAAGCTAAAATAAAAATAAGTTTAGTATTTTTAAAAAGTAGTGCAGAGTTTACTTTTGGCTTCATTGACTTCATTTAGCTTGTCAACTAATGAGCTTATGTCAAAAAGACATGCCAAGCCAGGTGTGGTGGCTCACACCCGTAATCCCAGCTACTGGGGAGGCTGATGTGGGAGGATCCCTTGAGCCTGGAAGTTCGAGGTTGTGGTGAGCTATGATTGTACCACTGCACTCTAGTGTGGGTGACAGAGCAAGATCCTGTCTCTAACAACAACAACAAAAAGAATGAAAACATGCCAAGTTATTGATGTGTCACTTCTCACTTTTGTAGAGTTGCTTTAGTGACCTCTTACACCCAGTAACAAATATAAAATATGGAAATTGTGCAGGACATTTTCATGAAGCCTTGGGACACTGGAGGTAATCAGCACACTCATACACACACACACATCTTCTAATCAAACTAGTAATTTTATTAATGCCACTTGAAAATGTACTTCTTTCCAAATTTGAGTGCTAAAATAAATAAGTAAATGAAAAAAAAACAGTAATTTAAAAAATGTTCAAAATAAGATTGACAAAGCAAGAAGTCTGGTGTGAAGGTCAAATCTGAGTAGTCGCACTGATGTGCTCGGACATGACTTATTCATAGAGACTAAAAATTTTATATTAAGTTTCAACTTAAAATTTAACTAAAAGTATTATTCATATAATTCACAGGAATTCTGGTAGATTCAAAGAATCTGCAAGCAAGTGTAAGATACTCTGATCACATTGAATAATAGTTATTTAGATGAACTGAAACCAACTGTCTCTTACAAGGCCTGATTACTCTTTGGCAAGTCTTTTACATATAAAGGTTCTGAGTATGTTTGTTGAACAAATGAGTGCATGAACAGCCGCTTAGCATTCTGGACAGTGGTGATTTGATTATTTTCCTCTTACAGACAACTCAAGATTATTTGTAACTGGATCCTAAAATCTTTCTTTCTTATCTTTCCCATTTTTTTTTCGGTGACTGGATTTATTAATCCAGCCCCTATCAGGTGCCATACATAAGGCTAAGGACTGTGGATAAAAATGAGTAAGTAAAGTCCTTGCTTTATGGATCTTACAGTCAGGTGAAAAAGAAAATACAAACTTTAAGATTTACATGAGAGTTGCCTGAGGAAGTAATCAATCAAGAAAGTAAGTTCTGTTAAAGTTTAGAAGATAGGAAAAAGAGTATTGTTTGTAGAAAATAAAGACCCTGGGCCACTGAAGCCTTTCGACAGAGTTTGTTAATATTAACATTACTTTTTTATTTGCTATTTTTGATGTTTTTTTCAAATGCAGAATTTGGCAAGCTAAGAGATTGTTATAATTTTGGGACTACTACTTCTGGCTTTCTGCCAGAATGAATAGAGCAATAATATTAAAATTGTTCTTATTCCCGATTCCTATTCTTGATTACTCATCTTTACGGAAAAGCATCAGGTCTGAATTTCCGAAGCATCATATCTCTTGTCTTAATATACTGTATGACATTGATAATCTAAGATTGTTTTAAGTGAGATCTTAGAATTTCACACTTATTTTCGTATTGGGGATTAGCATTTGTCAAAAATACTCCTAATAGAAACATACTCCAGGTTGAAAGGAATTCTTACCTCTGGGGGATATAAGAGGATAAAAATGGGAAACCTCAATTCTTTTTTTACTTACTTCTATATTTTTATAATAATTATATAAACTGTGATTAAAAATAAATTAGAAATTGGGCATAACACAAAAGAGAACCAATATTTATTGGTTTGAGGCCACATCCAGAAAACTGAATCAAAGGATACTAAATACTCTCATTTGAAAGTAGAATGGCCATGGTGCCTTCACAAATACAGAAGGGTAAAATATGACCTTACATTCAAACAATAAATTGTATGGAAGAAGCAGTTGGTGTGGTCCACATATCCAATCAATAAAACTCTTATCTGAATAACCTAGTGATTGACTAAATATATTTTCTCAAGGTTTGCATGTGTGGAAACATGTTGCAAGTTTATATTCAAATGCTTAAAGAGTTATGTAAGAGAATATATAATGCTATGTATCCATTACCTATTTTCTTCAGACTCACAGCATTGAGTCATTGTACTTAAATGTACTTAAATGTAAATATGGTCATTGCTCATTCATAATAGAATGTATCTATAGAAATCAAATGTTTATAATTCTTCTTTATAAATCACATTATCTTAATCTTATGCATTTAAATGTATTTTAAGCAGATATCTGAAACATGAAACTGATTACCCGCAACATAACTATTACTCAGAGGAGAAAAAAACTAAAGTGATTCAAATTCTGCATTTTGTTTAGCCTCTCAAAACATGATCCTCTGTCCATCGTAGAATTAGCTTAAATATTAAAGTTTGAGGTCAAGGTCCAGGAATGTGGAAGATGCGGTTAGGAGTTATCTTCCTCCCCCCTTGGCTACATGTTTGTCTTTCAAACAAAAGCTGCTTCTGTAAAACTCCTGTGCAAGTAATTAAACATTTATTGAGCAGGTTCTATGTGTAAGACACTCTACTGAGATGTTGGGAATACATACAGAAATAATCATTGCCACCTAGGAAATTGAAGGTACTATCTAGAACTGAATCTTCTAATCTTTTTTCCTTTGGAGATATGTCTATAGATGTGTTCTTCCAAATGAATTGACCATCACATTTCTTGATCTTTGACTTTACCATTATTCTTATTCTTTACATCTTTCTTTCTAGTCCTCTGTTAACAACCTCACTCTCCTTCAATATTTTGTCTTAAAGACATATATGTTTGATTTCTAGGCACCTCATCTTTTTACTTTGTTCTTTTTAAAAGCAATTTATAGTAAGATATTTATGCATATATCATAATAGAGAAAAGTACCTATTTCCAAAGTGAGCAGCTTAATATATTTGTAAAAAGTGAAAACACCTGAGAAACCGTCTACCAAAGGAGGAAGAAAGAAGACACTGGCAGCATTGCCTACTGAAAGATAACTACTCTATTGATTTCTATAACCTTAGATGAGTTTTGTTTTGAAGTTTATATAATTGGAATCATATAGTATACACCTTTTGTTTCTAGCTTCTTTTGTCCAAAATAGTGTTTGTGATATTCATCCATATTGTTTTAGTATTACATTGTGTGAATATACAATAATTTATTTATCCATTCTATTGTTGATGAATATTTAGATCTTTTTTAGTTTATAAATGAGTAATGCTGCTATGAAAATTTTTGTGCATTCCTACTGGAGATATACCTAGGAATGGAATTGCTGGGTCACAGTATTTGCGTATTTGGGTCACAGCTTTAGATACTGTTAAATTGATTGTACCAATTTACATTTCTGCCAGCGGTGTATAAGAACTCCAGATGCCCTATAATTTTGTCAGTACTTACTATTGTCAACTTAAAAAAAAATAGTCATTTTCATGTCAATTTGATGGTATTTTACTGTGGTTTTAATTTGTGTTTTTCTATTTACTAATAATGTTGAGCACTTATTCATATGTTTATTAGTTACTTGAGTATCCACTTTGTTACGTGCCCATCCCATGAGGATTAAGGTGGGGGTGGTCTTGTAGTGTGTTCATGGATTTGAGGAATTCCTTATATCTTCTAGATTCAAGGCCTTTATTAAATATTTGAATTACAGATACTTTTTCCCATTCTGTGGCTTGTCTTTAACTCTCTTAATGGAGTCTTTGGATAAAAAGTTGTTCTTAATTTTAAAGGAGTCTAATAATTGAACTTTCCTTTATGATCAAAATTTTTTATTCTACTTGCTAGCCATAAAGTAATGAAGCTATTCTGCTATTAAACTTTAGGAGACTCTCTTCTTTTACACTTCACATTTAGGTCTATAGTTCACTTAGAATTGTTCATGTGATTAATTTTTCTTCCATTTGATATCAAAAGAATCATTTATTGAAAAGTCCATCCTTTGTTTGTAGTGCTGTGGAAGTGCTTTTGCCATATATCATTAACAATACATATGTAGGTCTGTTTTTGTTAAATTTCCTGCAATATTTGTGGATTAGTCTATTTTTCCTTTTGGTTTTCTATGTTTATGCTTTATATGTTGACTATTTCATTAGGTATATTCATATTCATAATTGTTATTATCTTGGTAGTTATTGATTATTTTAACCCTTTATCTCTGGTAATTCTTCTGGCCTTAACAACTGCTTTGCTATTTGAACATCTACAGACATTTTCTCTGGGCTAGGTTTTCATGCCATATATTACTTTTGCCACATCCCAGACAATGCAAAGAACTTAGAACATTTTAATTCTATTTATGGCTCATCAGTCCTTGTGATAGTATTGTCATGCATTTTAACTCTATGTTTATGTATATTTCAATCTAATAAAAACTGTTACTACTGTTTTATACTATAAATATCAAATTCAAGTTACATATTTACTGATTTTAATGCCCCTTATTTCATTTTCTTAATACCTGTGTCCCCAGCTCTGATCATTTTCCTTCTACCTGAAAGGAAAATGTGGATCTATTGATAATATATTATTTAGTGTGGATCTACTGGTAGCATATTATTTCATTTAATGTGGACCTACTGGTAATATGTTATTTCAGTTTCTGTTTTATTAAGACCCGTCTTTATTTCACTTTAATTTTTGAGGCATTTCTTCACTGGATTTAAAATCCTAGGCAAGGTTTTCTTTTGTCTTTCAGCACCTTAAAAACGTCATTCTATTACATTCTTCCAAAAATGTGTTTCCATTTTTCTCTGTTGAGAAGCCCATTATCAATCTTATTGATCCCTTGAAGGTAATGTGCTTTGTTGCCTGGCTGTTTTTAAGAAGATTTCTCTTAGATTTTCAGTTCCAGCAGTTTGGTATATGTACCTGTATAGTGTTCTTTGTGTATTTCCTGCCTTGTGATTCTAGAGCTTCTTGAATATGTAACTTCATGAATTTATCAGTCCTAGAAAGTTTTACTTCATTCTTTTTCTTCTCTCTTTCTGAGATTCCAATTATATCACCAATAGAATTTTTCACCTGACTTCACTTACCTCTTATGTTCTTTTGTACATTTTTCATCATTTTTTCTCTCTGGCGTGATCCTATATCATTTTATCTGACCTATCTTTCTATATACTAAGCCTCCTCTCTTCCTGCTCAATCTAATTTACTCTTACATCATCCATCAAAGTCTTAATTTTAGAAGTTATTTTTTCAATTATCTAGGATTCCTATTTATGCTTTTTTGTTTATTTTATTTACTTATTTATTTATTTGAGACAGAATTTCACTCTTTTTCCCCAGGCTGGAATGCAATGGCGTGATCTTGGCTCACTGCAACCTCATCTCCTGGGTCCAAGCAATTCCCCTGCCTCAGCCTCCTGAGTAGCTGGGATTACAGGCATGCACCACCTCGCCCGGCTAATTTGTAGTTTTAGTAGAGATGGGGTTTCTCCATGTTGGTCAGGCTGGTCACGAACTCCCGAACTCAGGTGATCCGCCAGCCTCGGCCTCCCAAAGTGCTAGGATTACAGGTGTGAGCCACCGTGCCTGGCCTATGCTTTTTTTATATCAGGTCCAGGGCTCTGGCAAAATTTCCCATTTTGGTTCCTATTTTTTAAAACATATTAATTATAATTATTTTAAATCCATATTTCATAACATCAACTATCTGGATTGCAAGTCTTTCATTATTTTTTTCATTGAGTTACTTCTCCTTTTCTCAGTAAATATTTTTTTCTACTTTTTCACAATAACAACTCCACAGTAAACATTTTGTGCATGTTTTCTTGTGCTCATTTGTATCATTTAAAATGAGTATGAATACAGTAGAATTGCTGGGTAAAAAATCATACACATTATAGCTTTTTTCTAGAAACTGACACGTTTTTCAAAGGGGTTGTATTAATTTACCTCCCCATCAAACATATAATATTTCCTGCTTTTCCATAATCTCAGCAATATTTGCTATTGTCACAGTTTTAAAGTTTCGAATCTGATATGTATTATGTTTTTATTATAATTTTCCCAAATATCTTATCATATTCTTAATAATTTTTATGTTTTTAATGATTATGTTTCTGTTTCAAAACTGTATAGATAAGTTCATCATGGAGAATCCATAAATAAATAGGTAACAGTCATTTAAACTAGTACACTTCTATGTTGCTCATTTATGGTTGTATACATTTTATTAAATTTCACCTTTTTTTAAAGTTATTTAGTTTAGTTATTTCCTTGATTCACCAAAATGAATAAATGGCTCAAAAATGGTTCATTGGAGGGTAAAGTAACACCAAAAATCACAACATAAATACTACTCAAAGCTACCTTGAAAATACAAGTAGATAACAAACATGTAATATGAATATAAAATATGACTGAGTGTATGATGGAGCAAGTAAGTTCAAAATGTAAGTATCTACACAAGTGAACAAAAGGGAGAAAATTATATCAATTAGGTTTATAACCCTCTGAACATTGGATCTGTTGGATTGCCGTTCCATTTTCCCCTTTCCTCCATTGCTTGTCTGATGAGAATATGGCATTGGATTTTCAGGAATTTAATTTTTTTCTAATATTCTTTATTTTATACTCACTTTTCCCTATCAGCCCCTAAAGTGGTAATGCTATGTTGATATTTAGCATTTACCAATACTTTGAAGATATGTTTATTGCTAAGATTATTAACCAAAGGGCAAGCAATGGTTTTAAATCTGTTATTCATCTTCTTGAGTTACTAGGCCCCATGAATTGTCTAGTCTAACCCCCCAAAAATGATGAAGCTGCTCTGATGCAAGTAAAGTGAAATCTATTTCATATATTTCTTCCACATGTACCTTTCCAAGTTTACTTGTGTAGAAAGAAATGCATTTATCGTGAAAGTATTTTATCTGAATGTATTCCAAAGACTCTAACTGGATAAGAAGTGAAACAATAGTTACACAATCTTATTTTTAGTTTAATATTATTTTAGGTGATTTCTCTTGTATTGGACAGTTTTAAATACCTGTAACAAGTACATGATCATTTTCCTCTTTCTTCCAAGCCAGTCAGTGCTGACTAATGCCTAAAGATTCCTTGGGAGCATTTAGTATTTTGCATGCTAAAACCTACTTCTTATTTTCAGGCTTCCTGATTTCACCCAGAGTGTTCATGGCCTTCTTTTCAAGTGTATTTGTGTTAGGCAAGAAGCCAGTGGTATTAGTGCATGGAAACCAGGTAGTTGTCAGAAGGACTGTAGCAGCATGTCTAATTTTGCTATATTAAACCTGTCACAAAACCTTAAGTAAGAGATTATAGGAAGCATGCATAGAGCACATGGTTTATAACTTAATAAATATGAAGTGTTGGGAACTAGCTAAAACCCCTCTCTTTTATCTTCTTTTCTCTTTGGTTTCACCAATCTCTTTAAACCACTGTTAGAAGAATGGGTGAAAGTATAAAAACTTTTCATGACCACAAGAAACTCTCTCCCAAGCAATAGCCATACCAACAGTTAGGCAGAAATACTTGTGAAGCTAACAAGAATTTTTTCAAGCCACACAAATCTTTATTTCTTATGTCATGAAAGTACAATGAATCCTTATAATTGCTGATGTCTACTACATTTCTAATTTTCTAGAAATCAGATTAATTCTTAGTGCAGCTAGCAGTTTCTGTTGTAGAAAACAGAGGACATCCAATAAAACTTTTTTTTGAAACAGAAGCACAAGGCTTAGAACTAAATATTTTAGTAATTTTTAAAAATGAACATAGGTGAATGCAAGCTTTGTGGTGCTGGAAGTGTATACAATTTGGGGGACACCATTTAGGAAATTTACTAGTTCAAAATTAGATATAAAAGTGAATATGTAATTAGAGTATAAAAAATAAAAACAAATTACAGAGTACAAAAAAATCACAAAAACAATCGACAAAATATTTTTATTAAATAACTACCTCTTATATTGCTGGTCACATACTTTGGTACCTGCGACATGACAGGCTCTCTGCTACGGCCTTGGAATAGCTCAGGTTCACCTTTGCTTCCTACAATCTTTTCAGAGGTCTTTTTCACCTTGAGAGTCTATCACGTAACAGACACCAAGACACATTTGTAGAATAAAAGTCATCTAAGAAATAAATTAAAATTTTAAAAATGATTTCTGCTCTTCTACGCACCCTCACACTTCATAAATTCATGAGTTCATCAAAGCCAAAAAGAATAAGGAATATAACCAAAGCATTGCAAATTGGATTAATAAGTGACATTTTATATGATACAGAGAAGAATTTTTCTGCACTGGGAAAACAAAACTTAATGAAGACATATTATTTAACCCATTTACAGGAATTTAGTTTCTGAAGGAAAAAGAGATGCAAAATGGAAAATGGTTGCATGATCTCCTTTACAATAAAGCTGTTTGCATTCTAAAAACGTGAGTGGGGTCAGAGCCTCTATCCTTAGCATGGGAAATCCTAGAAACAAATGTCAGATGAAGCAATTAGATGCCATGATATAGGCTCTTTCCAGAAGGAAGTTATTGAAACAGAATGTTCAAGTGTGAATAACTAAGTTAAAGTGTGGTCAGGCCAGCTGGAATGCATGTAGGGAAAGTTTACGCAGGCTGTCTGAAAAGCAACCAGGAGAAAGTCAAAGGCAAGTTTAGTTGAAACAGAAGAGGCAAAGGAAGCAGGTGAGGCATAGAAAGGGAGGTGTAACTGTGTAATCCTAAAAGCAGAAAGGTCTGTCCTGGCAGATCTGTATCTTGTAACAAGCCAACATCTTCTGGAATAGTTTTAAATCAACTGAGAGTTGGGGAAGTCCAGTCCTGGAACTGTAGATGTTGTACAGTCTGTAGTCCAAAAATACTTCTGGCCAGTACTTCCTCTTTGCAGTTCATTACTGTTTTAAGTCATTGCCCTTCCTTTCCCGACTTCCCATGCTAGCCTAACATATAGATCTCACTCAGTGTTGTCAATGTTTTCTCCCTTTATGTTCAGCTAACTGTTTGCCTGGGACTGTTTGCCTGGAACTGCAAGGGTTTCTGAGATGTAGGCCTTCCAGTTTTAAAATTAGGACAGTTCCAGTCAAACAGAGATGAATTGATAACCTTAACGCCAGGCCAAATTATCTTGCACCTCACCTCTGATTTCATGATGGATTAGTGATAGGGGCCAGCTCATGCTCAGAGTACTAAATTTCCAACCCAATACACCATTCATTACAGTTTGTTCTTATCATGATGGTCAATCCCCTTTCTTAGATGGTATTAACCTAATCAATGTGCTGGAATTTATTTTCACATGTACATTTGCAATGTATAGACAAAGTCCTCTGTTGGTAACACAAATGTATTCCTTTATGAAAGAATTTGGGATGATTATATAGAGATTTTTGTTTTCATTTCACAGTTACACTATGTTTATAATATTTTTGTGTGTGTGTGTGTGTGTGCAAATTACAGTGCTCATACTGGGGCAGAATAAAATTTAGACTCCCAAAACAAAAATTCTCAGTCTGATAACCCCTCAATTTTCTTGGAGTGGCACTACTATGGAAATTGAGCCATTGAGCTACTGAGAAAAGCCATTCTCTGGCTGTAAAGCAAAGTAGATCTTGTGAAACGCATAAATTAACATTTGGAATAAGATTTATGCATCATAATGTCACTCCGTTTTATAAATTCAATCCTCTATTTCACATACAGGCAAACTGAAACAGTGAAGACCCTCCAAAAGCCCATCTCACCTTAGAAACGTGAAGCCTATGGTATTGTTTATTATTTTATACCAGCATTTGTGGGTATATGTGTATGATGGGGGAGGGGCTGGAAGTTGTGTGCATGTCAGCTTGGTCCTCTTAAGGGCTAGGAAGCAAATTATATATTTTGAATCTACTTGGATGTCTGCAAAAGATCAGGCTTGGCATTTTGGAGATCTTAGCATTTCAAATGTGAACACTTTGTGTTGAGATTTGAGTATTATGTTTCTCTGTCAATCATGTTTAACATTTGGGAAAATGCACAGTGAAAGCTGCCTAAGTATTTCTGAGGAAATGTGAATTGTAAAATAATCATGAAAAATTGATTGTGATAATCCACAGCCAAGTGAGTGATGTATAGGAGCTGTGGAGATTAAGGCATATATTCATCATTGTGTTGACTACCAGGTTCTCAAGAGAAGCACTGGTTTGGGCAATGGGTCACTTGACTGCTAGTTTGTTAATAGTGATTGAGATCTTACTATGTCTGAGACATTGTACTAAGTGCTTTTATGTGAATTAGTTTATTTAATTCCCACGACTTTATAAGAAGATATTTCCCCATTTACAAAAGAAGACACTGAGGGTTAAAGAGTTTAAACAACTTGCCCAAATTTACACAATGGCCAAGCCAGAATTTAATTTCATGCTGCCAAGTCCACCAGAATTCTTTCTCTAGGCATGAATGTCTTAACATATAATGTGGGCCTACACATTAGCTAGCCTATCAGCTTAATGCTATGTGAAGATAAAATATGCTAATATTACAAGTTTGATAGGAATAATTTTTAAATTCTGTATCTAATAGAAACATAAAAAGGCATTATAATGATCGGTTGGGAAGACAATATAGTTTTTACCAAGATAGAAAAAAGGATACAAAAGCATATTTATACTCTGATTAAAATTAAGTAAAATTACATATTTATATAAATGAAAACCAGAAAAATAAAACACAAACATTGTAACAGTGGTCACTTTTAGAGTGATAGCATTATGAATACTTTTTCTGAATTTTCTGTAATGTGATATGATTTTAATGATGAAAATGCCAAGCATTTACAAAAAATTTTAAAGTTTTTTAATGAGAGAATACTGGGAGAGAAAATCTATCTTTAGGGACATATTAGAAACAAAAAGTGTGACTATTATTGTACAAAGAGTTTTATTAGAAATTAAACCTATAGTAGAGTCCTCAATTTCTGACATGAAGTCTATTTCAAGTGTTAGGTGGACTATAGAAGCATTTATTTTAGTCCACAGATTTTTAAAGACGTTATCATTAGCCCCTTTCAGTTTTACTGATGAAAAATATTAAAGGGTGTGAACCGTTTGTGCATGAGGAAATGGAACTTCTGTAAATATTGACTGACTGATGGACCATATGACATATTTACCTTTTTTTCTAAATCATGCATTTCCCACCTGTTTTCTTATAACCTCAGTCAGACCATGGGCCAATTAATATTTCTGTGGGAGATTATCATTTGCTCACTAAGAAAAATTTTATTTAATTTTTTGTGTTAAATCTTTCCTCTCTTCCCACAGACTCTCCTAACCTTGGGGCCATAGAAGATTTTTCATTAATATATGCAATTTAGTTTGATTTCACAAGAGGAATCACCTGATAGTTGTTAACTATGACTTATTAGGCTATTATCATTTTCTAATAACAGGTTTGCTGTAACAATAAAACTCTGATAAAATATGCTGAATTTTAAGATATGTTAAACTATGTTAAAGATCCAATTATGATGATCACATTAAAGTAGATAGATTCAACAACAAAAATGAGGTGACATTATAGAGTAATGGACATTTTAAACTTTATCAAATCTTATGAACGTTTTTTCTTCAATACTGTAATTGACAATACCTATAGTTTTGAGGTAGGAGTTATCGCCCTCATTGAAAGTTGATGAAACATGATCATTAAGATCAAGCAACCCAGGTATGTCCAGCTCCAATGTTAATGGTCTTTACTGCAGTTCAATACTGCCTGTAAAGTAGTCACCTGGGGAGGCTGCTGAAATTATGTTGCCTTCACTCAAAACATTGCTCCACTTTGAGTTGCTTTTATAGAACCTTAGAAGAAACAGCAACGATTAAATCCCATTACTTTATGGGCACACTTCTCTATTTTAGCAGCCTTTCTCAAAACCATTTTCCAAAATCCAATTTACCTATGAAGAATAAAAAAGGAAATCCTGTCATTTATGATAACTTGGATTAACCCAGAGGATATTATGTTAAGTGAAATAAGCCAGGCCACAGAAAGACAAATATTGTATGTTCTCACTTATATATGGAATCTAAAAATGTCCAACACAGAGTGGAATGGTGGTTACCAATGGCTGGTTACCAAGAGAAGAGGGGCAGGGAGCGGGGCATTGACTAGGGAATTCTTGGTCAAAGGATTCAAAATTTCAATTAGACAGTAGGATGAATTCAAGAGATCTATTGTACAACATGATGTCTATATTTAACAATGTATTATATATTTGAAACTTGCTAAGAGTAGATTTTATCATAAGCATGTAAGATAATGCTTGTACACATATTTCAAAACATCATGTTATACACTATACACCATAAAATATATACAATTTTTATTTGCAAATTTAAAAAATTAATTAATTGAAAAATAAACTCCCTTCTAACTGGATAATAATCTGTTCTGAAATCTAATCTAAAAGACTAATGTCTAAATATTTTGAACAACATCAACAGTGTTGGAGTTGTGGTACATTCTCCAAAGGTAAAAATTTTGATGGCAACAAAACTTTCCACTTGTGAGTTTATATTTGACTTGTAGAGTGGATAAAGGGTGGGCATAAATGTTTTAAAAGTTTTAGAAACTTGAGGTGATCGTTGATAAACGACTTTAAAATATAGAGACACTAAGATGCTCTTTGATTGAATATACATTGAGATTAGCTCTTATTTGAAATTCTTTATGGAGTCAATTAATAAGTGATTTACATTTAAACTAAACATGCAGTTTAAAAACTGCCTCACTGAGATACACTGTAAACTGTTATGAAAGCACTGTAGTGTCTTGCTTCTCACATGTTTCTATTGAAAAATGCCATGTGATATATGAGAGCCACAGAGGATGACTTATCTTTCTGGTGCATCATTTTCATTTATCTGTTTCCATTTTTTGTTTGTAACAAAGATCAGTAGATACAGAAAATAAGAATTGTCAGTGCATGTAACATTATAATTGCCAAAATTAATAACTCATGGATATAGCTGCTTTAAACTTCGTTACTTGTTTCATTACACATGTGATAGAATTCTTTTAAAATTCTTTGCTACTCCTCCATATTTCAATTTGATAGCAATCTTCAGTCATTGGTTGATATCTTGTCCATAATGGAATATTCTGAGTATGGAAGAAAGGTAGAGTTAGTTAAGATAGTGTGGCATATACCATCTCATTTTGAGTAAGGCTCATTAAAGATGTCCATAAAGCATTATTTTATTTTTCCACCTGACTTTTATAATAAGGCCTTGAAAAGCAGTGAATATATCATGTCTAATTGTAGGATAATGATGTGCTTTCTTATCTTTTTAGTTTATAAATGTTCCAGTTTTGAAAATAAGAACTAAGGACAAGCAAGAAAAACCATCTCATTACAAAAAAAAATGCATTTTCTGTTATTTATGGCATTCGTTCTACAAGCTCTCTTAAAAAATATGGGAGTTGAACAATGAGAACACATGGACACAGGGAGGGGAACATCACACAGTGGGGCCTGTCAGGGGGTGGGGGACTAGGGGAGGGATAGCATTAGGAGAAATACCTAATGCAGATGACAGATTGATGGGTGCAGCAAACCACCATGACACGTGTATACCTATGTAACAAACCTGCACGTTCTGCACATGTATCCCAGAACTTAAAGTGTATATATAAAAAAATAAGTAACATCATGTAATGGGATGCCGTTAAAGATCAGGGTGGAGATAAAGGTGTGAGAAGTATTTGAGAGATTGAAATGAGTGGATTATTGATTTTTGGCCCTTCCCCTAAATTAGGGCCCATTTTATACTGGCCAAAGGCAAGTTCTTACATAAATTGGCAACATTTGTTTTTGTTTTTGTTTTTTTTTCTGTTTTTCTTCCAGGGACACTTTCCACAGTACTGCTAATCTATAAATTAAGCATCAAATGTTTATTTCCCTCTATTTTTCCACCTCTTCTTTTGAGCTGAGAAAAGGTAAAAACTGTGTGATTTGAAATCAATGTTTACCTCTCCTACAGATAAATGAGTATAATGCTGTGTTTTTCATGATGGAATAAACTGCTTTGTTTTCAGCTCAGGTATAAGTCAAAAGTAGAAGATCGCTCCAGATATCACATCTTGGTAAATCCCATTGCACCTGCACTGGTGCTTCCTGCCTTCATTTTCTAACATGACCTGGCCATGGTCCTCTCCTCCAGCATCAATTCGGAAAGGCAAGTGTCTGTGAATCCTGTAATATAAATCAATGTGAACAGCTGCTTCTGAGAAAGGGAACTCCACACTTCCATGAATGATGTGTATGTAGCTTTCTCTGGTTGCCAGTATATTTATTACATTAGAAAAAGAGTATGACAAAATTCCATGCTGGAGCCCATTGGTGCATAAAGCTCCTAACTATGGAACTGGGTAGTGCCGGTTTTTCACCATTATCTAGTTTTCGCTTGGTTCAATATCCTATTCAGTTAACTCAAGATACGTGTTATGTATCTGCTTTGTGTAAAACACACTACTCTGTGCTAAGGAAAAAGGAGCAAAGGAAAAAGTTTACAACATGACATAATGTTGGAGAGTCACTATTGTTAAGGAGATGGGACTTGGACTAGAGGACAAAGTGATACATATATAAATTTAATATAATCAAGTGCCCAATGCCATAGAATTGTGGAAGCATAGAAGTTCAAGATTGAACTTTAACTTCTAGACCTTAAATCCTATACTGGCAGCAATAATCAAATTCCCTGCTCAACATTCCTACTGGGTGATCATAAACTCTCTCTTTCTAAACCTCCCATAAAAGAATTCCCACCCCCGTCAAACAGTGGTCCATTTCATTTCCAAAAAGCTCTAATTATTTTTAAAAGTTATTTCTTGTACTGAGCCAAAATCGCATTCTCTTGAACATAAATTCTGAAGTTTGGAGTCATGTAGAAAATATATTGCTAATGGTTTTCTTTAAGAGAGTATTTAAAACATTTTAAGAATGTTCTTTTTTTTATTATACTTTAAGTTTTGGGATACATGTGCAGAACGTGCAGGTTTGTTACATAGGTATACATGTGCCATGGTGGTCTGCTGCACCCATCAACCTGTCATTTACATTACCTATTTCTCCTAATTCTATCCCTCCCCTATCCCCCAACACCCTGACAGGCCCCAGTGTGTGATGTTCCCCTCCCTGTGTCCACGTGTTCTCATTGCTCAACTCCCACTTATGAGTGAGAACATGCGGTGTTTGGTTTTCTGTTCCTGTGTTAGTTTGCTGAGAATGATGGTATCCAGCTTCATCCATGTCCCTGCAAAGGACATTAACTCATCCTTTTTTATGGCTGCATAGTATTCCATGGTGTATATGTGTCACATTTTCTTTATCCAGTCTATCATTGATGGGCATTTGGGTTGGTTCTAAGTCTTTGCTATTGTGAATAGTGCTGCAATAAACATATGTGTTCATGTATCTCTATAGTAGAATGATTTATAATCCTTTGCGTATATACCCAGTAATGGGATTGCTGGGTCAAATGGTATTTCTGGTTCTAGATCCTTGAGGAATCACTACACTGTCTTCCACAATGGTTGAACTAATTTACACTCCCACCAACAGTGTAAAAGCATTTCTATTTCTCCACATCCTCTCCAACATCAGTTGTTTCCTGACTTTTTATACTCTAATCACAAGTTTTAGTTTCTTCAAGCTAAATATACCCAGTTCCTTCAAGTCTTCCTTAATAGCATGGTTTTGAGTTCCCTCGTATCCTAGTTGTTCACAATGGACATATTCCTATTTGTCTATACATGCATATTTAAAAGTGCACCATCCAAATTTGAACACACAACTACAAATGGACTAACTGGTGCAAAGTCACTATTACTTCCCAGCTTCCAGAGACCTATATTTCTATTCATCAAATGCATATCAAAATCATAATCAATTTTTTCATGATCATATCACACATTAACCTAAGTCTTTCTTGAAAATATTGCTATTTAACCCTACGTGGCAACCATTATATCAAAGTGTCAGAAAATATAAAACACACACAAATTTAAAGAGTTTTGTATCCAAGTCCTTAAATGTTTCTATATTACATTTCATGGTCTTTGTTTTAGGCTAAAATATGCGTATATTAAAATCACTTCACATTCTTATTCTTTTTTCTCATATATGTATTATCCATCCTCACTCCTGATTGCAATCACTTAAAAATCTGATAAACAAGATACCAAGGTACATATTTCATAAACAATGAATGGTAGAATTGAGACAGGTCCTATGGTTACCTGCTAGCATCTTCTCTCCAGGCTGGCATCAACCTGACAATATTCATCCCAGGGATCATTCTTCTGTGCATTTATTTCTCTGTACTATTTCTATCTTGTCTTCAAAGACTTTACAAGATACTTAGGAAAGTACCCACCTGAGATCCAGATTAATTCTCTTTTAAGAATACTTCTGGGGCCAGGCAGGTGGCTCAGGCCTGTGATCCCAGCACTTTGGGAGGCTGAGGCACGTGGATCACGTAAGCCCAGGAATTCAAGACAAGTCTGGGCAAGGTAGTGAGACTCCATCTCTACAAAAAATTTAAAAATTAGCTGGGTGATGTGGCACTTGCCTGCAGTTGGTCCCACCTACTTGAGAGGCTAAGGCAGGAGGATCTCTTGAGCTCAGGAATTTGTACCATCAGTGAGCTATGATCCTGCTACAGTACCCCAGCCTGGGCAACAAAGCAAGATGCCATCTCTAAAATAAATTTAAATAAATAGTACTTCCGATATGTCCTTGTATAAAAATTAGTTTACACTCTAAGTACTAGGAGTGCTTAGGAAAGGGAATGAACACTATTAACTGAAGTGGTTTTGAATTAATTTGTGAAGAAATTGGTACTTAAGTTGAACTTTAGAGGATCTGAAGGATTAAAATATTTGTGGATTACTGATAGGAGAGTTAACACATTATAGTTGTGGTCTATCCATAGTACCATGTATATAAAATGATGTGTGAATTTATAGGGATTTGCCTGTAATAACTTCAATATGTTAATATATGCTATCCTCAAACCTCTGAACAAAAAAGTGAAACTAATATCCAATCAGACCCAACCTTCAAGGCCCAACTCAATTATTAATTTCTTAGTGAGAATTTTTCCAATTAAAGCAAGCTGTAATTGTCTGCCTTTTCTCTAAATGTTTAATGTAACTGATTGTTTGAAGCTCTCATTTTGGTGTTGTATCAAATATCACATCATCTTTATAATTTCACTAACTCTATTACTATATTGCTGTACAATATATCTCCTCAAGATAAGTTGTAAACTTCTGGGGAAAAGTGACTGTATCTGTTAGTTTTGGGTTCCCCGCACGGTAGCTAGCACAGCAATAGACTGAATACTGGCGGAATAAGTGAGCGTAGCCAACATGGTTGTTTTCTGACTATACCAAAAATTTGGTATGCCTATTTAAATGTGTGTGTTACATTTTATGTTTTTCCATTGTAGTTTCTTTTCTTTTTTTTTTTTTTTTTTTGAGACAGGGTCTCACTTTTTCACTTAGGCTGGAATGCAGTGGCATGATCTCAGCTCACTGCAACCTCGACCTCCTGGGTTCAAGTGATCCTCCTGCCTCAGCCCCCTGAGTAGCTGGGACTACAGGCACACACCACCACACCTGGCTAGTTTTGAATTTTTGTGGAGACGGCATTTCACCATGTTGCCCAGGCTGGTCTCGAATTCCTGAGCTCAAGCCAATCTGCCCATCTTGGCCTACCAAAGTGCTAGGATTACAGATGCGAGCCACCGTTCCCGGCCTCAGTGTCATTTCTAAAAGACAATTTAAATGCAGAAATAAAAGTTTGACTAATATAATATAACATGAGTAACTTGGAAACCATCAGGTTTACATACGCAGTGCTAAATACTATTAAATCAATGCCAACACCATTGTATTCATTTGCACTTCCGGCATTGTATTGTATTGTATTCGTTTGCCTTCAGGTTGGAATTCTGTGGTTTTTAAATGTGTTTACCCTATCCCAATAATTAGGTAGAAAGTTATTGAAGATGAACATTAGTCTTCAATATATAGGTAATTCCTCAAAACACACAACAAAGTTCTCTGCTTTCAAAGTGTGCTGAAAGTATTTGAGTAACTGCTGTACTCATAAGGTTTAAACAGAAAAGTTGATATTTTTCTGATCATGTTCTACTTTTTCAGTTAGGGTTTGCTGGTTTATCATTTTGTTTATTTTCAGTCTATCTATGCAATAGACATTTTTAAAAGGACCTGCTGTAGGTCAGTGTTTCCCTTTTTCTTTTTAAATTACACCTGCAGTTTTTAAGTGGAGATGTCAGCAAGTTGGTATATCAAAAGAACAGAATTTCCTACATTGGGAGCTAATAGACTTGGTTTTATTCCTGGCTTTACCATCAATTAGTGTGTGACCTTGGATATGTCACTTTGCCTTGCTAGTTTTAGTTTAATTTTCCATAAAGTAGGGGGAGATTGGATCAGATTGCCTTTAAGGAAAAATCAGTTGCTGTCTCTCTTAGAATTGCATAAGACTCACCTTTCATCTTTGATTTTCACATATCCTTTTTTGAAAATGGTGAAGCCTGATAACTTCTAAGAAAGAAATAGCTTATGGTTTTTCCCCATAACAATGAATGCTGGTGTAAGAACTCACTTAGAACTGTTTAATTCTCTAGAGTTACCAGCTACAAGAGAATGTAAATCCTCAACTTACGTCTTCACATGAAAGGATGAAGATTTAATCTTTGATTTTGCTACAAAAAATTATAAGTAAGTAGTTGAATGGTAGAAAACTGTAGGACATTAAGACTGCTCCAGAGCTTCTTATCAATACAACCATAAAATGCATTTTGTATTTTAAAATACAAAATTTTTTTTTAAAAATGTGCTTCTGTTCACAATAGCAAAGACTTGGAAACCAACCCAAATGACCATCAATGATAGACTGGATAAAGACAATGTGACACATATACACCGTGGAATACTATGCAGCCAAACAAAAGAATGAGTTAATGTCCTCTGCAGGGACATGGAAGAAGCTGGAAATCATCATTCACAGCAAACTAACACAGGAACAGAAAACCAAACACCGCATGTTCTCACTCATAAGTGGGAGTTTAAGAATGAGAACACATGGACACGGGGGTGGGGGCATCACACATCAAGGCCTGTTGGGGGATGGGGGGCTAGGGCAGGGATAGCATTAGGAGAAATACCTAATATAGATGACGGGTTGATAGGTGCAACAAACCACCATGGCATGTGTATGCCTATGTAACAAACCTGCACATTCTGCACATGTATCCCAAAACTTAAAGTATAATAAAAAAAATGTGCTTATGATTAGGGCACATGACACAGTTTGACTGTCAGGATAAGTTCTGCACCTGTGAAAGGCAGAATTGCAACCAAACTGTCACACAGAATGCCACCTCCTATCTCCACAGAGGGTGCTGCTAATTGACGCACTGGAAAAAATCTCCCATAAGAAGGATGCTCTATGGGATTGCAATGCAATTTGAGGGGTTTTTTTTGTTTTGTTTGGGTTTTTTTTTCTGCTCATCTCATTTCCATATTTGTCATAAATGTCTCGATTTCTTGAGTTTGGTCAGCTGCATAAGGAGCAAGAAGTAAAAATCATCAGAATCATTTCAACTGTTGGGAAAACCGGATTAATGCTGGCTGTTAAAAGCTGTTAATTGCAGTTTACAAAAGAGAAATCCCTTATCTTTGAAAGTTCACTTGCTTGAGTGACTCATTCTTCCTGGGAGGGATTAATGCTTAATTAGAAAAAGATGCTAAACAATCTGATGTGCTTCCTGAATGAAAATCTCACCTTAGTTTTAAAGATTCTTAACAAGGTAACATGCTAATTATTTAATGAATGATTTGTGCTGAGCACTAGAGATGTGTTAAAATAGCAGTGCTTATCGCGTTTGGCACAGCTCCCAGAAATCAGTCCACTGAGTACTCTAGGATTTGGTGCCAAGCCTGTTTTTTGTTGTGCTTGGTGCTTGGTTTTGTTTTCCCACCTTTGAGTGTAAACATGTTTGTCAAGGTACACTGTTAGGGGAAACAGAGAGGGGCAGGGAGGGAAAGCCTGGTGGTCAAGGAAGTGAGGGTGGTGGAGGAAGAGAAGAGAAGAGAGGAAGAAAAAACAGCCAGAACTCCATCTTACCTTTGGACTATGACTGCACTATGCTGACAAATACCTGGAAATATCTGTACTCCAACCTTGCTGTAATAAGGATGTAAAGAAATTAGGAAGAGTAGCATGTATGCTTCAGAGGAAGGTGCAAGGCATTGCAAGCCTGACTTCACACTTTTCTTGGCTGTCAGGGGGTTTTCTCCTTCACAACAATACCCCAATGTTTTGGTAGGCTGACTCCAGTTCACTTTACTAAGTGGGGAGGCATGGGTGGAATGCCAGGTATGTCTACAGAGCAAAGCAGTGCAGGCAGGCTGACGCCAGGAGAGAATAGGCAGGTACCTATTGAGTTACAGGATTTCTACAAATCTAATCCGCATGTAATGTGAGACTTATTGCAGAGCCAGCCTCTGCTAGTGTTGTGAAGTCTGAGGATATGAACAGTCTCAGGACCAAAGATCCCAGTTAACCCATTGAAATCCAGTTGACCAAAACTAATAGCTTCTTATTGTTGTAATGTTATTTAATTAGAAATTGTAATTAGAAGTTTCTTGCTAATTGTATAAAAATACTCAGAGTAAAATATTAATGAACAGAGATATTTAATATGCCTGCAATACAGTGAATACACAATACAGTCAAAGCAACCAGGGCTATTTTAAGTTACTCTCTATTTAATATGTATGACATTGGATAGTCTATACATTACTAATGATGGGTATCTATAATTTATAGTACAGTTTTGCATGTGATAAGTTTGTTATGAAAATTTAAAACAGCAAGTTGTTTATTAGTATTTTAAAAAATCTACTTAAGGGAGACATTTGTTTTCTGGGACATCTTCATTAATTATTGTAATAAATTGATGATAAATTTATTAAAGGAAGGAAATCAGAATTGCCAACATAAATAGGAAAAAGGCCCAGAGACTGAAGTATCAAATAATTATGATACATTTCATACACTTTGCCTGATGATCAACCAACAAACCTCTTAGGAAAGTGGGTAAAGGAAATGAAAGTGTTTCTATACTTAATGTAAGATCATAGGAATTTTCTAGGTCAAGTTCTATAGATTAAGAATGATCAATCTTCAAGACATTCTACAATTATACAAAGATAGGACAATTGTTCTTACTTTATCAACTGTGATAAAACTCCAACCATAACTCAAAAGCCCACGTTAAAAATATTCTTAAGATATATTAACTAATAAATAACATTTAACCTCAGAAATATTTCGAGAGGCATGACTCCAATTACCTTCAGTGTTTCTTATATGTTGATATCCTCTCCGCAGGTATTTATGTTCATTATCATATTTAGACACCTTTAATAAATTGGCAACATCTTCTTCTAGGGTTTTGTTTATTAACACAAAGATGCCAACATCAAGGGTTTAAAAGTCTATATACTGATACAGGAATAAGTGTCTCCTGTGGTCCATGTATTCTAACAGATACTTTAGGTATGTGAGTTTATTTATGCACTTTTATGATTCTCAGTGTTAGCATGAAGAAATTGAGGCCCATATCAAATAACTAGTAAATAACACATGCAGACATAAACCCAAGACAGTTGATTCAAAGCCTTTTTTGGAGCAGTGTTAAATGTGGGAGACAATATAGCACTACTCAAAAAAGCTAAGGATGAGAATAACATTAGACTTGTTATCTGGAGCTCTGTGTTGAAAAATGTCACTTCTACTTCCTAACTTTTAAACTGACAGTTTGCAGCATCTCTATGTGCCTCAGTGTCCTTGTCTTTAAATAGGAATATAAAACTTACATGAGGATGCTTGTGTAAGAATGAAGTGAGACAACACTAATGAACACAACTGTGCCGACAATGTGTAGTGGCAGACAGTAATGTTAGCTCTGCTCTGTAATATTACACCCAAGTCTCTCTCTGGGTCTTGAGCTGGGTGCTGTTCCAATACACACATACTGCATCGCGAGAGCAATCCTGTTTTAAACATGGGTGAGGTAGAGAGGGATCAAAAACAGGATACGCCCTGGCTCCCGGCTGAACTGCACAGCTCTTGCAGAATTTACTGAAGGAGATTGCCTCTGAACCTCCTTCAAGGAGGTTGCAAGTTACCTTTTAAGTTGATTTGTGACACTAAAGCTAACCCAATCCTAAATTTGTTCACTCCCCCACTCTGCTTGGTTCTTTCAAGCTATTGCCAGTTTTATCCCTGTTTAACCTTTGTGGTAGATAAGAAGATAACTATTAAATCTTGGACTACTGAGTAGGCCTCTTGGAGACTGCACTCAGTATCTAACAAAAGAATGTGGAGAGAGATTCTAAGCAGTTTTTTTTTTTTTTAACCAAAAACATTGATTAAAACTAACAAATTAAGGACATTTGCCAAAATGGCATCTGTTTAATGGTGCTCCTAATCCCCAAGTTATTACTATCTTTAGTGTTTGCTAAAGATATGAAATCTCCAAACATACTGAGTAATTTTACTGAGTGATAATAGTCTATATTAATTATGCTCTATGTTTTCAACATGGCAGCAAACGTTTCCTTTTTCTTTAGGCCAGACTCATATTTAGAATACCAAATATATCTCTATAAATAGTTATATTTCTGTATTTTATTGATGCTAGATTTAAAATTTCCAAAGAAAATGTAGTTTAGAATAGTTTATTTCTATGATAAAGCAGATTGCTTAAAACTGATGTTTTAAAGAAAAGCTATAAAGTTTTAAAAGTGAAGATTAAAACATTTTAGCAATAAATGATACCTGAGACTTTTAAAAATTCAATTTCATGGTAAATGTTTCATATGCACTCGAAAAAAAATGTGTATTCCATTGTTATTGGGTGGAGTATTTTATAAATATTAATTAGGTTAAGTTGGATGATAATGTTGTTCCTCATTACCATCAACTTGTTGACATCCTGTCTACTTGTTCTATCAATTATTGAGAGAGAGGTATTGAAATCTATTTCTATAATTGTAGATTTATCATATCTATTTCTTTTTGCAGTTGTATCAGTTTTGCTGCATGTATTTCAAAGTCTTTCTAGGTACATAATTGTTTAGGATTATAATAAATTGATCCTTTTTGTTATGAAATGACCATCTTAATCCTGGTAATGATTTTGGCCTAAAATCTACTTTGTTCTATATTAATGTAGCCATACTCTCTTTTTGTTAGTGTGGGCATGGGCATACCTTTTTCCCACCCTTTTGCTCTTATCCTATTTGTATCATTACATTTAAAGTGCATTTTTTATAGGTAACATATACCAATTTTTTATCCAATCTGGTCATATTTTTTATCCAGTCTGACAATAGCTGCCTTTCAATTGTGGAGACCATTTATAATTAATGTGATTATTAATATAGTTTTACATGTACCGCATTCCTCTTCATTGTTACTATATTTCATCCCTCCTTTCCTTCCTTTTTTCTCTTTTTCTAGTTTCTTTCAGATTGAGTATTTTTATCATGCCATTTTTTTCTCCTTTGTTGGTTTATTAATTATAACTCTTTTTTATTTAATTTTGTTAGGCTGTGTAGTTTATATATTTAACTCAACACAGTCTACCTTCAAATGATATTATTCTACTCCATATACAATATACACTCATTTCTCCTTTCCCAGCTTTTGTGTTCTTGCTGTTGTACATTATATTTTAAACTTATATTATAAACTCTATTTTATTATCGCTGATTAAATAATTACATAATAAGGTAATTTAAATGATAAAAAAATCATATACTCATCTAGTCATCATTTCTAATGGTCTTCATTCCTTTGTGTAGTTCCACAAAAGATTTCATCTAGTGTCGTTCATTTATATTTCATGTAGTATCATTTTTCTTCTGCTTGAATAACTTCTTTGAACATTCCTTGTAAAACAGTAGTTCCCCTTCATGCATGTGGGATACATTCCAAACTCCCAGTGGATGCCTGAAACTGCAGATAATACCAAACTCTATATAGACTATGTTTTTTCCTATATATACATAACTAGGATAAAGTTTAATTTATAAATTTGGTACAGTAAGAGATTAATAATAAAAACAGAACAATTATAACATTATATCATAATAAGTTATATAAATGTAGTCTTTCTCTCTCTCTGTCTCTGAAAATATCTTAATTTTTGGAACCATGGTTTACTACAAATAACTGAAACTGAAGAAAGTGAAACTGTGGATAAGGGGGAACTACAGTATAGGTTTGCTAGTGGTTAATTCCTTCAGCTTTCATATGTCTTTATTTTTTCCTTAGCATTTGAATAGTATTTTTGCTGGGTATAGAATTCTTGGTGGACAGATGTTTCTTTACCTTAAAGATGTTGCTCCACTATCCTATTATTTGTATTATTTCAAATAGGAAGTCTGCTGTAATCCTTATTTTTGCTCCTTTGTATGTAATATCTTTCTTTTCTGCCTGCTTTTAAGATGTTCTCTTTGCCAATGTTTTTTATCAACTTGATTATGAGGTGCCTTGGTGTAGTTTTCTTCATGCTTCTTATGCTTTGAGTTCATTGAGCTTCTTAGAGCTAAGGTTTTATTGTTTTTATTAGATTTGGAATAGTTTTGGCCATTGTTTCTTCAAATATTTGTTTCTGCACCCCCTCTCCTCAGAGATGTGACGTATGTTTATATTAAGTGACTTGAAGTTACCCTTCAAGGCACTGAGGCTGAGTTCATTTTAAAATTTTATTGTCTTTTTCTTTTTGTTTCATTTTGGATAGTTTCTGTTGCCATATTTTCAAGTTCACTAATCTTGTCTTTTGCAGTACTTTATCTGCCATTAATCCCATCCAGTGTATTTTTTTATCTCAAACATTGTAGTTTTCATCTCAAAAATTTGTATTTTCTATATCTCTATTTAACTTTTGGAACATACAGAATACAGTTAAAATAACTGTTTGAATGCCCTTGCCTACTAATCGTAGCATCTTTATCAGCTGTGGGTTAGTTTCAACTGATCGATTAGTCTCCCCATTATGAGTTATGTTTTCCTGTTTCTTTGCACATCTGGATATCTTTGACTGAATGCCAGACATTGTGAATTTTTGCATTGTTATGTGAGGGATATCTTATACTCCAACAAATATTCTTGAATTTTGTTCTTGGATGCTAACTTATTTGGAAATAGTTCAATCATTTTGGTTGTAATTTATGATTTTTAGATGGGTTTTGAGAAATTCGCATTCCAGAGCTAATTGTTTTTTACTTCTAATCAAGGTCTTATTGAGTGCTCTACCCAATACTTTTTGAAGTCTGAGCTTTCCTGGGCTGGATAGTAGAAACAAGCACTTTCCCAGGCCCTAAGTGAGCAGTAGGCACTGTTTCTTGAGTTGTTTCACTGGTTCTTTCCCTAGATTCAGGTAGTTTGTTCACAGGTATGTGCTGGTCAGTACTCTGCTGAATATTCAGATGGCTTTCCATAGATCTCAGTTTCCCATTTCCTTAGTGTTCTCCTCTCCAGTACTCTTATGAACACTTACCACCTTGGTCTTCCCAGATCCTCTGCTCTGTCTGCTCAATTCACAAACATCCCCAGACTCCTTCTGGGTTGCCTCTTGCTATGGTTTGGCCTGGAAACTTTCTCAAGGTGGAAATCTGGGACAATCAGAAGGTTCATCTCTCTTGCTCCTTGTCTCTTGGGGATTACTGTCTTTTGTAGTATAGTATCTAGTGCCTTGGGAAAACAAACAAACAAACAAACAAAACACTGATTTATTTTCTGTGTCTGTCTTTGTTTTTGTTGTATTTGTCTGGAAGGTAAATTTAGTCCCTATTTATCCATCTTGCCCAGAGTGGGGCAAAATTAAATTTCTAAACCAGACAGAGAAATGCATAGATTCTAGAAACTGTAAATGCTCTTGCCAATTACTAGCTCCTCATTGTACAGTTGTGAATATTAATGTGTAAGACATTAAGTAGTTTTCACAATATTACACACAGTTAGTTACATTGTTATTGTTATTTTTATATAATGAAACTGAGAACCAGAAAAGTTATCATAGTGTGAGAAACTCAGAGGCCACTATGGATCTGGGCAACAAAAGAGATTTGGTTTGACTGTAAGTTGTTTTCTTTGTCTGGTTCCTGACCTGTTCTAAACTGAAAGCAGAAAACAGATATCAGCCTTGGGAAACAGGCCTACTCAACAGCTCCTCAAGCATAGGACCATGCTAATTACATGGAAAATGTTAAGGATAAGTAGAAGTTGAACAAGTGAATAAGGAATTTATGGACAATGCTCATGCTCTTAAACTACTCATTTTATTACCTTGGCATTTCTTTAGTTCTTTCTTCTAGAAAATCACCTATAAAAAAACTCAAAGACACTAATTCATATGGCAGATTAACTCTCTTGTAGACAACCACAAGTGTTACCCCACCCAACGTATTTATTTAAAGGAAAAAGCTTGGTAACTGTAAGGCGGCATTTCCAAAAGTATATTCCATAATCATGGCCACAAAATAAGAAACTTTCTGAGCTAAATATTTGACTTCTCAAAACTAAGCAACTTTCTTTCCTGTGGGTTTTTCAATCTTGACATTAATGGATACTTTGCATCTCTAAGAGAGAGAATAAAATACGCATCTTTCCCCCAATTTGCTTGTGGAACCGTCATCTAAGACAAGTATTCTATGAAAAATAACCTGGGAAAAGTTAACCTAGGAAATAAATTCTATGGCTAAATTATCAGGTACCACAAAATTTTGTTGGAAAGGTATTTCTGAGGCTAAAAATTATTTTTGAGACACTAAGAGAATTAATAACTTCAGTCCTTGCAAAAGTGGCTATATGGACTTGTCAAATCAATAGTTTGAATAGTATCTTTCTAAAAGGTCTTCATGAACACTGTACTTGAACAAGAAGAATTAATAGAAATTTTTACCCATGATGCTTTCCAGGCAGGAAGTATTAATCATAAGTTAACACTGAAATTGTATTTTGGGGGACAAAGAGAAAAAGCCTTAGATGGGTGGCATAAGAAGAAGGAATTAGGGGTTCGTTTTCATTTCCTTCCAAACTAATTGCCTAAGAAGCTTTTTATATCATCAGGAAGTACACTAACAAATGGCTTTCTTGACTTTTGCTAATCACTTTATTAATGTGTTAGCCAGATTTTAAAATATGCAGTAGTGTTAATATCTGAGGAGAAAAACCTTTATTATGTATAAATTACAAATTTTCTATCTCAATTGCAGTTGAGTTTTAATGTTTCCTTTCCAGAAAAGCCCTAGTACATATTCTTCAGGGAGCAATTCTGCACTCTTAAGGGAATGAACTGAATGACCTAATGGGTCCTTCCACCTTTAATTTCTGTAATTCAGGAAAGCCTCATAAAACACAAGCTTCCTTTGTGAATTAACTTTTCTCTGAAAATATTGAAACTACTTTCTTGCTCTCTTTGGAAGTACTTAAAAATGCTGAACAATATTAGAAATATCTACTGGACCCACACTGAAAAAAATCAGCTAAATTATACTCAATAGTTCAAGTGTAAATCTTTCAAAAAATATAACATCTCCAGTCTTTTTTTAATTATAGGAAGCCAGCCATTCATAACACCAAGAAATATAATGTTAGGGAGAAAGAATCAAAAATAAAAATCAAATCAAGCTAACAACTAATTCTGGAATATCTTTTATGTATAAATTTTATGCATAAGTATCATGGTTAAAAGAACAAAAGCATTTGCTAAGAACTCAAAAGAGGTATTACATCCCTGTTTAAAACTTGCTAGTAAATGTAATAAAATATATATAAGAATTTTTGTTGAAAATTGAATATGTGCTAGAGACCATGAAAAAATTAGAAGAAATATAAGTCAGAGTTCTTTATCATATATGTTTGCTACTTAGGAGGGAACACAAAACCTATGGTCATAGGATAATTAGTCAGAACATTATAAATCATGAATTGAAGCATAAGAGAGCTCCATTGAAGCTACAAGGGTGAGAGCATGCATAAAGAAGAAGGAGCTGAGTTATTTGCATCTTCTGTTTCTACCTCCCAGAACTCTTGGTTAAATATAGTCGAGATTAAAATCTGTTTCCTAGGCCCACACAAGAGCTTAGGAGTTCCAAGAACCACAATATCATCTGCAGAACCACACACTTTTGTGTTTTTCCTAGGGATTAGTGACATTTGTGTTTACATGTTTACACAGTATGTGTTATCTTTTTATGATTCTAATTCTAAACCAGCGTGAAAAATCACTTAAATCATCGAAATTTTAACTTTAAAATAAAAGCTATTTAGACAACTTTCTTTTTTAGGCATGGGGCCTCACGATGTTGCCCCATAGTACAGTGACTATTCACAGGTGTTGTTACAGCTCACTACAGTCTTGAATTCCGAGGTTCAGGCGATCCCCCCACTTCGGCTTCCTGAGTAGCTGGGACTATAGGTAGGCTTAGACAATATTAATGAATTAATAGTAATCCTGTTTTGTGACATAATAGAAAATGTGAAGTGGTTTCCATTTGCATGTTACTGAATAATTCTTACTATCATTTGATAGTGGTAAACCATGAAATAATTTAATTTTTTGCAGATGTCTTTCCAAAGTTCAAATGTAAAGCTACACCAAATTGACAATATATTTTGTATGAGCTTTGGACAGATGGAATATCAGAGAATGACATTTCCAGGTTTAAAAATAATCAAGAGTCCAGCAACAGATGACTGGATAAACAAAATATGGCATATAGCTAAAATGAAATATTAATCAGCCATAAAAAGAAATAAAGCTTTGACACATGCCACAACATGGATGAATCTTGAAAAAAGTGAAATAAGCCAGAAACAAATCACACATATAGTATGATTCCACTTATGTGAAATATATAGTAGGCAAATTTTTCGATATAGCAAATAGATTACAGGTAACTAGTGACCGAATTAAGGAGGAAATGGGGAGTTATTGCTTGATGGCTATAGAGTTTCTGTTTGTGGTGATGACAGGGTTTTGGAAATAGAAGAGTGGTAATGTTTGCACAACATTGTGAATATAATTAATGCCACTGAATTGTACTCTTAAAATTGTTAAAATGACAGTTTTTATGTTAGGTATATTTTAATACAATAAAAATGTTTTAAAAATAATTAGGAACATTTTCTTGCTTTGTCTTTTGGCATAAGAATGGTTACTATTTATTTCATCCTTATAATCTAAAAAATTATAAACTATTTATAAAAGCCACCTACTCTGTAAACAGTGGCCATGAGAGTAACTTGCTTTGATTAGTAGCCTATGTTTGAGAAGGCAAAGAAATAATTAACAAGATATGAGCATTGATGAGAAATGAGGTAGAAGTCAAACATGCCAAAGACCTTCAACTCATAGAAACAATGAATGAAAACACCATAGTTATAGCATTTTTCTGGGGCATTATGCTCTTTGGTAGAAAAAAGAGAAATAATGTGGTTGACAGAGAAGAAAGGGCTAAGGATAAGAAGATCTACATTTTAGTCTTAATTCTGTTGCTTTCTACATCTAGTAATTCCAGAGACTCACTTCTCTGGGTCTTCCTTTTCTCGCTTGTAATATAAAAGGGCTAGATGAGTATTCTTAGATTTTATCCCAGTTGTAAAATTTGGATAGTCAATCCAAGACATTGTGATTCAATGATGTTACTTGTTGAAACCAAATACACATTTAAATCACATTTTTATAACTTTGATACAATTTTAATATCTTATCAATTGTTGTCAACTAATAAGCTTACGGTTCAGAAATTGGACATTGTCATTTGACCCTCTAACAAGTTAATTTTTTTATGTAGCTTCATTTCCAAATTTAAAACCACATAAATTGATAATTTTATCATGATGCTTATAAAATTTTCTATCAACATATTCTTCTAAGAACAGGGTGTGGCATTGAAGTGTGGCGACTACAGAACATAACCAAAGTGTATAAATGTGTCCAATTTGTATTTTTGACCATGTTACTAATCAACTTGGAAAATAATGATCTACAAACTCACTGGCAATTATTATGGTCTGATAAAGTTAATTAAAGTTTCTTCTCATGCAGTATCTCCAATATCATTTCAGTCTTCCTCACAGAAGGGTCACAAAGCTATCTTGGACTTTACAAATGTTATTTCCTTTGTTTAGATCATCTATCTGCATAGCAATTAACCCTTATATTCTTCCAGATCCATCCCACATCCTTGCCCAGAATGTTTTTGAAACTCTCACCAAACAAGGCACTTGCAGAAGGTTAAAGCTAGCACGTGTTCTAAAGTCTGATTCTTTGTTTTACCGTAGGAGCCTATGAGCCACATGTTTTTGAGGCTGAAAGTGGCAATGGCAAGAATAATAATCCCCTGCCATTCTCAACACAATTTTTAAATTTTGCCCCTCAAATGTGTCTTTAATGTGCAAAATTGGTTATTATTATTTTAAATGTTTTTACCTCTTCAGATGTATTGGATTATTTAGTTGTTGTATCCCCCAACAACGTTTTTAATATAAGGAAGTTATGTCTTCTAATGATTATTTTGATGCTACCCTAATGCAGGAGCTATGGCCTCACACAGTGGGTATTCATTTTGTTGATTCATCTATATTTTTCTGCTATCTTTGTTTTCTTTAGCATATTGTGTAGCTAGTTCTTATAAGAGACCACAGTGGCAAAGCCAGGTCTGATTTTCACAAGGTATATCAGCAAACTCACAAGAACAATGGGTTCTGGCTTGACTTTTTGTCATATTACCTCAACCCCAGGACCTAGGTTCTCGAGCATGTCCAAATGGCCTTTTAATCATGGCACAGGATGTTATGACACACTCTACATTAATCTTCAGTAATTGACTGAAGAATTTCAGAATTCCTCCATTCTCTTCAGGATCAGAACCTTGCCCTTCACTAGGGTCTTTGAACCTTACCAGGTCCTACAATACTCCCCCATGGTGAATTCTATTAGCTATCTTTTGCCAGGAAGACCCCACAGTAATATGGGTATATCTTCTAGTAAGCAAACCCTTATTTATTTTTCCAAATTAGGGTACCCAATTATGTCTCTCACCACCAGGCCTCACCCACTGATTTAGCCCTCCAAAATGTATAATTGATACAGAGTAGTTATTTAACAAACCTCTATTTCATAACTTAATGAGTGCATTATGTCTTAGATTACTATTCTCTGTGAATACTAGGCCTCTGAACTTGGCTTAGTTCTCCCCAAGTTCTGTCTCTACCCTCTGTCTTCCTTACCCTGTTTTCCATGTCTTTCTCTGACATTCATTAGGAAAACTATATTTAGTTTTCAAATTTTCTATTTTGGAATTGCAGAACCATTTAAGGTAATTTTTGACATCATTGCTTCCTGCCTTAATATTTCAGCATGCATTTGTAGGAACCTGTTCTCTTGCATAAATCACAATATCATTATCCGGTCTTTTTTTTTAAAAAAAGAAACTTTGAAAATATATTTATTCTATAGCAATAAATGTTTGTGGTGAGAACTGATTTATTTATTTTTATTTTTTTTTACAGTGATATTTTATTTTATTTTTTTTTTTTTTTTGGCCAAGGATTTTTCTTTTCTTTTTTTCAATTTTATTATTACTATACTTTAAGTTTTATGGTACATGTGCACAACGTGCAGGTTTGTTACATATGTATACATGTGCCATGTTGGTGTGCTGCACCCCATTATCACATCTTAAGAAAATTAACCATAATTGCATCATATCATATAATCAGTTTCATACTTCAATGTCCCTAAGTGTCCCCAGGATGTCTTTAATAGCTTTCCTCACTTATAGGATTACCAAGATTCAGTTTTTTTTGACACATATTGCATTTGGTTTGATGTCTTTTTATTATTTAAAGTCAAGAACAGACCCTCAAGCTTTTTGTTTTATGAGTTTTTTTTCCTTAGAATTTAGGACAGTAGTCTTTTAGAATGCCCCACATTCTAGATTAGTCTTATGGCTTCTTCATGATTAGATTTAGGTTAAATATTTTTGGCAAAACACTACATACTAGTGATGCTGTCTACTTCTTATTGCATAGTATAAGGAACACGTAATGTCTAGTCTTTCTGTTGGGAATTCTGAGTTTGATCATTCTGTTAATGTAGTGACTGGTGGAACTCTCCATTTCTAAAGTTATATTCTTTCCAATGTGTTGGTAAGTAATCTGTGGTGTGATATTTTTAAGACCATATGACCATCGTCTCCCCCAACAACTTATTATCCCTTAATTTTGACATCTATTTATGATCTGCCTGAATCACTTATTACAAGAGAGGTTTCAAAACAGTGATTTTCTAATTCTGTCATCTCTTCTACATGTATTAGCTAGAATTCATCTGTAGGAAAGAAATAAAAAGTTTTCCTGTTTTCTTGCCTCTTCAATCTTTTTATTTTTCACTAGCAATATAGATTCTTCACATTTATAGTAATATAATCTATTACCATCATTATTCTTTTAGGTGACATTTTTGAGCCCCTTCAAGAAAGGGGCTCCTTTTTAGTACCTTTCTCCCCATTTTTTGTATGTTTTGTGGCTTTGTTTTCTTTAAGTTCTCTTTAATAAATTTGAATGCATAATCATTATTTGTAATTACAGAAGAATAAATGAAAATAAACTTTATAAACTTCCACAATTTTAGTTTCTTATCAAATTCATGAGTGTAATCCAAGATAGAGATTCAGTAATATAAAATCACTAAGTCTGCTTTAATAACATTTTGTTTTATGGTATATTTTATCAACCGCTATTTAGGAATTTGGAATTGAAGCATTGTGGCTTCTTAAGTCTCATAATGGGACACAGAAATACCTATTTTCATTTTCTGAGACTCATTCTGTCATTCTTTTATAAAAATCTTGTGAGAGCCTAAACTTGTTCTATTTTATATATTTTATCTGCAAAATTTACTTATAAGCAAAATGTTTGAAATAAGTGTGTGCTTTTTATGTTAAGATGTGATGCTTTATATGCATATTTGTTTATATATGTATATTTGTTACACACAGTATACATATATACCAAGAATGTTCCATGTACACTTCTTCCTTCTGGTAGACTTTATTTAATTTATTTATTTATTTTGAGATGGAGTCTGGCTCTGTCACCCAGCCTGGAGTGCAGTGGCATGATCTCAGCTCACTGCAACCTCTGCTCCCGGGTTCAAGAGATTCTCCTGCCTCAGCCTCCCGAGTAGCTGGGATTACAGGTATGTGCCACCACGCCTGGCTAACTTTTGTATTTTTAGTAGAGTTGGAGTTTCATCATGATGGTCAGGCTGGTCTCAAACTCCTGGCCTCATGATCTGCCTGCCTCAGCCTCCCAAAGTGCTGGGATTACAGGTGTGAGCCACCATGCCTGGCCAGATTTTATTTTTATAAACAAGAAAATAGCATGAAATTCTTTAAAAATTTTGGTGGATAAACAACCTAGATAATTAAATTAGGAAAATTGCATATATATATATACACACACACATATATATGTATATATATATATGCAATTTTCCTAATTTTATTTTATATATATATATATATGGCACCAGAACTCCAGTTGAGATAAGAAGGAATGAATCCCCTGGCTTGGTCCAGAGGACAACTTGAAGAGATGAACACAGGAGAGTGGAGGAGGACTAGAGCATTTGGAAGGAGTAGCCTCACTCAATCTTGAGAAGTTACCCCAAAACTCCACAATTAGGACAAAAGAATACCCAGGAATGAAGATGATGAATGGCTTTCTCATACACAATTTCCCCTACCTAACCTACCTAACTCAGGGTCTTGTGAAGAAGTAATGAACCAATCATGTAACATGCATGGTAAATGACCATTTTATAGTTATTGCTATCATCATCATGGTTGTTACTGTTATTGCCTTGAAGTCTGTGCCAGGGGCCCACAGAAACCACATTAACTAACATATGTTTTCATCAACCAAGTGCTAGAGATTTTTCTTGGTGCTTTTTCCCTATTATCTTCATAAAATCCTGCCAGAAAGGACATGTTATAAATGAGGATCCTATGTCCTTGGCCAGTAAAGTAACATGTGACTGCAATGTAGTAAGCAGAAGAATCAGAGTTTGAGTCTTGGCTTCCCTGAACCTTACCCAGGAAGGTTGTAGGAAGAAGAAAGATATACAGGCAGGAAGGGTAGCTTTATATGATTTTCTTGCCAGTAGAAGAAAGTCCTGGGATACGGGAGAGGTGAGGGAGGCTTCCCAGTGGCTCATGTTGGACATGCAGGACAAGATCAATTTCATGAAAGATGGGAGAGGCTGCTGGGCCCTATGCAGGACTGCACTGGTGTGACACCTGTGGGGATGAAGAGGCTAGTAAAGTAAAAAAATAATAGGAAGGCTGCATCCTAGCAACATCAGCCAGCAAAAAAAAGCAACAGGGAAGGCATAGGCAAATAGAATTTGAGCTAAATAATACACAGTGCAGCATCAAAGAAGGTGCTGAATTTCAAATGCAATTCTGTGTGCACACAACTTACCTAAATACTTACCTGTGTGTATGATTTGGCATATATAAAGATGTACATTGTAGCAATATTGGAAACAGTACAAATGCCCATTCATAATACGGACTATTAGGCAACAGTAAGGAAAAAAAAAGCTAGATCTATATATTCTGGCAAGAAAACTTATCCACATCACACTATTATTTTTAGAATACAGATGAATCATAGATTTTTTAAAACTTTAAATACTTAACATTTTTAATTGCTTACTATGAGAACATATTTCTGTATTTTTATGCTATTGAAAATGAATAAATAAATACCTAAGAGAAATCTGTTTTTTCAGCAGCTTTAGTGAACGACATTCAGAAACAACTGATTGTGTTGTTACTGTTGAGGAGAGTGAAGGAGTTTATCATTCTTACCTCCACAAAGATAAAATGCCTTTGTGTTCCATAAACTCTTGCTATAAACAACTTGCAAACAACTCCCAAGGAGAAGCCTAGAATGAAGGGCTAGCTTTGCCCTAGGTAAGACAAATGTCTGTTTGGAAGTGTCGACAATGCCTTTTGTTGAAGGGCAGACTAACTTTTTATTTAGTTCATCTTCACTTTTTACTCATGATATTATTCAATGATGTAGCATGACTATTCTGTGCTAGGCACAGTGCTAGTCTCTGCAACTGCAGTGATTACTGGGACAATCCTTGGGATATCATAGGAATTGTAGCAAGTGGTATATTTTCATTCACTCACTGCACAATAAGCAATACACCTAATAATGTATCTACGATACTCTTTCTTCCATAGTGATGTCCTTTTGATGTTAAAAGAAAAGTGCGCATTATTGTTTCTGTTGGTACAAAAAGGGATATTATGACAACTTAGAATTAACAATTTAGGGCCGAACGTGGTGGTTCATGCCTCTAATCCCAGCACTTTGGGAGGCCGAGGCAGTGGATCACCTGAAGTAAGGAGTTTGAGACCAGCCTGACCAATACGGTGAAACCTCATCTTTACTAAAAATATAAAAATTAGCTGAGCGTCGTGGCGCACGTCTGTAGTCCCAGCTACTCAGGAGGCTGAAACAGGAGAATCGCTTGAACCCGGGAGTCAGAGGTTGCGGTGAACCAAGATCACACCACTGTACTCCAGCCTGGGCAACAGAGTGAGACATTGCCTCAAAAAAAAAAAAAAAAATTAACAACTTAGAATTAGATATTTTATAAGGCAAAAATAAAATTTTTAAAGCAGTCTATGCTAGGCACAGTGACTCACATCTGTAATCCCAACACTTTGGGAGGTTGAGGCAGCTGGATCACTTGAGCTCACGAGTTCAAGACCAGCCTGGGCAATAGGGCAAAAGCTCGTTTCTACAAAAAATACAAAAATTAGCTAGGCATGATGGCTCATGCCTATGGTCCCAGCTACTTGGGAGGCTGAGGCTGCACACTACCTTGGGTGACAGTGAGACTCTGTCTCAAAAACAAAATAAGCAATCTACTTAAATAAGCCAGTGGTAAGTATCTGAAAATTTTTCAGTCATCTGGACACATGATGACATCACAGACCTTTCCATTTAATAGGTAAATTGTCATAGAGAAACTGCATTTCTAGGGATGTTATTTGCAAATATTTTCCAGAAAATGATGAAGAAAGCTATCCATTTTTAAAATAAATGTGGCTTCTCATTGGTTTTCTACAGAACCTTAATTAGAGAATCAACAACTGTGTAAAATTCCTGATTTATCTTCAGAATGAAATATTCAACAGTAAACAGCTTACAAAATGACTTATAAGCCTCAAGAGGGGAGAGGGAAAAATGCAGGGTGAAGAAGAATACTTATTTAGCTTACTGTGTGTAGACTGTGCTATCCCATCCAGCTCTCTCATGTAGCCTTCATCCTTAAAAGTGCAAAAGCACAATCTGGGAAGTCTTCCAAAACCGTCTGTATAAGGAGGAAGCACTTGCCAGGACACAGGAAGCAGTTCTTCTAGTTTGTCACTGTTGTTTCAGTGAGCACTGCCAAAACTATCCAGAAAGGTTTGAGTAATGGCAAGTGATGGAACATCTGAAATTTGAAATTTGAGATATGACCTGAGTCCAAAGCAAATGAACTGATTTTCTCTGGAGGCTAATAGTTTTTCTGTCAAGTATAAAATGAAAGGTTTCTAGGAAAATGAAGGCATTAATGGATACAGGATCTGACTCTGAGAAATCCAATATATTTAATAAGTTGTTTGAAATTTCCTGGGTAGTTTCAACAGTGTAGCTGGACTATTAGGTATTATGAAAAGTTAAAAATTAGGGTTTTGTGCTTTAGTCTAGAATTAACAACTTATTACAACTAAAATGTTGAAAAGTTCACCCTCTCTGAACCTCAGATTTTTATCTGTTGTTGAGTGTTGAACTAAATTATTTGTAAAGTTATACTATCTTAATAGTACAGTTTCTAGATATACTGAACCAATCATCTTGACCTGGAAACATGATTTAATTAATTTTGAAAAATTAAAATGATTATTATAAAATATTTTCAGGTATCATTGATCATCTTAATAATCTTATGAACCGTATGTTTTAGTTTCATTTTACATAGAGTTAAATGAGGCTATCAGAGAAGAGATAACTTTTCGATGGCCACAGATAACTCCTCTGGACTTTGTATCTTATTAATGGCCATTACAACAAAGTTTTCCATAATATAAATACTTTATTTTAGTTTTATTTATTTATTTATTTATTTAGAGACAGAGTTTTGCTCTTGTTGCCCAGACTGGAGTGTAATGGTGCAATCTCGGCTCACCGCAACCTCTGCCTCCCAGCTTCAAGCGATTCTCCCACCTCAGCCTCCCGAGCAGCTGGGATTGCAGGCTTGCGCCACCATGCCCAGCTAATTTTGTATTTTTAGTAGAGACGGGGTTTCTCCATGTTGTTCAGGCTGGTCTCGAACTCCCGACCTCAGGTGATCCGCCTGCCTCAGCCTCCCAAAGTGCTGGGATTACAGACATGAGCCACTGCCCCTGGCATAAATACTTATTTTCATTGCTATACTATATGTTGTATCAGGGAAGAATGTGTATTTCATTCATATTTTATACACACAGCACTTGTAAACAGTTCTTGTAGATTTTAATGTCGAATTGAGGAGTGGCAGAACCAAGACCAAAAAGCGTGTTGGTTTACTAGGGGGCCATGATGGTTCTGGCATTGTGCACTCTATGTATAGCTGCAAGTGGATAGCATTTGCCTTCACCATCATGTGTTTTGTTTCTAAAAATCTTATAATTTTTAGTTTATGTGTTCTGTGTTACTATCTGATGATATATTTCTAAATTACTGGAGCTCAGTGAGTGATATGAGGTCAATATCTAGCCAACGTATTACTTGCCCTTGAATTTTTGGAAAACTGTCGCATTTTAAAGGTTTCAATGAAGGAAGTTATCATTTACAGTTATTCTGTAGCTTGATGTCTATTATTTGTTAATGGTGACATTGTCCTGCCTATGGATTAGGAAGTAATTTAATAAAGGTGTAACTGTATCTTTTCAAATATTTTATTCATTTTTTATAAAGTAGATTTTTTTAGTTTGTTCTACTTGGTATATATGTATGTATATGTGTATATATACATACACATGATGTATATACATATATTATGCTCCTGTTGTCTAATAATGTAATTTTGTAGATTTCCTAAAATGTGATAAAAATGCATACTTATTAAGGATTCAGAATTCTCTGAATTACTCTTGAAATCTCTATTACTTTCTTGAGTAACTTCTGTATTATTTGGGTATGATTGGCAGCAGGGGCCATTAAATATCTGTAGATAAAAATGAATGAGTAAATGTATGACTGAATAAATGAATATTGCAACTCCTACTGGATGATGTAGTGGTTTGTTCATTACTGAATTCTGGCAAGCAGTAGTAAATGCTTCTGTGTAATTCACAATTAATACTTGTTGAATAAATTTATGAATACAAGAATAAAAATCAGTTTAAATTAATTTATTTTGTAGATGACAAACAAAATGCAACTAATTAAGGCACTTGATCTTTCTAATTAGGTATATTATCAAGGCAGATTTTTAACTCCTAGTACAATATTCTAAAACTACGTCAGACAATCATTTTCTTTGCCAAAATTCAGTCATGTAAGTACTGTATACTATGTTTCAATATATAGACTTCCTATTATTTTAAAATATATTTTATTGGAAGGTTCCAGAAAAAACCACAACTACCAATAGTAAAAATATATATAAAAGGTTAATCATTTTTATAATCAGGGTAAATTAGGCTAATGAGTTCTTATACCAGGGGCCTAAAATAAAGACAGTATTGTTTTGATCCTAAAGTAGTATTTTATAATCTATGATACATAATCCCATTAGATAATTGCTTAGCTCTTCACTGACTTTTGAGAAATATTCTTCATTAAAAATTAAAATATGTTAATCCAGTGTGGTTTTTGTAGATGTTAGTCCACTGAGTCCTTAATTCAATTACTTTGTTATTTTACAAAAAATGTATTAATAACTATTATATTCATAGTATTGTGTTCAGTATAATTGTGGAACCAAAATAATCAAACAATATAGGCTTCTTGTTCTCAAAATATTTACCCCCCCATACTTTTTCTTTGAAAAAAATAGTTCGATTTATTATTTAAAATCATCTTTTTTTTTTTTTTTTTTTGCTATGTCCTTAACAGTAAAGCCTAATGAGGTAAGTATACGCAGGTCACAGGGTTAAAAGGGAGGTGAGCTCATATCACCACATTGGGTTTGGTGATCTAATTTTTTAGCTCTTTATAAGCCCTATAGCAACTGCAGCTTTTATCTACACAATTGAACAATCAATATTTGCGTGGTCCGTGTGATTAGTTTATACACTTCCTGAAAGAAGCTGAAGACTGCTGGCAAAACAAATTATGTAATCCTTTTTGCTGATTTTTCTCTAATATCCTATGGCATTCAGAAATGGTTCCAGAATATATTCACAAAATGTAGTTTAGGAAAGAGTAAAATCATGTATGCTGAAGTAATACAGCAATGAAAAGTCTACATGGCTTAATGGGAGTATTAAGAGGGTTAAAATGGAAAACATATGCATCTGCTTTATTAATTCTTTAGTAATCTGTTTCTTATTTGGTGATTTCTTCTCATTCAACCTCTCACTGCAACTACACCAATTCAGACCCACGTTATATCACACGCAGACCATTGCAACGGCACTCCTATTCTTTGCCACTTCAGTCCGCCTTGCACAATGCTTTCAGAGTAAACTCCCACATCACCAATGATCTTGTCACACTCCACTCAAAAACATTCAATTACTTACCCAATAATTTGATTCAAGTTTATCTTATTAAATACTTTTTACTAGTCTTTGAAAATAAACTACTTCAAACTGTTCTACTCAACTTCTACCCGCGAACACTTTTTCTATTTATATTTGCTCACTCTAATAAATGCCCTTTTAATTTTAGAGAGTAAACACGCCTTTTACTCTCTAAGTAACCAATACTCTTAATAACTATTGTATTCATAGTATTATGTTCAGTATAATTGGGGAACCAAAAATATTAATCACTACAGGCTTCTTGTTCTCAAAATATTTAGATCCCCTCTACTTTTTATTTGAGAAAAAAAACTTGACGTTTATTTAAGATCATCATATACTTTTTTTGACGATTAACAAAACAATGACAACAAAAATAATACTACTAGTAAAAATAAAATATACATGTTTAATGTTTTACCTCAAATGTTACCTATCTTACAAAGGGTTTTGTTATCTACTCAACTGGTGGTAGTCTTGTCTCCCTCTTCCCTTCTTTAAGCATTGAATGCCTATAATATTCTTATGTGCTAATAATAACCTGATACTCTCTCTGTCCTAGGAAAAGTTTAAAATGCTTTAATCTCTCTTTCGGCTTTGCTGCCCCTGAGTCAGGTTAAATAGAAAGGAGAAAACCAATTTTTAAGGCAGCTGAAGCAGAGAAAGCATGGCAGAGATATTCACTCTGATTCTACAGCTGATCATAGACGTGTTGGAATGCGCCCTGAAACCCCACAGCTGAGCAATTAAGGGTTGTGTCTTTGATTCATATTTTGATACAAACAAATGGGAAGCCAAGAAAATCCTCCAAGAATCTTTTTCAGAACTCTAAGGAATCTATAAAGATATTTGAAAGGGCTTAAAGTTAAATCCATTCATAAGCAATTTACATGAACAGCAAAATTTTACTCCAGCAGATCTCAGTGGAAAACGCTCGTTTATTCTTTATATTCAAAACTGGTTTGGGGTTGTTTTGCTCATAGTGTGGAATTACTAAGGCATACCAGAGTAGCATAGCTTACTTCTTGATGATTTAAGGTATTTTTCTTAATTTAATAGCCCTGTATGTCGATCAGCAAAGTCAAAAAGTGTCATTGAGGAGGTTTTTAATACGTAGACTATTTGCAAATATTTGGGAAAATTATAGAAAAACTAACAAGGAATGATGACACACTGCAGAGGTAGTAATATTTGGAAGCCTTATCCATCTCTTGGTTTGAAGGGTCAAGTAGAGAAAGCAGTTATTGTAATCTGGCAAGAACTATAGCTGTGGTTGTAATACAAAGGGCCATTATTTTAGGAGCTACGATCTGTAGAAGAAGAATGTGGTCATTGCCAAGTTCAAAATAAGCAAAGATGATGCTAGAAGAATAACTTTCCTGACCTCTTTCTACCCTCCATCTTTGACCAGTAGGACCCAAACTGATGAAGGTTACAGAGGCCAACCTCTAGGACATAGAACAGAGTGGAGAATAGAGCTGGAGAGACAAGCAGAAAATTTCCGACACACCTCCCAAAGTCATGCCAAATGGGAACCAATTGGCACAGTCATTATATCACATTTGATTAATTACTTTAAGTTGAAAAAAAAAAGGCCGTAAGAGGAAATCTACGGAAAATATTGAAAATCTTTTCTGAAATCTGGATACTCATACCCAATATACCTCTTTACACATTCTTTGTGTAAAGTCTTTCATAGAATGGACCCAAAATGCAAACTTCCTAAAGTTAGAAAATAGAATTTTGCTGGATAGGATCACAAAAATCTGCCTCAGAGTTCTCTTCAGTAAATTACTCTTCATCACAATAATATGTAGATTATTAGTTTTTATAAGCCACACATTTTAACCTATTGCAACATTCTATTATAATAGATACAAGTCTTAAAAATAAAACAATTTAATATTTTCGTAGTATTGGTTGATCTAGCAGACTTTGATTCTGTGATTTTTGTACATAGTATATCTGTCCTTGAACTCAGGGGAATGAGTTCAATATGGACTCCAGATTTTCATGAATCTTTGAATAATTACGATATACATTTACTCATGCATTATAAACTTTCTCATGGTCCAGTATATGCCAAACATTCTTCTAACTTCTGGGGCGAATAGTAGTGTCAGAGTAAAGACAAATGGAATTTCAATATGTCCTCAAGTATTAGGAAGTTTTTGATGTTCAGGCTGCTTTCTTCTGGACAAGACACAACTATAGATTTCCCATATTGACTTCTTCTTTTTTTCTTTTTAATGTGTAGTCAACAAATTAGATTTATTTTTACAGTACACATTTATCAAGCTATAATTTTCGCAATGTTTTAATTCTGTTCTGAGGTCTACAGATACCTCTACATAAACACTAAAGCCAGTGATTTAATAATTATTTGTTTAGGTAGTATTCTAGAAGCTAGGAATTCAAGTTCACAGAGTTCTCAGTGAATCAGGATAGACTGATAATCACTATTATAAAATGTAGATGTCAACCAGATTATAAAGAGCCTTTTAAGTTTTGAAAATGAGCTTGATATTGTACTGCATCCAAATGACAACAGGAAGTCATTGACAAGCATGGAAATGACATAATCACATTTACATTTTAGAAAGAGCTCCCAGATTACAGCATGGAGAATGCATGTGAAGCAGCCAAGCACTCCTATAATGTCATGAATTATACACTATTTAATGTACCAGAATGCAAGATGGCAATGGCCTATCCTGGAGGACAATAAGGATGGAGAGAAATGAACTAATTCTAGAGGCATTTAGAAGGTAGAATTCTTGAGACTTTGTGATTAATATTATGTGATGAACCAGCAAGAGGAATCAAGAATGATGCCAACATGTGAAGCTTGGTCAGCTGAATAGGAGACAGCATAATTTACCAGAGTAAGAAATGAGGCCATGGGTGGTGGCTCACACCTGTAACCCCAGCGCTTTGGGAGGTGCGTGCCTATAGTCCCAGCTACTGGAGAGGTCAAGGCTGCAGTGAGCCACGATGGTGCCATTGCATCACTCCAGAGCCTGGGCAATAGAGCGAGACTCTGTCCTTAAGAAAAAAATGAATGATAAGGGTGGGGCATATTTGTTATTGAACCTTGTCATCAGGGTAAAGAAAGTTTCATAAAGTAAGTTAAAAATGTCATGTTACATTACGACCTCTAAAAATGGTTTAGTATCATGAAAATTAACTCTTTCTTTAAAAGGTTTATTTAAAAACTTGCCTGCAAACTATCTATATGCAATAATTTTTGGTGAGCATTATTTTAAAAATTGTTATCAATTTTTAATTGTTTTTAACCTACTCATATTAACCCTTTTAAAAACAACTTTGATAATGCAAATTTTCCTTGTCCAGAAATTTCTGAATTACTAGAATAATATTTTTCATAATATCTGAGTGTAGTTATATCCCATTTCCTATATACAAATGTGTTTTTAAAAATTAGACTTGTCATAAGATATAAGTTAGGAAGGATTTATTTATCAGCCAATTGTTAAAGCCTTTTCAGATTCACTGGTTTATTGCTTTTATATTATTCACCGGTTTATTGTTTTTACTATGGTTTTTAAATTCTTTTTCAACTTATTTTATTTTTTGTCATTCTTCCACATTTAATAATTTGTATACTTAAAGTATTCATTTCACTTAAATGCATGTTTAACTACAATTTATTTGTTTTGAAAGCAAAAAATGAAAAATGGAGAAAAGATATCAGAATGTATAATTCATAATTTATGAATATTACTGTACACACATATTGTTTGATGTATCACAAATATTCAGGAAATAATTTTAATTGAAAGAGTATACTTTATAGGCAGTCATACTTATTAAAATTGCTATCTTGATTAAAAATTTCTTGAGATTTGGCATGTAAATTGTATGAAGCTTTGTCTCATTGATTTTTTTTTGCTTTGAATTTTATTTCTCTTATGATTTTATCAATAGCCATCTATGACTTTGAAAACAACTTTTACTTGTCTTTTATGTCTTCTTGTTAATCTCTGTATTTTTACATTTCTGTACCATTTAATTTTAGGTGTCTCTTCTAAATCACATAGCCATTTATAATTTTAAATACAATCTTATATTTTTAATTTAATAAAATTGTTCAACTCATTAATATTTATTGTGATAACTGACATTTGGTCTATTTTTTCTGTTAGTTATGCTTTATATATTTTATGAGTTCTTGCTGTTTGCTTTTTCTCACTTTTCTGTCATCAGCTACACAACGCGATTTCTTTATTCTCCTTATTCTCTAACAATGTAGAAGTTACGTATATTATTTCTTTTCGACTAATGACTATCTTTACCTTATCTTATCTTGGACCTATGTTTTTGAATTAGTGTCATGAATGAACAGAAATCCAACCATTACCATCACCTCCCCTGATTCTACCCTTAAACATACTGACCTATATGTTCTTTTCTACACTGTCTTCTTAAGTTTTAACTTTATTTGTTTTTTATTAGCTAGATTATGCAAAGTAATTTATCTAGGAAAAACTTAAATGGCACGTTTTATGAGTCTGTATTGTTCTGAACTATTCTAAAGAAATATTACATGGCATAATCTATTCTTAATTGTCCAATTTTTCCCTGTATACATATCACCTCTATTTTAATCACATTAAAATGGAGGTGAGGCAAGTAAAAGAGACTTATGTGAATTCTAAGACATAATCTTACAGTTTAAAGATATACTCGGTAGACAGGAGGAGCCAAGATGGCCGATTAGGAACAGCTCCTGTCTACAGCTCCAAGCGTGAGCGATGCAGAAGACGGGTGATTTCTGCATTTCCATCTGAGGTACCAGGTTCATATCACTAGGGAGTGCCAGACAGTGGGCGCAGGCCAGTGGGTGTGCGCACCGTGCATGAGCCAAAGCAGGTTGAGGCATTGCCTCACTTGGGAAGTGCAAGGGGACAGGGAGTTCCCTTTCTGAGTCAAAGAAAGGGGTGATAGACACACCTGGAAAATCGGGTCACTCCCACCCGAATACTGCGCTTTTCCAACCAGCTTAAAAAATGGCGCACCACGAGATTATATCCCGCACCTGGCTTGGAGGGTCCTACGCCCACGAACTCTCACTGATTGCTAGCACAGCAGTCTGAGATCAAACTGCAAGGCAGCAGCCAGGCTGGGGGAGGGGCGCCCGCCATTGCACAGGCTTGCTTAGGTAAACAAAGCAGCCAGGAAGCTAGAACTGGGTGGAGCCCACCACAACTCAAGGAGGCCTGCCTGCCTCTATAGGCTCCACCTCTGGGGGCAGGGCACAGACAAACAAAAAGACAGCAGTAACCTCTGCAGACTTAAATATCCCTGTCTGACAGCTATGAAGAAAGCAGTGGTTCTCCCAGCACGCAGCTGGAGATCTGAGAACAGGCAGACTGCCTCCTCAAGTGGGTCCCTGACCCCTGACCCCCAAGCAGCCTAACTGGGAGGCACCCCCCAGCAAGGGCACACTGACACCTCACACTGCAGGGTATTCCAACAGACCTGCAGCTGAGGGTCCTTTTAGAAGGAAAACTAACAAACAGAAAGGATATCCACACCAAAAACCCATCTGTACATCACCATCATCAAACACCAAAAGTAGATAAAACCGCAAAGATGGGGAAAAAACAGAACAGAAAAACTGGAAACTCTAAAAAGCAGAGCGCCTCTCCTCCTCCAAAGGAACGCAGTTCCTCACCAGCAATGGAACAAAGCTGGATGGAGAATGACTTTGACGAGCTGAGAGAAGAAGGCTTCAGATGATCAAATTACTCTGAGCTACAGGAGGACATTCAAACCAAAGGCAAAGAAGTGGAAAACTTTGAAAAAATTTTAGAAGAATGTATAACTAGAATAACCAATACAGAGAAGTGCTTAAAGGAGTTGATGGAGCTGAAAACCAAGGCTCGAGAACTACGTGAAGAATGCAGAAGCCTCAGGAGCCGATGCGATCAACTGGAAGAAAGGGTATCAGCAATGGAAGATGAAATGAATGAAATGAAGTGAGAAGGGAAGTTTAGAGAAAAAAGAATAAGAAGAAATGAGCAAAGCCTCCAAGAAATATGGGACTATGTGAAAAGACCAAATCTATGTCTGATTGGTGTACCTGAAAGTGATGGGGAGAATGGAACCAAGTTGGAAAACACTCTGCAGGATATTATCCAGGAGAACTTCCCCAATCTAGCAAGGCAGGCCAACGTTCAGATTCAGGAAATACAGAGAACGCCACAAAGATACTCCTCGAGAAGAGCAACTCCAAGACACATAATTATCAGATTCACCAAAGTTGAAATGAAGGAAAAAATATTAAGGGCAGCCAGAGAGAAAGGTCGGGTTACCCTCAAAGGGAAGCCCATCAGACTAACAGCGGATCTCTCGGCAGAAACCCTACAAGCCAGAAGAGAGTGGGGGCCAATATTCAACATTCTTAAAGAAAAGAATTTTCAACCCAGAATTTCATATCCAGCCAAACTAAGCTTCATAAGTGAAGGAGAAATAAAATACTTTAAAGACAAGCAAATGCTGAGAGATTTTGTCACCACCAGGTCTGCCCTAAAAGAGCTCCTGAAGGAAGCGCTAAACATGGAAAGGAACAACCAGTACCAGCCGCTGCAAAATCATGCCAAAATGTAAAGACCATCGAGACTAGGAAGAAACTGCATCAACTAACGAGCAAAATCACCAGCTAACATCATAATGACAGGATCAAATTCACACATAACAATATTAACTTTAAATGTAAATGGACTAAATGCTCCAATTAAAAGACACAGACTGGCAAATTGGATAAAGAGTCAAGACCCATCAGTGTGCTGTATTCAGGAAACCCATCTCACATGCAGAGACACACATAGGCTCAAAATAAAAGGATGGAGGAAGATCTACCAAGCAAATGGAAAACAAAAAAAGGCAGGGATTGCAATCCTACTCTCTGATAAAACAGACTTTAAACCAACAAAGATCAAAAGAGACAAAGAAGGCCATGACATAATGGTAAAGGGATCAATTCAACAAGAAGAGCTAACTATCCTAAATATTTATGCACCCAATACAGGAGCACCCAGATTCATAAAGCAAGTCCTGAGTGACCTACAAAGAGACTTAGACTCCCACACAATAATAATGGGAGATTTTAACACCCCACTGTCAACATTAGACAGATCAACGAGACAGAAAGTTAACAAGGATACCCAGGCATTAAACTCAGCTCTGCACCAAGCGGACCTAATAGACATCTACAGAACTCTCCACCCCAAATCAACAGAATATACATTTTTTTCAGCACCACACCACACCTATTCCAAAACTGACCACATAGTTGGAAGTAAAGCTCTCCTCAGCAAATGTAAAAGAACAGAGATTATAACAAACTATCTCTCAGACCACAGTGCAATGAAACTAGAACTCAGGATTAAGAAACTCACTCAAAACCACTCAACTACATGGAAACTGAACAACCTGCTCCTGAATGACTACTGGGTACATAATGAAATGAAGGCAGAAATAAAGATGTTCTTTGAAACCAACGAGAAAAAAGACACAACATACCAGAATCTCTGGGACGCATTCAAAGCAGTGTGTAGAGGGAAATTTATAGCACTAAATGCCCACAAGAGAAAGCAGGAAAGATCCAAAATTGACACCCTAACATCACAATTAAAAGAACTAGAAAAGCAAGAGCAAACACATTCAAAAGCTAGCAGAAGGCAAGAAATAACTAAAATCAGAGCAGAACTGAAGGAAATAGAGACACCAAAAACCCTTCAAAAAATTAATGAATCCAGGAGCCGGTTTTTTGAAAGGATCAACAAAATTGATAGATCGCTAGCAAGACTAATAAAGAAAAAAAGAGAGAAGAATCAAATAGACGCAATAAAAAATGATAAAGGGGATATCACCACCGATCCCACAGAAATACAAACTACCATCAGAGAATACTACAAACACCTCTATGCAAATAAACTAGAAAATTTAGAAGAAATGGATAAATTCCTTGACACATACATTCTCCCAAGACTAAAACAGGAAGAAGTTGAATCTCTGAAAAGACCAATAACAGGATCTGAAATTGTGGCAATAATCAATAGTTTACCAACCAAAAAGAGTCCAGGACCAGATGGATTCACAGCCGAATTCTACCAGAGTTACAAGAAGGAACTGGTACCATTCCTTCTGAAACTATTCCAATCAATAGAAAAAGAGGGAATCCTCCCTAACACATTTTATGAGGCCAGCATCATTCTGATACCAAAGCCGGGCAGACACATAACCAAAAAAGAGAATTTTAGACCAATATCCTTGATGAACATTGATGCAAAAATCCTCAATAAAATACTGGCAAACCGAATCCAGCAGCACATCAAAAAGCTTATCCACCATGATCAAGTGGGCTTCATCCCTGGGATGCAAGGCTGGTTCAATATACGCAAATCAATAAATGTAATCCAGCATATAAACAGAGCCAAAGACAAAAACCACATGATTATCTCAATAGATGCAGAAAAGGCCTTTGACAAAATTCAACAACGCTTCATGCTAAAAGCTCTCAATAAATTAGGTATTGATGGGACGTATTTCAAAATAATAAGAGCTATCTATGACAAACCCACAGCCAATATCATACTGAATGGGCAAAAACTGGAAGCATTCCCTTTGAAAACTGGCACAAGACAGGGATGCCCTCTCTCACCACTCCTATTCAACATAGTGTTGGAAGTTCTGGCCAGGGCAATGAGGCAGGAGAAGGAAATAAAGGGTATTCAATTAGGAAAAGAGGAAGTCAAATTGTCCCTGTTTGCAGATGACATGATTGTATATCTAGAAAACCCCATTGTCTCAGCCCAAAATCTCCTTAAGCTGATAAGCAACTTCAGCAAAGTCTCAGGATACAAAATCAATGTACAAAAATCACAAGCATTCTTATACACCAATAACAGACAAACAGAGAGCCAAATCATGAGTGAACTCCCATTCACAATTGCTTCAAAGAGAATAAAATACCTAGGAATCCAACTTACAAGGGACATGAAGGACCTCTTTAAGGAGAACTACAAACCACTGCTCAAGGAAATAAAAGAGGATACAAACAAATGGAAGAACATTCCATGCTCATGGGTAGGAAGAATCAATATCGTGAAAATGGCCATACTGCCCAAGGTAATTTATAGATTCAATGTCATCCCCATCAAGCTACCAATGACTTTCTTCACAGAATTGGAAAAAACTACTTTAAAGTTCATATGGAACCAAAAAAGAGCCCACATCGCCAAGTCAATCCTAAGCCAAAAGAACAAAGCTGGAGGCATCACACTACCTGACTTCAAACTATACTACAAGGCTACAGTCACCAAAACAGCATGGTACTGGTACCAAAACAGAGATATAGATCAATGGAACAGAACAGAGCCCTCAGAAATAATGCCGCATATCTACAACTATCTGATCTTTGACAAACCTGAGAAAAACAAGCAATGGGGAAAGGATTCCCTATTTAATAAATGGTGCTGGGAATACTGGCTAGCCATATGTAGAAAGCTGAAACTGGATCCTTTCCTTACACCTTATACAAAAATCAATTCAAGATGGATTAAAGACTTAAATGTTAGACCTAAAACCATAAAAACCCTAGAAGAAAACCTAGGCATTACCATTCAGGACATAGGCATGGGCAAGGACTTCATGTCTAAAACACCAAAAGCAATGGCAACAAAAGACAAGATTGGCAAATGGGATCTAATTAAACTAAAGAGCTTCTGCACAGCAAAAGAAACTACCATCAGAGTGAACAGGCAACCTACAAAATGGGAGAAAATTTTTGCAACCTACTCATCTGACAAAGGGCTAATATCCAGAATCTACAATGAACTCAAACAAATTTACAAGAAAAAAACAAACAACCCCATCAAAAAGTGGGCGAAGGACATGAACAGACACTTCTCAAAAGAAGACATTCATGCAGCCAAAAAACACATGAAAAAATGCTCATCATCACTGGCCATCAGAGAAATGCAAATCAAAACCAGAATGAGATACCATCTCACACCAGTTAGAATGGCAATCATTCAAAAGTCAGGAAACAACAGGTGCTGGAGAGGATGTGGAGAAATAGGAACACTTTTACACTGTTGGTGGGACTGTAAACTAGTTCAACCATGTGGAAGTCAGTGTGGCGATTCCTCAGGGATCTAGAACTAGAAATACCATTTGACCCAGCCATCCCATTACTGGGTATATACCCAAAGGACTATAAATCATGCTGCTATAAAGACACATGCACACGTATGTTTATTGCGGCATTATTCACAATAGCAAAGATTTGGAACCAACCCAAATGTCCACCAATGATAGACTGGATTTATAAAATGTGGCACATATACACCATGGAATACTATGCAGCCATAGAAAATGATGAGTTCATGTCCTTTGTAGGGACATGGATGAAATTGGAAATCATCATTCTCAGTAAACTATTGCAAGAACAAAAAACCAAACACCGCATATTCTCACTCATAGGTGGGAATTGAACAATGAGATCACATGGACACAGGAAGGGGAATATCACACTCTGGGGACTGTGGTGGGGTGGGGGGAGGGGGGAGGAATAGCATTGGGAGATACGCCTAATGCTAGATGACGAGTTAGTGGGTGCAGCGCACCAGCATGGCACATGTATACATATGTAACTAACCTGCACAATGTGCACGTGTACCCTAAAACTTAAAGTATAATTAAAAAAAAAAAAAAGAAAAAAAAAAAGAATCAGCACGTCAGGCCAAAAAAAAAAATAAGTAAAAGATATACTATAAAGATATACTATACTAATTTTTGATATTAATAAACTTATTAGGAACATTTAGACATATAAAGTCAAAAGGGAATATCATTACCAACCACTGTTATAGCCCAGCATTAAAAAAAAATTATAATTAAAGCCTTCATAAATTTTTAAAGTCAAAGTTCAACTAAATCTTGCATTTCTTACAATAGAACCAAAGATTTGAGTTGATTTCTTGTTTACGTGTTAATCCCAAGGATTTTTCTTTTTAGCTGGAATATACAAAGCCTTATATGGCATTTCAACTGCTGGAAATACAGATGGATCAAACTACCTAAACTCTAAACTAAGCAGCTAAGAGATGTGTTTGTATGTTGGGTAGCTAGTAGCGGAGAGAGTATATTTCTTCTTATGTTACAGTGATGAGCTATTTGCATTAACTGTAGTTACATATGCATCTGAGGGATGGAGCACTCCACACGTAAGGAATTCAAATGATCTATGGTCTTTTTTCCCCTAATGTAGCACTCTTTTCCTTGACATTAGGTAATCTTTATTAAATTCAGCAACATCTCTTAACAGGATTAATGATTTAAAAAAAGCAACTCAAATAATTGATGTGTTTCTTTTCAACATAAATAAGACATACATCTTTAAATCATTCAATGGCTTGTAAACACCTTCCAGGAACAAGTCCAAGCACGCCATATAACACCCGTTTCCATCTTTGCCTACATTCCTATCTTTTCACTTTACACTCAAGTTACACTAAAATTCTCTCCATCTTTGAAATCACCAATCTTGCTTTCTTTCTTCCTCCTCCATAGCTTCCTCTTCTAGGACTGCTTTTATCCTCTTTCCACCCCTTGAATCTGAACAACTCTTTGTCATTTAAGAATCAAATTTGAAAACTGCCTCCTCCTAAGAGCTTGTTCTGACCATCTTAATACCAGCAAAATTTAGGAGGTACTCTTATGTCCTACAATAGCATGCTATGCTTCTCTAGTTTATGGCACTTATGATAACAACTTATAATGATCTGTTTACTTGTCCGCCTCCCTCAATAGACTCTATTTTTTTTTTTGATAAGGGGGACTGTGTCTCATTTACCTTTGTTATTTAGTGCCTAAAATATTTAGCCATTAAAATTCTCTCCTCAAAAATATAATTCATCCCCTCAAAAACCTTAATTGACAACATTTGATGCAGGGTTGATGCTGTGATTCTCTTGAAATTTTGAACATTTTCAATTTTACTTCATTGTCATAATGAAGTGAACCTTCACTTTGAAAACATGACATGATGAAAATCAATAGAAAGTAATCTCTATGCTGGTTCTGCTAATAGTAACTCATCGTGTAAACATGAGTGATTTTATGTCCATTAAGCTTTTGATTTGTGGAATTTATATGACAAATAATTAGTCTGATATGAGTTTTTAAATTTCAACATATTTTCATATTGACACTTTATTACTGTTTAGCTCTAATCGAAAAGTGATGATTCATTTGAGAGGAGTCACATTTATGTGACAGAAGTAAAAAGTTCAGTTAATCTTGCCAAGAACTTTCCTGTCCTTTCTCATCTCCATATTGAACATCTGTGTTCTTTATCATTAAACTGCTTTTGGTCTAAAAATATTCCAAGAAAGATCTGAAGAATTTCTGTGCTTTATATATTTGGCTTTTATTTTCAGATGACAGGAATAGAGTAGATTAATTTTTTGTTCCTTGCAATACGATTTCTGTGTTGGTTTTATTTTTTAATTCCTTATCTTTAAGAACATTAACAACGGTCTGAAGAGCAAGTATTTTAGGGAATTGCGGACTCCGCCTGTGGTGGAGTGGAAAGTAGAATAGAAGAGTATCTTAGATTATGAAAATAATATGATAATAATTATCATCATAACAATACAGATATTCTGGCCAGGTATCTCAGTCTTGTGGAGCTTTTTAAAAACATAGATGACTCCATTCCCAGATCTATTGAGTTAGAAATTCAAAGCTTGGGGAACTGATATTTTTTGTTTTCTAAAATCTCCAAAGAACATTCAAATTTGCAGCTGACTTGAACACTGCAAAATATTATTTTCTATTTCATAGGACTTATAACTTACATGTTGTTTTTCCATGTTTTTCTTTTAATCTTCACAATAGCAGTGTGAGGTAAGTAAAATATGTCCCATTTCATAAACAGCTGAATCTCAGATGTGGTCAGCAATATTTGGGGACTCAAATTCAGTGTTCTGATTCCAAGCCCAAAATTTGCATCTACAAATATAAAAGTTACTTACATATGTGAAAATAGCTGAAACCCAAGTACCTGTCTTAACATTTATTTAATGCTCTGAAACTTCTTATATGAAAATTAGAAAACATTTTACTTCTTTTTGGTGTGATGTGAAGATACTGCTTAAATATTTAAGGACTTGAGATTTTTAGTAATAAAATCTGGGATACAATAGTCATTATTTTTGTAATAGTCTCTTTTCTGGTGATTAAAAGTCATTATCACCTAGTCATTACTACCAATGAGATAATTAAGACATTTCAAACAAACAATTTAAAACAAGATGTATTCCTTTCACTCCTAAATTTGAGATCATTTAAGAGTTCTTCTTGGCCGGGCGCGGTTTGGCCGGGCGCGGTGGCTCATGCCTGTAATCCCAGCACTTTGGGAGGCCGAGGCGGGTGGATCACGAGGTCAGGAGATCAGGACCATCCTGGTTAACACGGTGAAACCCCGTCTCTACTAAAAATACAAAAAATTAGCCGGGCGTGGTGGCGGGCGTCTGTAGTCCCAGCTACTTGGGAGGCTGAGGCAGGAGAATGGTGTGAACCCGGGAGGCGGAGCTTGCCAGTGAGGAGAGATTGCGCCACTGCACTCCAGCCTGGGTGACAGAGCGAGACTCTGTCTCAGAAAAAAAAAAAAAGAGTTCTTCTTTTAGTTATTTCAAGGACAAAAGTAAATGTAGAATATGTTGATTTTTTAAATTAAAATGTGATGTATTTTAATTCCGTAAACTCATATTTGGTGAACAGAATAAACACTGCCTATATAAAACATACACATTCAGCTCTCTAAAGGATGAATAGAAAAAGTATTTTTTTAAATATATGTATATATATTGTTCTCAGAGGATAGGCTGGAAGTGTGAAATATTTCAAAAATCTCCAGTGATTGGTGATCATTGAAGACAATATTTCATAGAAATAAAAATGTATTTATACTAAAACTGAAAAATATATCATTTCAATATGAGAGCCAGTTACAGAGGCAATATTTAGTGTGCTGTAATATTGAGGCAAATTTTCCCATTGCAGAATGGCTCTACAGAGGAACTCTTTACAAGTCATGGCCTGATCCTTTCACTGTTGTGTGTCAGCTTCTGTCAGGAGGAAGATGAGAAGAAGGGTTGGGCATTATTTGTAAAGTTCTCCCATTTGAAAATCTTGATAACCCAAACATTCCTGGTTTTCTCAAAATTACTTCATCCACCTATTGAAATGATCGTCTTCAGAAATGCTGAGAGTGAAATCACTCCTTTACTTCTTAGCTATTCTTTGCAATAGATACAGTGAAAGAACTATGACAGTTACTAACACCATGAATGAAAGATTTTAAACTTTTAACCTTGAGAATACACTTGATGCTAGTGTACAATTACACTCTTTTACCTTCCCTCCCACTATTCTTAGCTATCTGCTCCAACGAATACACATTTACTTTCAGAGTATAGAGACATAATATTAGCTCCTAATTTAGGGGTGACAATTACCAGATTCTGATTTCACTAAAGTACATTTTCCTAAGAAAGAAAATATTAGAATACGTTTAAATGACTTTTTTGTCTGTGAAGCTGAACCTTTTAAAAACAACTTTATTGATTGATGCACAAAAACAACTTTATTATTTGATGCACAAAAATACACATAATCAATATGTACAATTTGATGAAGTTAGATATATGTGCAGACATATGAAGCCATTACCATAATCAAGGTAACAGACATCTAAAAATTTCCTGTGTCCTTTTAGGTTTTTAGGTGGTAAGAACACTTAATATAAGACCTACTCTCTTAACAAATGTTTATGTGCACATTACAGTATTGGTAACAACTCTAAGTGCTATGTTGTATAGCAGATGTCTACAATTTTTCATGTGGTATAATCAAAACTATACCAATTGAACAACCCCCCATTTTCCCTTTCACCAGCCCCTGGGTAACCACCATTTCATTCTCTGCTTCTATGAGCCTGATTATCCAGGGTATCTCACATAAGTGGAATCATCCTGTAATTGTCCTTCTGTGACTGGCTTATTTATTTCACTTGGCATAATGTCTTCCAGAAACATCCATGTCATCACAAATATTAAGATTTCCTTCCTTTGTAAGGTCAAATAATTTTCCTTTGAATGTATATACCATGTTTTCTTTATCCATTCATTTGTCAATGGACATATGGGTTGTTTCTATATCTTGGTATGATGGTTAATATTGAGTGTAAACTTGATTGAAGTATGCAAAGTATTGTTCCTGGGTGTGTCTATGAGGGTGTTGCCAAAGGAAATTAACATTTGCGTCAGTGGACTGGGAAAGGCGGACCCACCCTCAGTCTGGGTGGGCACAATCTAATCAGGTGCCAACATGGCCAGAATAAAAGCAGGCAGAAGAATGTGGGAAGACTACACTGGTTTAGTCTTCTGGCCTTCATCTTTCTCCCCTCCTGGATGCTTCTTTCCCTCAAACATCGGACTCCAAGTTCTTCAGCTTTGGGACTCGGACTGGCTTTTTTGCTCCTCAGTGCAGACGGCCTACTGTGGGACCTCACCTTGTAATCGTGTGAGTCAATACTCCTTAATAAACTCCCCTTTATATATACATCTATCCTATTTGTTCTGTCCCTCTAGAGAACCCTAATACACACTTCAACTTCAAGGATGCTTGCATTTTTCCTAACACCTTCACTTTCATGTAACATCTGCCCACTACACTTGCCTCTATATAGATGATGTACCTTACAGTAGATAAAAAATCTGCCCTCATTATCACTCTTAAAGATTCTTGGCCATCCCTGCCCCCAACTTTGTATCAGTTGAGGAATTTGTCCTTTTTTTCTGTTATATTTTTACAAAAGTACATCTGTAAACTATTGTGGAACTGTATAGAATAGGACCATTCCAAGTACAGGCTATCCAATCTCAATTGGTCTTTTAATACTGTGTGAAATTCTTTTTTTAAAAATGTCATGTGTTGATATACATTCTCTCAAAAGCTCTAGTAACCTACCAGTCCTCTTATTTGTATTAACATAAATAATAGTTCATATTTATTGAATGCTGTTTGTGATAGGTGTTTTATAAGTATTATCTCATTTAATCCTCACAACAACCCTATGATAGATATTATTCTTCTCCTTTTCTTCATATTTACTGGTGTATAATGAGAGATATTACAAAGGCTACAGATGAAGAGATTCATAGGATGAGATATGAGGGAATAGGTACAGAGCTTCCATTCTCTACCTGGGCTCACCACCCTCCAGGAACCCCCAGGCGTTCAGCTACCCGGAAGCTCTCTGAACTTGATCCTCTTGGGTTTTTATGGATGCTTCATGATGTCAGCATTCCTTCCCCCTGGGTATGGAGCAGGACTCTCTCTGGAATGAGGGTTTTATGAACCATAATCAGAAAAGTGGGGAAGATTAGTGTCCTGCCTTGGGGCAAGTGAAAAGAGGGCAGGAGAAAGTCAGAGAGATTCTGTTTTTTGAGGCTGCCCCTAAGGTCTATGTTTGGCTGTGTCCTCACCCAAATCTCATTATAAATTGTAGCTCCCACAATTCCTACATATCATGGGAGGGACGTGGTGGGAGGTAATTGAATCACGGGGACGGGTCTTTCCTGTGCTGTTCTCATGATAGTGAATAAGTCTCAAGAGATCTGATGGTTTTATAAGGGAGAGTTTCCCTGCACAAGTTCTCTCTTTCACGCTGTCATATAAGACACACCTTTTATCTTCCACCATGTGAGGCCTCCCCAACCATGTGGAACTGTGAGTCCATTAAACCTCTTTTTCTTTATAAATTACCCAGTCTCAGGTATGTCTTTATTAGCAGTGTGAGAAGAGACTAATACACTTGGCTATTGTAGATAATGTTGCAATGAGCACAGGAGAGCAGATATTTCTTCAAGATCCTGATTTCAATCCTTTAGGATATATACACAGAAGTGGGATTGCTCAATGATATGGTAGTTCTATTTTAAATGTTTTTAAGAGCCTTCATACTGTTTTCTATAATGGTGGCATCATTTTACTTTCTCACCTATAGTGTACAAGGGTTCCAATTTGTCCACATCCTCACAAAGACTTATCTTTTTTTGTTTCATAACAGGCATCCTAAGAGATAATATTTCATTGAAGTTTTGATTTGCATTTCCCTGAACTAGTGATCTTGAGTATTCTATCTATCTATCTATCTATCTATCTATCTATCTATCTATCTATACTAGTTGACCATTTGTATGACTATTTTAAAGAAAGCATATTTTTAATCATGTTATTAGGATCTTTGCTATTAAGTTGTAGGACTTCCTTATATGTTTTGGAGATTAATCCCTTATTAGATATATGGTAAGCAAAGATTGTCTCCCACTTCTAAAGTTGCCTTTTTATTCTATTCTTTCCTTTGCGATGTAGAAATTACTTAGTTTGATGCAAGTCTACTTGTCTAATTTTTCTTTGGTCTGATTTTTCTTTTGTTGCTTGTGTTTTTGGTGTCATATCCAAGAAATCACTATCAAGCCCAATGTCATCAAGCTTTTTCTCTATATTTTCTTCTAGGGGTTTTATACTTTTGGGTCTTACATTTAAATCTCTAATCCATTTTTAGTTTATTTTTGTGTATGGTGTAAGATAAGGATTCAATTTCATTCTTTTACATGTGGATAAACAGTTTTTTCAACACCACTTATTGGAGACTGCTCTCTCCTCAATGTGTATTTTTGTTACCCTTGTCAAAAATCAATATATGCATGGGTTTATTTCTGGCTTTTCTGCTCTGTTCCATTGGTCTACATGTCTGTTTTTATGCCAATACCATACTGTTTCGATTACTGTAGCTTTGTAATACATTTTGAAAACTGGAAGGTTGATGCCTTCAGTTTTTTCTTTTGCTCAAAACTCCTGGCCGGGCGCGGTGGCTCATGCCTGTAATCCCAGCACTTTGGGAGGCCGAGGCGGGCGGATCACGAGGTCAGGAGATCGAGACCATCCTGGCTAAAACGGTGAAACCCCGTCTCTACTAAAAATACAAAAAATTAGCCGGGCGTAGTGGTGGGTGCCTGTAGTCCCAGCTACTTGGGAGGCTGAGGCAGGAGAATGGCGTGAACCCGGGAGGCGGAGCTTGCAGTGAGCCGAGATCCCGCCACTGCACTCCAGCCTGGGCGACAGAGCGAGACTCCGTCTCAAAAAAAAAAAAAAAAAAACAAAACTCCTTTGGCCCTTCAGGGTCTTCTGTGGTCCCATACAAATTTTAGCATTACTTTTCAAGTTCTGTAAATAATACCATTTGGATTTTATAGGGATTGAATTAAAATGTAGATCACTTTTGGTAGTATGGTCATTTTAACAATATTAAATCTTCTGAGCCACAAACACAGCATTTTCAATTTACTGTGTCTTCTTTAATTTCTTTCATCAATAATTTGTAGTTTTCAATGTGTATGTCTTTTACTTCCTTGATTAAGTTTATTTCTATGTTTTTTAATTCTTTTTGATGCTATTGTAAATAGGATTTTTTTCTTAATTTCTGTTGTAGCTATTTCAATGTTAGTATATGGAAACAGAACTGATTTTTGTATGTTGATTTTGTTTCCTACAAATTTACTGATTTTCTTTTTTTAGTTCTAATGGGTTTTTTTGTGGGCTCAAAAACACTTTTTTTACATATAAAATAATGTCATCTGCAAATAGAGATCATTTTACTTCTTCCTTTCCAGTTTGGATGTCTTTTGAAATATGGCTTTTAACCTAAATTCAGATGGCTAAGTAACTACATTTCTTAAAAGTATTATTCAACTAATTGGTATGCTCTGCTGACACTCCATAATTTCCTTGCAATGACAATGGCAAATTATCATAATTACAGAATTTCAAAATAGTCTTTCCTGGTTTTCCCAAATGGCTATTTTTTGGTCATTCATTCAATAATCATTCATCAAAATATATTAAGTGTAATAATACTTATTAATATAAAAATATAAAATCCATAAACAAGTAGAGATTTTTGCTTATTTTCTTCACTGATGTGCTCTGGCTCTGAGTACCAGTTTCTGAGACACTTCATATACTCACAACAAATATTTGTTGAATGAATAAATAAAGTGTATATGAGATGTCAATCTCATACAGCTAACTAAGAATTTTAAGTATGAATATGAAATAAGAAATGATCCTGAAACTCAAGAAGCCCATAGTCCTTTCTTCCCTAAATTATCTTCCTAAACTAACCTTCACATTCCTAGGAAAACTACCATCACATTATGTGACAGTACTAGAAGGGTGCGGAATTCTAGTACACAATGAGGGATAGAAAGTATCTATGTTCACTTTGACATGCCATGTTGCCCCTATATGCAGTTAAACACTTTCAGTAAATAGTTGCACTAAAATTTACTTATGCTATTTACTTTTAGAAGTTTTACTTTAATTAGGAACATAAAAATCCAGCTCCAATTGGGAAATTACAAAACGTTTCATGTGTTGCATCAGTCAGATTATTGAGGCATTTCCAGTAATGCATTTATGGTTCGTTTGCTTTTCTATGTTAATTTAACCCTTACACATTTCTTCACCATTTTCTTGTCTAATTGATTATCTGTCAAGAAGTTTGTTTTCTCGTTAATTAAAAAATATCACAGTAGTCCTCCCTTATGAGCTGTTTTATTTTCTGCAGTTTCAGTTACCCATGGTCAACAGCAGTCAGAGAATAGGTTAGCATAGTACAGTACAGTATAGTACAATAAGATATTTTGAGAGAGAGAGACCACATTCCCATATTTTTGTTACAGTATATTGTTATAATTGTTCTATTTTATTATTAGTTAACCTTTTACTGGGCCTAATTTATAAATTAAACTTTATCATAGCTGTGTTGGTATAGGAAAAATACATAGTATACACAGCATTTGGTACTATCCAGGGTTTCAGGAGTCCACTGGGGGTCTTGGAACATAGCCTTCATGAATAAGGAGAGACCATTGCATAGGAAACTATTTACTTTTTGAAAATTAGTACACTTTAACATCAAGGTATATCATTTAGCACACTTTAACATCAAGATAAATAATAAATTTGGGGATGTTTATGATTGGCTTACCAGGAAGACTGTTAACTCTTTTGGTTACATAGTAGATTACTACTATTTACTCCATGCATCAGTTGCCTAAAACAGCAAATATATCTCACAGTTGATAACAGTGATTCTGACCTGAGACATTTAATGTATTATTTAATTACAGATAGAATATTATTCTCAAGTGTTAAATTTCACATACATGTTAATGTGCAATTTATCCTATGGTGAAGTTCACTATAGAGTTTTGTTAAACTTAAAACTCTTCAAAATCATATTCTCAGCAAACCATACCTCTGAGGTGTTAAACTAATCAAATAGCATCACTACAACCTGTTCAAGACACTGAGTTATGAAAATTGTAGATTTTCTCACTTAGACTTAATAAGTATTGGACTTACAATTGATTCTTAAGATCTTCTGCACATTCAAACATTAAGCAATAAAACTGAAAATAGCACTACTTAAATATTAGTGTTTTACAATCTAAATGTTTTACAATCTAAATCAGAGAAGGAAAAAAGTTATCTTCTCTATGCTCTATTAATAAAAATTGGCTTTGCATATTGAAACACTTGAAACAGTGCTTTCAAATCAAGTGCATTTTATTTTCTGTGTGTAGGTCCGCTAAGGAGTTTCATGTTAGGGCCCATGAATGTATACATTGGCAGTATGTGCACAAACACACTGTGGTTCTTGATTTCTGGAAGAATTCAAGTACAGAGTTCCAAAATCTCCTTTATCACTCGACATACAGAACCCTCTTGTCTTGAGTTTGGGAGTTAATTTTGCTCTTTGTCCATATTGTCCACAATCTTTTGTGTAGCCTTTTGTAAATGTAAGCAAATACTGATTATTTACTTTGTGCTAGGCTTATAATCCTTTGCATCCAAGAATAGGATTGCTGACATAGTCTGCTTATAAATCTCTTTTTCTGTGTGGTACTGTGTCTGAAATGACCATATATGAACTGAAGCCCAGGTCATTCTACTTATCCGAATTTTCCAGCCTATCATTAAAAAGGATATGCTCTTCTCTGCCATTCTCCTGAAGAGTTCAGGAATCAAAAAGACACTAAATTGGAATTAACAATCAAATATTTGGAAATTTTTAAATTAGAAAGTTAACTGTATCATTTTAAACTCAAAATTTAAAAAATAATTTGATTTGATCCCTACGTCATTGGATCCCTGGAGATATTCATGTTCAGATATTCTTGTTCAGATATTCTTAATGTGTTGTTTTCCTGCCTTTTGTTCCCCATCGTATTTAATTTTTATTGTTTGGTTTTCTTCTGATATAATGGACTCTTCTGAATTGAGCTGTATAGAACACAATTTTATGTCTATGCTTTACAACTGTTCTACAAGTCTTCATTATGTGACGTTTTCTCCATCTGTTACTATTAATGAACAAAATATCTATTTCATTACTATTAATGGACAAAATATGTCAATAACAGTAGACATAAGTCTCATCCAAACTTTCAATTTCTCCCCACTTCTGACTACAAAGGCCTACCAGAACTATCACAAATTTAGATTTCCCTCAGGTATCTCGGACTCACTAATTACAGTAGAGGGTCATAGCAAGTTTCTAAAAGAATATTACCTTGATCTCTCTGAGATGACCTCTAATGTGAACCTTCCATTGAACGTTAACAGAAATCTCCATTCTACTGTGACCAAATAGCTTCTCTAAAATCCTTATTTGCAACATTTAGCAATTTTACAATGCAATTTTGCCTTTTAGAAATTACAGTTCACCACCACTCCTGTTGATATAGAAGAGATATCACCATTTCTCAGTAAGGGTGATGCTTAAGGCAGCATGCGGTAGAAATTTTAGTGTTCTCGAAGACTTGCTTTATTCGGGACCTGAAAAAAAATGCAAGGTTAGAATAATTTCATTATTAACATACTCCAAATTTTTTTCTACATTGTTTCTACATGTGCCCTCTAATTTTCTGTGGCTTCATGTAGAATTCTGGCTATCCAAAGTCTGCAATATGGATTTAAGTTTTGACTTCACCAAAGGTAATTTTTATTAAAGTATGACCTCTTATAGATTCTGCACTTTTAGAAGGAAATTTGAAATCTTACAAAGGGACTTTTATTATAAATATCTCAAATATACATATAAAGATAGATGTTAGACAGCTGGAAAGCTGAATAGGTGAAGGGAGAGATAAATAGATATATAGACAAAAATCTTCCTAATCCCACTTATATGCTCCAATTATTTCCCCAAACTAGAGAAACATAGCTCACAGAGATCAACAGTGTGTATTCCATGTATAAAAACTTGCCCAAATCTTTTCTGAATAATTACCATATAAATAAAAGCTAAAGAAGTAGTAAGTCTGCTATCATAATTATTTGATACATGCACATATTATATCATTATATAATTTGATATATTTTTATATATAATTTGATACATGCACATATATCATTCATGCACATATTATACCATTATACCATTTTAATATGTGCATATGATGCACAATTCAGGCACCATATTGTGAATATCCATCCTTTGTAATTATGTTTTACAATATGTTTTAAATAAAAATGTGATTTCTAAAATTTTCTTAGTACATGTGACTACCACTAGCAGTACAGATTTCTCATTCAACAGGCTTCCAACTTTCTTCATATTCTGCATTGAAATTATGACTAGATCAACAAAGAAGAACATCCTCAAATGTTTCAACATTCTCTGTGATACCATCAACGTTTGTTGTTTGCTTAGGAGTGAGGGATATTGCTGAATTTCTTAAAAGAAACAGTCTCACTGATACTGTAATACATGGCATGAAAACCTAGTGCTGGTTTAATTTTTCAAAATGGGTATGACTTTCCAATTTTCTCATTCTATCATCATCTAAGAATCACGTATTTATGTTAATATTGGGTGCTATTGTTGATAAGCTACTTGTAACAAATGAGTCAAGCAAAAAGGCATGAATTCTGCAGATGGTGGAATAATTCAGTGGGATAATCTGCATAAGCAGATTCATACTTTCATAGAAAACATTTTAATTTAGTGTTTGGCTTTGATCACTAGCTTACTGAACATCCCTAATTTTTTTCATCTAGTTCCCACCTTCTTTTTAATTAAAAATTGTACTGTGATTAGTGATTAATCTTTTTCCAAGCAGCAATATGATTATATTATGCTATGTTGTATGGTACAGATTTTCTATTGTTATAATTTCATTTGGATAGCTCTATGTTACCAGCTTCCTCAGTGAAATACTGCTCCCTGTGAAGGAAAAGCCAACAATTCAATATTATCTTGGATTTTATTCACCTGAAAAGAAAGCATATCAAAGTTTATCAGGCCACACATATTTGATTGGTTTATTCCCACAGAAGAAAGATATATGGTGTTCATTATCTGGGTTTCTTGTAGATTTGATCATTCATTGCTCAACATCTAATTTTGGGGGGATGATAATATTCACATTCAACAAGTCAACATTCCTCTAACTTAACAGAAAGAGCTATTAATGGACTCTCTCCCTCATATCATTTTTTCACATCAGGCTGATGATAGAGTATCCAAGAGGCCCCCCAAGGCTCTGAGATCCCTTAAATAGATGCTGAGCCAAAGAATGATGTTGTGAGTAAAATGTCAGGTCTCTTCCACAGCGGTGAAGAGAGTAGCAAGGCTGGTTCAAATCATGACATGTTGTGAGAAAAGTTTTTGAACAATAGTCTGTGTTCTCACTCTAGTTATTTATGCTCCTCCTCCATTCACATGAAGTAGGTTTTTATCAGTTAGTCACCAAAAGGTAACCATCTTGCTTGGCATTATTTGCATTTAGGATTTTGGAAATTTTATTTCTATTTTGAATTCATTTGTTTGTTATCTATTTTATTTTTAGCTTCCAGAGTTAAATTAATCACTAGAAAGTATAAAATTATTTCATGTTCTTATGTGGAAAATGAGAAATCATAGAGAAATATATTGAGAATAATTTTAAAAACTAATCTTCACAGTAGCAAGAAATATAAAGAATACATTAAAGGGAAATGAAATTCTACTACTATACCTGGAAGCAATAAGCCAGGACTAGACCAGACGAAGAGCAGCTGCTAGTATTTCAGTGAGAAAGCTGTCTTTTGATCTCTGTAGGGGGTATATCTTTTGACCTCAATAAGAAGATATTTCAGCACAAAGGTTCAAATAGGTAGTTCTTCAGATTTAAATAGCAATTTTTTTTTTATCTTTTGCCAGTTTACTGGATAAAACTGTGTTTCTCAAGTTTTAATGCACATCAGAATAACCCAGAGGATTTATTACAGCCAGATTGCTGCTTTCTAACCCCAGATATCCTCATGCAGTAGGTCTTGGGTGAGGCTCCTCCTGAATTTACTTTTCTAAGTTTCTGGGGGTGTTGATGCTAATTGTCAAGAAACTATATATTGAAAACCACTGGCATAGAATATACTATTGATTTTGTGTACATATGTCCTTATAAGATACTAAATTGTTATTTTACGCCAATAGAGACTCTATTGCCCTCTTTATGTAAACAGCTCTTCTGGTGTGAATCAACATTTTAAAATGGGCCTGTCCTGTAATGGGCAGTAACATTTGAAGAAGAAAGAATATACAGAGGAGCCTTGAATGTGACATAAGGAAGTTTGAGTCTCAGCTTTTTTCACTTTTCTGTGCTCAGTGGCTTGAGATGATCAACTACAGTCAAAGGCTTTCTTTTTCTACAAAATGGGAACAATACTTATCTCCCAACACAGAGCAACAGAAATTTAGTATCTAGTCTCTTTATATTTTTTAAATTGATTGTATATGGCATATATGGAGAAATGAAAGACAAGAATGGTATATGTTAATTAATGGGGGTTGCCTTCAAGGGGAAGAACAGAAGGGAAATACAGCATTTTACTTTGTACATTTCTGCATTGTTTGAGTCTTACATCAGTAATCATTTATGTAGGAATTTTGTACTTAAAACAATTAGAAAGTAAATGATATGTTTTTTAAAAACGATATCAATACACTGACAGGAGGCTTCTGTTTGGAAAGCAGTATTATCTCATAGACAAATTTGTATTTCCCTTCTAAAATACCGATCTGCGAAGGAATCCTTAGGTTTTCTGTTCATGCTAAAATAGAATCCCAAAGCAGTTTCTGTAACCGGTTATTTTTCTTTCAGCCCTAGCTCACACAGTTCCTGTGCTCTGTGTCAAAATGTGCTACTGCTGAGCACTGGGCTTCCCTTGGAGCGGTCAGTGAAAGTGATGTCTAATCAAGAATAACTTTCTCTGCAGGTTTCTTTCCTGTAATTTACTTCCCACTGATTCTCACGGAGGTGATTCCGCAGTGAAAATACAGTCGCTGTTTAATCAGTTCCCTTGATTTCCTTCTGAAATCCATAAGAAGATAGCATTGCAATAACACCCTGTCACTGTGGTGGCTTTAGAAACTTTGGGCATTTTGTCAACAAGCCTTCTCTTAGCAGAACCCTGCACTAGGCACTACAGCTGTGTGTATTAGTCTGTTCTCATGCTGCTACGAAGAACCACCTGTGACTGGGTGATTTATAAAGAAAAGAGATTTAATTGACTCACAGTTCTGCATGGCTGGGGAGGCCTCAGGAAACTTACAATCATGGCGGAAGGCACCTGTTCACAGGGCGGCTGGAGAGAGAATGAGTGTAAGCAGGGGAAATGCCAGACGCTCATAAAACCATCAGATCTCGTGAGACTCACTCATTATCACGAGAACAGCATGGGCAAACTGCCACCATGATTCAATTACCTTCACCTGGTCCCATTCTTGACACATGGGGATTATAGGAATTACAATTCGAGGTAAGATTTGGGTGGGAACACAGAGCTAAGTAAATGATATCACTGGATAGAGAATACAGTAAAATAGAAAACATGGTCTACACCCTGTCTCTCAGCCTAGAGCATAAAGCCAGGAAGAAGGAGTGAGAGATTTGAGTACATGATGAGAAATCAGAAGTGGGTGGAAGGCAGCTAGAAAAAATGAGCAGATGAAGCAAGAAGAGTGAAGAAGAAGACTGGATTGCATTTTCTAAAGAAGGAATATTGAAAAGTTTCAGAGTTAACAACTCTAGCTTTAAAATTTTAATTGTAATGTAAAAGTGAAAAGATGCCAAAATTTTCTGAAGCAACCCTAGGAATAGGGTGTTATTCCCCAGAGAGACTATATGCAGGTTCCATTTCACTGTACTCCCTCCCAGCTGCCCCCATGATCCTTAGCTGAGCTGCCTCAGTTAAGGATCATATTCCAGTGATGGTTTGTCTGAATGTCTGTCTGTATTCTAGACCACAAGTCAGAAGTTCAAAGGCGGAAATTCAGTTCATACTCTGTTTTGCAATGATTACTGTGTTGCTTAAAGGTCACAAATATGTTGAGTAAATAAAAACAGTTTAAAAAAAAAATTAAGTTCCTGAAACATAATCTGATACCGAAAGGCATTGTGAGTTATTTTGAGAAAAATTGTAGATGCTACTAAATTAGGCTCTATGTTTTCCAGTTGCTATTATTTAGAATTCTATGTATTCTAGTTTCATAGCTTCCTTTGGTTGTTTTTCCTTTTATGGAATTCCTAACATATCCATTCTTTTTTTCTTTAATTTTTTCTCAAACTGTCTTCCAAACTAACCTTTCCTTTGAACCTGTGCTTCTTAATTGTCAATGCGATAAAACATATTGGTTCCTTTGTTTTGTTCCTGCATTCTTTTAAACAAACAAACAACGAAATGGAAGGAAATGTGTCAAGGTCGCTATTGAAAATAGAAAACAGAACTCTAAAGGAAGATTGCTACCAAGAGAATTGTTTTTAAATCCAGAGAAAATCACTATGATTTTGTTTTTCTTTGTGTGAGTCCTTTTCTACACATTGATTGTGGCTGTGCCAAGTAACAGAAGGGAAGAGAAAAGCCATTTTAGGACACGCCTGGCAGCATGCAGGTGATTTGGGGCACAGAGGAATTCCAGATCCGCCCACCATAATGAAGTAAAGAAACCACAAGGCCGGGAAGAGACAAGGAAAGAACAATTGAAGACCATTCCAGGGAAGAGATCAGGCCTAATAAGCAGATGCTAACTGGAAGTTCAATTAAGTCAGAATGGAATCTGGGGCAAGAAGAGAAAAGCTGTCAGAGTGAATGAATTAATTTTATAGAGAAGTATAATGCCACACCTATCCAGGTTTATAATCTCAATATCAAATAACAATCATTCTTCAAGCCTAAATCATAGCTTCTTCTGAAATTCTTTCTTGACAACCCCAAAGTGACATGTTTTCTTCTTGGCTCCTTTAGTTCTCAAGGGTGCACTTCTCATTCATTAGCCAACATAGCCTACCTTGTGTCCTGGTTACTTTTCTTGTGTGATGTGTGAACTCTCCTGTGTTGAAGCTTTTACAATTTCTTTTTTGCAACTTCTAGATTGTTTGTCTTTTACTTAAATAAATATTTAACTACTGCGGTGACCATTACATCATATGATCATCTGATGACATCAAAATCCCTCATATGAGTAATACTGTTGTAATCTCAAATCAAGTTCAAAAGAAAAAGACTCTATTCTCTAGCACCTTGCACTGTGTACAAGATTGGTAAATTGATGCCATGTCATTGGAATATGGAAGATGTTCATAAACCAGTCCCAGACATTCTCAGATCCATTTGATTTCCTTGATATGCTTCACACTTTCACACTATCTGAAATTATTGTGTCCCCCTCTTTGTATTTTTCTCCCAACTAAATTGTAAGCTCTGTGTGTGCCAGGAGCATTTCTGTTTTGTTCCCTGACAAATCTTTAGGGCCTAGAAAAGTAGCACTTATCAGGAGCTCCGTATCTGTTGAATGGAAAAACTGCTGTTGATTTTAACCAGATAATATGAAGCCCTATAATCCAAAAGTATTGACAGAGCTTATAAAATTAGGTCCTTAGTGTAAAGAATTAGGCAAGGTCTGTATTGATGTAGAAAGATGTTAAAAGGTGCAAAAGCAAATATGCCATAGGCCTGTCTGCAAAAGGGAGAAATACTTATAGGAAGAGGATAGTACTTTGTGAGTTACAAAGACCAACATGAAGCTTCCAGCTTTCTATTTACCAAGTCTTTAAGACTTGGTAAGTGGAATTATCATCAGTTGTATGGTCTCTACTGTATTTTATGCCTACAAACATTGGTGTTCAAAGTTGTTTTTACAATTAGGCTATACATTTAGTTACACTACTCATACAATTATCTATAGCAGAACTTCAGCCATTTGTCTTGTCTCTTGAAGTCCATCCTTCCATGTTACCTCCTTGGCTTATGTACATTATAGGAGTAACTCATAAAGGACAAAGTGCTCACACACTGGTCTCTGTTCCCTACTGTACTTCAAGAGTAGAAGCATAAGTCAGTGCAGCCACAGAAGAGAGCAAAATGACACTAGTATAGATGAAGATAATCACATCCCAAGCCTTGGGGAAATCTATATGTGCATAAAAAGACATACACAAGAAAGTTCTTTGCAGCCTTGTCAATAAAAGCAACAAATTAGACATAACTTAAAGTTTTATTAACTTGAAAACAGATAAATACATCATGATATATTCACACAAGGGAATATTTCTCAGCAGTCAAAACAAATGAATTACTGCTATATCTCTCAACATGAATAAATCTAAAAACATAATGTGGAGTGGAAAAAGTTAGGTATAACACACTTTATACATAGTTTAAAATTGCAAAAAGCACCATAAAATTTATATATGCATAAATATATAGCAAATGCATATGAGAAAATAAGTCCTGATTTAATAATAGTGTTTACTTCCATGAATAGAAGAAAAGGAGTGGATAAAATTGAGGAAAATACAGGCTCACAAATGTATATGTAATGTTTAATTGATTCTTTCAAAATTTTCAAGAAAAAATATTTCATAGTATTAAGGTAGTTATGCACAAGAGTGTTATATCCTTAATGTACTTGCTGTATGTTTGAAACATTGAAATAATAAATACTTATTTAAACAACAACAACAACAACAACATTTATTTCCAGCCCTGGCCCCAGACCCTAAAGCTGCCGAAATGTTGATGCCTAAGAAGAATCAGATTGCCACTTATGAACTCATTTTTAAGGAGGGAGTCATGGTGGCCAAGAAGGATGTCCACATGCCTAAGCACCCAGAGCTGGCAGACAAGAATGTGCCCAACGTTCACTCATGAAGGCCATGCAGTCTCTGAAGTCCCAAGGCTACATGAAGGAACACTTTGCCTGGAGACATTTCTACTGCGACCTCACCAAGGAGGGTATCCAGTATCTCTGTGATTACCTTCACCTGCCCCCAGAGATTGTGCACAGCCGTCCAGAGAATGGCAGGCCTCGGCCTAAAGGTGTGGAGGGTAAGCAACCTGCAAGACTCACAAGAGGGGAAGCCGACAGAGATATCTGCAGACAGAGTGCTGTGCTCCCTGGTGCCTACAAGAAAGCCGCGGTTGGGGCTGGGTCAACAACCGAATTCCAGTTTAGAGGTGGATTTGGTCGTTGACGTGGTCAACCACCTCAGTAAAATTGGAGAGGATTATTTTGCATTGACTAAACTTACAGAAAAAAAAAAAAAAACACTTGAAAGCCCAAAGGAAAAAGAATATATTCACAAAAGGTGAGTTAAAGTTATTGAAGTTGAAATAAGACTGGCAGAAGGGAAGGAAAGGAAGTGGAACTGAACAAGATGGACAAGATGGAGGAGGGAGCTTGAGAAAGAGATCCAGAGAAATAGATAAGACCTGAAAGAAAAGATGAACTGGGAAAGTCCCAAGTGATAAAGGGTGAGAATGGAGAAGTCATACCAATTCAAGACAGTGGCTCATGAGTCAAAGGGGGAAACAAAATGGAAAACAGAGCTAGCACCGTCTGCAGACCACAATAGGAATATCAGCAAAGACGTATATAAATCACTGTAAAGCAAACAATGTGAAAACATAATTAGTTCCCTTCCTAAGGGTCAATATGCTAGGATAAAGTTAAGGACATTCTAGGAGCCAATTAGCAAAATGCTGCTATTAGAGGCAAGGGTGGCTGGAAGAAAACTATTGTTCTGATTGTTTCTCAAATCTAGTTTAATTGTGCTAGTAGAATGGTGCAGTGATATATGAACTGTAGTAATGGCTCACCCACTTCCACCCTTATAGGTAAGAGGAGGTAAAAGGCAAGAAGATTGTCTTTCCATCAGAGCAATGAAAGAAGGCAGGGTGACACAATAATGCACCAATGCATGCCAAGAGATTCTATTGCAACATCAAACAACAGCAGCATCTCTACGTAGAGAAATGGGTCTCCACTGGACATTCAAACAGGATAATTGATTGTAAATCTATGACGCACCAAAATGTAGAAAATCTTACCTATCAATGGGAACTAGAAGAATATTACAATAAGCCAGGCTGCCATTTATTAAATGGGAACTTGCTGACAGGTATCATATTTCTATTAGTGAAGGAAAAAAAAAAAACACAACCTTCTCAGGAATTTCTATTCATATTAACTGCCTCATCTGACTGTGCACACTTGTTTTTGGCCAGGGAATAGAAAATTTGATATCTTTTCACAGGAGGGTTTCTCTTCTTTAAGTAATCTAGAAAGCAAGATAAGAGAGAAAGAAGCATACAGAACAAGAGAGAAACAGAGTGAATGGCAGAGAGATTGAGAAAATAAATGCCTCCAACCAGAATCAGTTCCATCACCAAGAAAATATTGACAACTATTTTTTCATTAAGGAAATCATAGAAGCTTTTAAACTTCAGACTCTGTTGAATTCTGTAAAAAATCAACTCTGCACTTTCCTTGTTTATCCTTATGTGTCACTAAAAAATAAGAACTCATTCCATGAGTTGGTTAACTACCCTCAGTGTACCTGTTAATTGACTATTTAGATTAACATTATTTTAGAACAAAGAAATCTGTCTCAAGATTTTTAATATTTTTAAAGTAAATACAAAGAATTGGAATAATTTAAGACCTTCAGTGTCAGTCTTTAAAAAACGTAAAAGCATAAGTAAAAATACTTGCGGATAGCCTCTAAAACAGTTTCTTCTTAAGAATAATAATTAATTATTAAACTTGTCTGTACCAGATTATTTATTTTGGGTTGTTTTGACTCGAATTTTGTAGCCATGTTCTCTGCTGTGATAGTCACTTTTTAAACTCTATTTTTAAATGATGTAGCTTCAATTTTGTCCAAATTTCTTCTATGCAATGTAGAGGGCATTTGCAGATACCCAGTTCCCTAATGCAGCAGTCATCTTGTCTCCTGGCTTATTTGCTTATTACAAAGGAACAGATGTGATGGGAAAGGTGATGGGGTGTAAACAGTGCAATTGACTCTTTTTAAGTTTTACATTTCAACTAGAAGTTAGTATATTTGATTTTGCATTAAAATAATGGGATATAGGCCGGGCGCGGTGGCTCACGCCTGTAATCCCAGCACTTTGGGAGGCGGAGGCGGGTGCATCACGAGGTCAGGAGATCGAGACCATCCTGGCTAACACAGTGAAACCCCGTCTCTACTAAAAATACAAAAACTTCTCCGTGGGTGGTGGTGGGCGCCTGTAGTCCCAGCTACTCCGGAGGCTGAGGCAGAAGAATGGCGTGAGCCCGGGAGGTGGAGCTTGCAGTGAGCGGAGATTGCGCCACTGCACTCCAGCCTGGGCGACAGAGCGAGAATCCGTCTCAAAAAAATAAAAAGGGGATATAGTTGTAATATGCCATAACGTTTATGTCTAGAAATGCCAAGGCAACAAGTCAAATGGCTCCTCCAAACTAAGTCCTCATTTTAGAAAATCAGAGGACTTTAGAAGTCTATCTCATAGTTCAATTCCCATGTAACGGACATTGTTGACAGATGATATTCTAGACTGACAATGGGAAGCATGGCCATTTTTTTTCAAGAAATGGTTGATTCAATAACTGAAAAAGTCTTACTGCCCTAAAACACTTGCTTTTAGCAATCTTCATTTTATTCCCCTATATCCTTTTTTTTTAGTTTTTTTTTTTTTTTTAATCATTATACTTTAAGTTTTGGGATATATGTGCAGAATGTGCAGGTTTTTTATATAGGTATACAGGTGCCATGGTGGTTTGCTGCACCCATCAACCTGTCATCTACATTAGGTATTTCTCCTAATGCTATCCCTCCCCTAGTCCACCACCCCTCAACAGGTCCTGGTGCGTAACATTCCCCTCCCTGTTCCATGTGTTCTCATTGTTGAACTCCCACTTATGAGTGAGAATCTGTACTTGGGAACAACCTAGTTCAGAACAACTCCTGCTTCTAAGGTCTTGACAGCCCTCAAAATAATTCATGGCTACTTTATTTTTCTGTCTCTAGCCTTCCCTACTCTAGGATGCTTATCATTAACGTTTGTCAGCAGCACCTCATGGACACAATACACAGACCCTCCATTACCCTGATTGTCCGTGTGCCAGACCACTTTTGGCTCACATTCAGGATGGTGGTTAAAATTCCTGAGCTGTAGAGACAGAGAGAGCTTGGCTGAAATCTCGGCTTTGCTACATTTTAGCTCCATGGCTACTGAGAGGCATGTTGATCACCCCAGGCCTCCTTCACTGAACTTCCCCTTGAATTGCCAGCATCTATATCATTTCCTCCTCAGGAGTGTCCTCAGACTTCAGAAGCCTCTTTTGCCTTTCAATACAAAGAATGGGAGGTACCTAGGAATTTACATGCCCCAGAATGAGCCTTAACAATCACTGTGTTCAGTAAGGGACAACCTCCACAACAGAACTTCTCCGTGCTGATAGACTAAGACTACACTGAGACCTTGAAGCTACATCATTTAAAAATAGAGTAAAAACAAACAAAAAGCCAAAAAACAAACAAAAAAACAAAAAACAAAACAAAACAAAAACCTGAATATCACAGAAAGAGAACATGGCTACAAAATTGAGTCAAAACAACCCAAAATAAATAATCTGGTACAGACAAGTTTATTAATTATTTATTTTAAGAAAAAACTGTTTTGGAGGCTATCTGCAAATATTTTTACTTATGCTTTTATGTTTTTTTAAAGACTGACACTGAAGCTCTTAAATTATTCAAATTCTATGTATTTACTTTAAAAACATTGAAGATCTTGAGAAAGATCTTTGTTCCAAAACAGTGTTAATCTAAATTAAAGAGAAAGATCTCTTTCTCTTTAAAGATCTTTCTCTTTAAACTGTTTAAAGATCTTTCTCTTTAAACAAAGAGAAAGATCTCTTTGTTCCAAAACAGTGTTAATCTAAATAGTCAATTTACAGATGCATTGAGGGTAGTTAACCAACTCATGGGAGGAGTTCTTATTTTTTAGAGCCACTTCAGGATAGGCAACGAAAGTGCAGAGTTGATTCAACAGAGTCTGCAGTTTAAAAGCTTCTACGTTTACCTTAGTGAAATAAATAGCTGTCAATATTTTCTTGGTGATGGACCTGATTCTGGTTGGAAACATTTATTTTCTCAATCTCTCTGCCTTTCATTCTGTTTCTCCTCCCTGCCCCACTTCTCTCATTTTCCTACTGGTTTCTCCCAGAAGCACTTTCTTAATAAAGCACTTGCATCAGAATCCTCACCTCTGTTTCTGTTTCAGGGAAACCTGGCCAAAGATGAGAAATTATTATAATCTCTAAATCCCATTTTCCATAACTGTAAATGGGATCAAAATGTATCTACTTCTAGAATTAATTTAGGGAATAAATAAGAAAAAGCACATCGCATGTCAAAGTTTCACGCCTGATGTGAATGCTTACAAAAATGTAACTATTGTTATCAGATTTGCTGGCAGAGATTGAACAGGACATTCAAGATGCATTAAATTCAGGGCTTTTCCTTCTCAGGTTTGGGAGGCCATGTTTCCACTAAGGAAGCCCAAGAATGCTGGCTTCCCTTGAGAGGGCACGCCACTGTGGATGACCATAGAATTCAAGCTCCCTGCAAAGGTGTTGAAGGACTTGTGCATGGCTGCCAGACACTGCTCAGCAGTCTGTGCTGCTTTCCTTTCTGTTGGCAGTGAGCCAGAAAGCCCAGCTTACAAGCAGCACTATTTTGTTGTCCTCTCTGGGGCATCAAGAGAAGAAGAATGTTTCCTACATAGAACAGAGAAAGTCAAAATCCAGAATACATATCGCAAATATTGATTTCAAAGAGTTCTTGTACAGGTTAAATGTGATATAAATCTATATGTCAAATTAGTATAGAAAAAATGAGGCTTTATGTTTTTCATGTGGTTCAGTGGACTGCATATTTGAGAGGCGTAACATCGTGCAGCCAATTATGAGATTGATATTCGAAGGTCGCACTCACCCAGCTGCAAAGCTCAATGTGGGCTATATAAGCGGCTGAAGGGAACTGGGCAGCAATTTTAATTAATTAGCAATTTAGAGCCTCTCATGCTAAAAGCTACCTTAATGATAAAAAGAGAAATGATATGGGAAGGCAAAAGAATTTGAAACATTCAGCCTGAAACAACAGATATATTACCAACAGTGAGCTTTTAAGCAGGAACCTATCTTTTACTCAGCCATTACATGCTAGCTATTAATATTTTATGGTTATAAAAATTGTAAATCAGTGAAAATCAACTTAATATTTTGAGTTCATGAAGAGCTTTTTGGCTTCTGAAGAAAATCATTTTCGCTGGACTCTAACATCATTTGCTCTTGAGTGAAAACAACAATCTTCTATTTATTTGTATAATATAGGTCATGGCTCAGAAAACACTACCCCAAAGCATTTTTGGAGGCCTCAGAAGTAAGAAAGGCATTCTGACCTTCCCATTTTTCTGTGTGAGATCTGACCATAAATTCTGTACCCACCTTGCCTGAAAGTAAGTCATAAGACCCTCATCCCAGACAGGTCCTGTCCTGCAGCTGGGGAGAAGGAATGCTACACAGAGAAGCCAAGGAGAATCTGAATACATAGCACTTTCTGGGTTCCCCTTTAATCTATTGCCATTAGAGCATACTCTTTTGTTCAAGCACATTTCTACATGGCTGTCCATTCTTCATTGAATCTAAGCATAGAAATGGAAAGTTTTCCCTGGGTCTTTGAGTCTTCATTTTTGAAGGCTGCTGTGTCACATAAAATTTTGATTAAATAAATTTGTTGCGCTTTTCTATTTGTAACCTATCTGTTATGATAGAGGTGCTGGCTCTATCCCTTTCCCTTATGATAGGTGTGGAAGGATATCACAGCTCTCTGCCCCTACATATAGCTAAATCATCATAGTGCTTTATGATTTATAAAGTCTTTTTATACATTATGGTCTCATTTAATCTTCAAATCAAAGATAAAAAAGAGAAAAATTATTACTACCCTCAATATATGTTAGAGATAAAATAAGGTTTTCAGTCCATCCAGGATCACAAAGTAAGTGGTGATGCTGTACTACTGACAGATCCTTTAATTCCAAATTGCATTGTTACCTCACTTCACATCAAATACATATGTGATATAAAACTCTTGTTGATTTTTATACAAGAGAGTCTGCTTCATAAGTTAAAATGATCAAAATATGGAGCAAGGGAAATCAACTTGTTTCTTTTCTCTTATTTATTTATTTTTAGGTTCAAGCAGTACGTGTACAGGTCTGTTATATGAGTATATTGTGTAATGCTGACATTTGGGCTTTTAGTGAACCCATCACACAAATAGTGAATACAGTACCCAATAGCAATGGGACTCAACTTGTTTCTTAATCTCAGCCAGTTCAATTCTTACTAAGTGGTAAATATAGTTAATCATCTTCCCTTAAACACTGATTTAAGAGAAATCCCCACCTCTACCTTACTTCCCATTAGACAATAAGGGCTGGAGACATGTCAGTAACATACTCATGGTTTTGATACACAAAGCCTAATTTTTCTTTGGAAATATGTTTCTTACATGAATGAATGAATATGCTCAGGAATGCTCTAGTTACAAGAGAGTTATCATCCATGAACAATGCTCAGAAAGATCTTACAATATTGATGAATTTAGAAAATATATACATGGAAATAGCAAGTAAGTGCAAAATCAAATAATACTAGCGATGAGTTTATCAGGATTTCATTCAACAGAGAAATGCCCTGCTAGAGAAGAGTGCATGGAAGCTGTAGGTTATGCTCTCAGTCCTTCATCCACCTATCCTGGTATCGCTTTACCAGTTTTGCTCTCACAGGCTCCCTGTGCTTCCATTCCCAACAGCTAGCACTCATGTGTCTTTGGCAGAGAGAAGCTGGAAATGCATGTGAATGTATGTCCCTCCCGACTAGGCACAGCCCTTAATCAATGCCTAGTAATACCTGGGCTTCTGTCCCTGAATGAGGCAGATCGAATGTAACCAACCTGTCTCCAAAGCTCCCCTTTGAGACTGAGCCAAAGTGACCCTTCCTGGGACCTCACTCCATCTCATACCCTTACTTGGCCTCCTTCTCACCCAGGCCCCACTTCCCTCCTCCCTTATTTTTTTCTTGACCCTTCCTAAAAAAACACTTTCACAAAAATCCTCTTTTTAGGTATATTTTGGGGGAACCCAATCTAAAAAAAAGAAGATTGAAACTGAGCTTCAAATTTGAGTGTTGCGCCAAAAATTTCATTCCAGGAAGTGGGAAGGTAATGAGCAAAGGCATGGATCTGTGGAGGTTTTGTATTGTTAATGTAGGTGTTAGGAATTGTAGGTGTTGTTAAGGAAAAGCCTTCCTGACAACTAACATGGGTGTTGTAGAGACAGGATTATAAGCTTGGGTAATGATATGGTTTGGCTGTGTCCCCACCCAAAATCTCATCTTGAATTATAATCTCCATAAGCCCCATAATCCCCATGTGTCAAAAGAGAGGCCAGGTAGAGGTAATTGAATCATGGGGGCAGTTTCCCCCATGCTGTTCTTGTGATAGTGAGTTTTCACGAGATCTGACAGTTTTATAAGTGCTTGATCTGATGGTTTTGTAAGTATTTCATGAGATCTGATGGTTTTATAAGTGTTTTGTAAGTCCTGCATTCATTTCTCCTTCCTGCCCCCTTGTGAAGAAGGTGTCTTGCTTCCCCTTCACCTTCCGTCATGATTGTAAGTTTCCTGAGGCCTCCCCAGCCAGGCTAAACTATGAGTCAATTAAACTTCTTTCCTTTATGAATTACCCAGTCTTGGGCAGTTCTTTATAGCAGTGTGAAAACGAACTAATAATGGTAGGTAGGACAATAGGGCAGAATCATATCAGGTAGGGCATGAAAAAAAAAGAGATTTGAACTTAATGTGATAAAGAGTGTGAAATCATGTTGAATTTCCTAGTGGGAAAAGAACGTGAGAAAAGCAGGCAAATCTCAAAACATAGCTACGAAACTCCAGTCTCTGTAGATGCTATGTGGAAAAAAAGTTCTATGGTCAAATAAAGTTTGAAAACAGTTTTCATCCTACCTGTAGCCCATGGATGATTATCAAATGACCATATACCTATGAAAGGTGGGATCAAAGAGCAGTTTTAATTTTGTTCTTCTAGTTTCTAATTTTTTTGTTTGTTTGTTTTTGAGACAGAGTCTCTCTCTGTCAGCCAGGCTGGAGTGCAATGGAGCGATCTCGGCTCACTGCAACCTCCGCCTCCAGGGTTCAAGCGATTCTCCTGTCTCAGCCTCCCAAGTAGCTGGGATTACAGGCACACACCTTCACACCTGGCTAATTTTTGTATTTTTAGTAGAGACGAGGTTTCACCATGTTGGCCAGGCTGGTCTTGAACTCCTGATCTCAGGTGATCCACCAGCCTAAGCCGGCCTCCCAAAGTGCTGGGAATACAGGCATGAGCCACTGTGCCCAGCCTTCTAGTTTCTAATCTTGTACTCAGGAGTGTACTCCGTGTAGTGTAGTGCTAGTTAATGTGTGATCCACCTGCTGGTAAAGAATTCTGTTTTGCTTTAGAAAGCCTAGCATTGACTAACACATTTGGTCACAGTACATATTGGGAAAGTCATTCTTATTAATATAGTATAGAACTAGTTATTCTGTAAACATACTTTGGGAAATGTTGTTTTAGGAAGCTCCATGAAAGAGGGAGAGACTGGATGGAGGCCAAGCACTTTGTTAGGAGGAGACCAGGCTGGTGGCGAGAGAAATGTAAAGAAAATAAGCATCAGAGACCATCTGCAAAAGCCTTTGGGTATCACGAAAACCTGAATTTTCTAGCCCCACCATAGTGGTATGAGTGACATAAATGGGACTGTTTAGTGGTGCAAATTTCCTCAGACTCCAGTGGCTGCTATCTAATGGAAATAGGAGACTGGAAAGCATATTGGAAAACTGAAAAATTAAAAAATATTAAAAATTGAATGATTCCACCCAAATGGTTATATTATCTAGCATCATTTTAGTAGCACTAAAAGGTAGTTTTATTACATTCAAACATTAAAAGCCGACAAAATAATTTTTTTAAAAAAGAAGCTTGTCTGTAGTTTCAGTCTTAAGCTCAAATAACATAAGGGTAAGAGGTTTTGGTATCATTTTCTGGGTAGGCTGAGCAAAGGTTTTTTTCAAATAAATTTTTAGAAAATTGTAATGGCCATATGAAACACCCAGAGATCTTGCGAAAATGCGGATTTTAATCTAGAAGGTCTGGACGGAGTCTGAGATCTTGCATTTCTCACAAGCTCCCCGGTGATGCAAGGTTGCTGGTCTAATTACTACATTTTGAGCAGCAAGGGGCTCGAAGATAAGGTCCACCTGACTACAAAATGCAGAGACTCAAAATTAGAATTTCGATAGAAATTATTTTTCCTCTGTCAAGCATTTATTGTATTATTTCTCATGCATATTTGTTTGTTTATTTTGTTAGTTTTTTTATAATATTCAGTGTCAGCTGAGCAGTTAAGAAGTGATAGGGAGAAATGTGTGTGGGTAAGGGAATTTAAATGAGGTGTAAGACCTGTGGGAGGCTCTAGGGAAGACGAAGGGTCTACTTTCAGAGTTCGGCACCAGTGGGAGGTTCCCATGGCTAATTTACAAGCTTTACAGGGGAAAGGGAACATTTTATCAAGATATATTTTTAACTTCTTTTTTCATTCTATGTTCTTCATTTAACTGTTAATTTTATACATGCTGTGGGCTGAGAAATATGAATAAGGTTTCCCTTTAATAGCAATGTTACCTAAAACCAGCTATACCAGTTTTTAACAGAATCTTCTTTCTCTATCATATTTTGTTATTTCAATAAACTTCATTCTTTAAGGAAGTTTTCCAGTAGTATTTTCTTCATTTTCATGTGCTAGTACCTTCTTAATTCTAAAAGTATAAGAAATAAGATAAAGAGAGAGTATTCTTGCAATTATTTATATTCAGAACACCATGGTAAAAAGAAATAGGCATTTTCATTGGTTTTTAGTTATATATTTGTTACTTTCTGGAAACAAAAGGAAGGAAATTTAAATAATAAACCTTTGAGATCTTGGTGGTTCCTGAAATAGCAATGATGAAAACATAAGCTCTACCCTTTTGTTTTTCTTATGATGGTCCTAACATCTAGATCTGTCCATTTTAACCCAGAAGTCCACCTTAAAATTAATAAGGGAGTAATAAAATTAATTGTGCATTTAAAAAGTCTCATGTCACTACAGGATGTTATACATAAAACAAGTTCTCATTTTACTTTAAAATATGACTATACTTTTATTATATATGCAATGTATTTTTCAGAAGATTTATAGGTAAACTTTCCATGATATTATTAGCCAGCCATGGCTTCCTCTATGGATTAAAGAATTAAAATGTTAATGGGAAATTCATGACTCAGGACTGAGAAAACTTCCTTTTTCCTCTGAATGACTGAGTATACATATATATTTGGCTCTTTTCAATATCATGACCCAGAAAATTCATTAGATTTGCATTAACAAAGTGAGCCATGTATGTTAACCTTCTCAGTCTAGAAAAAAAGGTAAGAAAATTAACAACTCTTGAGTATTTCCAACGTCCAGGGAATATTCAAGGCACTTTTACTAAGTCGTCTCATAAAACAGCCAGAGTCTCAGTCTCCACATTAAAGGATTATAGAGTATCTCTAAAGAGTCAGAGTAAAAAGAGTCAGAGTAAAACCACTGTAAAACATTCTCGTTCAAAGAATACAGTTTATTGTGACAAGTAATTACTGTGTTCCTTACAAGTGAATTGACAACTGGCCAGGGAGTCAAGACGCTGAAAAGGAAGTCCACACAGGATAAGGCCTCACCAGCTCCCCATTCCTAAGACTTGATCATTGCCAATGGATCTGAGAACTCTGAGTTGACTGAGGCCTCCATTTCCCTCCAAGAGAATATTGTATTTTATGTTTACATTTCTTATATCTAAAGGCAAATGAAGGAGACACAGATCCCTGCCTTAGTTAGAATGCATCTTTAATACTTGACTTAGGTTTGCAAGTCTTTGCTCATAAACACTTCATATTGAAGCAGCTCAGTCTTTAATTGTAAAAAGGAATTAATAACTATAGGAAAATTTTAAAGGTGAGAACTTCATCTAAGGTGGAAAAATTACCCAACTACTGTGAAAATAAATGAAAAATTGAGAATGAGAGTAATTTAGCAAAAATAACAGTAAGAAGAAGCAAATAAAAGCATGAGAATATTAATATTGTATCAGGAATTCTGAAAGTCAAAAATCTTATGGACAATGAATCAGTTTACAATCGGTTTATAAATATTACTGTTACTTCCCTTTGGGAATTACTACTGTAATTCACAAAAACAAAAACAAAAACAAACAAAAAAAAACACAGGAAAAAAGCTTTTGTTTGGGAAAACCAAAAGTGAACTTGTGCTTATTTTCCTAATTGCTGTTGACTTTTCCCAGCAGAATCCCATCAGATTGCTGCACTTCAGTCTTGAGCACTCATAGTCTTGTTTTGTGTGCTTTACCGGCAAATGTACACGAAAATCCTTATCGTTTTAGATGCTGCTATAATACATACATGCCAAGATGAGTATAATAATGGATTTTTTGGTACAGCTTCAGATAGAGTAGGAAAAAATATTTGTAACTTTTTTCCATTTATGAGTAAATTTTAGCATTTTGAATTCTCTCCTAATCTGTAAATTATTCTTATTCTGTATAAATGTTACCTTATCCATCTACTACATTGCTCTTTTTGTCTCACTTTGATTGCTGAAGTTACCTCTAAATTATTTTATATACAAGTCTTCAAATCAAAGTCAAAATTTTTTCCTGAAAGACAATATTTGCCACCAATCCCAGAAAATACATTACTATTTTCAGTGTATACATCAGTAAAAAGCGAACAATGGCCAAATTATTAAATATGATTAGGGATAAAGACTAAATTAATAATACACCTAAGTGTCACCAGTGTCCCAAAGTGGATACTGGGAAGCACCTATAATTTCATTTAATTCTCATTATAATACCATGAGGTAGATTCTATTGTTATTATTTCATGTTCCCAATGAAAACCTCTTATTTTTACTTTACTTTTAAGAAAACTACTTTTTTCCAAAAAATCATATACCCCTTTTATGTAAAAGAAATCAAGTAATCCATAAAAGAGCAAAGAAGAAAGTAAACTATCTCCAAAATACCACCACCCGAAAACAAAAGTTATTAATGTTTGCTGAAAAATATTCCAGATCTGTCTCTTTGCATGTATACAAATAAAGGTAATTGCTGTATAGTACAGCAACATAGACAAGTAGATAATAGATAAGGATAGATTGATGAATAGATAATATTAGTGAATACACAGAGAGAAGAGAAATAACGGATGGATGGAAATCCAGCTAATAGTTAGAAAAATAATGTATTTTCCTTTCTTATTTTCCACGTACCTAGTCAGCCAAAGGCATCTATGTATGATAGAGGTGGTGAGGTCAGGAAACCTGAAAAAAATGCAAAGAAAAAAAAGAGTTAACTTTCAGCATCTAATATTCAAAACAGAATTTTAAGACGCTGTTAGGTTTGAAGATCATACATCGTGAAAGGGAGGGAAAGTAGTATTTTCTTTTATTTTCTTTTTAGTATATCAAGAGCCTGGCCAGAGTTTTCCAAATGTAATTTCCGTACAGGAAAAAGTCCTAGGTAATCTCCACCTTGGCACTTGCATGCCCAATTTTCAGTCCCCACCTTACAGATGGGTAAAGATGCAAGTTTGTAATCAGAATTACCTTGCATATACAGAGGGGTTTTTTTTCTTAGAAATTGCTATTATCATTATGATATATATCTTTATATTTTTACACAGCCACATTATCTTTTAAAGTTTTTGTGTTTATATTATGTCTCTTTAGTGGAAGACAGGTAATTTTCACTCTTCTTACTAAGGTATCAAAGTACACAATGCTAATGGTAATTTGAATAATAATGCTGATTGCTTGATTAGTACTGATTTGGGTTACTACAAAACTTTTAACTTTTCAAAACTTTTATGAATACTTTTTCAAAGAAGATTTTACTACAAATATCACAGATTTTTTAGAAATTAAGTTGCCATTTTATATAGAAAAGAAAATTGCATCACAAAGAATGGCAGTGACTTTCCTCTGATCATACAGCTGGCAGCTGATTAGTAGCTGAGAACAAATTAGGTTGGTTCCCCTAATCCCCAGCCCTGTTCTGCTTTCATTAAACATTGCTTTGAAGTTTTTTCTAGACAAGATTCTTTACTTTGGGATCAAGGTAAACAGCATCACTTTAACAACAACTGCATGGCAAGAACATCTTTCAGAGCTAGGCTATTCCTTCTGATTGTCTAGGTAAGCTCATTAATAACCATGCAGAATGAACGGATATGACCTGCATTTCCAAACTAGGGCTTGATCCACATGCAACTACTTCTTTCTCATGATTTATTTCGCTGCTAAACCTTGCTTATTCAGTAAGTTGCTTCTGTCTAGGCCTCCACACTGATGCACTGATGTGACCTGTAATATAAGTACATTTTCTGGTTACCATAGCTTTGGGATAATCTGTCTCTGCCAAATTGTTCATTGCTTAGGCACTTATTCCATCATAATTGTGTCCAGTCTGATAACAAATATTGAACATCAAAGAAAATAAATGTATTTTATATTTTTAAATGAGTAAGAGAGTCCTTTTTAAAACATTCCTTCTGAGCCAAGAACTAAAAATGCGAAACAGTAATTGGGCACTGAAAAAAATAGTTTAGGGCTCCACAAGCCCTTATTTCACCAGATACTGAATCATTTCTTAGTCCATTCACAGTAATATAGTGTTTTTCTAGCCTGCTCCAGCCTCTGCCCATAACCGAGTTCAAAAGCCACTTCTGTATATTTTTAGGTATTTGTTACAGCAGCACCCCACTTCTTGTTATCAATTTGTCTTAGTCTATCCCTGTAACTATAACAAGGTAGCTTGGATCTGGTAATTTATAAACAATAGAAATTTACTTCTTACAGTTTTGAAGGCTGGGGGCCTGTTTCATAGATGTCACCTTCTCGTGGTGATCTCACATGGCAAAGGGGGCAAAGAGTCTCCCTCAAGACCTTTTAAAAGGACACTAATCCGGCCGGGCGCGGTGGCTCACGCCTGTAATCCCAGCACTTTGGGAGGCCGAGGCGGGCGGATCACGAGGTCAGGAGATCGAGACCAAGGTGAAACCCCGTCTCTACTAAAAATACAAAAAGTTAGCCGGGCGTAGTGGCGGTCGCCTGTAGTCCCAGCTACTCGGGAGGCTGAGGCAGGAGAATGGCGTGAACCCGGGAGGCGGAGCTTGCAGTGAGCCGAGATCGCGCCACTGCACTCCAGCCTGGGTGACAGAGCGAGACTCCGTCTCAAAAAAAAAAAAAAAAAAAAAAAAAAAAAAAAAAAAAAAAAAAAGGACACTAATCCTATCCAAGAGGGGTTCCCAAAGACCCCACCTCTTATTACCATCTCTTTCAAGGTTAGGTTTCAACATATGAATTTTGGAGAAACACAGACATTCAGACCATAAAAACTTCATATTTATGACAAGGATGTTATTCCTGAAGTTTCTATTTTTTAGTGTGTATATAACTTTTATTTTAATTACAAAAATAAAAGAAGCTCATAAACGTTAAATTAAAAATTCAGACAAAACGTGTAAAATGAAAACATTTTATAATATCTTAGAACTTAAGCCCAAACCACTATAAGATCTGCTTTATAGATTTGGTCTAGAGCTGAACATTTTTTATTCTTAAGTATAATAGAATTAACCACACTTTAAGAAATAGAACTAATGAAAAATAAAATATTAATATCAAATCTCAAAGGTAAACTGACAGACTTTTTATCATAAAATAAAATACTTGAAATATTTCCTGCCAAATAAATGACTACGAAACAGTGGAAGAGACTGAAAGAAGAAAGGTCACGGTCAAACTAAAGAACAGGAAATGAAAAAAATCTGTTATAACTGTATAATGTGCTCCTTCATCATTCTAACACATTATAAACTTTAAAATGATGCTCAGACTGGTTTTATAAACATTTCTCTTGATCTTGCCTCATGTTTTGTTGCATTTGATAAAAGGTTTTTCGACTTTAAGCCTCTAAATATCAGGCTGAGGAAGTCTAACTTAAGAGCACTTAATAGAGCATTTCATGCCTATTTAAACTACCTTGAAATCATTGGAGTGTCTCGGTAAGGTTTCCCTTGAACTTATCACCTTAGAAAGGCACATATGAGTCTTTCCCAAAGGCAGCATCTTTTTCAAAAGTACCATCTCATATCAGCTTATTAGCTACAATGACCACTTCAATCAGATGACAGTGTAAGGGGAATAGAAGTCTCAAGTATACTGGAAAGTTTTTAATGACTTAATCATTCTATGATATGATTTTTGTAGTGTTTTGTTTTTTTCAACCTTTCTCTTGGTCTTCCATTCTTAGGATCTAAAAAGACTTTAGCCTAATGTCTAGAACTCTCCAGTAGTATTTAGATTTCCTTTTGTGAAAACTGGTAGAAGGAAAGAGACAGCCTCTCATGGAGTAATAATGGACAACTGCTCATCCACTCCAAGCTCTTGTGTTGTGGGATACTATCGCATTTAGCATCTTCACTCCAATTTTACTCAAGCCACTCAAAATAATGAGGACATTTGCACTTCTACTACCACTCTCAAAATTTTACAGTCCACATTGCCACCACATAGAATTTCTGGTGTAATTGACGGCATGAAGCTTGAAGACTTTTCTCCAAATTTTAATACTTTCCTGATTGTTCTATAACTTGAGATATCCAGAAGTAAGTCAGCTGTTCAGCTACTTTTATGGTCAAGCACATCTTTATTTAAAACAAAGAACTATACATGTCTATATGCACATTTAAAACAAGGAACATGTCTATATGTCTCTGTTTAAATATAGAATATTAAAAGCTAAAAGTGATTGTTTCTACCAATCCCAGTTTTATGTAAATGAGGAAACAGATTATTCTGATATTTCTACTTTTAATGTGTTTTTTGAGCTCCAGTCTGGGATTCCCAACTGCCCGTTGGACTCAAAATCCAGTTGCTCTACAGCCCCTCAGCCTTAACAGGTAAATGCTGAACCTCATATTTCTCCACAGAAGTTACTGTGATTCTCTAACAGTCAGGATCCCATAGGTAAACCAAATCACACTATATGTTTCAACAGAAAGGATTTAATATAAATGGTTACATAGGTGCTGGGGGGTAAAACAAAGATAGTGGCCAAAGTAAGCCGCTTCCTGGGAAGAAGCAAGGGATGGGGCTGAAGTTGAGTTGAGCTCAGAGAACTCTGCAGTTTGTAGGGGGAATCCCACAGACTCAGATCTACAAGGAGGGGTGCTGGCCTGATATCTGTGGTATATCAGGAGTGGAGGAGTGGGGGCAAGGGGAAAAGTTGGGACTCAGACCTCTGAAGAAGGGGCATTCTAGGTGGCTGCTGGCATCTCTGAGGGATTATAATGAGGCTAGTTTTTGGAATGCAAAAACAACAAACAAGAAACAAATCAAAAGAGAAAAATAAATAAATATATAACAGCATGGGCACTGGAACGAACTACTGCTGCCAAGGTGAAGGGATTGCCGTGGGGAGACACGGAGTAACAGGAAGCACGCAGGAAGACTGAAATCCTATCTCCCCTTCTCCTGCTCTCCAGTTTCCCAACGGCAAAACCTGACAGGGGGCCAGGTGGCAAGAGAACAAGGTTGTCTTCAGAGTTGCAGTCCCAGCATCACAAAGCTGAGGATAGAAAGGCAAACTTGAAGCTGACAGATAATAGTATTCATCATATCTACAAACTGTCATCTCTTATCCCTCCAGCCTCAGCTAGAAGGCCCTCTCCTGACCCCAGAGATAGGGCTAGGTAAGTACTCCCTTCTCTTTGTTCTTGTGTGTTCTGATTAGGAGCAAGGGACATAATCACAAGAATCGCACACACAAAGGATCGATGGATCATAAACTTATAAAAAAGATATTCAACTTCACCATCATTAAACATCAAATAAACATATAATAAAGTAAGAAAATATTTTTCATCTATCAGACAGCAAAAAAAAATAAAGGTATTAGTAACGTCATTTGTGGTCAAGGATTTAGTAAAAAGTGTTGCTAAAATGTAAACTGTGGTTTATTGCATTGTTGTAATAATCTGTTCTCTGTTATTCCCCATAAGAATATGAACCTCTAAAGCTTCATCACAGCAGAGGTGCTTAATAAAGATGTTGCTGAGTTAAAGAATAAAGGAAGTTTTGGAATGTTCCTGAGGTGAGAGCATGAATGGAGAAGACAGAATGAGAATCCTGGATTCTTGGATTTCATTCCAGGAGTCCTGGCACAAAACCACCCCAGTTAATGTCCATACTTTTTACATGCATATAAATATCTCAGGAACTGAACAATGAGAACACATGGACACAGGAAGGGGAACATCACACACCGGGGACTGTTGTGGGGTGGGGGGAGCGATAGCATTAGGTGATATACCTAATGCTAAATGACGAGTTAATGGGTGCAGCACACCAACATGGCACATGTATACATATGTAACAAACCTGTACGTTGTGCACATGTACCCTAAAACTTAAAGTATAATAATAATTAAAAAAAAACAAGAGGAAACTCAAAAAGAAAAAAAAGAAATTTAGAAGTTTTATTCATTTTTGAATATAGAAATGTATAAAGAACACAACAAAAAACCCTATAATTTGACCATCCAGATAATCTCAGTTGCCTTTTTAAAAATAAGTTATAGATATGCATAGTTAGAAAAAAAATAAAGCTCTTCAGAGAAGCAAAAAAACAAGAATGTGAAAACCTTCTTCTCTCCATTCCTAAAACCTTTAAAGGAAAAATTTTAGATTATAACTTTAAAGATTTCAAAAGTTAAGAAAAGCTTAACCCCTGTATAAAGCTATAGCTTCTCTGCTTGGTTCAAGAGTTTTATTTTCAGTATAAATTACATGAATTGCACTCCTGGACACTATATACACTCCAAAGCCATCATATTATAATGACCCATGATATAGTAACATGGTAAAATGGAATAAGCCTTCAGTAATATATAATTTAATTATTTCATCATGGAGATGAAAAAACTGAGACACAGAAAGTTTATGTTACTACCCTAAGTAAGGCCAATAGCTAATAGAGCCACTAATACAATTCCAAGCTCCTGTGTTTCCATCCATAATGAATAATTTACCCCCAAATTCAAGAAGTAAATATAGAGACATTAATTAGAAACGTGTCTTAAATTTAATAGCAGATAACTTATGATTATTTTACATTGATACAGTACGAATTTTTAGACAAAAGATTATACTTCCTAATATTTGTGCAGTACTAATGTTAGAACTATTCAAGCAAAAAAATTCGCATCTCACCAGGTGTTTCACATGAGTCTGACACTTGTTTTTAAAACACTGCTAACCCCTTAAGCTTGTATCCCAACATAATTTGTGATTGTGTGACTCATTACAAATAGAAACAGGAATATTCTCTAAATATTGGAGTCAATGAGAATTTCCTTAGCAATATCCCAGGCTCACATGCTCCAGGCTGTTAATGAAAGAAGAAAATAGTTCCTTTAAATTAGCAATATTATAACTGAGATGCAAATGCCTTATTCTTTGGCTTTCGTTGCCATCATTGACTATCATTATGTTGACAGATTGAGGGACTTAAGGGATAGTATTGCAGGATAGAAAAAAGATATAAGAATGCGCTGGTAAATTTTTAAGAATACTAAGTGGCAAATAAATGTAAATATGCACTAAATGCATCTGTGTTTTTAAGAGGTAGGGCTTAGAAATAATTACCAAATACCTAGAAAAATTAACAAATACAATCTGTGTTCTTTCAGGGTTGATGTCTTAATAAAAAAACAGAGGTTTTTATTAGGTATTTTGCCAAAGAAAAAATATAGATGATCCACCTAAATAGAAGATTACCTAATAATCAGATTTGTTAAATGGATAACAGTATCCAATGTTATAAAAAATGGGAAAACGGAGACTTCCATACATTGTTGCTATAGATGCAAATTGGTCCAATTTTCTGGAAGGCAATTTAGCTTGTCTATTAACATTTTAAATGTGTATGCCCTTTGAGCCACCAGGTCCAATGCTAGAATCTTTCCCAAGGAATTAATTGGAAAGGGTGCCAAAAAAGTCTAAGTGAAAGGATGTTTATTGCATTGTTTATAACAGTAAACAGCTGGATAATGTCCTAAATGTCCATCAACACAATATTGGTCATTTATTTAATGAATATACAGTCATTAAAAATAATGAGATAGAACTATTTGTGTTGACAGAGAAAGATGTTAATGATACATAATTAATTAAAAGGAAAGAAAAATAGGGAATGGCTATGAAAAAATATGTTTAGAACTGTTTCAACTTTGTATGTGTGTATATATTAATAGATGTATAGATATACACTTAGCTTGTCATGGGATATTTTTATTACTTCTTTATACATTTTTGTATTGTTAAATTATTTTTACAATGAGCTTTTATTATATTTATAACCAGCAAATTTTGGAGAAAGAAGAGACTGAGAATGAGTGAAGGCTTCATAAGGATGGTGATACAGGAGTCAATTCTTGAAAGACTGAGATTACACACTTTATTGTTTTATTCTGAATTTTAAAAAATTTAGTATAGAAAACTTAGAAAGCACAGAAAATCAAAAAAATTACAGTAAAAATTACCACACTCAGAAATAACTATATTTCTAGGTATTATCAGCTCGGTAAAATTTCAATCGGCAGGGATGAGAGTGCAGGCAATTTTGGGAAAACAAAGGCAGAGAATTAAGAAAGCTAGGATTGTATTCATGTAAGCTATTTAAATTAACTGGATCAAAAAGAAGTGGAAAGTAAATCTGAAAGATTAGATTAGAGGATTATCATCATAAATGGCCTTAAATGTGAGGGTGACTGTAAGTAATGGGGAACCATTGAAGGCCCTAGTGTAAGGAAAGGAGGTGTTTGAAGATATGCTTAAGATTAACCTGTAATCCTGGCACTTTGGGAGGCCAAGATGGGTGGATCACCTGAGGTCAGGAGTTCAAGACCAGCCTGGCCAACATGGTAAAACCCCGTCTCTACTAAAAATACAAAAATTAGCCATGCATGGTGGTAAATACCTGTAATCCCAGCTACTCGGGAGGCTGAGGCAGGAGAATCACTTGAACCTGGGAGGTGGAAGTTGCAGTGAGCCGAGATCACACCGCTGCACTCTAGCCTGGGTGACAGAGCGAAAAAACAAACGAAAAGATTAACTTGGCAGCAACATTAGAAAAATTGGAGAAGAGAATGATGGGAGTTAGAATATTTAATAGTTTATTATAGTAATCTAGGGAGAAAGCTGAACTAAATGCTTTTTAAATGCTGAACTAAAGGGAAAATAATACACAGAAAAGGGAAAATATAGGAATATATCTACAAATATATGTATTTGTAGAGATAATAAAGTTTTACACATTTTGCCTAAAATAACAGTATCTTTGTGTGTGCAGTTTCTATTATCTTTCATTCTATTTTTTGTTGTTTGGGGAGAGCTGAAATTTTACAAGATTATAAAACATCAGCTTTGACAATTGTAAGAGTGATTCGCTTCTTACCTATCAAGTCCATCTATTTTTGGAACAAAATAAGTAAGACAAATAAGAATCAGCTACCTTCACAATCTAAGAGTCCATATTACAAACACATGAAATTTTCACAAGGATTTGAACAAAGGCCCTCATAAATTTTTGCCAAAAATAAAATAATAAAGTGAGTTATAAGAATTTGCCCGATGTAATCTTTTTCTTGACTTTAACATTGAATTAATAATAGTTTATATGATATTGCCTATAAATTATATAACATAAGCAGTAGATGTTGAGCAAGTCATTTCTATTTAAACCTAATTATGGGGGAAATAATATTATGATGACAACACTTCAATACTGTCTCTACTTACACTTAATAAATTGCCTTGTTTTGCTTTGCATTTTTAGGTATCGTCTATGTTATTTATTTTTCTATAACTAGTATTGGATGATATGCCTGTTGAAGGTAAACATTTAAGAGCAGTTAGAAAGTTATTTGTCTGTTAGGAATTCTTACCCCTTTTCCCAGACCCGACACTAGGAAATATGCTTCACATTTCTAATTTCTGATGTCGAAATAGAAATTGCAGAAATTGTAGAAGCTGGAGAAGTTGGAGAAATTGAAGAATTGAAGTTCTCATCTGTATGTGTATTTATATATGCACTATTGCCATTCTTTTAATGTATGTGCAGTATAAATGTACATAGAACATATTTCTACTAAATTTTGCATGCCATATTTGTAGGGGACAGTGTAGGCATGCTTCCAGATGCCCTTGCATTCTGTATACTACTGTGTACTGTCACCTTAGCCAGAGATTGATTAGTTAGTGCTGGATTTGGAAAGTCCAGCTCCCTTGCCTTAGGTGGGAACAATTCTGAGGCACAACTTATAAAGCTCCCCTGTGGGACACATCTTTAATGACCCCACCTGGGACTTCACCAATATGGTACCCTCCTTAGCTTCTTCTCCTTCCTTGCCCCGTGTCCCACAGTTCCTTGACACTCTTTCCCAGGAGCACTTAATAATCTCTTGTACATGAATCCTCTTCTCAGAACCTAATTTTGGGGAACTCAACCTAAGGCACTGCAATCTAAAAAACAAACGGGAACTAGTATAAAGTTTACTGAAAACACTGTCATTTTCTTCCAAGAGACCAAGCCATGGATAAAACAATAGCAACTAGACCACTGGAGAAATACATGAATAGCCACAGATTCAATAAACAACTCTTAAATGTACCTTTCCAAAATATTTTTACATCAAACTTAAAATAAGAAGAAATTTAATATGTTATTTATCCTTTCATAACAGTAATAGCTGCCATTCATTGAATTATTACCTATGATTGTCATTGTTCTTGTGTTTTTGCATCTTATGCCATTTAGTCTTCACAACAACCCTATGATGGAGGCATTTTCTTTATTTTTCACACAAGTGGAGTGTAGCTCTGAGATCATACAGTTTAGCAAATAGCTGAACCAGGATTTAAAACCAGGTATAATCTGGCATTAGAGCTTATAATCTTTCTACTTTATCTCTGTGTTGTTCTTCTGTAAGAACATCCTGCAATACAGTAGGTGCCTATGTTCACTGACTTACTGTTGATTTTTCTCTGTCATTGACAGGAAACTATGAGGCAGTATTTATCCGATGACTTTCATCAAAGAACTTACCCTTTGCAAACACAAACCATATTATTTCAATTACTTCAAAGGGTTAAGATAAGTTTTCTCAAATCTTGTATTTTAAGAACCCCAGATTTGTCTGGTTTTGGTTATGTCATGGTGATGCCCATTAAGGAAGTCATCAACAACTTGCTCGACCAGCTAGTGCAAAAAAACCAGGAATAAACCACTGTGCAAGCACGAAGCCTAGAAAGGGATATTATACTCAATGCCCTACGGTTCACATATAACTACTTAGATTGTTTAGATAATAACCCTGGCCAACTATTTTTCTGTGGTGTTCATTTTTGGCTTCTGAAGACTGATCAACTTAATTACATTCCTATTATCACATGCTATCAGGAAGCACATTCAGTTGTAATGTATCGTTTATCTGTAACAACTATGAGAAAAATCAAGAATGTCCATGCAAGGGTGGCCCACGAAGCTAGAGCCATTTTGCTCTTTGTGGTCAGACACAACATGTAATCCATCTCAATCTTTGATACTGAAAGCAGTATAACTCAAATGGATGGCATTGTGTGTGGCTGGCCTTACAAAATAAAAATACCAGATACGTTCACATCCTGTAAGCTCTTCCTTTAACCCTATGGAAGCAAATGCTTTTCATCCATGGAATAGTTCTACGCTTAATGCACTACACTGAATGTTTTCTGTGTGTTTTACCTTAGTAACTATTTGGGTGATAAGACGCAATTTAAGAATGAATGCTAATGAAGTTGAGTGAAGGAAAGATTTGTTGAAGGCAAGAAAGCTGAATGTTTCATCTGTATCTGTTGATTACTTTGGGAGCATCAGAAGTTATTAATTTCCAACTGTTTCTATAAACATGGAAAGTAATTGGATGCCATTATGTGTTAAATTCTGTTCCCCAAAAAGATGTTGAGGCCTAACCCCAAAAACTACGAATGTGGACTTATTTGGAAATAGGGTCTTTGCAGATGATCAAGGTTAGATAAGATCATTAAAGCAGGCCCTAATCCTGCTTTAATGATTATGCCCTTCTAAAGAGGAGAAATTTGCACACAGAGACAGACTGTACATGGTAGAATGCCATGATAGGATGAAAGTAGAGATCAGGGTGATGCATCTCTAAGCCAAGGAACACCAAATACTGACAGCAAACCCCCAGAAGCTAGGAAAGAGACATTGAACAGATTCTCCCACAAAGATCTCCAAAGGAAACAACCCTGCTGAAACTTTGATCTCAGACTTGTAGCCTCCAAAACTGTGAAACAATAAATTTCTGTTGCTAAGCCACTCAGATCTTGGTATTTTGTTATGGCTGCCCTGGGAAACTGATACAGATGTAAAACATAAAATTTAATTATTCTAATGCCTATGTATTCATTAGGATCATGTCAATTGGAAGTGGCAGAAAACTAAGAAGCTCGACTTTTCCAGGGTTCCAAGTTAGTATTCTCTCCATTCTTCAGGCTGCTTCCTTCTTTATTGGCTCCATTCTCAGAAAGGTACTTCACTGCACATGGCCAGATGGCTGCCAGCACTTCCTGCTAGACATTCTGTCTTTTCAGCAATACCAACTTTTCCTCCCTAATTTTAACCAAAGTTCCAAGACTATGTCTCACTGGCTTGTCTCCATTATTATGTGGTGGAGACGACTAATCCAAGACTCTACATCCAGGGGTAAAATCAACATGGCCTGAACCATATGGACTGAAAGAAGGAAGGACATGAATAGTTGCCAGGATAAAAATCAGTGTGTTACTTTCCAGAACCAGAGGGAATTGGGAATGGGTAGGAAAAAAGCAAAATTGAGCAATTGTCCATTACCTTATAACTCACCACTCCACTAGTTTAATATGAAACCACAGGAAATTCATCTCTATTAAAAAGATCATGTGTCTGGGTCCAAATTTATTAATTATGTCAATTTCCATTTCTTCTATCTCTACTCACATTATTTCACTCCTGGACTCTCTTAATCGGTATTGTAGCTACATTCTTTTCTCCATATTAAGTTGTAGAAGGTAAATATTGTCAAGCCTGAAAGCCTGGTATTCTCATTAATACTGTTTAGTAGGTCTTCAGCCCAGCATGTAAGGTGTTCTATATTCCTGACCCTACTCATCATCTCAACTTCATTTTCTAATAATACCATATGCAAATCATCCATAGTCTGGTCAAGATGTCCTCATAGTTTATGACACACACTGTGCAAATCCCTAACTTTCTGTGTTCCTACCACTTTGATTGTCAAAACTATCTTTTCCTCTCTTCATTTTTCCAGAATTATTCTCACTTCAAGGCCCAATGTACTTCCCAGCCCTCCCATAAGACTCCTCCTGAATGCCACTGGAATGGATAATGGTCCTCTTTGAAATTCTAAACTGCTTATTGCCTTTATACTATTTGATCCTCAACCTATCCAACTATATATCATTAAGTATGCCTTTATGTGTATATCTTATCTCTTCTAGTTTCAAAATTATCTCTTTGCAGACTTATTATATAAACAATTATTACCCAAAAAAAAGTTGGCAAAAATGATATCAACAATGGTTATCAATTTTTCAAGATAATTGTCTGAAATTTAAAGATACTTATAAGAAAATGGTAATCTTTTTGTACCACGCTTATGAGATATATAAGTCAGCATGATTCTCTCAATGTACTAGAAGAGAATAGATTGAGGTAAATTAAATGGCTTCCATAAAATTACCCCAGTTGTTCAATGTAAGATGGCCATTCAAGAGATAGCGCCTAAATACAAACCCAGTTTTTCTAACTTCAAGCTCAGTACTTACTCATTCACCATTTACAATACATTATTGGGTGTTTAACATGAAGGATACGAGAATGAAAATAAAGTCAATACGCTCAAAAAGCTCAAAATGTTTTGCAAGTCACAAATATATAAGTAAATATCATAAATATACTTCAGTATACCACTCAATTTCTCTGACATATAAAGAGATTTTATTTATCACAGTATGGATTAAATAATACACAGGGAATTACTATGTATTTTATCTTTCTGTATCACATAACCCTGAGTGCATACTCAAATTGAGTGAACATGGAACTACTGGAGAGAACAAAAGGTCCGGGTAATTCCCAGGCCAAGACTTAAGAGGCCTGCCTAGAATACTGAGATGCAATTCATTTACTCCATACTGTGAGATGCATAGTGCTAGAAAAATGTAAGTTTGAAGAATTAACTTTTAAAACATTTAATTCAATACTTCTTAGCACTTACACTAGAGGCCTCAGTATATATACATAGAAAGAGAGAATGCACCTTCTACTTCCAGCCAAAATTTTCTACCCTTCCAGAGTTTAGGTATAGCTTATCAACCTGAAAGAGCAATTATTTTTCTTGTACAAGTATGGTGAGTTATATAAGCAGGAAGTGCTTAATAGTTGTCATATTTTCCTACCTGCTTGCTGTACTCCAAACATACAGCTCAAAAGCAGAAAAAGTGTTCAAAAATAACTTAGGTTTAAAGACTGCTGCCTATAACTAAATTTAATTCTTTTCTTGGTCTTAGTGTATTTTTCAGAGTCTACATTGATATAAAGACTTCATCTCCTAGGCACTGAGAAAATCAGTAGATGAATGTTCAAATAGCAGTTAAAGTACTGCAGTTTTGTTGCTGACAATAGCACCAGTGTATTCCAGTGAACTATGTCTCATTCTCTGCAAATGAATGAACAGTATATAATTTTTTTTAAATTGCCCATTTATTAACTAGTGGGGGGAAATGCTGTACCACTTCTGCACACACCATCCTCTTCCATTAGTGAAAATTAAATGAAGGTTATATGCAGGGTTTGTAAGCGAGGATTGACAAAGCAGCCAGGAGAGATGAGGGAGTTTGTGCAATTGAGACTGAGAGAACATTAGCTGATCAAATGCTGGTTTCCTTCCCTTTGCATCATTCCCACCTTTGTTACTATTCTTTCAAGATCGTAAGTAAATTCTCACCAAACTCACTGAACTCATCTTATGCCTTTTTTTTCACTTTATCTACTATATGCTTATGAGAAAATCCACGAATCTAACAAAATATCTTAACATAAATATACACGATTTTACCTGGCCATGTGATGATCAAGATGCTGTTGTGTATGTGTCTGGCTTTGTTTCAGGACTCTTTCTTCTCTCTTTTAGCTCATCTTTTGAAAATATTACTTCAGCATTAATTTAAAAAAATATATATTTATTTTATACTTTTATATTGTGCTTTTCACTAGTTTTATGAGAAAGGAATTTAAAAAACAAAAGCTAGCCCCACCAAAAAGGATAAAGATTGAGAAAGTCATAATCCTTCTCCTAATGGATATGTTGTAATCAACATAAATGTTATGTGGAGCTAATATTTTTATTTCTTTACATTTAAAGAAAGGTTCAAAACAACTGCTTTTTCATTATCAATTTTAAGTCATAAACAAGCAGGTTAGAAACCGTGGTGAGACCATTACTGTCTGGGAGAATTCATGTTTCTCATGTAGGGGTGAAAAAAGAACTACATCCTTAGGTTTTTTGGAAAGAAGCCACTTGTCTTTCCCAGGAGTCTGGTGGGGTTTCCTGAGCTTTTTACTGGCAACACTCAAGTGTTGTTTATGCGACCATGCCAAGACACCATGGGATTGAGATACTCTCATTTGGCTGGCAGGCCTGTCTGGCTCTCTCCTTGGTGCTGGCTGCTTCCAAGGAGCTTGCTTCTCTGGGCTTTGTTTTTAGCAAGACACACAGAAAAGGGGTTACCCTGCAAAGTCCTTGATGGATTTACATCCCCAAATGAGCTCTTGGTTTTGTTATCCCAAATTGACTCACCTCCCTATGAAGGTTTTCTAAATTGCCACAGCCTTATAACACCTAAATTTTATTTTTTCCTTGGCACTTAGCAGGTTTTGTATGGCTTTGAAATTCACATTGTGATTTGGCTTCCACTGAGTTTATAAGACACTTTAGAGCAGGGCCCTGAAAATTCTCTTATCCCTACAGTGCCTAGGTTGTAACAAGTTCTTGAAAATATTGTTTGATGATAGGAATGTTTTCCTGTCTTCTTCCCTGGAAGAGATGCCTAGAGTTTTTAATTATAAGATCCTGTCATATCTAGACAATGTTAAAATAATAGATTTGCATATGTAGCCCACAGTTGACAAGTATATTATTTTTTTCTTTCTCTTCCTTGTCCAACAATTACATAAAACACCCTATTGTTCTCTGCCTCTCTGTCTCCTCTCTCTGTCTCTTTATCTCTCACACACACAAATGGATACAAGATCACAGTTTCACTCCCATCTTTCAATGGGATCCTAACAGTAGAGGTCAAGAGTATAGAATCTGAAGCTAAACTGCCTCAGATCCTATACCAGCTCCCATAATTAATACCTACATGACAGTGAAAAATGTCATGTGAGGATGCGAGGCCGGGTGCGGTGGCTCACTCCTGTAAACCCAGCACTTTGAGAGGCTGAGGCAGGTGGATCACCTGAAGTCAGGAGTTCGAGACCACCGTGGCCAACATGGTGAAACTCCATCTCTACTAAAGATACAAAAATTAGCAGGGCATGGTGGTGGGCACCTGTAATCCCAGCTACTTGGGAGGCAGGATTGCCTGAACCTGGGAGGAGGAGGTTGCAGTGAGCCGAGATCACACCATTGCACTCCAGCCTGGACGACAAGAGTGAAACTCCGTCTCCACAAAAAAAAAAAAAAAAAAAAGAGAGAGAGAGAAAAGAAAAATGTCATGCGTATCTCTGTGCCGCAGTTTTTTATTGATTTTTATTGATGAAATGGGGGTAAAAATAGAAAGTAACCTCATATTTTGTCAAGTTAATCACATAAAGCATTTAAAAGAATGGCTCATAATAAGTAGTATATTAGTATTTTTCATTGTTACTACTTTGGGGAATGGTTTAGTGAAAGCGTTAGTTCTCTCAGCAGTCATCAGTTCAGATTTACAAAACGTGCAATCTCAACCCATTAGGGAAGTGGCAGTGATAGCAGAAGCAAGAATCTGACTAGAAAAGCCAGATCCTCTTCTTGATTGAGGGAGTCCAAATCACCAACCTTTACTTTTTGTTTTGAGACGGAGTCTTGCTCTGTTGCCCAGGCTGGAGTGCAGTGGCAGGATCTCGGCTCACTGCAAGCTCCGCCTCCCAGGTTCACGCCATTCTCCTGCCTCAGCCTCCCAAGTAGCTGGGACTACAGGCGCCCGCCACTATGCCCAGCTAATTTTTTGTATTTTTAGTAGAGACGGGGTTTCACCGTTTTAGCCGGGATGGTCTCGATCTCCTGACCTGGTGATCCGCCCGCCTCGGCCTCCCAAAGTGCTGGGATTACAGGCGTGAGCCACCGCGCCTGGCCAACCTTTACTTTTTTAATGGAAAAGATGTTGGCCAAGAAAGAGCAACTAATTTAACTAAATAAGTGTATTTGGGCAGTGAAGAGCTTTAAAAATCCTTACATTTTTTATGTATAACTTGTGCAACCTGAATTTTATGTAACTTTGCATAATAACTTCTGAAATTTTATGTTTGGAAAATCTAAGGAGAGGATTTAATGTTGGATAAATAAGAATAGAAATGAGGGAGGAGGAGCCAAGATGGCCGAATAGGAACAGCTCCAGTCTACAGCTCCCAGCGTGAGCCACGCAGAAGATGGGTGATTTCTGCATTTCCATCAGAGGTACCGGGTTCATCTCACTAGGGAGTGCCAGACAGTGGGCGCAGGACAGTGGGTGCAGCGCATTGTGCATGAGCCGAAGCAGGGCGAGGCATTGCCTCACTCGGGAAGCGCAAGGGGTCAGGGAGTTCTCTTTCCTGGTCAAGGAAAGGGGTGACAGACGGCACCTGGAAAATCGGGTCACTCCCACCCGAATACCGTGCTTCTCCGACAGGCTTAGGAAACGGCACACCAGGAGATTATATCCCGCACCTGGCTCGGAGGGTCCTATGCCCACGGAGTCTCACTGATTGCTAGCACAGCAGTCTGAGATCAAACTGCAAGGCAGTAGCGCGGTTGGGGGAGGGGCGCCTGCCATTGCCCAGGCTTGCTTAGGTAAACAAAGCAGCCAGGAAGCTAGAACTGGGTGGAGCCCACCACAACTCAAGGAGGCCTGCCTGCCTCTGTAGGCTCCACCTCTGGGGGCAGGGCACAGACAAACAAAAAGACAGCAGTAACCTCTGCAGACTTAAATGTCCCTGTCTGACAGCTTTGAAGAGAGCAGTGGTTGTCCCAGCATGCAGCTGGAGACCTCAGAACAGGCAGACTGCCTCCTCAAGTGGGTCACTGACCCCTGACCCTGAGCAGCCTAACTGGGAGGCACCCCCCAGTAGGGGCAGACTGACACCTCACATGGCCAGGTACTCCTCTGAGACAAAACTTCCAGAGAAACGATCAGACAGCAGCATTAGCGGTTCACGAAAATCCACTGTTCTGCAGACACCGCTGCTGATACCCAGGCAAACAGCGTCTGGAGTGGATCTCTAGCAAACTCCAACAGACCTGCAGCTGAGGGTCCTGTCTGTTAGAAGGAAAACTAACAAACACAAAGGACATCCACACCAAAAACCCATCTGTACATCACCATCATCAAAGACCAAAAGTAGATAAAACCACAAAGATGGGGAAAAAACAGAACAGAAAAACTGGAAACTCTAAAAAGCAGAGCACCTCTCCTCCTCCATAGGAACGCAGTTCCTCACCAGCAAAGAAACAAAGCTGGACGGAGAATGACTTTGACGAGTTGAGAGAAGAAGGCTTCAGACGATCAAACTACTCCGAGCTACAGGAGGAAATTCAAACCAAAGGCAAAGAAGTTGAAAACTTTGAAAAAATTTAGACGAATGTATAACTAGAATAACCAATACAGAGAAGTGCTTAAAGGAGTTGATGGAGCTGAAAGCCAAGGCTCGAGAACTACATGAAGAATGCAGAAGCCTCAGGAGACGATGCGATCAAATGGAAGAAAGGGTATCAGTGGTGGAAGATGAAATGAATGAAATGAAGTGAGAAGGGTAGTTTAGAGAAAAAAAAATAAAAAGAAACGAACAAAGCCTCCAAGAAATATGGGACTATGTGAAAAGACCAAATCTATGTCTGACTGGTGTACCTGAAAGTGACAGGGAGAATGGAACCAAGTTGGAAAACACTAGGCAGGATATTATCCAGGAGAACTTCCCCAATCTAGCAAGGCAGGCCAACATTCAAATTCAGGAAATACAGAGAATGCCACAAAGATACTCCTTGAGAAGAGCAACTCAAAGACACATAATTGTCAGATTCACCAAAGTTGAAATGAAGGAAAAAATGTTAAGGGCAGCCAGAGAGAAAGGTCGGGTTACCCTCAAAGGGAAGCCCATCAGACTAACAGCAGATCTCTCGGCAGAAACTCTACAAGCCAGAAGAGAGTGGGGGCCAATATTCAACATTCTTAAAGAAAAGAATTTTCAACCCAGGATTTCATACCCAGCCAAACTAAGCTTCATAAGTGAAGGAGAAATAAAATCCTTTACAGACCAGGAAATGCTGAGAGATTTTGTCACCACCAGGCCTGCCCTAAAAGAGCTCCTGAAGGAAGCACTAAACATGGAAAGGAACAACCGGTACCAGCCGCTGCAAAATCATGCCAAAATGTAAAGACCATCGAGACTAGGAAGAAACTGCAACTAACGAGCAAAATAACCAGCTAACGTCATAATGACAGGATCAAATTCACGAATAACCATATTAACTTTAAATATCAATGGACTAAATGCTCCAATTAAAAGACACAGACTGGCAAATTGGATAAAGAGTCAAGACCCATCAGTGTGCTTTATTCGGGAAACCCATCTCACATGCAGATACACACATAGGCTCAAAATAAAAGGATGGAGGAAGATCTACCAAGCAAGTGGAAAACAAAAAAAGGCAGGGGTTGCAATCCTAGTCTCTGAGAAAACAGACTTTAAACCAACAAAGATCAAAAGAGACAAAGAAGGCCATTAAATAATGGTAAAGGGATCAATTCAACAAGAAAAGCTAACTATCCTAAATATATATGCACCCAATACAGGAGCACCCAGATTCATAAAGCAAGTCCTGAGTGACCTACAAAGAGACTTAGACTCCCACACAATAATAATGGGAGACTTTAACACCCCACTGTCAACATTAGACAGATCAACGAGACAGCAAGTTAACAAGGATACCCAGGAATTGAACTCAGCTCTGCACCAAGCGGACCTAGTAGACATCTACAGAACTCTCCACCCCAAATCAACAGAATATACATTTTTTTCAGCACCACACCACACCTATTCCAAAATTGACCACATAGTTGGAAGTAAAGCTCTCCTCAGCAAATGTAAAAGAACAGAAATTATAACAAACTCTCTGTCAGGCCATAGTGCAATCAAACTAGAACTCAGATTTAAGAAACTCACTCAAAACCACTCAACTACATGGAAACTGAACAACCTGCTCCTGAATGACTACTGGGTACATAACGAAATGAAGGCAGAAATAAAGATGTTCTTTGAAACCAACGAGAACAAAGACACAATATACCAGAATCTCTGGGACACATTCAAAGCAGTGTGTAGAGGGAAATTGATAGGACTAAATGCCCACAGGAGAAAGCAGGTAAGATCCAAAATTGACACCCTAACATCACAATTAAAAGAACTAGAAAAGCAAGAGCAAACACATTCAAAAACTAGCAGAAGGCAAGAAATAACTAAGAACAGAGCAGAATTGAAGGAAATAGATAAACAAAAAACCCCTCAAAAAATTAATGAATCCAGGAACTGGTTTTTTGAAAGAATCAACAAAATTGATAGACCGCTAGCAAGACTAATAAAGAAAAAAAGAGAGAAGAATCAAATAGACGCAATAAAAAATGATAAAGGGGATATCACCACCAATCCCACAGAAATACAAACTACCATCAGAGAATACTACAAACACTGCTACGCAAATAAACTAGAAAATCTGGAAGAAATGGATAAATTCCTCGACACATACACTCTCCCAAAACTAAAACAGGAAGAAGTTGAATCTCTGAATAGACCAATAACAGGATCTGAAATTGTGGCAATAATCAACAGCTTACCAACCAAAAAGAGTCCAGGACCAGATGGATTCACAGCCGAATTCTACCAGAGGTACAAGGAGGAACTGGTACCATTCCTTCTGAAACTATTCCAATCAATAGAAAAAGAGGGAATCCTCCCTAACTCATTTTATGAGGCCAGAATCATCCTGATACCAAAGCTGGGCAGAGACACAACCAAAAAAGAGAATTTTAGACCAATATCCTTGATGAACATTGATGCAAAAATCCTCAATAAAATACTGGCAAACCAAATCCAGCAGCACATCAAAAAGCTTATCCACCATGATCAAGTGGGCTTCATCCCTGGGATGCAAGGCTGGTTCAATATATGCAAATCAATAAATGTAATCCAGTATATAAACAGAAACAAAGACAAAAAACACATGATTATCTCAATAGATGCAGAAAAGGCCTTTGACAAAATTCAACAACGCTTCATGCTAAAACCTCTTAATAAATCAGGTATTGATGGGACGTATCTCAAAATAATAAGAGCTATCTATGACAAACCCACAGCCAATATCATACTGAATGGGCAAAAACTGGAAGCATTCCCTTTGAAAACTGGCACAAGACAGGGATGCCCTCTCTCACCACTCCTATTCAACATAGTGTTGGAAGTTCTGGCCCGGGCAATTAGGCAGGAGAAGGAAATAAAGGGTTTTCAATTAGGAAAAGAGGAAGTCAAATTGTCCCTGTTTACAGACGACATGATTGTATATCTAGAAAACCCCATTGTCTCAGCCCAAAATCTCCTTAAGCTGATAAGCAACTTCAGCAAAGTCTCAGGATACAAAATCAATGCACAAAAATCACAAGCATTCTTATACACCAATAACAGACAAACAGAGAGCCAAATCATGAGTGAACTCCCATTCACAATTGCTTCAAAGAGAATAAAATACTTAGGAATCCAACTTACAAGGTATGTGAAGGACTTCTTCAAGGAGAACTACAAACCACTGCTCAATGAAGTAAAAGAGGATACAAACAAATGGAAGAATGTTCCATGCTCATGGGTAGGAAGAATCAATATCATGAAAATGGCCATACTGCCCAAGGTAATTTACAGATTGAATGCCATCCCCATCAAGCTACCAATGACTTTCTTCACAGAATTGGAAAAAACTACTTTAAAGTTCATATGGAACCAAAAAAGAGCCCACATTACCAAGTCAATCCTAAGCCAAAAGAACAAAGCTGGAGGCATCACACTACCTGACTTCAAACTATACTACAAGGCTACAGTCACCAAAACAGCATGGTACTGGTACCAAAACAGAGATATAGATCAATGGAACAGAACAGAGCCCTCAGAAATAATGCCGCATATCTACAACTATCTGATCTTTGACAAACCTGAGAAAAACAAGCAGTGGGGAAAGGATTCCCTATTTAATAAATGGTGCTGGGAAAACTGGCTAGCCATATGTAGAAAGCTGAAACTGGATCCCTTCCTTACACCTTATACAAAAATGAATTCAAGATGGATTAAAGACTTAAACGTTAGACCTAAAACCCTAAAAACCCTAGAAGAAAACCTAGGCAATACCATTCAGGACATAGGCATGGGCAAGGACTTCATGTCTAAAACACCAAAACAATGGCAACAAAAGCCAAAATTGACAAATGGGATCTAATTAAACTAAAGAGCTTCTGCACAGCAAAAGAAACTACCATCAGAGTGAACAGGCAACCTACAAAATGGGAGAAAATTTTTGCAACCTACTCATCTGACAAAGGGCTAATATCCAGAATCTACAAGGAACTCAAACAAATTTACAAGAAAAAAACAAACAGCCCTATCAAAAAGTGGGCAAAGGATATGAACAGACACTTCTCAAAAGAAGACATTTATGCAGCCAAAAGACACATGAAAAAATGCTCATCATCACTGGCCATCAGAGAAATGCAAATCAAAACCACAATGAGATACCATCTCACACCAGTTAGAATGGCAATCATTAATAAGTCAGGAAACAACAGGTGCTGGAGAGGATGTGGAGAAATAGGAACACTTTTACACTATTGGTGGGACTGTAAACTAGTTCAACCATTGTGAAGTCAGTGTGGCGATTCCTCTGGGATCTAGAACTAGAAATACCATTTGACCCAGCCATCCCATTACTGGGTATGTACCCAAAGGACTATAAATCATGCTGCTATAAAGACACATGCACACGTATGTTTATTGTGGCACTATTCACAATAGCAAAGACTTGGAACCAACCCAAATGTCCACCAATGATAGATTGGATTAAGAAAATGTGGCACATATACACAATGGAATACTATGCAGCCATAAAAAATAATGAGTTCATGTCCTTTGTAGGGACATGGATGAAATTGGAAATAATCATTCTCAGTAAACTATCGCAAGGACAAAAAACCAAACACCGCATGTTCTCACTCATAGATGGGAACTGAACAATGAGAACACATGGACACAGGAAGGGGAACATCACACTCTGGGGACTGTTGTGGGGTCGGGGGAGGGGGGAGGGATAGCATTAGGAGATATACCTAATGCTAAATGATTAGTTAATGGGTGCAGCACACCAGCATGGCACATGTATACATATGTAACTAACCTGCACATTGTGCACATGTACCCTAAAACTTAAAGTTTAATAATAAAAAATTTAAAAAAAGGTAAAAAAAATGAATAGAAATGAGACACAGCAGGATAATGTTGAAAGAAAAGACAATTATTAGGTACAATATCTTGTCTCTAAAATGATGTTTTCTATTGCTTCATCTTGGTACTATTTCTTGGTTACCCTCATAAAAGGCCTGCCAGTGAATAAAATAAGTCATCTATTGCTCCATATTTAAAATGATTACAGAAGTGCATAAAGTGGTGGCTAAAAGTGGAGTTCCAGACTTGAAGATCACTGCAAATGATACTTTATTTTTTCCGCTGTCACCCAGACTGTCATGCAGTGGTGCAATCAGAGCTCACTGCAACCCCAAATTCCTGGGCTCAGAAGGTCCTTCTGCCTTAGCCTCCCAGGTAGCTAGGACTATAGGTGCATGCCACCATGACTGGCTAATTTTTTTTTCTTTTAGTAGAGATAGGGTCTCCCTATGTAGTCCAGGCTGGTCTTCTCCTGGCCTCAAGTGATCCTTGGCCTCAAGTGATCCTCAACTCCTGGCCTCAAGTGATCCTCCTGCCTCAGCGTCCCAAAGACCTGGGATTACAGGTGTGAGCCACTGCACCTGGCCCAAAAGAGGCTTTAGGGCTTGGCTTCAATGAAGCCAAGTCTTTGGCAGTGGTAACTCTGTCTTACTTGAAGGATACCCAAATTATGTCAATTAATGGGAGATTTTTTTACCTGAAACTGTGGAATAAGCCCTAAAGCATGACTTTCAAGGTTATCTAATAACCGTCACCTCTTATAAGTTGGTGAACCTGGTCTAGTGCATGCTCCAGCATATGTCCTGGCAAGGATGTATACTGGACTACTTCAATTTTACATAAATAAGGGTCAACCTGGAAGTAGAAAGTTATGTTTACAATAAGCTTTGCTTAGAAGTCATTCCAGCTACTTATGCTACATTAAAAAAAAAATCCCAAAACTTTGTGGCTTAAAGCAACATCAATCATTTATTTTGCTCATGAGTCTGTAATTAGGGCAGGACTTCGTAAGGTGGCTCATCTCTATGAGCATCAGCCGAAATGGCTTGACTGGGACTTAAGGATCTATTTCCAAAATGCACATGGTTGGCAAGTTGCAGTTGGCAGTTAGCTGGGAATTCAGTCAGTGCTGCAGGCTGGGGATTTTCCTCATAGCATTGAAAGCCGAGCTCCAAGAAGAAAGGTTTAGGAGGCTTGGTCAGAAGGTACATGGCTTCTTATGAGCTTGCCCTATCATATTGCATTAGTAACTAGGAAAGTCATCAAAACCAGCCCACATTCAAAGGGAGGGGAATTAGGCTCTATCTTGAATATCTTGCAGAAGTTATCATGCCCAAATCTCTACCTATAAGTGAGGCTATTTATGATCTCTCTCTTATATACAGTGATGCATCCTTTATTGACAGGGATACATTCTGAGAAACGGACCATTAGGCAATTTTGTCACTGCGCAAATATCATAGAGTGTATTTATACAAACCTAGATGGTATAGCCTACTACACTTCTAGGCTATAACATATAGCCTGTTTATAGACTGCAAACCTGTTCAGCATGTTACTCTACTGAATTTTGTAGGCAATTGTAACACAATGGTAAGTATTTGTGTATTTAAACATAGCTACGCAAAGCAAAGCAAAGGTACAGTCAAAATATGGTATAAAAAGATTTCAAATGATACACCTGTATAGGGCAGCTCCATTATAATTTTATTGGACCAATGTCATGTATTTGGTCTATCATTGATCAAATCATCGCTATGCTATATATGACTGTATCTTAATTGTGATTTCCTTATGTTTCTTTTAGACAAGTAAATCTTGTTTAATACAGCAAAGAGGTATCGTTTTTCTGGTTCTTTTTCTGGTCAGTCTTTTCTTTCTATTGACATTTAGTGATAACATCATCTGCACATTTTCACATATATAAGAAATTGAAATGGCCCCTGAAGAAACAGGGTCTCTTAATTCATTTCCTGCACTTTAATTGTAGATTACAGTTCTATTTCCTTAATGAGATTGTGAGCTGTTTGATACCAGGGACAATGCCTTGCTTCTCTTTATCTCCAGCACCTATCAGAATACATGGGCACATCCAAGTGAATGCTATTATTTCAATGTAATGAAACTAAAATGATATTGTTAAGGAAGATAGGATAAAACCCACCAGCTGCACATATACAAAAAAATACCACATGTACCTAGCATCTTCAGGGAAATGAGGAACACCTGTAAAGTTGTGCTCCACAAAGAAAGAAGAGTCACCTCCTTTAGCAGCCACTCCATTTTCCTCAGTATGTTGAAAATAGTATCACATTGGCTGAGCGCGGTGGCTCCTGCCTGTAATCCCAGCACTTTGGGAGACGGAGGCGGGCGGATCACGAGGTCAGGAGATCAAGACCATCCTGGCTAACACGGTGAAACCCCGTTTCTACTAAAAATACAAAAAATTAGCCGGGCGTGGTGGCGGGCGCCTGTAGTCCCAGCTGCTCTGGAGGCTGAGGCAGGAGAATGGCGTGAACCCGGGAGGCGGAGCTTGCAGTGAGCCGGGATGGCGCCACTGCACTCCAGCCTGGGCGACAGAGCGACTCGTCTCAAAAAAAAAAAAAAAAAAAAAGAAAATAGTATCACATTATAGGTGGTGTATGATTTGAAAAGGCCGGGTATCCTGATAATCTGTTGGGTGAACAAAACCTATCAGCAGCATTTTGATGAAGGAAATGATATGCTAGCACAGTAGAGAACTGAATTGATCCAGCAGTGACTGAATTTATTTTTCAAAGGAAGACTTTTCATCATGTGCATCTGAGCTTTAATCTTTTGCTTGTCACTTGATAGTCTGCTCAGAAAACCTCAAATTTATGATCAAAGTAACCATAAGCCTTCTTGGGACCGTCTATTTCTCTGAAATGATCATTTAGTTCAATAAAGATGTATTTAATGCCATTTGATGTGCCAGAAACCATGTTCATGGTGCTGCTTGAAACAATGCCAATCTAATTATTCAGCTTTTTTCACTTAGTAATGTGCATTTACGTTTCTTAGACCTCTTTTCATGGCTTGATTATCTCATTTCTTTTTAGCACTGAATAATACTCCATTGTCTGCTTGTACCAAGGTTTATTTATCCACTCAACTACTGAAAGACATCTTTGTTGCTTCCAAGTTTTTGGCAATTATAAATAGAGCTGCTATAAATATTTATATACAGAGTTTGATGTAGACATAAGTTCTCAACTCATTTGGGTAGATAACCAAAGTTCACAATTGCCGAATCATATGGTTAGTTCCATAAGAAACTGTCAAACTTTTCCACGGTGGCTATATCATTTTGCATTTCCATCAGCAGTGAATGAGAGTTCCTGTTCCATCCTCATTAGCATTTAATGTTGTCAAAATTTGGGATTTTAATCATTCTAATAAGTGTGTAGTGGTATCTCACTGTCATGTTAATATGCAATTCTCTAATGACATATAATGTTGAACATCTTTTCATATACTTACTTGCTATCTGTATGTCTTCTTTGTTTAGATATCTGTCAAGATCTTTGGCCCATTTTAAAAATTAGATTGTTCACTTTCTTATTTTTGAGTTTTAAAAGTTCCTTTTTTATTTTGGCTAACAGTCCTTTACCAGATGTGCCTTTTGCAAATATTTTCTTTTAGTCTGTGACTTTTCATACTTGCTTGTCTTTTCCAGGACAGGAATTTTTAATTTTAATGAAGTCCCACTTATCAATGCTTTCATTGATGAATAGTGTCTTTGGTGTTGTATCTAAACAGTCATTGTCATATTCAAGGTCACCTAGGTTTTCTCCCATGTTGTCTCCTAGAAATTTTACAGCTCTGAGTTTTATATTTTGGTTTATGAACTGTTTTGAGTTAATTTCTGTGAAGGGTGTCAGGTCTAGATTTATTGTTTTACATGTGGATGCCCAGTCATTTCAGTACCATTTGTTGAAAATACTATCTATTCCACTTTATTGCCTTTGTTCTTTTGTCAAAGATCAGTTGACTATATTTATGTGGGTCTATTTCCGGATCTCTATTCTGTGCCATTGATCTATTTGTCTGTTCTTTTGCCAATACCACACTGTCTTGATTGCTGTAGTTTTTTATTCTTGGAGCTGTGTATTGTCAGCCCTCTGATTTTGTTATTCTTCAATATTGAGCTGGCTATTCTGGGGCAGTATTTCCACATAAAATTTAGAATCAGATTATTGATACCCACAAAATTGCTTTCTGAGATTTTGATTGAGATTACATTGTATCTATATGTCAAGTTGGGAAGAACTGATATCTTGACAATACTGGGTCTTCCTATCTATGAACATGGAATATCTCTCCTTTTAGTTCTTTGATATATTTAATGAACTTTTAGTTTTCCTTTTAGAAACCTTATGCATATTTAATTAGGTTTATATCTAAGTATTTTATTTTGGAGATATTACTATAAATGTTAATGTGTTTTTAATTTCAAATTCTACTTGTTCATTGCTGGTATATAAGAAAAAAATTGACTTTAACCTTGTATACTGCAATGTTGCTAAAATTGCTTATTAGTTCTAGGAGGGTTTTTTCTTGTTGACTCTTTTGAATTTTCTATATACAGTCATGTTACCTGCAAACAAAGCTTGATTTCTTCCTTTCAAATCTATACTTTTTAAAAAATCTTGTCTCACTGCATTATCTAGGACTTTCATTATGATGTTAAAAAGCAGTGGTGAGAGAGGATATCTTTGCCGTATTCCTGCTCTTGAAGGGAAAACTTCAAATTTTTCACCATTAAGTATAATGTTAGCTGTAGGATTTTTAGAAATGTTGTTTTTAGAAGTTGAGGCTATGCCCCTCTACTCCTAGTTTACTGAGAATTTTTAACCATAAATGGGTATTGGTGTTTGTTACATGTTTGTTCTGCATCTATTTATATCTTCATATGATTTTGTTTTCTATAGCCTGTTAATATGATAATTATATTAATTGATTTTTGAAATGTTCAAATAGACTTACATTCCTGCAATAAATCCCACTTGGTCATGTTGTATAATTCTTTTGTTTTTTTACATTGTTGGATTTGATATGCTTATAATTTTTTGAGAATTTTTGCATCTATGTTCATGAGAGACATTGGTCTATAGTTTTATTTTCTTTTAATGTATTTGTTTGATTTTGATATAGGGGAGTGCTGAGCTCATAGAATGAGATAGGAAGTATTTCCTTGCTTATATCTTCTGGAAGAGATTTCAGAGAATTGGTATAATTTCTTCCTTAAACATTTGGTAGTTTTCACCAGTGAATCCATCTTGGTGCTTGCATTTTGGAAGATAGTTAATTATTGATTAAGTTTCTTTAACAAATATATTCAGATCTATTTAGATTGTCTATTTATTCTTGTGTGAGTTTTGGCAAGTTGTGTCTTTCAAAAACATGATCAATTTCACCTAGATTATCAAATTTGTGGGCATGGGCTTTGTTCATAATATGCCTTTATTATCCTTTTAATGTCCATATGATCTGTATGTCTCCTCTTCCATTTCTGATATTAGTAATTTGTGTCTTCTTGCTTTTTTCCTTAGTTATCCTGGCTATAAACTTGTCAATTTTATTGGTCTTTTCAAAGAACCAGCTTTTAGTCTTATTGACTTTCTGTATGAATTTCCTGTTTTCCATTTTATTGATTTGTGCTCTATTTTTCAAATTATTTCTTTTCTTCTGCTTATTTTGAATTTAATTTGCTCTTCTTTTTCTAGTTTTCCTAAGGTGAAAGTTTAGATTATTAATTTTAGAACTTTCTTTCATGCTATAAATTTCTGTCTAAGCACTGCTTTTGCCACATTTCACAAATATTGATAATTTGTGTTTTCATTTATTTTTAATTTCTCTTGAGATTTCTTTTTTGACCCACATGTTACTTAGAAGTGTGTTGTTTAATCTTCAAGAATTTTGGAATTTTCCAACCATCTTCCTATTCTTGAATTGTAATTTAACTTTACTGTGGTCTGAGAGCAGATATTGTAGGTTTTCTATTCTTTTACATTTGTTAAACGTGTTTTATGACCCAGGAAATTGTCTGTCTTGGTAAGTGTTCTCTATGAGTTTGAGAAGAATGTGTATTCTACTGTTGTTTGATAATGCTGTCTACAGATGTCAATTATATCCAGCTGGTTGTTAGTACTTTTGAGTTCAACTATGCCCTTAATGATTCTTTTGCCTGCCAGATAGGGTGTTTGTTTGTTTGTTTGTTTGTTTGTTTGTTTGTTTTGAGACAGAGTCTTGCTCTGTTGCCCAAGCTGGAGTGCAGTGGCACAATCTCGGCTCACTGCAACCTCTGCCTCCCAGGTTCAAGCGATTCTCACGCCTCAGCCTCCCAAGTAGCTGGGACTACAGGCGTGTGCCACTACGCCCAGCTAATTATTTGTATTTTTTTTAGTAGAGTAGGGGTTTCACCGTGTTAGCCAGGATGGTCTGGATCTCCTGACCTCGTGATTCCCCCACCTCGGCCTCCCCCAGATAGGGGTCTTAAAGTCTTCATCTATAATAATGGATTAATCTATTTCTCCATGCAGTTCTCTCATTTTTTGTCTCACATATGTTGATGCTCTATGTTAGGCACCTACACGTTAAGAATTGTTTTGTCTTCTTGAAGTATTGACCCCTTTATCATTATATAATGCCCTTTTTATCCTTGATAACTTTCCATGAAGTCAGCTGTCTAAAGTTAATATAGCTATGACCACTTTATTAATGTTAACATAATATCTCTCTCTCCATCCTTTTACTTTTAATCTATATGTATCTTTATATTTAATGTGGATTTCTTATAGACAACATACAGTTGGGTCTTGTTTTTTTTTAATCTACTCTAACAATCTCTGTCATTTAAATGGCTTATTCAGGCCATTGATGTTTAAAGAGATTATTGATATAGTTGGACTAATATCTACCATATTTGTTACTGTTTTCCATTTGTTGCCCTTGTTCTTTTCTCCTATTTTTGTCATTTACACTTTTTCTAACTTTTGCTTTTTTTTTTTTTTTTTTTTCCCCAGAAAGGGCCTCACTCTGTCACCTCGGCTGGAGTACAGTGGCATGATCACAGCTCACTGCAGCCTTTAACTCCTGGGCTCAAGTGATCCTTCCACTTCAGCCTCCCAAGTAGCTGGGACTACAGGTATACACTACCACACCTGGCTATTTTTTAAAATTTTGTGTAAAGACAAGTTCTCAGTTGGTTTCCCAGGCTCTTTTGTTATTTTAATTGAGCATTTTATATGATTTTATTTTCTCTTCTTTCTTAGTGTATAAATTGTCCCCTTTTTAAAAATGTTTTTTAGTGATTTCCCTATCACATTTACAACTAATCCACGTCCAGTTTCAAATAACACTATACTACTTCATGGGTTGTTCAAGTAGCCTCTAATAATTAAATATTCTTCATTTATCACTCTTATCTCTTGTATTATTGCTGGTATTTATTTCACTTGAATGTATATGTTATATATTATATACATGTTTGCATGCATAATCAAATAGTGTTATATTTGAAGCAAACTGTTTTCTGCTAGATTAGTTAAGAAAAGAAAGATAAAAGTTTTCATTTACCTTCACTTATTCATTATTTGATGATCTTCCTTTCTTTACGTAGATACAAATTTCTGACATACCATTTTCCTTCTCTTTGAATAAGTCTGTTTAATATTTCTTCCAAGGCAGGTCTACAGGCAAAAAATTCCCTCAATCTTTGTCTGACATAATCCTTATTTCTCCTCCACTTTTAAAGAGTAATTTTTCAGAGTACCTAACTTTAGGTTGGTAGTTTTCTCTCTCACCACGTTAAATGTTTCAATCCACTCTCTTCTTACTTGCATGGTTTATGCATAGTCAGATATAATTCTTATCTTTGCTCCTCTGTAGTTAAGGTATTTTTCTCCCTGGCTTCTTTCAAGGTTTTTTTTTTTTAATTTATCTCTGATTTTCTAAAGCTTAAATATAGTAAGTCTAGGTAGTTGAGGTTTTTTGATCTTTGAGTTTTATTTTTTTGTTTGTTTGTTTGTCTGTTTGTTTGATTTATCCTGCTTTGTGTTCTCTGAGCTTCCTGCATCTGTGTTTGGTGCCTGACATTAAATTGAGGAAAGCCTCAGTCATTATTGCCTCAAATATTGTTTCCGTTCCTTTCTCGTTTTCTCTCATTTCATCATTTGTAGTTGTTCCACAGTTCTTGTTTCCATTCATATTCTGTTCAGTTCTTATTCTGTTCTTGTTTTTTCACTTTGCCTTTCAGTTTTGGAGGTTTCTATTGTCCTATCCTTTAGCTCAGAGATTCTTCCCTCAGCCATGTCCAATATGCTAATGAGCCCATCAAAGGCATTCTTCATCTTGTTACATTTTTATTCTATCGCTAGCGTTTTTTTTCTTTTTGTAATTTCAACTTTTATTTTAGATACAAGGAGTATATGCATAGGTGATCCTTTCTTAGAATTTCCATCTCTCTCTTGTGCACATGTACCCTAAAACTTAAAGTATAATAATAATAAATTTAAAAAAAGAAAAAAAAAGAATTTTCATCTCTCTGCTGACATTATCTATGTGTTCCTGCATGTTGTCTACTTCTTCCATTAAAGTCCTTAGCATATTTAATCATAGTTTTTTTAAAAAAACTCCTGGTCCAATAATTCCAATACGACTGCCATATGTGACTCAGATTCTGACGCTTTTTCAGTTTCTTCTGTGTGTTTATAATGCATTATAATCTTTTGTCAAGAGTGGACACAAAATACTAGGTAAAAGGAACTGCAGTAAATTGCCTTTAGTAATTTAGTGGTAAGATGTCAGGGAAGGAGACGCATTCTATAGTCCTAAGATTAGGTCTCAGTTTTTTTTGTGGAGGCTGTACCCCTTCTCAGTCTTCATCTTGCTTCAGGTGGGACAGAATGCCTAGAGGGGGCTGGCTGGAAGTTGGATTTCCCTGCCCTATGTTAGGCTCTGATAAAATAGTTTCTCCTGAGGACAGGACTTGTTAAGAACAGGATGCTCTGATGTATTTCAAAATGGTTTCTTTTCTACTCCCCATGCCAGAAGCACAAGGGAATTTTTCTCTGATCTTCACTGTGAGGACCTGGTAGAGCTCCTGGAAATAAAACTCACAAAGTCTCTCTCTCTCTCTCTCTCTCTCTCTCTTTCATACACACACACACACCCCTGAATTCCCCTAGTGTTTTTATCTCTTAGATTTGTCTACACTGAGCCTCCAGGGTAATTTTTCAATTATACTTCAGGTTTTCCTACACCAGCTTTGGTTCCTTTGGAGGATTCTACTCATGGCCTTCCGCTCTGGAAAGTTGTGATTCTCTGCAGCCACCTTTCTGTTTCTTCCATTTTAGGGGTAGCAGTTCACCCTGTGTGATCACTTCCCTGAAAGATCTAAGAAGAGTTGTTAATTTTTCAGTTTGTTCAGCTTTCTGCTTCTTGTTAGGATGAGGTTGTGACTCCTAAGCTCCTCACATCCTGAACTACAAGCCAGAAGTCCTGATTCATTATATCTATAATGACAAATATCTGAGTTCCAACAAAAGAACCATGCACTTAGATACTTTGACAGCAATAGCTATTGAAATAGAAGTTTTAAGTAAATTCTGGTCTTTGAATACCATCAGTTTAATAAATGTTTGAAGGATATATTGGGAAGAATTTGGGCAACCTTTTCACCTGGAGAATACATGAATATCTTACAAAGGCAGACATTCAATTAGAAGAGACAGAAAAAAAAAAACAAAACTGTGACTTCTGTACTGACTGATGCCAGCACCATCATTTCTTTTATTTCCTAAAGCTAATGTTTGAGTCTTTCCCCATGGTTTTCTTCTCTATGAAAAAAGTACTATTGATGCCTTAGCTCTAACATGAAGAATATGCACTTGGGTGCTTGTACTTCTAACCACCGGGAACGGAATGTGTTATCTTTTAGGGCAAAGCTGTCTTATTGTTGTAGTCATTGTGGCTGGTATTGAATCCTTGGGAGCAGGCAGCATGTGGCACAGCTTGACCTTTCCGATCAGGCAGATTAAGAACATTATATTTTCCACCCAGTCAATGCAGGGCCTATGGTTAATGATTACTTAGAGCCTAAATCCCACAGCTGATTTTCTATCATTTGGAAATGATCAGAGCCCATGTCCAGCAAAATCTGGCAGTGACATTTTTGGCAAGCTCTTTCAACAGCAGATGCTTTCAGGAAAGACAGAGAGCAAGTGGGGATGAGGGGAGGAAAATCCTATATTTCATGTAAAATTTATTTTGCTTCTAGTTCAACCACGCACCTTCATTCTTTCAAAGTGACGTGTTGATACTGGTGACTTTTAGCATGGTAATATATTACATGTCACTATTAGGATAAAATGGCATTGTCTGCTTGCTTATTCTAATTTCATAATTGCAAATTCTCTTTCTATTGAAAAATAGCATTCATTGTCAGAAGTGCACTAAAATAACTTCAACACTTCAAGCAACAACTTTTTCATTAACATACATCAGAATAAGTTTCATAGGTCACTAAAAAGAGAAACCTGAAAGGCCTATCTTTATTAAAATAGAGAAGAGGAAATGGAGAAGTAGAATCAAGGTGAGGAGTCATATAAACAAAATAATGTGAATTTCCTTCCAATAGCAGTGTCTGGTAAATATTCCTTCCCTCTGTTCATTGTTTCTGTTGTTATTCTGTTTTTGTTTTGTTTTGTTTCCCTCTCTCTCCTTATCCTTCTTTAAATTCAAACTGTAAATTCTGGTATAGAGTAGACACCACTGTATGTCTACTAGACAAAGGGCCTGGGCTGAGTTGGGGTTGACTAATGTTTCTAGCCTGCGAGATTTTCCTTATGGCTCTCATTAGGCACTACCCCTTGTGCCGCAAAAAGCCAAAACTAGGCTTTGGTGACCTATGTTTCCCTATATGTAGAATGTGATCCAAAAATGCAATGCATACAAGTAGATCTCTGATCAAAACTGCAAAAGAACCAGAGTTAACTTTTGATCCTGCTAATTTTTATTTTTCTGAACTTTGGCCTTTTTATTTTTCATTCAATCACACAGGGCCCTGATAGTGGCCTATTTACAGCTATGCAAATCTACTAATTTCACCTAATGACACTCTTAACCAAGTACTCTATTCTCCAAAACTAAATATCTGCTGTTCATCCAACTCATCCACAGTCTAAATTCTGATTATTCTGAGCTCTGCTATTGTCAACAATATGTTTATTGTGTTCTATGATTATATTCCTATACATCAGATTACGAATGACTGATAGATAACACTTTCTAAAGTATCCACATGTAAGAGAAGTACCTATTGATCCTTTTGTAGTTCATAAACAGGATGATAGGGTTTTCACATTTATTGTGAGATGTGCTTCCCTCCAACCTTGTTATGATGTTGATGCATTATCCATCTGATATGAACTTAGGAAAAAAAGAAGTATTTGTTGGCATAAATTATTATTGAATGATAAAATTGCTATATTGGAAGATAAAGAAATAGTACACATATCAAACACTTGATCATTCTTCTCTCTCACCTGCTATCTGTGATATAAGCAGCTGTATTAAAGTTGCCTAAAAATGTGGAAATAGACAGTAGAAGGCAATAAAGACTTCCGTAATTGATATGCGGCTTCTATCAGGTCCAAGGGAACTGCTTCACTTGTCATCTCCCAGTAAGTGGGAAGAGAAGGAAAATATATAGATGATTTGACTCTCATCCCATTGACCAGACATAGTAACATGGCCACACAAATTACAAAGGAGGCTGGGAAATATACTTTCTAGCTAAGAAAACATATTGCTAAATGAAACTGTCACACTTTAAAAGAATATGACCATGACATTATCAAACAATAGGAGAGTGGTTAGTGTTAGACAAAGGCACTAGCACACTAATTAGTAAAATGAAAGATAATTTGGTCCAGAAGACAGTACCATAAGATGGATTTGATGTTGCTTAAACAATATTACCTGTAAAGCTTTGATTCATATCTTGCCTGCAACCTTACATGGTTGTTTATTCAGGTAAGGCCAATAAAGGCTTCACTTGGGTACTACCCCATGTACCGCAAAAAGCAAAGATAGAAAATGTGTCCTCATCAATTTTGTGGATGACACAAATGTGAGCAGGGAAGTGACTTCACAAGATAAGAGAAGTGAAATTACAGAAAAACTGGGCAGACTAAAATCGTGAGCTGAAATTATAAAGATGGAAATTTAAAAATATTAAATGGAAAGTGACTTTAAGCTCAAAAGTACTCTGCAAGTATAAAATGACTTAGCAGTTCACATACTAAGGATATAGATTCCTTTAAGAATAAATCCAATAAGCATTAGCACTGAGGCATAGCTCTCCCAAGAGCTAAATGCATTTAAATAAGTTAAGTCATCCTTCCACTAAATGCTGCGTCAGAATGAACACATCTGTGTGGTTGTCACTGGGATAAATGCCACATTTGAAGGGGTCTGCAACAATATGGAGTACATAAATATAAGGGCAGTTATTTCATATGTGGAGTGATTGAAAGAACTATAAATATTTTCCTTGAGGAAGACAAGGCTTATAAGGGGCAATGAATGATAACAATCTTCACATATTTGAAGAATTGTCAACAGAGTGTAAAGCCCTCTAGGGCCAAACTGGGACAATTGGATTACACAGAGATAGATTTTAAACTTAGTATACAGTTTAAAATAATTAGACTATTTTTAAAATGGTTTGTCTTTGAAAGGAGGAAAGTTTCTAATCTGTATTCTTTCATGATCTCTAAGGTTTCTTCCATCTCAGAGATTCTATACAATCATTATGCATTTTTGAACAAAGTGTTTCCCTCAGCTTCACGTATGCATAAACTCACAGGCATGTATACAAACATGCATAAAAATAATCCATTAGAAATGAGATAAATAGCACCGATATGGTTGCCTAGTGGGGTGTACTGCCCAACTACTCCCAGCACCGATCTTTCACCTTTGCCATGACTTTTTCTTCTCTAAGGGTTTGGTTAAAACATAATTATGGCTGTTGAAGTGTATGTTTCTAGCACAACATAGAATATACGAGGCCCCTAGATAAAGGGGACTTTTCCATTTATGGGGCTTTAGGATTTTTTTAACCATTTAGGATGCTTAAACAGCTGACACATTTTTGTAGTATCAAGGAGTAGGTGGTATGCGGCTTTGAAAACTAAACTACCCACTGCAAGTCATTAGGAAGCCAGAATGAATTTTTTTCACTTCAATTTCAACATTATAGATATGATCACATGGTGCTTATTTTATCACTGGGGTGTAATGATATAAGCATATCCTTGAAATCAGATGACTGGAGTTTAAGTCATTGTTGTGGGACAATTTTAGTTCTGTGAATTTTGGTAAATCACTTAGACTCTTTTATCCTTGATTTCTTCATTTTTAAATGAGCATAATGACTGTCTTATAGTATTATCATAGATGTCAAATGATATAACCATGCAAAACATTTTATAAGTTATATACAAGTAAAATATTATTAATATTATTCCTGGAAATGGTTTCAAAGACTAAATTTTCCTTATTCTAAAATTTCTTATTTATCTCTGTGGATTATCTGTATCCTCTTTTCAATTTCAGTCTGGCTTTTCTCTGCCACCTGTCATACATATGGGCCAGTTTCTGGATTTCCACATTTGCTCCTCCATTCATTTTCATCAATTACTACTTTCTCAAATTAAAATTTGCTTAAAAAAGACGAAAGAAAAGTGGCTGTGAAATCGCATATAAGCAAAGTCCAAATAAAATTACTCTTTAAATTAATAGAAAGCATTGGACAAACCAAAATAGCAGAAAGTTAGCTAGAGCTCAAAAATTCAGAAGGGTTTGGAGGATTCAGATTATAACCTGCTTAATATTTAGAAGAGCTGGCAATCCGCCAGTCAGGAAGAAATTATTCACTGCAATGCCCTGCATATCTTTACTGTTGTCACCTCTCCATCTAACATAGCTCCGGAGACTAGAGACTGATTATCTGATGTGTTGGACACATCAGGAGTTCGAGACCAGCCTGGCCAACATGGTGAAACCCCAGCTCTACTAAAAATACAAAAAAAAATTAGCTGGCCTGCTGGCGCATGCCTGCGATACCATCTACTGGGGAGGCTGAGGCAGGAGAATCGCTTGAACCTGGGAGATGGAGCTCACACTGAGCCAAGATCGTGCTACTGCACTCCAGCCGGGGTGACAGATTGAGACTTCATCTCAACAACAACAACAACAACTGCAGATTTTTCTGATATTAGCCTCAAAAATCATAGCTGACACATTAACAAAATTGACCTTCCTTGAACTAGAAGGGAAATGCTGGGGTGATATTACATCTGTCACTTGTATGGACAACACTTTATAATATTTCTCATAACAGAAATTCAGAAGCATCTTAAGCCCCTCTCAATTGACTCCTCTAGTCCAAGTTAATTATTTCAACCTCTATGTTCCTAAGTATCTTGTCCATGTGCTAATTATAGCACTTATCACACTGAATTTAATAAAAAGTAAGTAAGCATGTAGTTTGTACATTATAGATGGTTTTTCATACTGAGTGTAAGGGAATTCCATTTCACTGAATGTGATCTACATTTAAATTCACCTTTATTCATTTCTTCCTTATTCAATGAATTGTGCCAAATACTGTTTGGATTCACAGGAGATATTTGAGAAGTGAACATCAAAACACATCTTTGCAATTCAAAGGGATACATACTATTTTAATAAATCAGTTTTAAATTATGTGAGAATCAAAAGTATCATAGAGAGAAAGTAGTAGCCTATGAGATGAATCTGAGGGAAAGTCAGGATTTTGCACGTTGCGTGGAGGCCTTATAGACACACTGGACTACAAATACACCATTTCTGATTTACCCACTAGGCTTTGCATTCTCAGAGCCAAAAATAATGTCTTACACATTGTGTTCATTTGCTAGGGCTACTGTAGCAAGGTACTACAAACTGAGTGGCTTAAAACAATAGACATTTATTGTCTCACAGTTCTTGAGGCTAGCAGTCCAAACTGAAGGTTTTGGCCAGACCATGTGTTCTGCGAAGAATCTAGAGGAGGATCTTCACTGCTTCTCCCAGCTTCTGGCAGCCAAGGCTCACTGCAGCATAACTCCAGTTTCTGTCCCCATCTTCACATGGCTGTCCTCCCTGTGGATGAGGTGATGTCTCTACATTGCCTTCTCTCTATGAGCATCTCTGTGTCTTCACGTGGCATTCTCCTCTCTCTGTGCATCTGTGTCCACATTTCCCTTTGCTTATAAGGACACTATTCCTATTGGATAAGGGCTCACCCTAATGATTTCATCTTAACTTGATTACATCTGTAAAAACTCTATTTCCAAATAAGGTCACATTCACAGATACTCACAATTAAGACTCCAACATATCTTTTTGGGGGATACAGTTTAGCCCAAACATTCTTAATTATAACCCCAATATTTATCAGAGAATATACAAAATTCTAAGCATTCAATATATGTTAGCTAAATTTTAAAATGTTCATTTTTACATCCTACTATAACCCTCACACTATCGTTTAAAACTGTATAAATTGTTCTTGATTCAGGAAAATTGAGAAATAAATGATTACCATCATCCAAGAAATAGTCAACCTACTTGAAAGTTGTTGTCATCCTTAGCCAGGTCTTTCTCCAATTAAATTATTCAAATACTTTTATCTTCTATATACATCCTATTTTATAGTTCTTCAATCATCTTTGTTACCACCCACTGTATCCTAAGATGGAACTTGCAATTTATCCTTTCAGAAATAAATTTTGGGTTGCTTCAGACCTCTAAAATGTTTATATGCACGATATCACTTTTCCTAAACTCCTGTTTCCTTTGCTATTTATTTTTTCCACTTAGTTCTCATGGAGACAGTGAAGGCTTCATGATAACTTTGGATTTGAATTTAATAATTTTTTCATGTGGAATTGTCAAAAATATGGCCCGAAAGTTTTTCTATGAACTTGCCGACTTTTTGTCCTTTTTACTGTAAAATGAGAAAAGTCACATTGAAAACTGCAGAAGTTAAACTGGCATGTTTCACCTAGTACCCCTAAGGTAACTTCAGCTGTGTTTTAGTAAATGCCGTGAGTCACAGTGCTCTCTCTCGGTTCAGAGCTCTTTGGTACCTACAGGTCTTATTTCATATCAGAAGCAGCTGGATTTCACACCTACATTTGTCACCCTTCTAGATACTTCCTTCTGAGCTTATTAACACCATCCAGCAGCTACCTTGAAGATATGCTGCCAGGAAAAATGAATGTTTTCTGCAAGGAGCAAAAAGGTTTTCTATTCCCATATGTCAGCACTTCAGTTCAGGCCCACTGCCAATAACTAATAGCATTTAAACAATAGTTCATTCAGGTGAGAGTTACGAAAATGCTCCTCTTCTGAGATGATTCACCAGATATTGTTATGCAAAAATGAGAAGAAAATTGGTTGATTTTTGCATCTAAAAACTACTGAAGCACATTTAAAATGAAGCTACAGATCAGGTTCCCAGTCCATGCTTCACACTGAACTTGCTATTTGACAATGAATTTTCACATGACTTTTCAACATCTCCCTTTTCTCACATGTAAAATTAAGAGAATAGCATCTTTTTACCTGCTCATTGTGAGGTTGAAGAGATATTATGTGGGAAATCACTCTAAAATTAGAAGGCACTGAGCATATTTTGGGCATACTTCAGATGTTATTCATACTCTAATTTAGAAGTTTAAAAAATTAAAATCTATAAATCAAGAAAGATGACTAAAGAGAATCATTGGTGATTAATGATTATGCACCTGATTTCTTATTCCATTGTTGCATTTTGGGAAATTAGCTATTTATGTTCTACTCGAGTGTTGACTTTCAACTTAGAATATAATATGAAAACTTCATTTTTTTCAGATAAACCTCAATTTTCTGATAAATCTTAGAGTACATTGCAGGAGGGAGACAACTATTTGCAAGCGAGTTGAGTTCAGGATCACAGAAAGTCACATACCCAATTTCCTGTGCAGAGAGGTTAATAAACTGAGTAAGATATTCACTCCTGGGTTGAATCTTAAATCTGTTGCCATCTAGAAATAAAAATGTAACCTTTTATATAGAATCCAAACACATGTAAACCATAATAGGAAAAGTAGAATTATGATCATAAAACAAGCTATGATCATAATAAAGGAAAGAAGAGATGGCTATAACTCTGAGTCTTTGCTGAGTACCAAAGCAGCAACAAAAATGATGAAGGTCCTCTGATTTGAGTAAAAATTTTGAGATAGTTTTGACAGATAAGCATAGATAAAGTAAAGGATTCATCAAAGTAGGAATAGTGAGATGGTGCATAAGTTTTATTTTATTATTATTTCAGCTTCTTTTCCTAATTTTGCTATAATGAAGTTATTTACCTATAAAATTTAAATATATATGTACATAAATACGTAATCACCACCCAATCTTTAAGGCCAAACTTTAACGCTATCTTCAACATGAAGCCTTTACCAAGCCCTCAGTCAACAGGACTAGCATTCTTATTGAATCATAAATGTGTTATACATATCTTATTTCTCTTACAAACTCAGAAATCGATTCCACAAATCAATTCAATAAATATCCAAGGTCTGTATTGTGTTTATATGTGTATACCCCAGTGTGTCCACTACAGTGCCTTGTCACAAATATTTATTGAAATTTTTGGATTGAGAAGTCATAATGACAAAACAATAAATCATTGATACTGACTACAACCATCTGGTATTATTTGATTGCAGAATGAGAAATCTAATGCGAAGAGGTTTTTTTTTCAAGCATTTGAAAATACATATTGAAAGAGATGTTAAAATGACTGAACAGCCAGTGGAGTTTTTGAGTAGAGGACTGATGTTCTCTATGCATGAATTCAGTTTCAGATAAATACACTTAATTGTCTGATGGATAATGTCACCATAAAATATTACAACTCAGAGAGAATACAGAAGTTCAAACTATTGAGAGATCAATGTGATGAGTACCCTTGAAAAGGTTAAGGCTCTCAAAAAGCTATTTGAAATTGTCATTAGTAATAGTATTCTAGAGGGAGAAATGTAATTGTGTGATATTTTGAGGTGATAAGTTGTCTTATCAGGGGTCTGTTAGGGCAAAGGCAGAGTTCATAAGAAAAATGCACTTCTGATTTATATCCCTAAACTTTGCAGGATTTGTTCTGGCATTTAAATAAATACTAAACTACATGGCTATGGACAGGAGCCCTTTGTTTTTCAGTGATAACCTTGCTGCTTCTTCCACTTCTCCATGGGATATAAAGAAGGTCATTTTCTAGAATAAAACTCATTCCCCTGTTCATGCTTCATCACACAGATTGCTGACAATTGGGGATCTCTGCTCTCCAGCATGGGACACAGACCCCTGTTTTTGACACAGTGAGTTGGTTCTGGTCAGTAGAAGATACAAAACACTTAGATCATGTTGTTGGGCTCAGTTAGCTAGCTTTGCTTTTTGGATATGTAATGTATAGGGGAATGCACTTCCCAGATCCTCAATAAAGTACTTGTCCCAGCTATTGAGAGTGCTGTCAGCACACAGCCTGCATGCGTTTGCCTTTCAGAAGTTGCTTAAGCTTCAGAGAACCACCTTGGTCAAGTTCACACCCTTCAGAGCAGGGGTCCATATAAACTGATAGATTGAAGCAAGATTATAAAGGCCAGGCCACTTCAGCCTCATTTAGGAAAATTGTGATGACTTATTTTAGCTCTAGAGTTCCCTATGGGGTTAGCGGAAGTTGTTGTTGGGCCTGTTTTGCACTTTGACTTCTCCCTTGGCCCAATCCTGTTTCTTTAGCCTGCCTTCTACAAGTATTGACTACAGGAAACTCCATAATATACATCCTGCACATTAAACTTCACGCTAAAATTGGCTTTGGAGGACCTATGTGCAATAGGGTGAAACAGACAAACTTGTAGAATGACTTTTCTTAAGTGCAAAGCAAGGATTCAGAGGACACAATAATCCTAGAATGCTAGAGAGAATTCTGGGTAGTATAAATAGTTTATAGGAATGTCCTCAGCAGGACAGAGCATGGCATGGGTGAAGCTAGGAAAGGTAAGCTTTTCAAAATGAGAGTGGCACAAAAGGAAGCAGGAGAAACAGGCGACTTTGAAGTTACAAAGACCACAGGTGAATGTAGCTGATCCCTGGCAGTAGGAGGGTGTGACTACCACTAAGAACATTGAATGTTAGCAAAAGAAATGTGAATTTCATTTCGTAATCAAAGAGAAATTAGTGAAGTTTTTTTAAAAAAACATGAGAATTGTGTTTTAGGAAACTGAATGAGTCAGTGTGTAAAGTGAATTTGAGAAGGAGGAAAGATGGAGAAGCCAAAGATGACATTAGAAAATTGTTAGAACAATCCTGCCATGATGAAAGCCAGAATGTAAATTTTAAAATTACATGTATATGCGTGTATGTGTGTATAGAGACAGAAACAGAGAAAATTTGAAAGAGGAAATGGCACGAAGAATTGTATTATAAGAGGTGCTATATGGGAATTAAATGTAGCAGCAATCCTTCTAAAATCTTCCCTACATGCCAACGACCATATTATGAATACCATTTACTGAACACCGAAATAAACTCGGAATTTTACCAGGAACCTTTAGCTATATTTCATTATTTTAATACCCACTTTGACATAGCTATTTCTCTTTATGGTTTGTAAATAAAAAGACTAAATTTAGAAATGTCCAACGTTATGCAGTTAATAAATGTCAGAATTGGAACTTGAACACAGGCCTATTTAAATTAATTTTCAGTACTCTTAAGCACTGTACTATCACAGATCTAAAATATAAATATTTTTATTTTGAAAAGCTTCCTTTTATTAGTAAGTAAGGTAAGGTAAAAATTGCAGATCATGCATGCATGATTACTTACTGCTGCCAACATATTTTTGAACTAGTCTAACTCTAAGCCATTACATCACATGAATACAGGAGTCCAAGGGGAATACACGATCTAAAACTAAATCTGCCCGGCAAATACAAGTTACCTCTTCTTCTTTTTTTTTTTTTTTCTTTTTCTTTATTTTATTTTATTTTTTTGTTATACTTTAAGTTTTAGGGTACATGTGCACATTGTGCAGGTTAGTTACATATGTATACATGTGCTATGCTGGTGCGCTACACCCACTAACTCGTCATCTAGCATTAGGTATATCTCCCGATGCTATCCCTCCCCCCTCCTCCCCCCACCACAGTCCCCAGAGTGTGATATTCTCCTTCCTGTGTCCATGTGATCTCATTGTTCAATTCCTACCTATGAGTGAGAATATGCGGTGTTTGGTTTTTTGTTCTTGCGATAGTTTACTGAGAATGATGATTTCCAATTTCATCCATGTCCCTACAAAGGACATGAACTCATCATTTTTTATGGCTGCATAGTATTCCATGGTGTATATGTGCCACATTTTCTTAATCCAGTCTATCATTGGTGGACATTTGGGTTGGTTCCAAGTCTTTGCTATTGTGAATAATGCCGCAATAAACATACGTGTGCATGCGTCTTTATAGCAGCATGATTTATAGCCCTTTGGGTATATACCCAGTAATGGGATGGCTGGGTCAAATGGTATTTTTAGTTCTAGATCCCTGAGGAATCGCCACACTGACTTCCACAATGGTTGAACTAGTTTACAGTCCCACCAACAGTGTAAAAGTGTTCCTATTTCTCCACATCCTCTCCAGCACCTGTTGTTTCCTGACTTTTTAATGATTGCCATTCTAACTGGTGTGAGATGGTATCTCATAGTGGTTTTGATTTGCATTTCTCTGATGGCTAGTGATGATGAGCATTTTTTCATGTGTTTTTTGGCTGCATAAATGTCTTCTTTTGAGAAGTGTCTGTTCATGTCCTTCGCCCACTTTTTGATGGGGTTGTTTGTTTTTTTCTTGTAAATTTGTTTGAGTTCATTGTAGATTCTGGATATTAGCCCTTCGTCAGATGAGTAGGTTGCGAAAATTTTCTCCCATTTTGTAGGTTGCCTGTTCACTCTGATGGTAGTTTCTTTTGCTGTGCAGAAGCTCTTTAGTTTAATTAGATCACATTTGTCAATATTGGCTTTTGTTGCCATTGCTTTTGGTGTTTTGGACATGAAGTCCTTGCCCATGCCTATGTCCTGAATGGTATTGCCTGGGTTTTCTTCTAGGGCTTTTATGGTTTTAGGTCTAACGTTTAAATCTTTAATCCATCTTGAATTGATTTTTGTATAAGGTGTAAGGAAGGGATCCAGTTTCAGCTTTCTACATATGGCTAGCCAGTTTTCCCAGCACCATTTATTAAATAGGCAATCCTTTCCCCATTGCTTGTTTTTGTCAGGTTTGTCAAAGATCAGATAGTTGTAGGTCGGCGGCGTTATTTCTGAGGGCTCTGTTCTGTTCCATTGATCTATATCTCTGTTTTGGTACCAGTACCATGCTGTTTTGGTTACTGTAGCCTTGTAGTATAGTTTGAAGTCAGGTAGTGTGATGCCTCCAGCTTTGTTCTTTTGGCTTAGGATTGACTTGGCAATGCGGGCTCTTTTTTGGTTCCATATGAACTTTAAAGTAGTTTTTCCAATTCTGTGAAGAAAGTCATTGGCAGCTTGATGGGGATGGCATTGAATCTATAAATTACCTTGGGCAGTATGGCCATTTTCATGATATTGATTCTTCCTACCCATGAGCATGGAATGTTCTTCCATTTGTTTATATCCTGTTTTATTTCCTTGAGCAGTGGTTTGTAGTTCTCCTTGAAGAAGTCCTTCACATACCTTGTAAGTTGGATTCCTAGGTATTTTATTCTCTTTGAAGCAATTGTGAATGGGAGTTCACTCATGATTTGGCTCTCTGTTTGTCTGTTATTGGTGTATAAGAATGCTTGTGATTTTTGTACGTTGATTTTGTATCCTGAGACTTTGCTGAAGTTGCTTATCAGCTTAAGGAGATTTTGGGCTGAGACAATGGGGTTTTCTAGATATACAATCATGTCATCTGCAAACAGGGACAATTTGACTTCCTCTTTTCCTAATTGAATACCCTTTATTTCCTTCTCCTGCCTCATTGCCCTGGCCAGAACTTCCAACACTATGTTGAATAGGAGTGGTGAGAGAGGGCATCCCTGTCTTGTGCCAGTTTTCAAAGGGAATGCTTCCAGTTTTTGCCCATTCAGTATGATATTGGCTGTGGGTTTGTCATAGATAGCTCTTATTATTTTGAAATACGTCCCATCAATACCTAATTTATTGAGAGTTTTTAGCATGAAGCGTTGTTGAATTTTGTCAAAGGCTTTTTCTGCATCTATTGAGATAATCATGTGGTTTTTGTCTTTGGTTCTGTTTATATGCTGGATTACATTTATTGATTTGCGTATATTGAACCAGCCTTGCATCCCAGGGATGAAGCCCACTTGATCATGGTGGATAAGCTTTTTGATGTGCTGCTGGATTTGGTTTGCCAGTATTTTATTGAGGATTTTTGCATCAATGTTCATCAAGGATATTGTTCTAAAATTCTCTTTTTTGGTTGTGTCTCTGCCCGGCTTTGGTATCAGAATGATTCTGGCCTCATAAAATGAGTTAGAGAGGATTCCCTCTTTTTCTATTGATTGGAATAGTTTCAGAAGGAATGCTACCAGTTCCTCCTTGTACCTCTGGTAGAATTCGGCTGTGAATCCATCTGGTCCTGGACTCTTTTTGGTTGGTAAACTATTGATTATTGCCACAATTTCAGCTCCTGTTATTGGTCTATTCAGAGATTCAACTTCTTCCTGGTTTAGTCTTGGGAGAGTGTATGTGTCGAGGAATGTATCCATTTCTTCTAGATTTTCTAGTTTATTTGCTTAGAGGTGTTTGTAGTATTCTCTGATGGTAGTTTGTATTTCTGTGGGATCGGTGGTGATATCCCCTTTATCATTTTTTATTGTGTCTATTTGAGTCTTCTCTCTTTTTTTCTTTATTAGTCTTGCTAGCGGTCTATCAATTTTGTTGATCCTTTCAAAAAACCAGCTCCTGGATTCATTGATTTTTTGAAGGGTTTTTTGTGTCTCTATTTCCTTCAGTTCTGCTCTGATTTTAGTTATTTCTTGCCTTCTGCTAGCTTTTGAATGTGTTTGCTCTTGCTTTTCTAGTTCTTTTAATTGTGATGTTAGGGTGTCAATTTTGGATCTTTCCTGCTTTCTCTTGTGGGCATTTAGTGCTATAAATTACCCTATACACACTGCTTTGAATGCGTCCCAGAGATTCTGGTATGTTGTGTCTTTGTTCTCGTTGGTTTCAAAGAACATCTTTATTTCTGCCTTCATTTCGTTATGTACCCAGTAGTCATTCAGGAGCAGGTTGTTCAGTTTCCATGTAGTTGAGTGGCTTTAAGTGAGATTCTTAATCCTGAGTTCTAGTTTGATTGCACTGTGGTCTGAGTGATAGTTTGTTATAATTTCTATTCTTTTACATTTGCTGAGGAGAGCTTTACTTCCAACTATGTGGTCAATTTTGGAATAGGTGTCGTGTGGTGCTGAAAAAAATGTATATTCTGTTGATTTGGGGTGGAGAGTTCTGTAGATGTCTATTAGGTCTGCTTGGTGCAGAGCTGAGTTCAATTCCTGGGTATCCTTGTTGACTTTCTGTCTCGTTGATCTGTCTAATGTTGACAGTGGGGTGTTAAAGTCTCCCATTATTATTGTGTGGGAGTCTAAGTCTCTTTGTAGATCACTCAGGACTTGCTTCATGAATCTTGGTGCTCCTGTATTGGGTGCATATATGTTTAGGATAGTTAGCTCTTCTTGTTGAATTGATCCCTTTACCATTATGTAATGGCCTTCTTTGTCTCTTTTGATCTTTGTTGGTTTAAAGTCTGTTTTATCAGAGACTAGGATTGCAATCCCTGCCTTTTTTTGTTTTCCATTTGCTTGGTAGATCTTCCTCCATCCTTTTATTTTGAGCCTATGTGTGTCTCTGCACATGAGATGGGTTTCCTGAATACAGCACACTGATGGGTCTTGACTCTTTATCCAATTTGCCAGTCTGTGTCTTTTAATTGGAGAATTTAGTCCATTTACATTTAAAGTTAATATTCTTATGTGTGAATTTGATCCTGTCATTATGATGTTAGCTGGTGATTTTGCTCGTTAGTTGATGCAGTTTCTTCCTAGTCTCGATGGTCTTTACATTTTGGCATGATTTTGCAGCGGCTGGTACTGGTTGTTCCTTTCCATGTTTAGCGCTTCCTTCAGGAGCTCTTTTAGGGCAGGCCTGGTGGTGACAAAATCTCTCAGCATTTCCTGGTCTGTAAAGTATTTTATTTCTCCTTCACTTATGAAGCTTAGTTTGGCTGGATATGAAATTCTGGGTTGAAAATTCTTTTCTTTAAGAATGTTGAATATTGGCCCCCACTCTCTTCTGGCTTGTAGGGTTTCTGCCGAGAGATCCGCTGTTAGTCTGATGGGCTTCCCTTTGAGGGTAACCCGACCTTTCTCTCTGGCTGCCCTTAACATTTTTTCCTTCATTTCAACTTTGGTGAATCTGACAATTATGTGTCTTGGAGTTGCTCTTCTTGAGGAGTATCTTTGTGGCGTTCTCTGTATTTCCTGAATCTGAACATTGGCCTGCCTTGCTAGATTGGGGAAGTTCTCCTGGATAATATCCTGCAGAGTGTTTTCCAACTTGGTTCCATTCTCCCCATCACTTTCAGGTACACCAATCAGACGTAGATTTGGTCTTTTCACATAGTCCCATATTTCTTGGAGGCTTTGCTCATTTCTTTTTATTCTTTTTTTCTCTAAACTTCCCTTCTCGCTTCATTTCATTCATTTCATCTTCCATTGCTGATACCCTTTCTTCCAGTTGATCGCATCGGCTCCTGAGGCTTCTGCATTCTTCACGTAGTTCTCGAGCCTTGGTTTTCACTCCATCAGCTCCTTTAAGCACTTCTCTGTATTGGTTATTCTAGTTATACATTCTTCTAAATTTTTTTCAAAGTTTTCAACTTCTTTGCCTTTGGTTTGAATATCCTCCCGTAGCTCAGAGTAATTTGATCGTCTGAAGCCTTCTTCTCTCAGCTTGTCAAAGTCATTCTCCATCCACCTTTGTTCCATTGCTGGTGAGGAACTGCATTCCTTTGGAGGAGGAGAGGCGCTCTGCGTTTTAGAGTTTCCAGTTTTTCTGTTCTGTTTTTTCCCCATCTTTGCGGTTTTATCTACTTTTGGTCTTTGATGATGGTGATGTACAGATGGGTTTTTCGGTGTGGATGTCCTTTCAGTTACCTCTTCTTCTACTGTCATAATCTGTTAACATATCTGGGTGTATTCATTCATAAATGTGTCTTTATATTTAGGTAGGAGCAGAAGTTCTTCGTCCTCTACTTCAGCAGTTGGATTCTTCAGAGACTCATCGGTCTCTTCACTTTGAAGTTTCATGCCACTGGAAGAAAGCACCGCATGTTCCCATAATGCTTTGTATTATTTTCGCTGGTATCCAGTCCCCAGTGGAAAAGCAATCTTGCAGCATGTCAAGAGTGAAAATGGACAAAACATTTGCAATCTGGAACCTGGAATTGACCTTGGGCCAGTAACAGAGCTGCATAATCATTATAATAAAAATTTACCAAAAAGGACATATAGAACAGTATTCATATTACATTATCATTTGCATTATAAGTCCCCAATTATGCCTAGAAGGAGATACCAAGTCATATCTTCAAATATTACCTCATTCAGAATGACAGTGGTATTTAGACAACAGAGTGATCTGTTGAATGACAAAAAGCCTACTTACAAACTTGTTGGGCAGCTGTGTCCCAACAAGCCTATTCAAACACCTTTATAAATCCATATTAATTTTATAATCTGGACTTAAGTTTACAAAAGGGGCCTATTTATAAGTTTCTTAAATGCAATTGATGGTATATTTATGTATTCCATATATTTTGCTTTTATAGGAGAGGTTAATGACAAATTTAGAACCTCTTTGTAACATCTGTAAAAGGACACTATCAAAACCTGGGAGAGTTCTATAAGGTCAGCATGGATTCATAAGAAGCCTTCTTGGTCACCTCCCATGGAAATGCAGCTGCCCTGTCAGGTAATAACATGTGTCTTAGTACACTCTCTTTGTTGTCAATCTCTTAAATCCCCAGATCAACTTGGGGCCACAGACAGAACTGTTATTCAAGGCAACATCACACACAAATACTTCATTAATGTGCTGCAGGAAATCACAAATAGTGGAAGGGTAGTCCCGCAAAGAATCATGGAACTGTGTTCACTCCTGTGACAATCACCAGGATACTCTTCAGATAACATGCTTCCAATTGTTGAAAATAAAAAATGTGACAGTCAATAAGTCTCAACATTCTGAAAGGTGTCATTGTGATGACAGGTCAATTGCATGGAATAATCATTTCAAGTAGAAAATCAAGCAGGTTAGAAATAATTGCATTTTATAATACACACATGCAGTATACCCTCACACATACAAGAAAAATGAGATTCCCCAAGAAAGCATTAGGCTTGTGTTTGGGTTTCTTGAGATCATGAGATGGATATACGTTGTTTGAGAAGTCAGTATCAGTGGTCTTGAAGTAGCATATAAATAACTAATGTATGCTCATTAGGAACTTCTGAAAGTCTTTAAATTGTCCTTTGATGAACATACATGATCAAAATGTAGCTAGCTCCTTATTATTCAGCTTTCAGCTTTAATATCACTCCTTCGGGTATCATGCCTTCAGAAGGCCTCCCTTGACCACCCAGTCTAAAGTAACTCTTTCTCTCTCTTCAACACATTACTGTGGTTTTGAAAATTGTGAATAATATATCACTGCTTGATATTTTCTTTCTGTTTACTTATGTAATTATTTTCTCTCTTTTCCAGCTAGAATTTCAGCTCTATGAACATACAATCCACTTTCGTTTTGTTCATCATTGTACACTTAATATCTTGATTTCCATGTAACAGAGTATCTTCATATAAATGTGTGGAAAAAATATTTTTAAATTACATCAAGCCTGAATGATGTTTCCACTAATGTATATTAAGGACATATAATGTTCCCGACTGTTAGTTAGAACAAATAATTATACCATTTACTCTTCATAACCATCCTGTGAGGTGAGCATTAGCATAGATTCTACAGATGGGAAACCTAAGGTTCAGAACATACTGGAGTTTGTTTTCTTTGTACTCCAATGTCCCAGATGGTACATTTCCACCCAATCTATCACAAGATTACACACTTGTTTTTGTTTCTAGTGTTTGCTATATTTGGGGCTAGCTACCCAACTGTACTTTAAGCTCCTTAATGATACAGATAGTATCTTCTATTGGTTTTGTCTTCATAGTAGTATTCATGACAGTTGTGGGCATGTAGATGTTGAGAAATAAAATGGTTTAAGTGGTTATGTAGGAAGATGGAAAATGCATCCCCATAACTGGGAGTGGAACGTGATCCTTCATACAGGTCCCAGAATCTCCCCTCATATCCTCCAGGAAATGGAACTCTAAGAACTGAGGATCAACTCACATATCTAGTCTGACATAAAGCTAATAGGGCATCATGCAATTCCCTATTCATTGATATTCCTTGAGGGGTGAAAAGCATGTATGGTTGCACTGTATCCCTACCTCTACATTTGTATATAATTCACTAATTTTTCATATTTCATGCCTGTCCTTGTCCCCGCTCCCATGGATCTCAAAATCTAAAATAAACATGCAGCTTCTCTCAAAAAGGCTAGTGCAGGGGCTATCTCCTGGAAGCAACATTTTGGTTATGTTTCTTAAAGGGTTTTTTGTTTGTTTTCAGACAGAGTCTCACTCTGTCGCCCAGGCAGAAGTGCAGTGGCACAAACACAGCTCACTGCAGCCTCGACCTCCCGGGCTCAAGCGGTCCTCCCACCTCCACCTTCCCAGTAGCTAGGACTATAGATGCATGCTACCATACCTGGCTAATTTTCCTTATTTTTTGTTGAGATGGGGTCTTGCCATGTTGCCCAGGCTGGTTTCAAACTCTTGGGCTCAAGTGATCCTCATGCATTGACCTCACAAAGTGCTGGAATTACAGGCATGAGCCACCATGTCTAGCCTTAAGCAAGGCTTACAAATACAGAAGCCTGGCCCTTGGTCAGTAGCATGAAAAGTATTACTAATTTTAAGCCTGTGTTGATGATTCTGGCTTCTTTCCAGGAAACAAGACAGAGAACAACGAAGGCTCCAGTCCCTTTCAAATCTAAGACAGTGTAGCGCACAAGGCATGGGCATAACTGTGATGTTAATTAAAAATTAGTTACCATTTACTCAGTGTTGAAAATGTGTCAGGCACTTCAGGGCATTGACCTATTAATCCTCCCAAGTATTTTCATGTCTACATTTACAGTCTAGGAAATTGAGGCAAGAGAGGCTGAGTAACTTGTGTAATGTCATATGGTCAGTTAATGGCTGATGCAAAATTTTGGCAGGAGATACTTTAATTGCAATGCCTAAAAATCAAGATATGAGCAAATTCTCCTGGGTTCATCTTCCATCTCCAAAATAAATTCAGAATATGTAGATCCTATGAATGCAATAAATTTCTTCCCATTTAAACTTGGTCTACATGTGCTTTCTAGCAAATTATGATGAATTAAACAAGCTATTGCATGCACTTTTGGTAAGCTTCAAAAGCGAGTTAATTGAGAACAGTAATCATTTCCAGTTGTATAATTCTAGCACATAGTGACTTTTAAATAATATGACTGATAAAATAAGTGTTAGAGCTTGAATAATACTGTCCTTTAAGATTCCTAAATTAATAATGTAGGCTCATTATTTTGGGTGATTCTATTGTCATATATGGCCATGATATATTCCACTTCCATTACATCTGGTATAAGATATGTATAAGCTACTGAAAATACAGTTTATCTCCATGAAGTAGTTATATATTCAATATAATTAATGCATTTCTACTGACTTAGGATTCTTAACCAGGAGAAATTTCTTCCTTCTTATTTTCCTAAAATAGAGCTCTGGTTAGCCAGAGGAAATAAACTAGAGGAAACACAGTCACTAAATTACCTAGTTTAGTAAAGATACTTTCCTCGAACACCAACTTTGTAATAGACATTTTTTTCCTTACTTATAATTCATTATTCCTTCCTAGTATTTCTAGCTTAATTTTCTTTTTGCCCTTTAATAAGACAATTTTGCCAATTCCAGAGCTGATTATTAAAAGATTACAATATATTTTTCCAAAGATTTTTGAATGTATTACAAAAATGAGAAAGACTTAATTCAAAGGAGTGAAATGGATTCTCTTGGCACAAAAACATGGCACTTGTATACAAATTGTTCATTTGAATCACAAAACCCATAAATATAGGCTGGGTAACATATTTGCACACCAACCAAAATATAACCTGAAACTATATTATCATACTTCAATTGCTTTATTTAGAACACCATTTTTTAAATTAGCTATAAAATATCACACTTAAATTTTTTGCATGTAATAAAATGTATGTATTTGTAATCATGGGACCATATTTAATAGATGTCTTACTTGGAAAAGCAAATTAAGCAAAATCCATTATTTATTTTTGTAGTGAAAGAATAGAAAAATCTGGCAAGGGAGTGAGCTGTCAAATATGTAACTCATTTTAAATTACTATTGGTTTTTCCTTTGTTTACATGACAATAGTAGTTCCCCTCTACAATAGTACAAAATGTTTTTCCCATTTTCAGAATTCCTATTTGAGACTTAGCACTAGCTCCAAAACTAACACTGGGCCCTGCCATGCAACTAAATCTACATCTTCCAGTTTACATATTAAATAAAGTGAATGAATTGTGCTGTTAAAATCCATACTTTCAGAGCAGATTCTTTTAGAATAATTTTCTGGTGTACGTACATAAGTGTTCAGCATGTGCTTAATATTTATATTTTATGGGTTCATTATTTTATTTATACATCAAGCACAGCACATTCATCAAGAGAGCAAAGCAATGTGGCAAGTGGGCCATTTATCATTTGGATCTGACGAATTATTAAATCTTATTAACTTGTCCAGTTTCAACTTATCTAGGATTATGGGAAAGCCTGATTTTAGAGACATGTTCTTAATGCATTTATTTTCCATACAGAAATTGTATCATTTGGTGCTAAAGAAAAGAGATTTTTATTTTAGAAAGGCATAATTTCTAGCTTAAAAGTTACCAGAGGAGGTTTTGCACAGTTTGTGTTTATAAAGTCACATTACCAGAGTGTTGATAGAAATAAACAGATCAATGGATTAATCTACTACTTGTAACATAAAGTGGATGATGGCAGATCAACTTAAAAGGGTTTGGTATTCTCTTAGAAAAATTTATGCACAGCTTTCAATTAAAGCTACATTATTTTGTATATTCTGACATATTCATTTGTATTGCTCCCCAGGAATTTAATGAGGGCAAGATTTTCCTCTCTCCATAGACCTCAGGGCCTTCAAAACTAAGGAATCCATCTCTTCACTCCCAAGGTGTTTAATTCTGTGCTCTTAACACAGTAGGAAATAAATTCTTGTTAAGTAAGGCAAATCTGTATGAATAGACCTTTGACAACTGATAAGATATTCTCTCATTCATGAAGAGTTCAAGCATTTTTAAGAGATAGTTTCCATTCAATATATTCAATATGTTTGTAAAAATCTGTCATTTAGGTTTTCAATGACTATGCATATGATAATTTGAATATGGTCTTCAAATTGGTGTTAAGGTAACAATATTGGTGTAACTATTTTGGAAAAAATAAGTTGTAAATGATGCTAATTCCAAAGATTGATGGAGTGCACCTATGTGCCAGGGACAGTACTAGATATGAAAGCAGCTTACAGTGTAATGGTGGGGACACAATTCCAAAATCAAATTATTCCAATATATTACAGTGTCTCGGTCAAGTTTTCCCCAAAAATTATAGCCTTGGGTGAAGGTCTGAATATTAGAAATTTATATGGGAATATGATCCCAGGAAGCAGAAGTATAGAATGGGGAAAGTAAACATGTTGGGATTATCCGATGAGCCTTACAAAGCGCATTTCACAACTCAGCCCCAACAGTCAAAAAGGAAAAGCATTTATCTGTCAGCTCCAGTTACACATCGATCAAAGGTGACTTCTCTGGCATTAATTTCAGAAAAATTCAGGTTGCATGTGCATGAGTGCTGGCAGGTTCTCACAGTCATCCCACATTAAGACAACCCAGAAGCCAGGGGCAGTAAATGGGCAGTGAATGAGAGGGAAGAATCGCTGGCCTAAAGTGAAGTACTGTCCAGTTGCACATGCATGACTCCAGATAAACATTTCTTGGGTTCTCTCAATCCTGTTGGAACATGGTCTGAACGACAAGGTAGAGTGAGAGAATATTGAACTGTCCAATACATAAGGTAAATGCTAAGATCAAAGGCAGTGTCAAAGCAGAGAGGAGGAACCTTTTTAGCCAAACCTAGGCTTTAGGGAAGACTTCTGAGATAATATTATGTCTAGGTTAGAAATAAAATAAAATGCAAGATGATATTAGATGCTAGGCATGGAACTGGACCCTAAGGATTGAGGTTAAGAATATAAGGCTTTAAGTGCCCTAAGCTACAAATTCAGAACCACCAGCTACCTCTCCATGGGACTTACTGAAATGAGAGCCATTTCACAATACCAACCCTTTGTCCACATAAGAGGAATGTGTTACTTCTTGATAAAATACGGTGTTCATGAAGAGAGGTCATTTACTCCTTTAAAATCCCTGTAGAAGAGCAGTGCTTTCATCTTCCAAACCAAGAGGAAAAAGGGCCCAAAACAGTCACTTGGTTGGATATGTTTGGGGGCACTGTATCTGAAAAGAGGATTAGGAGAGATTTCATGGTGGGCACTTCTACAAGTGAAGTCCCACAAGATGCTCTGGCTCCCAAATAGAATTGTCCTTTTGAATTAAGCGTCCTCATTGTGTCTGATTTTTGAGGACATTCCTTATTTTCCTACTGCCTCAGCAATGCTTTTCAAAAGACTTAAAACACAAATCATGAAGAACAACGGCTATGTACATTAAATATAACATCATTTATTTCACCTTCTTAAATACTTCTTTCAGTCCTGACAGAGACCCCAATTAATTTGGAGCTTCTCATTTATTTTCTTTTGGACATTTGGCTACAATACAATAAAAAATATCAAAATTTAATATATTTTTTAAAGATCCCACTTGCTCGAAGTATATAGATGCTGAAGCCAAAATTGAATATGACTGTATTTTTCTATAAACTAGTTGACCTGTTTCTTCGAGAAATTATCACAACGCAACCACATTAATGATGACAAATCATTCAGATTGGAGATTTACTGAACATCCCAGTTCATGTTCAGTGACTGCTTGTGTTTATGGTTTTATGTGGATCTGGCCTATTCTTTAGATATTATAAATTACCAACTACTTTAGATATTTTGAAATAAAATTCTTGAGTAAGAATAATAGCAGATGAATTATAACTTAAAATATTTCCTAATTCTGAGAACTGGAAGAAGAAAATGAGGAAAAGTACAGAGTGGGTGAAATTAACATAGTTTACTGAATGTGAAGATTAATTTGAAAACACTCAAGTTCAGAATATGCTGGTATCCCTCAAATCAGGGGGTGGGATGTATATCCAAGCTGGAAACAAGATGGGTGGTCTTCAATTGATGTTTATTGATGAAACTTCTTCATGAGTTTTCATACCCATGTTACTGGTCTTCAGAATAGAACCAGTGCCCGAGGAAGAGAAAGTCTATAGGGCTTAAAAATGAGTTTTCAAGAAAAGATTAAACAGAACTTTTCTAGTTTCTACAAAGGGGTAAATAGCAAATGGCAATGAGTGTCTTATTTGTTTCATCATATGTTTAATACAAACTAAAGTGAAACAACTGTGATGGAGGGTAGGAAGAAAAACAACAAAGTTTTCTTAAAGTTTCCAGACCCAATGCCAACATTAAAACAACAATATTAAGTATATATAAATGGAGGCAGTTTTGCCCAGACAGGCTGGCAAATATAACATTTAAGTGAAAAAGCCACCAAAATGCTTCCTCTTCTATTAAAAACCCAAAGAATTTTAATTTAAACTTAATTACAGTTTTAAGTAAAACATTACACGTTAATTATCCAGTCTCCAAGGACATGCAAAATAATGCCCTTTTGCAGGAAGTTGGTGGAGCATTGACTGGTTGCCAACCGTCAAACTAAAGAATTTTTAAAGGACCTGTATGCAAAGGTTTAAAAAGTTAAAGGAAATAAGATAATATATACACTTATGATTAATTAGCATAACTCCCATAATAATTCTCTGTGAAACCATAACTCATAATAAAAGAGAATCACATTGAAAATCAGAAAGTATTCATTCTTTTAAAGATGAAAAAATATATTATCATTTTACATAAATGTTCACATTTTTTCTGTTATAAGGGAAGTAACTTCAAGAAAATATTCAAGTTTAGAGATTCATGTCTTTATAACTCACAAATCTTTTCTAATTTATTCTAAAATATGTATTTGTGTATTCAAAAGAACAAATAATGAATCTACAAATTAAATACTTACATAAATGATGACTAATGTTATTAAATTAATTTATAGGCTAAATGCAGAAATATCTGACATGTGAAATGTGTCATTTATATTCATTGCCTTCAAATTTTACACGTACACAATACAAGTAATTGAACTCAAAACACAGGAAATAATCATTCTTAAAGGTCTAATATTGATTATGAGCCTAGATCTTGGCCAGTCTTCAACAAATAAGGAACTTTAATCAAAGACCATTTACAAAAGTTGCGGACCACCATTAGCTGTTTGAATAGAAACCAAAGTAAAGCTTCCGCTGGGAGAGTTTCATGTTGCCTGAAATTCTTGCTCTTAGGAAAGTAATGGAGTTGTAGTCTACCTTCATTTTCCAATAATAGTTTGCATATTATGATGTGAACATCATTTTGAAATATAAATGGTTATATGTAAATGGAAAACTATATTTGAATTAAAAATTTGTTAAAGCAAAATAAATTTTGTTTTTCAGATTGTTATTCCTATTTCTCATTATCATCCTACTTTTCTTCCTATACAAGCCATTCTAAAATGTTTGATTCACAACTTTTTGTTGTATGTATTCTTATAAGATACATATTGTGGTTTGGTGTTTATGTACGTATTTGACATTGATAAAAGTATTTTCTTTTGCTTCTTCGTTTTAACACATTTTCAAGATATATCCATTTTTCTGTGTTACATTTAGAATGAGGTAACTAGCATCTAAGATGGCTACCAATGATCTACACTGCTTGGTAATCATGTCCGTATGTGATTGCCTCCCACAGTAAGTCAGAGCTGGCCCTGTGTATGGCAAATAGGATGCAGTAGATATGATGTTGTGTGACTTCTGAGGCTAGGTCAGAAAAGGTAACAAGGCTTCTGTTTGACTATTTCTCTCTTAGGACTTGGAGTCAAGGAAATATGTTGGGAGGAAATCCAGGCCACAGGGAGAAGCCACATGTAGGCATTGTAGCCGACAGCCCCAGCCAAGGTCTTAGCCAAGAGTCAATTTCAAATGCCAAAGATGTGAATCAGTCTTCAGATAACTCTAGTTCCCAGCATTTGAGTAGCCCCAGCTGAAGCCAAGTGTATCCCCGCCAAATTTCAGACCTGTGAGTGTGTCAGTTTGAAATCTGTGAGAAGCAAGTGATAAGAGATTTGTTGTGGAAAATGCTTGTGAAGTATAAAGAGTACAGGAGCATAAGGAGGAGGGAGGAACCTTCAGACTGCAATGCAGGTATGACACTTTTGAAAAGAGACAAGGAAGAAATGAGGATGGGGAAAGAGCTTCAGACTACATAGCATTTCGGAAAAGATCTTGGCCAGGTTGATAGAGAGCCCCTAAGCAAAGGGGCCTGTAGAGGAGTCCATCATTAGGCAAAAATGACCTGACACTAGTTCTCTTGCAGTGTTCAGTCATTGGCTGTGAGGAACTCTGGAGAGGGCAGCCTTGGCAAAAACACCACAGTCGATTGGATGGTATGGCAGCTGGGGGCTATCAGTCATCTATGCTCTGCACTAACTCTCTCCATGGCTGCCACAGTCTACTCTTTTAATGCATGAATCTACTTCTCCACGCATCTTTAAGATTCAGGTACTTCATACTTCTCATGGACTTCACCTCCTAGGGGCCTTCCTTCTTAAAATGTTCTCTTCTATTGGCTCTGATAGTGCTAGACATCATTCATTTTCCCCCAGCCATTCCCTGGTTTCCTGGGTTGACTCATCTTTCTCTGAATAAGTTTTTAAATAATGGGGGGGATCTCCTCAGGAACTTCCTATAGGTCTTCCTCTTAAAGATGGAGATGAGTGAGACAAATTAAAGCCCTCATCAATGCAATTGTTCTCAGGACAATAACTGAAATTCACTATCTTCCTCCTCTATTATCTATTATATCTATTAATCTTTCATCTTTACAGGTCTTTTTTTTTTTTTTTTTTTTTTTTTGAGACGGAGTCTCGCTCTGTGACCAGGCTGGAGTGCAATGGCACGATCTCTGCTCGCTGCAACCTCCATCTCCCAGGTTCAAGTGATTCTCCTGCCTCAGCCTCCCAAGTAGCTGGGATTGCAGGCATGCGCCACCATGCCCAGCCCTCTTTTCTTTGTAAATTACCCAGTCTGCCATAATGCAGCAGAAAATGGACCAAGACAAGGTTTTTCCTAATTATCTGAAATAAACCTACATGACAGCATTCATCTCCAAAGATATTCATTTCATCAATATTGAAATTTTGCTTTGCACAATAACCACACCCATCAATAATTTTCTGCAATTCACTAAGGGAGACCACTTCAGTCTCAGTATCAGTGGCAGCTGATTCATGTATGACCTTCAAACTACATGGTCTTGCATGATTTTCAAATGTTCTGAAGCAGCCCAGACCTGCTCAACCTGAGGTCTTATCTTCAATCATCTCTCTCCTACATTGCTTTTTTATTCAGATCTTTGAAGACGTTTGATGCCTTCTGCTGTATCAACATGGTTCTCCATGGCATTTCACAATGAATAAGGTTTTCAATATACTTTGTGTTCAAATAGTGTGGAAAAGCATTCTGGTACCAACAATACTTTTCATATTTTTTTACTTTTTAAAAAAATTTCTCACTTATGGAAAGTCATTGCATGCCTGGTAAATGAAGATAAGAACATAGTCAAGGAGATATCTTTTATGAGTTCTCCTCTCTCAATTCAAATTGATACTTACACATTTTCTTCCAATGAATGGGATTTTTTCTGGACCTTTAAGTAAACCTAATTTCTTAAACCCACATTTTCACTTAACCATGTAAAGAAGACAATGAATAATGCACAATAATTTTAAACAACCATCCTATTAGGAGAAGAGCTAAGATATGACTGAAACACAATCTACATCCTCTCAATCAGACTCTTAAGCAACTTATAAGTTTTTACTGATACATTAAACTATGTTTTCAATACAGATAATGAATGTGGGAGAAATATCACAAGCAGTTATAAAAATATGTGGTTAAGATTTTGGATACTTATATACAAACGTATATTTGTAATATTATATGATTCATTGATGACTCATTCACATAAGAAAAGTACATGTTTTTATTTAGATCTTTAAGCAAGTGTGAGTGGGATATGGGTGTCAAGAGGATTTGAATTTCTAGGGTGTGGGTAGAACAATGCTTTCAAAACCAGAAAGAACATACAATTTACACTTAAAAATATGAGACAGGTGGAATGAAGAAAGATTGATCTGAAAAATAAAAAGTCCAAATGAGCATCCTGTCATAAAAGCAAACAGAAGTGAGATTATATAACAAATCGTGACAAAAATCTGAGAAAATGTCTAGTTTTATTTTTTCATGAAAAGCTGGGATAGCCCTTAATTATCCTAAATTGTCATGAGCAGTGTAATTTTTACTCCAAGTAAGCTTTGTATTCTTGATATCTCTTGAAAATAACAAGATAAATGATTTAGTTATACTTTGTTAGTAAATAATATTTTCATATAACACATCAAATAATGACTTCAGACAGATGCCAAAAAGGGAGCAAATAGTTGTTTTTAGATTCCTGTTAATAATTTATTTTGAAACCTGAAGTCTACACTAGCTAATAAGAATGCATCACCACCTTGTGGAAATTCCTTCAAACTACAGACACACGATCCCAAGATCCAGATCGGAAGAGAGTAAGTAGCAGATCAAGCTATTTAATTTCCATTTGCAAAGTAAGTTTGACTGTTATTCCTTGTAGCTCACAACTAAATCTTAGTCTCTGAAACTAGCCTCTAACTTTAACTCTAGACTTATATTTTCAACTGCTTGGTTTACTTTCTCAACTGATGCTTTGTTGCCACTTAAAATGCCATAACTTCTAAACCAAATTCTGCCTAATAGTTCTATTTAAGTTAGTGGGCATTCATACAGTGTTCAGTCACCTAAACTAAAATTTTTGATCTCCTTTGATTTATTTTCCCATGAAGATCCACTTTACCTTAAAATTAATCACCAAGTTCTGTTAGCTCTCATTCCTTTCTTTCCCACTTATCCTCTCCATTTTATTGCCACTAACAAGACTAGATTATGCCTTTTAATTGCATATCTAGGCTATTGCAACCATCTTATAACCTGTACTTCCAGCATCTCCCCTTCCACCATTGCCACTGTTCCCTTGTGTGAATCTAACAAATTTTGTTTAGCTTAAATTTGCCTTAGGCTTTATGGCCTCCAGTGCTTTTATCAGATGGCTTTTCACCTCTGCTCTTAAGGTCATACCCCCTCTCTCCAGTAAGCTCTTCCATTATATCTGGATGCCAAAATTCTTGGGAAGAGTGTTTGAACACTCTTGCACTGAAATATCATGAACTTAAAGACCTTTGATTTGAAAAGTGGTTCTTGGGTGGAGCCAAGATGGCCAAATAGGAACAGCTCCAGTCTACAGCTCCCAGCGTGAGCCATGCAGAAGACGGGTGACTTCTCCATCTCCAAGTGAGGTACCGGGTTCATCTCACAGGGGAGTGTCAGAAAGTGGGTACAGGAGAGTGGGTGCAGTGCACCAAGCGTGAGCCGAAGCAGGGCAAGGCATCACCTCACCTGGGAAGGGCAAGGGGTCAGGGAATTCCCTTTCCTAGTCAAAGAAAGGGGTGACAGATGGCACCTGGAAAATCAGGTCACTCCCACCCTAATACTGAGCTTTTCCAATGGTCTTAGCAAACGGCACACCAGGAAATTATATCCCACGCCTGGCTTGGAAGGTCCTACACCCACAGAGCCTCACTCATTGCTAGCACAGCAGTCTGAGATCAAACTGCAAGGTGGCAGCAAGGCTGGGGGAGGGGTGCCCGCCATTGCTGAGGCTTGAGTAAGTAAACAAAGCCAAAGCGGCCTGGAAGCTCGAACTGGGTGGAGCCCACCGCAGCTCAAGGAGGCCTACCTGCCTCTGTAGACTCCACCTCTGGGGGCAGGACATAGACAAACAAAAGGCAGCAGAATCCTCTGCAGACTTAATTGTCCCTGTCTGACAGCTTTGAAGAGACTAGTGGTTCTCTCAACATGCAGCTGGAGATCTCAGAACAGACAGACTGCCTCCTCAAGTGGGTCCCTGACCCCCGAGTAGGCTAATTGGGAGGCAGCCCCCAGTAGGGGCAGACTGACACCTCACACGGCCAGGTACTCCTCTGAGACAAAACTTCCAGAGGAATGATCAGGCAGCAACATTTGCTGCTCACTAACATCCACTGTTCTGCAGCCTGTGCTGCTGATACCCAGGCAAACAGGGTCTGGAGTGGACCTCCAGCAAACTCCAACAGACTTGAAGCTGAGGGTCCTGACTGTTAGAAGGAAAACTAACAAACAGAAAGGACATCCATACCAAAACCCCACCTGTACGTCACCATCATCAAAGACGAAAGGTAGATAAAACCACAAAGATGGGGAAAAACCAGAGCAGAAAAACTGGAAACTCTAAAAATCAGAGCGCCTCTCCTCCTCCAAAGGAACATAGCTGCTCACCTGCAATGGAAGAAAGCTGGAAGGAGAATGACTTTGCCGAGTTGAGAGAAGAAGGCTTCAGGTGATCAAACAACTCTGAGCTAAAGGAGGAAGTTTGAACCCATGGCAAAGAAGTTAAAAACCTTGAACAAAAATTAGACGAATGGCTAACTAGAATAACTAACACAGAGAAGTCCCTAAAGGACCTGATGGAGCTGAAAACCAAGGCACGAGAACTACGTGATGAATGCACAAGCCTCAGTAGCTGATTGGATCAACTGGAGGAAAGGGAATCAGTGATGGAAGATCAATTGAATGAAACGAAGTGAGAAGAGAAGTTTAGAGAAAAAAGAACAAAAAGAAACGAACAAAGCCTCCAAGAAATATGGGACTATGTGAAAAGACCAAATCTACGTCTGATTGGTGTACCTGAAAGTGACAGGGAGAATGGAACCAAGTTGGAAAACACTCTGCAGGATATTATCCAGGAGAACTTCCCCAATCTAGCAAGGCAGGCCAACATTCAAATTCAGGAAATACAGAGAATGCCACAAAGATACTCCTCAAGAAGAGCTACTCAAAGACACATAATTGTCAGATTCACCAAAGTTGAAATGAAGGAAAAAATGTTAAGGGCAGTCAGAGAAAAAGGTCAGGTTACCCACAAAGGGGAAGCCCATCAGATTGACAGCTGATCTCTCGGCAGAAACTCTACAAGCCAGAAGAGAGTGGGGGCCAATATTCAACATTCTTAAAGAAAAGAATTTTCAACCCAGAATTTCATATCCAGCCAAACTAGGCTTCATAAGTGAAGGAGAAATAAAATCCTTTACAGACCAGGAAATGCTGAGAGATTCTGTCACCACCAGCCCTGCCCTACAAGAGCTACTGAAGGAAGCACTAAACATGGAAAGGAACAACCGGTACCAGCCACTGCAAAAACATGCCAAATTGTAAAGACCATCGAGGCTAGGAAGAAACTGCATCAACTAACGAGCAAAATGACCAGCTAACATCATAATGACAGGATCAAATTCACACATAACAATATTAACCTTAAATGGAAATGGCCGAAATGCTCCAACTAAAAGACACAGACTGGCAAATTGGATAAAGAGTCAAGACCCATCAGTGTGCTGTATTCAGGAAACCCATATCACGTGCAGAGACACGCATAGGCTCAAAATAAAGGGATGGAGGTAGATCTATCAAGCAAATGGAAAACAAAAAAAGGCAGGGATTGCAATCCTAGTCTCTGATAAAACAGACTTTAAACCAACAAAGATCAAAAGAGACAAAGAAGGCCATTAAATAATGGTAAAGGGATCAATTCAACAAGAAGAGCTAACTATCCTAAATATATATGCACCCAATACAAGAGCATCCAGATTCATAAAGCAAGTCCTTAGAGACCTAGAAAGAAACTTAGACTCCCATACAATAATAATGGGAGACTATAACACCCCACTGTCAACATTAGACAGATCAACGAGACAGAAAGTTAACAAGGATACCCAGGAATTGAACTCAGCTCTGTACCAAGTGGACCTAATAGACATCTACAGAACTCTCCACCCCAAATCAACAGAATATACATTCTTTTCAGCACCACACCACAACTATTCCAAAATTGACCACATAGTTGGAAGTAAAGCACTCCTCAGCAAATGTAAAAGAACAGAAATTATAACAAACTGTCTCTCAGACCACAGTGAAATCAAACTAGAACTCAGGATTAAGAAACTCACTCAAAACTGCTCACCTACATGGAAACTGACCAGCCTGCTCCTCAATGACTACTGGGTACATAATGAAATGAAGGCAGAAATAAAGATGTTCTTTGAAACCAATGAGAACAAAGACACAACATACCAGAATCACTGGGACACATTCAAAGCAGTGTGTAGAGGGAAATTTATAGCACTAAATGCCCACAAGAGAAAGCAGGAAAGATCCAAAATTGACACCCTAATATCACAATTAAAAGAACTAGAAAAGCAAGAGCAAACACATTCAGAAACCAGCAGAGGCAAGAAATAACTAAAATCAGAGCAGAACTGAAGGAAATAGAGACACAAAAAACCTTCAAAAAATTAATGAATCCAGGAGCTGGTTTTTTGAAAAGATCAACAAAATTGATAGACCACTAGCAAGACTAATAAAGAAGAAAAGAGAGGAGAATCAAATAGACGCAATAAAAAATGATAAAGGGGATATCACCACCGATCCCACAGAAATACAAACTACCATCAGAGAATACTATAAACACCTCTACGCAAATAAAACAGAAAATCTGGAAGAAATGGGTGAATTCCTCAACACACACACCCTCCCAAGACTAAACCAGGAAGAAGTTGAATCTCTGAATAGATCAATAACAGGCTCTGAACTTGAGGCAATAATTAATAGCTTAGCAACCAAAAAAAGTCCAGGACCAGACGGATTCACAGCTGAATTCTACCAGAGGTACAAGGAGGAGCTGGTACCATTCCTTCTGAAACTATTCCAATCAATAGAAAAAGGGGGAATCCTCCCTAACTCATTTTATGAGGCCAGCATCATCCCGATACCAAAGCCTGGCAGAGACAAAACAAAAAAAGAGAATTTTAGACCAATATCCCTGATGAACATCGATGCAAAAATCCTCAATAAAATACTGGCAAACCGAATCCAGCAGCACATCAAAAAGCTTATCCACCATGATCAAGTGGGCTTCATCCCTGGGATGCAAGGCTGGTTGAACATATGCAAATCAATACACGTAATCCAGCATATAAACAGAACCAACGACAAAAACCACATGATTATCTCAATAGATGCAGAAAAGCCCTTTGACAAAATTCAAAAACGCTTCATGCTAAAAACTCTCAAGAAATTAGGTATTGATGGGACGTACCTCAAAATAATAAGAGCTATCTATGACAAACCCACAGCCAATATCATACTGAATGGGCAAAAACTGGAAGCATTCCCTTTGAAAACTGGCACAAGACAGGGATGCCCTCTCTCACCACTCCTATTCAACATAGTGTTGGAAATTCTGGCCAGGGCAATCAGGCAGGAGAAGGAAATAAAGGGTATTCAATTAGGAAAAGAGGAAGTCAAATTGCCCCTGTTTGCAGATGATATGATTGTATACCTAGAAAACCCCATCACCTCAGCCCCACATCTCCTTAAGCTGATAGGCAACTTCAGCAAAGTCTCAGGATACAAAATCAATGTGCAAAAATCACAAGCATTCTTATACACCAATAACAGACAAACAGAGAGCCAAATCATGAGTGAACTCCCATTCACAATTGCTTCAAAGAGAATAAAATACCTAGGAATCCAACTTACAAGGGACATGAAGGACTTCTTCAAGGAGAACTAGAAACCACTGCTCAATGAAATAAAAGAGGACACAAACAAATGCAAGAATATTCTGTGCTCATGGGTAGGAAGAATCAATATCATGAAAATGGCCATACTGCTCAAGGTAATTTATAGATTCAATGCCATCCCCATCAAGCTACCAATGACTTTCTTCACAGAACTGGAAAAAACTACTTTAAAGTTCATATGGGACCGAAAAAGAGCCCGCATTGCCAAGTCAATCCTAAGCCAAAAGAACAAAGCTGGAGGCATCATGCTACCTGATTTCAAACTAGATTACAAGGCTACAGTAACCAAAACAGCATGGTACTGGTACCAAAACAGAGATATAGACCAATGGAACAGAACAGAGCCCTCAGAAATAATGCCTCATATCTACATCCATATGATCTTTGACAAACCTGACAAAAACAAGAAATGGGGAAAGGATTCCCTATTTAATAAATGGTGCTGGGAAAACTGGCAAGCCATATGTAGAAAGCTGAAACTGGATCCCTTCCTTACACCTTATACAAAAATTAATACAAGATGGATTAAAGACTTAAATGTTAGACCTAAAACCATAAAAACCCTAGAAGAAAACCCAGGCAATACCATTCAGGACATAGGCATGGGCAAGGACTTCATGTCTAAAACACCAAAAGCAATGGTAACAAAAGCCAAAATTGGCAAATGGGATCTAATTAAACTAAAGAGCTTCTGCACAGCAATAGAAACTACCATCAGAGTGAACAGGCAACCTACAGAATGGGAGAAAAGTTTTGCAATCTACTCATCTGACAAAGGGCTAATATCCAGAATCTACAATGAACTCAAACAAATTTACAAGAAAAAAACAAACAACCCCATCAAAAAGCGGGCGAAGGACATGAACAGACACTTCTCAAAAGAAGACATTTATGCAGCCAAAAAACACATGAAAAAATGCTCATCATCACTAGCCATCAGAGAAATGCAAATCAAAACCACTATGAGATACCATCTCACACCAGTTAGAATGGCAATCATTAAAAAGTCAGGAAACAACAGGTGCTGGAGAGGATGTGGAGAAATAGGAACACTTTTACACTGTTGGTGGGACTGTAAACTAGTTCAACCATTGTGGAAGTCAGTGTGGCGATTCCTCAGGGATCTAGAACTAAAAATACCATTTGACCCAGCCATCCCATTACTGGGTATATACCCAAAGGACTATAAATCATGCTGCTATAAAGACACAGGCACACGTATGTTTATTGCGGCATTATTCACAATAGCAAAGACTTGGAACCAACCCAAATGTCCACCAATGATAGACTGGATTAAGAAAATGTGGCACATATACACCATGGAATACTATGCAGCCATAAAAAATGATGAGTTCATGTCCTTTGTAGGGACATGGATGAAGCTGGAAACCATCATTCTCAGCAAACTATCGCAAGGACAAAAAACCAAACACCGCATGTTCTCACTCATAGGTGGGAATTGAACAATGAGAACACATGGACACAGGAAGGGGAACATCACACACTGGGGCCTGTTGTGGGGTAGGGGGATGGGGGAGGGATAGCATTAGGAGATATACGTGATGTTAAATGATGAGTTAATGGGTGCAGCACAGCAACATGGCACATATATACATATGTAACTAACCTGCACATTGTGCACACGTACCCTAAAACTTAAAGTATAATAAAAAGAAAAAGAAAAGTGGTTCTTAATCTGAAAAGATATTTCAATCTAGTTGTTACAGATATATACATGGAGTAATGGCTGTTCACTTGATGAAGTGGGGAGCTAAATCCATATTGGTAATGAATGACATTAAAAAATGTTGCAATCATATGATTCTTGAATGCAGAAATCGGTTCTTTCCCAAGAATTAGAGTAAGTTCTTTGTGAAGATTTTCCTTATGTACCTAAACAGATGAGATAGATCATTTCTCTTTACTCTCATAGCAACTGTGAATTACACTGATGTTATTCTTATATCTACTTCAAGAGTATAAGCACTGTATAGAATATAGATTTCTTTTATCTAAATTGCTATGGTATAAAAACTATGAATTCTCTCCTCACAGATACTAACAAAACATAACTATGTATCCACACTTAGTTCAATTCTCAACAAAACCCAAAGAGTAGGAAATGGTGTCTGCTCATCATCACCCCTCCTTCCTACAAGACTTGTCTTTATCCTATAGAACTGAAAGGAGGGCATGACATGTGAAGGAAGAGAGTGTACCCTAACATGTTAATTCTGACTCATTTAGTTTGATATATACTTTTGTTCCTTCTGTGTAAAATCCTGAACAATTATTCTACTTAGAGTTTAGCAGGCATTTTGATCTTCTAGTTTTATTTACTAGCCCAAATCTCCTTATTGATCAAACTTGTACTTTAATAAAATGAATCTTATCATATTCCAAAGAATAATGCATATAATTTTAGTTTTCAATAAATGAATTCTTTGTACTAAGAGAATATAGAATGAGTTGGTCATTGGGTGGTGGTTCCAGGTGACAACTAGAACTCAGCATATGTTTAGAATCACATCAGGTCACAACTGCAACAGGACTTTTTCAAGAGATTTGCTGAGATTGGAATGAAGCAAGATAAATAACCTTGTAAGCAAGATACACTAGAAACAGATCAGACGAGCATATTCACAAGATCAAACAAAGCAGGGAGTCTTTGGTCAAGTGTTTAAGCCGCACCAGGGAGAGTTCCCTGTGTACATGATTATCAACATTCAGGAAATGAATGGTCAGTTCTTTTACAACTGGTGGCCAGGAACTTGTCAAACGGACCTAATTCCCAAAAATAGTCTGTCAGATAGCATAGGTCTCAGACCTGTTTAGTCAGATCCCAATCCTCGATGGAAGTGATTCCATTCTCATCTATCTAAAATGTATTGGGATACATAATGCAGGTTAATTGGGAGCTCAGTGGAATGGGCTAAAAAGAATCACCTTACCTAAGGTTATTCTCCCCTTCCCAGAGCAGCCTGAACCCAGTGACTCATTGATTCTGTGTTATAAAGGTCAAGCTCTCTTTTCTCAACTCTGGGAAATTCTGAAGAGCCATTAACCCATTTATGCTGGAGGTTGCAAATTTTCTTGTGTGAAAAATCAAACCTTGGAGATGACTTTGAGCAGTAGGATATAAATAACTCCCACAAGCTTAGCTTTCCAATAATGGAACACCAGGCATAAATCGGTTTAAAACTTCAAGCCCCTCCTGGGGTCAGCTAAGACCCTATTGTGACTGTATCTAATTCACCTCAATCCTGCTTCATTTATTCTTCCCAGAAGTGTTGATCCTGAGAACATCCACCACCATAGAAAGAACAATGAACAACCAGACACATAGAATTATTCAGCCAGCTGATATAGTCAACATCTGTCATCAACCATCACAGTGCTGGTACAATGACTGCACAAATGTAATAGCCAGAGAGGTAGGAATAGTTGCTAAGCAGGGGCTAGACAAGGTAGCTTCACATTCACCAATGCTAATAACCATTACTGCTGCAAAATTCCAACCTGCTGGCAACAAAGACCAGTACTAAGCATCTAATATGGCACTGTCCCTTAAGGAAACAAGCTGGCCACTTGGTGACAAGTCTATTACATTTGATCCTTTTTATCCCAGGAAGGGGCAGTGATTTATTTTGTCAGTAACTGACACATATTCTAATTGTGGGTGTGACATTCTTATCCACAGAGCCTCAACTAGCCACTGCTATCCAGGGACTTACAAAATGTTTTATATGCTGGCACATCATCTCCTATAACTTTGCATCAGACCTATGGGCCCTCTTTATAGCAAAGCTGGTGTGACAGTGAGCACATGACCATAAAATCTACTGGTCCTATCACCACAGTAGCTGATATCCGCATAGAGAATTTAATGGCCTATTACAGGTACAGCTGAGGTGTTAGTTTAGGGATGATACCCTCCAAAGACAGGTGTTATGTTTCAGGACACATATCCACACTAAATCAATTACTATTGTATAGTGCAAAGATTCCAGTAGATAGAATACACAGGCCTGGAATGAAATGCTAGAAGCAGGAGTAGCCCTGCTTACCATCATTCTCAGTGACTCACTTGAGAAATTCACATTTCCTGGCTCTGCAATCCTGTCACTGGGGAACACAGAAACAGTCTCATTGCACTTTAAGCTACAACTCTTGCCTGGACACTATGTATTCCTTGTACCAAGGTACCAACAAACAAAAAGAAAAATTTTCAGCCTGGAGGGAGCAATTAACTCAGATTATCAAGAGGAGGCAGGGCTGCTGTTATACAATGGGGACAAGAAGGATTATGTTTGGCACTCAGGTGGTCAACTGGAATGTTTCTTGGCACCCCCTCGTCCAATGTCAACGGCAAATGGACAAGTGCAGTATCCTCAAAAGAGCATGGTAACCAGCAGCGTGGACCCCCCGAGATGAGGATATTGGTCAACCAACTAAATAACCATCTAGACTAGCAGGGTTGCTAACTGAACATGAGGCACTCTAGAACAGATAGTAGGGAAGAGAGATGCTGTTTCAGTGGCAGCTCTGAGACCAGCTGCAGCAGCAAATGCTGTGGATCCTCCACTAAACTTTCTCATATTGGTTTCCCTGAGGAAAAGAGGCCCTTAGAGTGCACAATGAAGAAATCAATTAGCCGTATATATAAAGTGGAGTCAAGTAGCTGAAGGGTTGGATTGTCAGAGATACTGTGATGTCCTGCCCAAATTCTCCCTTCAGAACTGAGAAAATGATTGTCCAGCTTCTGAGAAGTTTGTTGAAGGTTTTCAGACATGTGCTTAGCCCGTTTTAGAATTACCACTGGCTGAAGAGAACTGCCTTACCTCTCACAGAAGCCCAAATCCAGTGCCTAGTAAACATGGGGCTGTAAAGTCTAGAACCCCTCTTCGAAATTTGGGAAAACCTAGAAGGGCCATTCCAGCTTAGAGCTACCAAGAGGATGGCTGAGGCCTTTGTTGCATTTGTATCAACAAAGACACTGCCTAAATTCTCTCCCTGCCCAATCCTGCCTCCTTTCCTTTCCAAAGGACACTCTAATGAAATGCCTTCATACTAATCTTCCATTTCAATGTCTGCTTCAGAGGGGACTCAAACTGTGACATCTTTGGTTTACTTTCAAATAGGTCCCCTGTCAAGTTCTGCTGGGGAGCAAGACCACCGGTGTGAGGTTCTGCTGGGACCTCAGAGAGCCTGCATCCCCGGATGCTGGGTGGCCCTGCGGCCTCCTCCACCTCACCTCCATGACAGCGGTAGAAGTGTGTGACAGTTGGGAGCCTCTGGGCTGTTGAAGTCACCTTGTGTGTTCCAAGTTTCCAAACAACAGAAAGTCATTCCTTCTTTTATAATGATGCTTAAGTTCCAGCAGATGGCACGTAAGGGGTTTGCAATTTGATACCCCTGGGGAACATTTCTGTAAATACCATTGACACATCCGCCTTTTGTATAAGTTTTGGGTAATGAGAGGTGGCTTTTGCGGCCAGTATTAGACTGGAAGTTCATACCTAAGAACTGTAATAATACCTCAATGTTTGAGGAGCATGTTTTGTATACAAATATATTGTTAATCTCTGCTATGTACTGTGCTAATTCTTACACTGCCTGTATACCTTAGTATGACGCTGATACATAACTAAATTTGATACTTACATTTTTGTATGAAAATGAGTTGTGAAAGTTTTGAGTAGATATCACTTTCTCACTTTTTGAACTAAGAAATTTTTGTAAAGAAATATATATATATATATGCCTTTTTCTTAGCCTGTTTCTTCCTGTTCATGTATTTGCTTATGTTTGGTGTGTAGAACTGGATAAATGAAAAGTTCTGTGTTTAAGTTCTTCAAAATGTATATATTTAGTGCTGCATCTTTCAGTACTTTGAAATACCTCATGTTTCTAAAAATAAATAGCAATTAAATTATGCAACTAAAAAAACTGTGACATCTACTAACAGCGAATGAATTCAATATTTCTCTGGATAATATAAGCCCTATTTACAGCTAAAAGAGACACAGTCTTCATGGTCTGTGAAAGAAATTCATATTATATTATGTGTACTTAGTAATATCCTCAATGTGTTCAAATGATAGAAAAGTGTAAGTTCCTTGAATCAATTCTCATTTTTTCCAATAGGAATGTAGGCATTCCTCTTTTAATTTTTTATTTTAATTTTAATTTTTAATTATGGATACATAATAATTGTATACAGTTACGAGACATATGTGAGTTTTTTATAGAGGAATATGATGTGTGATGATCAAATCAGGGTATTGTGGTATCCATCACCTCAGGCCTTTATCATTTCTTTGTGTTAAGAACATTCCAATTTTACTCCTTTAGTTACTTTTAAATATGCAATAAATTGTTGTTAACTATAGTCACCCTACTGTGTTACTGAACACTAGATCTTATTCACTCTATCTAACCGTATTTTTGTACCATTAACCATCACCACTTTCTCCCCCTCTATGCTTCTCTCCCCACTATGCTTCCCAGCCTCTAGCATCTATCATTGCACTCCCTATCTTCACGGTTCAATTTTGTATATGAACCCATGAAGCACATATTGCAAAAGTTATATGCTTTGGAGAACATCCTTAAATGTTGGGAAAAATCTCTTTACTATTAAAGAGAATTAAAATTATAAATC